>NC_000018.10:28411206-29036206 GCF_000001405.40 Homo sapiens
AAATAACTCCTTTGTGTTAAAAGAAGAAAGCACAGGACATAGATCCATTCACCTAGGGTCCCGAAGGCCTGCTTTAGTAATGAGTACATTTTACCAGAGAGATGTTTTAGCCATAATGCCCAACTTTTGTTGTCAAAACTAAAAGTATAACTAATAGTGCAAATAATTTCTAACATGTAATAATAATTTTAACATTTAGCACTTTCTAACTGACAAGCTCTCAGTGAAACACTTTATATTCATTTTCTTTTTTAATTTTCACAATTACTCTGGAGGGGTAACCACCATTGTAAACCTCATTTTACTAACACAAACTGAGATTAGCATGATTAAGTAACTTGCCCAAGGTCACGTGGCAAGTTTGACATGACATATCTTTTAATCCTCACAATTACCCAGTTGGCTGGTGCAGAGAATTTAAATAATTTTCCATGTGTCACAAAACCAATAAGTAGCAGATTTAGCATTCAAAGTCAATTTTCTGAATTAAGAGTCTTTAGATTCTTCTAGATATCAACATCTTTATTACATCCTACTAACCTTGTAGACAGTTGTAAGGCTCTTTGAAATCTGTTGAAAAGATGAGAAAGCTGTGTCAGTTATCTCATGCCACAATAATGCCATGTCACACTCAACCACAAACTTCAGGGAAACACACAACAAATGTTTATTTGCCTCATGAGTCTGAGATGTTTATGTGATCTGGCCTGGGTTGGCCAACTTCTCTGGAGTAAGCTGTGGCTCATCTAGGCAGTTATGCTTGTTCTGGCTGTACTAGCTCATGAGTCTCAAGGTTGGCTGGCTGCTGGCAAATAGAAATAGTCTCAGCTGGAATGCCTGTAGTGACTTGGCTCTGTCCCATGTGTCTCTCTCATTATCCGGCAGGCTGGCTGAGGAACGTTCTCATGGAAATCTTAGAGGAGCAGAAAAGCCCAGTCATGCAAGTACTTTTCAACACTTGGCTTGTGTTGCATTTGCTAAAATCCTGTTGGCCAAATCAAGTCACATAACTAACTCAGAGTTAGAGTACCAGGCTCCTACAATGTTTATGGGGAAGGTCGTGGGTACATAGACGGGGAAGAATTGAGTCTTTTTTTTTTTTTTTTTTTTAAAGAAAATTACTACAAGGGTCTAACAAATTTTTAGCAGAAACAGAAAAGGAACTAGGTAAACTTTAGCGTTCACTCCTCAAGCTGTCTACACTCTAAAAAAATGCAACATTGTATTTGCTATGTCATCATTGATTTAATGTATTGCCTTATGGATCCAGGCTGCAGGGGCCAACATTTGCTAAAAATTGAACACGTGATCTTTGGTGACATATTTGTGCTCTTAATTATAACCATAAAACATGCTTCAAATTTGAATAGAATAGTGCCAAAGCAATGCTGCCTGAATTTATAATTCTCTTTCACATAGTGTGTTGGCCCAACTCATCCAGTGCCTAGTGGTTTTGTGGTTTAGAAGTTTGTTTTCTGGAATTTGATGCAGCTGTTCTCTCCGAGTGACGATCCTTGGGGAAAGGTGGGTAAACACATAAAGCTTCCGAAAGCCATCCCAGATCTCTCAAAGGCAGCCCTCAGCTTAATGTCTGGGTCAGAAGTATAACAAAGTTAGTCTTGGTAATTGTTCATGTGTTTTCAAAGAGACTCATCATCAACACTCACAACCTGGTTTCAATCCAATAGAGCTTTATGAGGCTAAATTCTAAACAGCATCAAAATACATAAGAGTAAAAAGCTCAGCCTGGAGAACTGATACTTACAACTGGTTATACATAAGGTATTTGTAAGACCAATTAACAGTGTTTTATTTCTTTGATTCACCAAAACACAAACACATTGAAAACCACTCAATATTTTTCCTTAATTCACAAACACATAACAGTAAGCAAGCACATACAGATTAAGTGCTCTGAAGTTATATGAAAGACCTGGCCCTGCTGTGCAAATCACTCTCAAAATTGTTAGTTCTAAAACACTTTCATTTCCCTGCAATCATCCTATAGATTGTATTCCTATTTGTCATACCTTTTTTTGCATTTTTCTTTCTACTTATCTCTTCTTTCCTCTACATTGCTACTACACTTAAAGATCTTCAGGATTCTATCCTGGATTCCTTTAGTTACCACTAAAAAAGCTCCCCCTTGAAAAATCTCTGTCACTCTTCTGAGTTTAAATAGTGTCTATAGTTTGGCAACTCTTAAATTTGTATCAGCGACTGAGTGACATAGCAAGAGTGAGAAAAAAGAGGAACCAGTCCCCAATGTAGGTGACAAAGAGATGCTAACTTGTAGATAATATAAAATAATAACAAAGCAAACTAAAAGTCAGTCTTCTCATTATCACCATTTGCTGAAAATTTTTAGCAATCTCAGTGATAAAACACTCTTCTCTGTGTGGGGAGGGAGATCTTGTTGGATTAAGTTCTAAGCAATTCCTATGGCTATTGTTGAGTTTCAACAATATATACATGTAAGCTTTAAATTAGTACCTTTTAATTTCATACCGCTTGTACAGGAGTCTCCAGGGACACAGAAACAATCAAATACAGATATATAAAGAGATTTGTTGCAGGAATTGGCTCATGTTCTCAAATCTCCTCAAATGAATCTATGAGTTCAAAGCAATACAATTTCAACTCTTAACAGAATTTTGTTTCCTAATAAAGTGATGCTTAAGTGCCTTTGTAATATAAGCTAAGAAAATAGCCATTACATATTTGAAAAAATACAATTATGAAAGATATGTTTCTATCAGATATCAACTTACATTATAAAGCTACTGTAATTTTAAAAACTTATTTTGTTGGCATAGAAATAATCAAATTGATCAGTGGAACATACTGAAGACTCTGGGAAGAAACTTCATAGATATGTGGAAATTTATTGTAAGGTTAAGTGAGTACTTCAAATCAGGTGTCAAAGTAATGTATATGTGACACCACTAGGGTCTTAGCTTATGTCCTCTTCTCCTGACCTCTGATTGCAGCCCTGCTCTGGTACACAGATCTGCACAGGTTTTGACCTCCTTGCTTTTAGCTCCTCATCACAAGTGTGATTTGAGTATCTCTTGCTTCCTGCCCTGGGGTTTCTCTGATAATCCCATGAGTCCACTTGACCCCGATACATGTCACGTGAAGAGGTATGGGAACTAATGGATTAACATCCCTCTCTTTTGTGTCTCAGATGAATGGTTCTGAGCCACATGTCGTAAGGCATCACAGAATGTCCCTCACTGGGTAACTAGTCAGCTGAAGTGGTGGCATGTTAGATAATGCTTGAATTGGCTTTCAGTCCTTGTTTGATGCCTGTCACTCACTCCTGCCACCTGAGAACACATTCTTAAGAAAATGTATGACCTCTGTCCCAGGTTTGCTTTTGGGAAGAACCCATGTAAGTCAGGTAGACTACGCAATAAATGATGCTGACAAATTGCCTGTGCAATTGTGAAAAGAGTAAATGTATCTCTACACATAAACAAATTCTGCAAAAGTTAAAAAGTTAACTGTAACAATAAAAACAAAGAAAATATGAAAATATTTGAAAATGCCACCAAAGCAGAGGCTCTCTCTTTCACATCAGCTTTTGTCTGTATTTTTTTCAGGTTCTCTTTGCTCTGCTTTGTCGATGTTATTACATTTGCTTATTGTCCAGACATTCATCAAAATATCATGTTTGCTAAAGGCTCACTCTCATTTCCAGTGTTGTTACACATTTATTCTCTTCTACACATCCTTCTTGTATTACAATTGGATTTGGGGTAGATAGTGGAAATAAATGCTTGTATTTAATCTATCTGAATCTATACTATTTTCAATTTTGCATTAGTTATATCTGTAGGTAACTGCAGAGAGCAGTATTAAAAACCTGATTTAGAGTCTCTGACAAGTAGAATTGTATCCAACTATGAAGATTTCTACTCAGTAATTAAGCTATTCTCTATTGTCCTCTTGAGACAAAAATGTCACCTGATGTTGCACTGTCTTTCTCCCAGCATTTTAGGGTGGGAAGCTACTAAGAAATCATTTAGTCCCTAGATGTCCAAGGTATGGTTTGTTGATCAAATTAGCCTATGCATCCTTGTTGTGGCTCCTCAGGGAATCTTTCCATTTAAGAAGATTACACAAATTACCATTCATGTGCTAGTAGGCTAGCAGTTTCTATCTACCTATATTGACCATTAAAAATTACCTGTCGGCAGGTTGAATTAAATAGTAAGTGGTAATTATTGTGTGGTTTAATTTAATTTAATGAAATGTTATAAAGAATTTATGAACAAATAAATTAGGCATGCAAAAATCTCCATATGCATTTCACTGATGTTTAATTGCATATAATATGTCCACGCTAAGCATACATTTCCAGCCTCATCATTGTATAAGTTAATATGGTCTACATTCACATAGATATTTGTTTAAGTGGCTCACCTTTAAACATTTTATATTTCTAATTATCAAAACCTTCATTTAAACTATATCAACATTGTGACCATGAGAGTGAAAGATTTTCCTTAGATTTCACTTGAAGACCTGTTCTAAAGTCCTCATTTTCTAATTCAGAAAAAAAAAATCAGAAAACTCTACTTATGGGCTTTATTTACCCAGACATAGAATTTTTAGCATGAAGTGTATGGTGTTTAATTAAATAGAAAAAGGCATGGAACAATTGAGGCTTACATTATTTTTTAAAAAGCTTTTTATTTTGAAATAATTACAGCAAAAGACGTTGCAAGGCTAGTACTGAGGGGTTCCCTGTACCCTTTACCCAGTTTCCTTTGGTGGCTACATTTTACATAACTATAGGACAATATCAAAAGTAGGAAATTGACATCATTGTGTAATCATGGTTCTATGTCTTTTATCACAAGTGCAGATTTCTGACCACTGAAATCAAGATTGAAAACTGTTCCATCGCTACAAATATCTCCATCCTGTTCCCCTTTAAACTCACTCCTTCTTCCTTACATCACCCCTTTCTCCTAATTATCCCTAAGTCCTGCAACCCCTAATCTGTCCTCTATATTTACAATTTTATCATTTTGGGAATGTTATTCAAATGAAATCATACAGGATGAGACCCTTGGAGACTGGCTTTTTTCCCCCCACTCAGCCTAATGCACTTGAAAACCATCCAAGTGGTTGCATGTATCAATAACTCTTTTTATTTTTGTTATTGTTTAGTATGGATCATTCTTTTTATCTCATGGTATAGATGGACCGCAGTTTAACCACTCACCCATTGCACAACGCTTTACTTCCATCTTTTGGCTATTGCAAATAAAGCTGCTATGAACAATCATGTACAGGTTTTTTATTTATTTTTTTATTAATTAATTAATTTTTTTAATTATACTTTAAGTTTTAGGGTACATGTGCACATTGTGCAGGTTAGTTACATATGTATACATGTGCCATACCGGTGCGCTGCACCCACCAACTCGTCATCTAGCATTAGGTATATCTCCCAATGCTATCCCTCCCCCTCCCCCCACCCCACCACAGTCCCCAGAGTGTGATATTCCCCTTCCTGTGTCCATGTGATCTCATTGTTCAGTTCCCACCTATGAGTGAGAATATGCGGTGTTTGGTTTTTTGTTCTTGCGATAGTTTACTGAGAATGATGATTTCCAATTTCATCCATGTCCCTACAAAGGACATGAACTCATCATTTTTTATGGCTGCATAGTATTCCATGGTGTATATGTGCCACATTTTCTTAATCCAGTCTATCATTGTTGGACATTTGGGTTGGTTCCAAGTCTTTGCTATTGTGAATAATGCCACAATAAACATACATGTGCATGTGTCTTTATAGCAGCATGATTTATAGTCCTTTGGGTATATACCCAGTAATGGGATGGCTGGGTCAAATGGTATTTCTAGTTCTAGATCCCTGAGGAACCGCCACACTGACTTCCACAATGGTTGAACTAGTTTACAGTCCCACCAACAGTGTAAAAGTGTTCCTATTTCTCCACATCCTCTCCAGCACCTGTTGTTTCCTGACTTTTTAATGATTGCCATTCTAACTGGTGTGAGATGGTATCTCATAGTGGTTTTGATTTGCATTTCTCTGATGGCTAGTGATGATGAGCATTTTTTCATGTGTTTTTTGGCTGCATAAATGTCTTCTTTTGAGAAGTGTCTGTTCATGTCCTTCGCCCACTTTTTGATGGGGTTGTTTGTTTTTTTCTTGTAAATTTGTTTGAGTTCATTGTAGATTCTGGATATTAGCCCTTTGTCAGATGAGTAGGTTGCGAAAATTTTCTCCCATGTTGTAGGTTGCCTGTTCACTCTGATGGTAGTTTCTTTTGCTGTGCAGAAGCTCTTTAGTTTAATTAGATCCCATTTGTCAATTTTGTCTTTTGTTGCCATTGCTTTTGGTGTTTTGGACATGAAGTCCTTGCCCATGCCTATGTCCTGAATGGTAATGCCTAGGTTTTCTTCTAAGGTTTTTATGGTTTTAGGTCTAACGTTTAAATCTTTAATCCATCTTGAATTGATTTTTGTATAAGGTGTAAGGAAGGGATCCAGTTTCAGCTTTCTACATATGGCTAGCCAGTTTTCCCAGCACCATTTATTAAATAGGGAATCCTTTCCCCATTGCTTGTTTTTCTTAGGTTTGTCAAAGATCAGATAGTTGTAGGTATGTGGCATTATTTCTGAGGGCTCTGTTCCGTTCCATTGATCTATATCTCTGTTTTGGTACCAGTACCATGCTGTTTTGGTTACTGTAGCCTTGTAGTATAGTTTGAAGTCAGGTAGTGTGATGCCTCCAGCTTTGTTCTTTTGGCTTAGGATTGACTTGGCAATGCGGGCTCGTTTTTGGTTCCATATGAACTTTAAAGTAGTTTTTTCCAATTCTGTGAAGAAAGTCATTGGTAGCTTGATGGGGATGGCATTGAATCTGTAAATTACCTTGGGCAGTATGGCCATTTTCACGATATTGATTCTTCCTACCCATGAGCATGGAATGTTCTTCCATTTGTTTGTATCCTCTTTTATTTCCTTGAGCAGTGGTTTGTAGTTCTCCTTGAAGAGGTCCTTCACATCCCTTGTAAGTTGGATTCCTAGGTATTTTATTCTCTTTGAAGCAATTGTGAATGGTAGTTCACTCATGATTTGGCTCTCTGTTTGTCTGTTGTTGGTGTATAAGAATGCTTGTGATTTTTGTACATTGATTTTGTATCCTGAGACTTTGCTGAAGTTGCTTATCAGCTTAAGGAGATTTTGGGCTGAGACAATGGGGTTTTCTAGATATACAATCATGTCGTCTGCAAACAGGGACAATTTGACTTCCTCTTTTCCTAATTGAATACCCTTTATTTCCTTCGCCTGCCTGATTGCCCTGGCCAGAACTTCCAACACTGTGTTGAATAGGAGTGGCGAGAGAGGGCATCCCTGTCTTGTGCCAGTTTTCAAAGGGAATGCTTCCAGTTTTTGACCATTCAGTATGATATTGGCTGTGGGTTTGTCATAGATAGCTCTTATTATTTTGAAATACGTCCCATCAATACCTAATTTATTGAGAGTTTTTAGCATGAAGGGTTGTTGAATTTTGTCAAAGGCTTTTTCTGCATCCATTGAGATAATCATGTGGTTTTTGTCTTTGGTTCTGTTTATATGCTGGATTACATTTATTGATTTGCGTATATTGAACCAGCCTTGCATCCCAGGGATGAAGCCCACTTGATCATGGTGGATAAGCTTTTTGATGTGCTGCTGGATTCCATTTGCCAGTATTTTATTGAGGATTTTTGCATCAATGTTCATCAAGGATATTGGTCTAAAATTCTCTTTTTTGGTTGTGTCTCTGCCCGGCTTTGGTATCAGAATGATGCTGGCCTCATAAAACGAGTTAGGGAGGATTCCCTCTTTTTCTATTGATTGGAATAGTTTCAGAAGGAATGGTCCAGTTCCTCCTGGTACCTCTGGTAAAATTCGGCTGTGAATCCATCTGGTCCTGGACTCTTTTTGGTTGGTAAACTATTGATTATTGCCACAATTTCAGCTCCTGTTATTGGTCTATTCAGAGATTCAACTTCTTCCTGGTTTAGTCTTGGGAGGGTGTATGTGTCGAGGAATTTATCCATTTCTTCTAGATTTTCTAGTTTATTTGCGTAGAGGTATTTGTAGTATTCTCTGATGGTAGTTTGTATTTCTGTGGGATCGGTGGTGATATCCCCTTTATCATTTTTTATTGTGTCTATTTGATTCTTCTCTCTTTTTTTCTTTATTAGTCTTGCTAGCAGTCTATCAATTTTGTTGATCCTTTCAAAAAACCAGCTCCTGGATTCATTGATTTTTTGAAGGGTTTTTTGTGTCTCTATTTCCTTCAGTTCTGCTCTGATTTTAGTTATTTCTTGCCTTCTGCTAGCTTTTGAATGTGTTTGCTCTTGCTTTTCTAGTTCTTTTAATTGTGATGTTAGGGTGTCAATTTTGGATCTTTCCTGCTTTCTCTTGTGGGCATTTAGTGCTATAAATTTCCCTCTACACTCTGCTTTGAATGCGTCCCAGAGATTCTGGTATGTTGTGTCTTTGTTCTCGTTGGTTTCAAAGAACATCTTTATTTCTGCCTTCATTTCGTTATGTACCCAGTAGTCATTCAGGAGCAGGTTGTTCAGTTTCCATGTAGTTGAGTGGCTTTGAGTGAGATTCTTAATCCTGAGTTCTAGTTTGATTGCACTGTGGTCTGAGAGATAGTTTGTTATAATTTCTGTTCTTTTACATTTGCTGAGGAGAGCTTTACTTCCAACTATGTGGTCAATTTTGGAATAGGTGTGGTGTGGTGCTGAAAAAAATGTATATTCTGTTGATTTGTGGTGGAGAGTTCTGTAGATGTCTATTAGGTCCGCTTGGTGCAGAGCTGAGTTCAATTCTTGAGTATCCTTGTTGACTTTCTGTCTGGTTGATCTGTCTAATGTTGACAGTGGGGTGTTAAAGTCTCCCATTATTAATGTGTGGGAGTCTAAGTCTCTTTGTAGGTCACTCAGGACTTGCTTTATGAATCTGGGTGCTCCTGTATTGGGTGCATATATATTTAGGATAGTTAGCTCTTCTTGTTGAATTGATCCCTTTACCATTATGTAATGGCCTTCTTTGTCTCTTTTGATCTTTGTTGGTTTAAAGTCTGTTTTATCAGAGACTAGGATTGCAACCCCTGCCTTTTTTTGTTTTCCATTTGCTTGGTAGATCTTCCTCCATCCTTTTATTTTGAGCCTATGTGTGTCTCTGCACGTGAGATGGGTTTCCTGAATACAGCACACTGATGGGTCTTGACTCTTTATCCAATTGCCAGTCTGTGTCTTTTAATTGGAGGATTTAGTCCTTTTACATTTAAAGTTAATATTGTTATGTGTGAATTTGATCCTGTCATGATGATGTTAGCTGGTTATTTTGCTCGTTAGTTGATGCAGTTTCTTCCTAGTCTCGATGGTCTTTACATTTTGGCATGATTTTGCAGCGGCTGGTACCGGTTTTTCCTTTCCATGTTTAGCGCTTCCTTCAGGAGCTCTTTTAGGGCAGGCCTGGTGGTGACAAAATCTCTCAGCATTTGCTTGTCTGTAAAGTATTTTATTTTTCCTTCACTTATGAAGCTTAGTTTGGCTGGATATGAAATTCTGGGTTGAAAATTCTTTTCTTTAAGAGTGTTGAATATTGGCCCCCACTCTCTTCTGGCTTGTAGGGTTTCTGCCGAGAGATCTGCTGTTAGTCTGATGGGCTTCCCTTTGAGGGTAACCCGACCTTTCTCTCTGGCTGCCCTTAACATTCTTTCCTTCATTTCAACTTTGGTGAATCTGACAATTATGTGTCTTGGAGTTGCTCTTCTCGAGGAGTATCTTTGTGGCGTTCTCTGTATTTCCTGAATCTGAACGTTGGCCTGCCTTGCTAGATTGGGGAAGTTCTCCTGGATAATATCCTGCAGAGTGTTTTCCAACTTGGTTCCATCCTCCCCATCACTTTCAGGTACACCAATCAGACGTTGATTTGGTCTTTTCACATAGTCCCATATTTCTTGGAGGCTTTGCTCATTTCTTTTTATTTTTTTTTCTCTAAACTTCCCTTCTCGCTTCATTTCATTCATTTCATCTTCCATTGCTGATACCCTTTCTTCCAGTTGATCGCATCGGCTCCTGAGGCTTCTGCATTCTTCACGTAGTTCTCGAGCCTTGGTTTTCAGCTCCATCAGCTCCTTTAAGCACTTCTCTGTATTGGTTATTCTTGTTATACATTCTTCTAAATTTTTTTCAAAGTTTTCAACTTCTTTGCCTTTGGTTTGAATGTCCTCCCGTAGCTCAATGTAATTTGATCGTCTGAAGCCTTCTTCTCTCAGCTCATCAAAGTCATTCTCCATCCAGCTTTGTTCCGTTGCTGGTGAGGAACTGCGTTCCTTTGGAGGAGGAGAGGTGCTCTGCTTTTTAGAGTTTCCAGTTTTTCTATTCTGTTTTTTCCCCATCTTTGTGGTTTTATCTACTTTTGGTCTTTGATGATGGTGATGTACAGATGGGTTTTTGGTGTGGATGTCCTTTCTCTTTGTTAGTTTTCCTTCTAACAGACAGGACCCTCAGCTGCAGGTCTGTTGGAATACCCTGCCGTGTGAGGTGTCAGTGTGCCCCTGCTGGGGGGTGCCTCCCAGTTAGGCTGCTCGGGGGTCAGGGGTCAGGGACCCACTTGAGGAGGCAGTCTGCTGGTTCTCAGATCTCCAGCTGCGTGCTGGGAGAACCACTGCTCTCTTCAAAGCTGTCAGACAGAGACATTTAAGTCTGCAGAGGTTACTGCTGTCTTTTTGTTTGTCTGTGCCCTGCCCCCAGAGGTGGAGCCTACAGAGGCAGGCAGGCCTCCTTGAGCTGTGGTGGGCTCCACCCAGTTCGAGCTTCCCGGCTGCTTTGTTTACCTAAGCAAGTCTGGGCAATGGCGGGCGCCCCTCCCCCAGCCTGGCTGCCGCCTTGCAGTTTGATCTCAGACTGCTGTGCTAGCAATCAGCGAGATTCCGTGGGCGTAGGACCCTCCGAGCCAGGTGTGAGATATAGTCTCGTGGTGCGCCATTTTTTAAGCCGGTCTGAAAAGCGCAATATTCGGGTGGGAGTGACCCGATTTTCCAGGTGCGTCCGTCACCCCTTTCTTTGACTCAGAAAGGGAACTCCCTGACCCCTTGCGCTTCCCAGGTGAGGCAATGCCTCGCCCTGCTTTGGCTCGTGCACGGTGCGCGCACCCACTGGCCTGCGCCCACTGTCTGGCACTCCCTAGTGAGATGAACCCGATACCTCAGATGGAAATGCAGAAATCACCAGTCTTCTGCGTCGCTCAGGCTGGGAGCTGTAGACCGGCGCTGTTCCTATTCGGCCATCTTGGCTCGAAAGAGATGTACAGGTTTTATGTGGATATAAGTTTTTATTTCCCTGGGATAAATGCCCAAAATGAGATTGTAGTGTTATGTGGTAAGTGTATGTTTAGTTTTAAAAAGAAACTTTCTAACTTTCCCATTTTACATTCCTGTAAACAATGTATGAGATTCAGTTTGTCAGGATCCTTGCCAGAATTCTGTACTGTCATGATTTTTATTTTAGCTTTTCTGATAGGCGTGTCGTTATATCTCATTGTGGTTTCATTTACATTTCTCTGATGGTTAGTGATGTTGAATATTTTGTCCTGTGCTTATTTGCCATCCACAGACCCTTTTCCAGGAGATCTCTCTTTATATCTTCTGCTCATTTTCTAATTGCATTATTTTTTTTACAGTTGAGTTTTATAATCATTTAATATTCTAGATATGAGTCTTTTGTCAAATACACGGTTTGTAAATGTTTTCTCACAGTTTGTGGCTTGTCATTTAATTCTTTCAGCAGAGTCTTTTGTAGAACAGAATATTTTAATTTTGATGATGTCGAATTTACCAGTGCTGATTCTTTGTGGGTCATGTTTTTGGTGTAAAGCTCAAAAACATTTTCTAGCTCCTGAAGATTTTCTCCTACACTTTTTTTCTAAAAGTTTTATAGTTTTATGTTTAATATTTAGATCTATGATCCATCAGGGTTACTTTTTTGTATAAGGTATGCGGTTTAGATTGATATTTACTTTTTTGGCTATGGATATCCAATTGCACCACTCTCATCTGTGGAAAAGAATATCCTTCTTCCACTGAAATGTTTTGCAGTTTTGTCAAAAATCAGTACTAATAACATGCTGTTTTGGTTGCTGTAGCCTTATAGTAGAATTTGAAGTTGAGTGGTGTGAGGACTTCAGCTTTATTCTTTTGCTTAAGATTGCTTTGGCTATTCAGGTTCTTGTTTGATTCCATAAGAAATTTAGAATAGTGTTTTTCTAATTCTATGAAGAATGATATTGGCAGTTTGATAGGAATAGCATTGATTCTACACATTGCTTTGAGCAGTATGGCCATTTTAACAATATCAATTCTTCCAATCTCTGAGCATGGAATATTATCCTGTTATTTGTGTCATTTTAAATTTTTTTCAGCAGTGTTTTGTAGTTCTCCTTGTACAGATCTTTCACATCCTTGGTTAGTTGTATTCCTAGGTATTTTATTTTCTTCATGGCTTTTGTAAATGTGTTCTTGATTTGACTCTATGCCTGGAAATTATTGATATATAGAAATGCTAAAGTGATATCCTGAAACATTGCTTAAAGAGTTTATCAGTTCTAATAGCTTTTTGCTGAGTCTTTAGAATTTCCTAAGTATGGAATCCTATTGTCAGCAAAGAGAGATAGTTTGACTTCTTATTTTCCTATTTGGATACCTTTTATTTTTTTCTCGTACTTGATTGCTTTGGCAAGCACTTCCAGCAATGTGTTGAACAGCAGTGTTGAGAGTGGGCATCCTTGTCTTGTTCCAATTCTCAAGGGAAATTCTTTCAGCTTTGCCTATTCAGTATGATGTTGGCTGTGGGTTGGTCATAGATGGCTCTTATTATTTTAAGATATATTCATTTGATGCCTTCCTACTCTGTTGAGGATTTTTATCATGAAGAGATGTTGAATTTTCTCAAAAGCTTTTTCTGCATCTATTGAGATGATCATATGGTTTTTGCTTTTAATTCATTTTGTGTGATGAATCACAGTTACTGATTTGCATATGTCAAACCAAACTTGTATCCCAGGAATGAAGCCTAATTTATCATGTTGAATTAACTTTTGGATGAGCTGCTGGGCTCAATTTGCTAGTACTGTTCTTTAAGAATCTTTGCATCTATATTCATCAGGGGTATTGGCCTGAAGTTTTCTGTTTGTCATGCCTCTCCCAGATTTTGGTATCAGGCTGAGACTGGCTTCATAGAATCAGTTAGGGAGGAGTCCCTTCTCCTCAATATTTTGGAATAGTTTAAGTAGGATTTGTACTAGTTCTTTATATGTATGGTATGATATGGTTTGGCTGTGTCCCCACACAAATCTCAACTTGAATTGTATCACCCAGAATTCCCATGTGTTGTGGGAGGGACTCAGTGAGAGGTAACTAAATCACGGGGGCCAGTCTTTCCCATGCTATTCTCATGATAGTGAATAAATCTCATGAGATCTAAAGGGTTTATCAGTGGTTTCTGCTTTTGCTTCTTCCTCATTTTTCTCTTTCTGCTGCCATGTAAGAAGTGTCTTTCACCTCCCGCCATAACTCTGAGGCCTCCCCAGCCAAGTGGAACTGTAAGTACAATAAACCTCTTTCTTTTGTAGATTGCCCAGTCTCAGGTATGTCTTTATCAGCAGCATGAAAAAAGACTAATACAGTAAATTGGTACTAGTAGAGTGGGGCCTTGCTGAAAAGATACCCAAAAATGTGGATGTGACTTTGGAACTGGGTAACAGGCAGAGACTGGAACAGTTTGGAGGGCTGAAAGAAAACAGGAAAATATGGGACAGTTTGGAACCTCCTAGAAACTTGTTTCACGGCTTTGACAAAAATGCTGATAGTTATATGAACAATAAGGTCCAGGCTGAGGTGGTCTCAGATGGAGATGAGGACTTTTTGGGAACTGGAGCAAAGGTGACTTGTTATGTTTTAGCAAAGAGACTAGTGTCATTTTGCCCCTGCCCTAGAGACTTATGGAACTTTGAACTTGAGAGAGATGATTTAGGGTAACTGGTGGAAGATATTTCTAGGCAGCAAAGTGTTCAAAAGGTGACTTGGGTCCTGTTAAAAGTATTCCATTTTAAAAGGGAAACAGAGCACAAAAGTTCCGAAAATTTGCAGCTCAACGATGCAGTAGAAAAGAAGAACCCATTTTCTGAGGGGATATTCAAGCTGGCTGTAGAAAACTGCATAAGTTTCAAGGAGCTTACTGTTAATCCCCAAGACCATGGGGAAAATGTCTCCAGGGCATGACAGAGACCTTCATGGCAGCCCTTCCCATCACAGACCCAGAGGCCCAGAAGGAAAAAGTGATTCTGTGGGCCAGACCCAGGGTCCCCGTGCTGTGTGTGGTCTACGGACTTGGTGCCGTGTGTCTCAGCTGCTCCAGCTGTGGCTGAAAGGGGCCAACGTAGAGCTTGGGCTGTGGCTTCAGAGGGTGGAATCCCAAGCCTTGGCAGCTTCTACATGGCGTTGAGTGTGTGGGTACACAGAAGTCAGGAATTTAGATTTGGGAACCTCTGCCTAGATTTCAGAAGATGTAAGAAAATGCCTGGATGCCCAGGCAAAAGTTTGCTGCAGGGGTGGGGCCCTCATGGATAACCTCTGCTAGGGTGTGGAAGGGAAATGTGGTGGCTCCGACCCCACACACAATCCCTACTGGCTCACTGCCTAGTGGAGCTGTGAGAAGAGGGCCACTGTCCTCCAGACCCCAGAATGGTAGATCCACCAACAGCTTGCACTGTGCACCTGGAAAAGCCACAGGCAATGCCAGCCTGTGAAAACAGCCAGGAGGGAGCCTATACCCAGCAAAGCCACAGGGGCAGAGCTGCTCAAGACCGTGGGAACCCACCCCTCCACCTCTTGCATCAGCGTCACCTGCACGTGAGACCTGAAATCAAAGGAGATCATTTTTGAGCTTTAAAAAATTTGACTGCCTCTCTGGATTTTGGACTCGCATGGGGCTTGTAACCCCTTTGTTTTGGCCAATTTCTCTTACTTGGAATGGCTGTATTTACCCAGTACCTGTACCCCCATTGTATCTAGGAAGTAACTAGCTCGGTTTTGATTTTACAGGCTCATAGGCAGAAGGGAATTGCCTTGTTTCTGATAAGACTTTGGATTGTGGACTTTTAGGTTAATGCTGAAATAAGCTAAGACTTTGGGGGACAGTTGGGAAGGCATGATTGGTTTTGAAATGTGAGGACATGAGATTTGGAGGGGCCGAAGGTGGAATGATAAGGTTTGGGTGTCCCCACCCAAATCTCAACTTGAATTTTATCTCCCAGAATTCCCACGTGTTGTGGGTGGACCTGGTGGGAGGTAATTGAATCATAGAGGCTGGTTTTTCCTGTGCTATTTTTGTGATAGTGAATACATCTCATGAGATTTAATGGGTTTATCAGCGGTTTCTGCTTTTGCTTCTTCCTCATTTTTCTCTTTCCTCCACCATGTAAGAAGTGCCTTTCACCTCCTGCCATGATTTTGAGGCCTCCCCAGCCACGTGGAACTGTAACATCAATTAAACCTTTTTTTCTTCCCAGTTTCGGGTATGTCTTTATCAGCAGCATGAACATGGACTAATACATGGTACAATTTGGCTGTGAATCCATCTGGTCCAGGGCTGTTTTGGTTGTAGGGTTTTTATTTCTGATTCAACTTCAGACCTCAATATAGGCCTATTCAGGGTTTCAGTCTCTTCTTTATTCAATCTTGGGAGGCTGTTTCCAGGAGTTCATACATGTCCTCTATATTTTCTAGTATTTTGCATAGAGTTGTTTATAGTAATCTCTGAAGATCTTTTCAATTTCTGTGAGGTCAATTGAAATGTCATCTTTCTCATTTCTGATTGTACTTATTTGAATCTTCTCTTTTTCTTTCTTTGTTAATCTAGCTATTAGTCTACCATTCTTGTTTGTTTGAGAAACCAATTCTTAATTTCACCGATGTTTTTACATGGATTTTTTTCATCTCAGTTTCATTCAGTTCCTATCTAGTTTTAGTTATTTCTTTTCTTCTGCTAGCTTTGGAATTGGTTTGTCCTTTTTTCTAGCCTTTTTTTCCTTTAGGTGCAATGTTAGATTGTTAATTTTTAATTTTTCTAACTTCTTGATGGAGGCTTTTTAGGGCTATAAACTTTTAATGCTGCTTTAGCTGCATCCCAGAGATTTTGGTAAGTTGTGTCCCTATTTTTATTAATTCCAAATTATTTTTTAATTTCTGCCTTAATTTTGATGGTCATCCTGGAGTTATTCTGGAGCAAGTTGTTTAATTTCTATTTATTTGTGCAGTTCTGAGAGATCTCCTTGACATTGATTTCTATTTTTATTGCACTTCAGTTGAAGAGAGCAGTTGGTATGATTTCAATTGGTTTGAACTTATTGAGACTTGCTTTATGAACAACCATGGGGTTGATCTTAGAATATGTTCTGTGTACGAATGAGAAGAATGTGTAGTCTGTGTTTGTTGGGTAGAATGTTCTGTAGATGTCTATTAAATCCAATTCGTCAAGTATCAAGTTCAAGTCCAGAGTTTCTTTTTCAGTTTTTTGTCTTGGTGATCTGTCTTAACACTGTCAGTGGAGTGTTGAAATCTTCCAATATTATTGTATGGTTGTCTAAGTCTTTTCCTAGGACAAAAAGAACTTGTTTTATGAATATGGCTGCTCCAATGTTAGGTGCATATATATGTAGGATAGTTAAGTCTTCTTGCTGAATTGTGCCCTTCATTGTCCTTCTTGATCTTTATTGGTTTAAAATCTAATTTAGCTTATATATGAACAGTAACTCCTGCTCTTTTTTTTTTGCATGATAGATATTTCCTTTTACTTTGAGCCTGTGGGTCTCATTACACATTAAATGAGTCTCTTGAAGATATCTGAGTCTCATCTTTTTATCTAGTTTACCATAGATATATGGCATGTATCTAGATAGTGGGGTATCTAGCTCACTTACATTCAAGGTTCATATTGATATGTGTGATTTTAATCCTGTCTTTGTGTTGTTAGCTAGTTGTTATGTAGATTGAATTGTGTAGTTGCTTTCTGTGGCTGTGAACTATGTGCTTGAATGTGTTTCTGAGGCAGTAGGTGTCATTCTTTTGATTCCAAGTTTAGTGCTGTCTTAATGACCTCCTGTAAGCCTGGTTTAGGTGAAATGAATCCACTCAGCATTTGTTTGTCTGAGATGAATTATTTCCCCCTTAGTTTTGAAGCTTAGTTTGGCAGGATATGAAATTCTTGGTTGGAATTTCTTTTCTTCAAGGATGCTGAAAATATGCCCCCAATCTCTTCTGATTTGTAAGATTTTGCTGGGGGGTCTGCTGCTAGCCTGATGGGATTCCCGCTGTACATGACTGTACCTTTCTCTTTAGCTGCCTTTAAGATGTTTTCTGTTGCATTGACTTTGGTGAATCTTATGACTACATAGCCTTGTGTATGGTCATGTTGTATAGTATCTTGCTGGAGTTCTCTGCATTTCTTAGATTTGCATGTCAAAGGCTATAGTTATAGTAGGAAATTTTTCATGAACTATATCCTCAAATATATTTTCCAAGTCGTTTATTCTCTCTTCTTCTTTCTCAGGAATGCCAATGAGTCATAGATTTGATCTTTTTACATAATACCATATTTCTCAGGGGTTTTGTTAAACTTTTAATTTTTAAAAAATAAATTTTTGTTTGAGTTGATTCAAAGAACTTGTCTTTGAGCTCTGAGATTATTTCCTCATCTTACTCCATTCTGCTTTTAATATTTCTGATTATATTATGAAATTCTCGTAGTGAATTTTTCAGCTCTAGAAACTCAGTTTGGTTCTTTCTTAGAATGGCTATTTCATCTTTAAACTCTTGGATCATATTACTGTATTCCTTAGATTCCTTGGATTGAGTTACAACTTTCTCCTGAATCTGAATGAACTTACTTGTCATCCAGATTGTGAATCGGTGTCTGTCATTTAAGTAATTTCAGACTAGTTAAGCACTATTGCTGGGGAGCTAGTGGACTCATTTGAGGATAAGAGGACACTCTGGCTTTTTGAATTGCCAGAGTTATTGTGCCGATTCTTTCTCATCGGGGAGGGTTGGCATTCCTTCAATTCCTTTAATTGTGGTGAAAGTAGAGTATAGTAAGTTGGCTTCTTTCTGGGTGCTTTCAGCAGGCCAGGGTTAGGTACAGGAGCTTTATGTGTAGGTAAATTCTTGTGCTTGATTTCACAGGTGTGTATATTAACAAGATAATGTTTGGTGTTATAGTTTGGGCTGCAATCCAGTTGACATGCTTGAGTAATGGCTCGTAGCTAGGCTAATACCCAGCTGCCTAGCTCTTTTGTACATCCTAAACTTTGCATCCATGCTCTGTGGTACCTCTCCAGCTGAGGAAGAGGGATATTATCTCGTTATTGCCACGTGACAGTGGAAGTTCAGGTTTCCTACTTGGCCTTCATAAAGACCTAAAGAGAGAAGGGAGGTCTGCTAGTTACTGCTGGGTAGGTATGGTTTTTTTAGGTTCTTCACTAAGTCTCTGCTGATATCACACTTGTTAGAAGGAGCATGGATGCCTTGTTTTTTTTCCTCTCCATGTGGCTTCCTATGATATTGCTAGAGGGTGGCCTCATTACCGCTGGACAGTGATAAAAGTCTCTCCACCAGGCCTTCTCTGACTCCACCCCTGAATGAACGGGAAGGATTGAAAGTCTGTGCTCTCTATTTTGTCTTTATGACAACATAGTGTTGGCATTTCATTACCACCCAGTGGGGATGAAAGCCCCAGCTCCTACTCTGCCTTCTCTGATACCACCTGAGAAGAGGGATTATGGAGCTTCATTATAACCTAATATGAAATGGGAGTCCAGGTTCTTCGTGTGGTCTTTGCTGGAGGGGTAGTGTGTGACTACAGTTTTTTCTGTGGTATTTAGCTGAATATACAGTTACTCTGTTATAAAGTTCTCTATTATATAAGCTAAGTTTCCTCTTTTCTGGTCCTTTGAATAGAGAGAGTCAGCTTTCCTTACAGTCTTTTTTTTTTTTTTTTTTTTTGGTCTATGCCTGTTGGTATTTCTAGGTGCCTGTTTCTCTCACACTTAGTTTCTAATATATAAGGTAAAGAAAAAAACTGAGAAAACTCACTGAAGTGTAGTTCCTGAGGTCCCCAGGTCCTTAGTGGGTCTGCCTTCTTCTTTCTTCTTTTTTCCCCTTTTTAGTCTTTTCATATTTGTTTATATGTAAATGGCTGAGGATTTTAACTGTACTTAGAAAGAAACATACATCTACATAAATTATTAAAGATCCAGAAAATAAAAGAAAAACAGTAATAATCATCCCTGTCACTTAAAATATTTTAGATGTTTTTTGTTTGCTAATAATGTTGTCCATATAATTACTTAGAGAAGGAAGAACAAGTGAGCAGAAACCAAATGGAAATAACCAAGTTTTTTGTTTAAAATTATTAACAGGCTATTATAAGCATTGACTATGGACTAAGGCAACAGGAATTCCCAACTCCTTTATTACTGGTTAGAATTATAGATGCTCACTTTAGAGGCCTCTTCTATAGCTAGGAGTACTACGGGACACTGTTTTGGCTAATATGACATGAGTATAGAGGTCATCTTTTGGGAAGGCTTTGGCTTTTCTTGAAAATTGAGGCCAAATACAGCTAGTTATAACTATTTCCCCCTGCCTTTTTCTCCCTAGTAACATGAGATGGCCATAGCTACCATCTTGCAACCTTGGAGGAAAGGTCAAGAGATCATGGAGATTTCATACCTTGTATCAGCAAATGACAACTTTTTTTGTAAAGACACAGATAAATAATTTATGTTTTGTGTGCTATGCCATTTCTGCCAGAAATAACCAATTCTGTTGCATTTTTGTGAAAGCATCAATACACAATACTTAAATAAATAGATGTGTCTATGCCCCAGTAAAACTTTATTTCCTAAAATGGATGGCATTAGTTAAATGGGATATAGTTTGCCAAACTCTGCTTTATATTATTTAGCAGCTGAACAAGTGTCAGCAACTGCTTAAGTGTAGACTTCTTGTTATAAGAGAAAAATAAAACTGTTGTTATTTAAGCCATTATAGCTGAGGCTTCTTACTTGTAGCTGAATGTACTGCTGGTCCACAGCCAATATGCATTATCTCAAGTTTCCCACTAGAGTTCTTGTGAAGATCCAAAATATTGAAATTCATGGCATAGAAAATTAAAAGTAATCTTTTCAAAGATTACATTATACAAATGATGGCCCACTCATTCATTTTCCATCTCATAAAATAGCAGAACTACCTTCCAGGTAGAAGATGAAAAGATATTTTGCCCCTATCTCCCCACCTTTATCTGCCTCAGGTAATCTAAGCAATTCATACAACTCAACAATTGTACCTTTATAGCATGAATATACTTAATGTGATGGTCAGAATACTTTTTCTGTCTCTACCTGTTCCCACATAGAAACACATGACATAAGTATAGTTTATGACAGACAGAAACACACAGACACACAAGTTCTGCAACCAGTGGAAAATTATAACTTCTAGGAAGCAATGAGACAGCCAGTGAAGTGATGCTGGGGTTATGTGGGGAAGGCATCCTGTTTGCCTCTTCCATTCTGGTGATAGAGAGTAGTCCTTACATGTGTTGAACACTAATCAAAGACATTAACATTACCAAAACCTTGATCTAGGTCTTTACATAAATCATGTTAGAACACACACACACACACACACACACACACACACACACACCAGGATATCCTGGCCTCTGACTTTATATTTTTATTTTTTCATCAACTTTTATCTTAAATTCCAGGGTACATGTGCAGGATGTGCAGGTTTGTTACAGAGGTAAACATGTGCCATGGTGGTTTGCTGCACAGATCAACCCATCACCTAGGTATTAAGCCCAGCATACATTAGCTAGTCTTCCTGAGGCTCTCCCTCCCCACTTGCCCCTCCTCTGACAGGCCCTAGTGTGTGTCATTCCCCCAAAGGTGTCCATGTGTTGTCATCGTTCAGCTCCCACTTATAAGTGAGAACATGTGGTGTTTTGTTTTCGGTTCCTGTGTTAGTTTGCTGAAGATAGCGGCTTCCACCTCCATCCACGTCCCTGCAAAGGACATAATCTCGTTCCTTGCATAGTATTCCATGGAGTATATGTACTACATTTTCTCTACCCAGTCTATCATTGATGGGCATTTGGGTTGATTCCGTTTCTTTGTTATTGTGAATAGTGCTGAAATGAATATATGTGTGCATATATCTTTATAATGGAATGATTCATATTCCTTTGGGTATATGCCCAGTAATGGAATTGCTGAGTCAAATTTTATTTCTGGTTCTAGATCTTTGAGGAATCACTACACTGTCTTCCATAATGGCTGAACTAATTTACACTCCCACCAACAGTGTAAAAGCTCCTTTTTCTTCACAACCTTGCCAGCATCTCTTGTTTCTTGTCTTTTTAATAATCACTATTCTGACTGGTATGAGATGGTATCTCATTGTGTTTTGATCTGCATTTCCCTAATGACCAGTAATGCTGAGCTTTTTTCATATGTTTGTTAGCTACATGAATATCTTATTTTGAGAACTGTCTGCTCATGTCCTTTGTCCAGTTTTTTATGGGATTTTTTTTCTTGTAAATTTGTTTAAGCTCCTTGTAGACTCTGGATGTTAGACTTTTGTTAGATTGATAGGTTGCAAAATTTTTCTCCCATTTTGTAGGTTGTCTGTTCACTCTGATGGTAGTTTCTTTTATTCTGCAGAAGCTCTTCAGTTTAACTAGATCCCATTTGTCAATTTTTGCTTTTGTTGCAATTTCTTTTTTTTGGTATGAAATCTTTGCCCGTGCCTATGTCCTAAATGGAATTGCCTAGACTTTCTTCTAGCTTTTTTGTAGTTTTAGGTTTTACATTTAAGTCTTTAGTGTATCTTGAGTTAATTTTTGTATACAGTATAAGGAAATGGTCCAGTTTCATTTTTCTGAATATGGCTAGCCAGTTGTCCCAGCACCATCTATTTATTAAATAGTGAATATTTTCCCTATTGCTTGTTTTTGTTGGGTTTGTTGAAGATCAAATGGTTGTAGATGTGCAGTCTTACTTGTGAGTTTTCTATTCTGTAGAACACATATTTCTAAGGGTCTAATAATATTCATTGTTGGTGAGGGCACAGTGAGATTGCCATGTTACTTCTAGAAATATAAATGAGCACAGGTTTTTTCTTTCTTTTTTTTTTGGAAAACAACTTGTAATATGTATCAAAACTTTGGAGGAATTTCTATGCTGTAATCCATTTACTCTGCCTTTTGGAAATGTTATTATGTAAATAATTATAATGCAAACAAGTTTTCTATATAAAGCATTCACTGTAACAAAAGCAATATTAAAATAATTAGAAACAATCTATACATTCAACAATGAAAAAGTGACTAAATCAAGTATGAGATATGGATAGAAAGAAATATACTGAAACCATTCAGAAACATTTCAGTAGCAAAAGGAATGCTTAAAATATGATGCTAAATGGAAAAAGTATAACCTAGGCCTGTGGTAGGAGACTATTCTGATTTTGCATTAAAAAATTTCTTGTGCTCTTGCTCTTTTTTTTGATTATTAAAAGTCTATACTGTATTCATATTTCCTTAGTTTTTACCTAATGCTCTTTATATGTTCCAGGATCTCACTCAGGGCACCACATTATATTTAAATGCCACATCCACTTAGGCTCCCTGTGGCTGTGACTGTTTATCAGACTTACCTTGTGTTTATGACTTTGACATTTTTGACAGGCACTGGTCAGATATTTTTTAAAGAATGTTCCTCAATTGGGATTTGTCTAACGTTTTTCTCATTATTAAACTGGAGTTACTTTGGGTTCTTGGGAGGAAGACCACAGAGGTGAAGGGCCATTCTCATCACTTTTTATCAAGGTCACACACTATCAGCAGGACTTTTCACTGTTGATGTTGACCTTGGTCACCTGGCTGAGGTGTGTTTGTCAGGTTTCTCTATCATAAAGTTCCTCTTTTACTCCCTTTGCACACTGTCCTCTTTGGAAGGAAGTCACTATACGCAGCCCACGCTTAAGGATCGATGATCCCTCTCCTTGAGGGGGCTACAGAAATGATTTGGAATTTTTCTGCAGGAAAGATGATTCATCTCTTCTCCCCCATTTATTTATTTATTCAATCATTTATTCATATGAAGATGAAATCATGAACATTTATTTTATTATTTCAGCTATAACCCAATAGTACTTTATTAATTTTGTTGTTCAAATCATTCCAGCTTAGGCCATTGAGAGCTCTTTCAGCTGGCTCCTGTGTCACTTCCGTTTTTCTTTTTCAAATTTTATTTTAGATTCAGGAGGCAAATGTGCAGGTTTGTTACCTGAGTATATTGCTTGATGCTGAGGTTTAGGGTACACCCAGGTCCTGATCATAGTACCCAACAGTTTTTCAACACTTGCCTCCTGCCTTCCCTGACCCATCTAGTAGTCCCCAGTGTCTATTGTTGCCATGTTTATGTCCACAAGTACCCAATGTTTAGTTCCCCTTATAAGTGAGAACATGCAGTATTTTGTTGTCTGTTCCTGCATAAATTCGCTTAGGATAATGGCTTGCAGCTGCATTCATGTTGCTGCAAAGGATATGATTTCAATTGGATATGATTTCATTGTTTCTTAATGGAAGCATAGTATTCTATTGTGTATATGTCCCACATTTTCTTTATCCAGTCCACCAATGATGGTCATGTAGGTGGATTTCATGACTTTGCTATCATGAATACTGCTGCAATGGACATTTAGGACATATGTCTTTTTGGTGGAACAACCTGCTTTCTTTTGGATATATAATCAGGAATGAGATTGTTGGGTTGAATGGTAGTTTCAAGTCTTTGAGAAATCTCCAAACTGCTTTCCACATGGGTTGAACTAATGTATATTCCCACCAATAGTGTACAAGTGTTCCCTTTTTTTCCCACAGCCTCACCACCATCTATTGTTTTTTGAGTTTTTAATAATTGTCATTCTGACTGATGTGAGATGGCATCTCATTGTGGTTTTGATTAGAATTTCCCTGATGACTAGCTATGAGGAGTAATTTTTCATATGTTTGTTGGCCACTTGTATGTCTTCTTTTGAGGAGTGCCTGTTCATGTCTTTTGCCTATTTTTAAATGGGGTTATTTGTATTTTGCTTGTTCAATTAAGTTCCTTATAGATTCTGGATATTAGACCTATGTTAGATGCAGTTTGTGAATATTTTCTCCCATTCCGTTAATGGTTTCCTTTGCTGTGGAGAAGCTCTTTAGTTTAATTAGGTCCCACTTGTCAATTTTTGTTTTTGTTGCAATTGCTTTTCAGGACTTAGTCATAATTTATTTCCCAAGGCTGATGTCCAGAATGGTGTTTCCTAAGTTTCCGTGTAGGATTCCTACAGTTAGTGGTCCTACATGTAAATCTTTAATCCATCTGGAGTTAATTTTTGTATATGGTGAAAAATCCCATTTTATCCTTCTGCATATGGCTAGTCAGTTATGCCAGCACCATTTAGTGAATAAGGTGTCATTTCTCTTTTGCTTATTTTTGTTGGCTTGGTCAAAGATTAGATGGATATAGATGTATGGCTTTATTTCTGGGTTCTGTATTCTGTTCCATTGGTCTATGTGTCTATTTTTGCACTGGTACAACGGTCTTTTGTTTGCAGTGCCTCACAGTATAGTTCAAGCTTGTCCAACCTGTGGCCTGCAGGCTGCATGTGGCCCAGGATGGCTTTAAATGCAGCTCAACACAAATTCGTTAACTTTGTTAAAACATGAGATTTTTTAAAAATTTTTTATTTTTTTTAAGCTCATCAGCTATTGTTAGTGTTAGTGTATTTTATGCGTAGCCCAAGACAATTCTTCTTCCAATGTGGCCCAGGGAAGCCAAAAGATTGGACACCTCTGGTATATAGTTTGAAGTCAAGTAATTTGATGCCTCTGACTTTCTACTTTTTGCTTAGGATTGCCTTGGCTATTTGGATTATTTTTGGTTGCATATGAATTTTAGAATAAAATTTTCTTACAATTCTGTGAAAAATGACATTGGTAGTTTAACAGGAATAGTACTGAATCTATAGATTGCTTTGGGCAGTACGGCCATTTTAATGATATTGATTCTTCCAATTCATAAGCATGAAATGCTTTTCCATTTGTTTGTGTCATCTATGATTTCTTTTAGTAGTGCTTTGTAGTTCTCTTTGTAGATATCTTTTACCTCCTTGATTAGCTGTATTCCTAGGTATTTTATTTTATTGGTGGCTGCAATTGTAAGTGTGATTGCATTCTTGATTTGGCTCTCAGCTTGAATGTTAATGGTGTATAAAAAATACTACTAATTTTTGTACATTGATTTAGTATCCTGAAACTTTGCTGGAGACATTTATCAGTTTCAGGAGCATTTTGGTGGAGTCTTTAGGGATTTGTAAGTATAGAATCTTATTGTCTGCGAAGAGAGATAGTTTGACTCCTTTTGCTGTTTAGATGCCCTTCATTTTTTTTCTCCTGCCTGATTGCTCTAGCTAGCATTTCCAATGCTATGTTGAATAGGAGTGGTGACAGTGGGCATCCTTGCCTTGTTCCAGTTCTCAAAGTGAATGCTTCCAGTTTTTGCCTGCTCAGTACGATGTTGGCTCTGGGCTTGCTATAGATGGCTCTTATTATTTTGATGTATGTTCCTTTGATGTATACCCAGTCTGTTGAATATTTTTATCATGAAGGGATATTGGATTTTAATGAAAGCTTTTTCTGTGTCTATTGAGATGATCAAATGAGTTGTTTTTAATTCTGTTTGTGTGGTGAATCACATTTATTGATTTTTATATGATGAACCAACCTTGCATCCCAGGAATAAAGCTTACATGATCATGATGAGTTAACTTTTTATATGCTGTTGAATTCTGTTGAATTTTGTTGAGGGTTTCTGCATCTATATTCATCAGGGATATCGGCCTGTAATTTTCTTTTTTGTTGTTATGTCTTTGCCAAGTTCTAGTGTCAAGGTAATACTTGCTTCATATAATAAATTAAGTAAGAATCCCTCCTCCTTGATGTTTTTGAAATAGTTTCAGTAGAAACTATTTCATGATACAAGCTCTTCTTTGTTCATCTGGTAGGATTTGGCTGTGAATCCATCTTTTCCAGGGCTTTTTTTGCTTGGTAGATTTTAAAATTACTGATTTAATTTAAGAACTTTATATTGGTCTGTTCAGTGTTTCAATTTCTTCCTTATTAAATTTTGGGAAATTGTGTGTTTTCAGGAATTTTTCCATTTCCTCTCAATTTTCTAGTTTTTGCATGTAGAGATGTTGATAATAGTCTCTGAGACTCCTTTGTGTTTCTGTGGAATTGGTTGTAATATCACCTTTATTGTTTCTGATTGTACTTATTTGGATCTTTTTTTCGTTGTTATTCTAGCTAGCATCTATTAATCTTTTTTATCCTTTCAAACAAACACCTTTTGGTTTCACTGATACTTCATATGGAATTTTTGGCCTTAGTTTTTTTTTTTTAATTTCTGCTCTAAATTTACCTATTTCTTTTCTTTTCCTAGGTTTGGAGTTAGTTTGTTCTTATTTTTCTAGTTACTCTAGATGTAATGCTAGATCATTCATTTGAGATCTTTCTAACTTTTTCAGTAGGCATTTAGGACTATAAACTTTCCACTTAACACTGCTTTTGCTGCATTCCAGAAACTTTGGTATGTGTGTCTCTGTTTTCACTTATTTGAAGCATTTTTTTTTATTTCTGCCTTGATTTTATTGTTCAACCCAAAGTCATTTTGGAGCAAGTTGTTTAATTTACAAGTACATATGCGGTTTTGAGAGATCTTCTTGGTATTAATTCCCGTTTTAGTTCCATTGTGGTCCAAGAGTATTGTTGGTAAAATTTTCAATTTTTTAAAATTTATTCAGAGTTGCCTTATGTCTGAGCATGTTGTTGATCTTGGAGTATGTTCTGTATGCAGATGAGATAAACGCATATTCTGCTTCATGGGTAGAGTATTCTGTCATGTTTATTAGGTCCAATTGGTTAAGTGTCAAGCCCAGAATTTCTTTGTTAGTTTTCTGCCTTGATGATTTGTCTAATGCTGTGAGTGGTGTGTTGAAATAGCCCACTGTTATTGTGTAGTTGTGTAAATCTTTTGTAGGTACAGTACTGCTTGTTTTATGAATCTGGTTACTCCAACTTTGGGAGTGTATATGTTTAGGATAGTTAACTCTTCCTGTTGGATTCAACCCTTTATTATTACGTAATGCCCTTCTTTGTCCTTTTTTACTGTTGTTAGTTTAAAGTCTGTTTTTTTTTCCAATATTAGAATAGTGATCCTTGCTTTTTTATTTGTTTCCATTTGTATGGTAGATCTTTCTCAACCCTTTAGTTTGAGCCTATGGATGTCATTACGTGTGAGATGGGTCTCTTTAAGACAGCAGATAGATGGTTCTTGTTTTTTAATTTATCCTGACACTTTGTGCCTTGTATGTGGGGCATTTAGTCCATTTACACTCAAGTTTAATATTGACATGTGAGATTTTGATCCTATCATGAAGTCGTTATCTGTTTGCTTTGTAGTTTATATGGTGTTTTTGCTTTATAGGGTTTGTGGTTTATGTACTTAAGTGTGTTTTTGTGCTAGCAGGTATCATTCTTTTGTTTCCATGTTGAGAACTCCCTTTAGAAGCTCTTGTAAGGCTGGTCTAGTAGTGGCAAATTCCCTTAATGCTTGGTTGTTTGGAAAATATTTTATTTTCCTTTCCCTTATGAAGTTTAGTTAGGTGGGATTGTGAAATTCTTGGTTGGAATTACTTTTCTTTAAGAAGACTGAATATAGGTCCCCAATTTCTTCTGGCTTGTAAGGTTTTTGTTGTGAAATCTGCCCTTGGCCTGGTGGGGTTCCCTTTGTATGTGATCTTCCATTTTTCTCTAGTGGCCTTAAGATTTTTTTCTTAGCATTGACCTTAGACAATCTGGTAACTATATCACTTGGTGATGTTTGTTTTGTATAATATCTTGCAGGTGTTCCCTGGATTTCTTATATCTGGATGTCTACTTGTCAAGCATGACTAGAAATTTTTTCTCAAATTATTTCCTCAAATATATATTCCAGATTGTTTGCTTTTTCTTCTCTCTCAGGAATGGCAGTAATCCATAAGCTTGGTTGCTTTACATAATCTTATATTTCTTTAAAGTCTTTGCTCACTATTTTTCAATTTTTTAAGAAAAATGTTTGTCAGAATGGGTTAGTTCAAAAGACTGTTTTTCTAGCTCTTAAATTCTTTCTTCTGCTTAGTACAATCTATTGATAAAGCTCTAAATTATATTCTGAAATTCCTTAAGTGAGTTTTTCAATTTCAGGAGCTGAGATTTATTTCTTTTTAAGATGTTTATCTCTTCCTTCATTTTCTGTATTGCTACAGAAGTTTATTTGTGTTGATTTTCAACCTTGTCATGGTTCTAGAATTCTTGCGCTGGCTTCTTCTCTTCTGGAGATGCTGACACTTCTAATTTTTGTAATTATTTTTGTGTGGGTACAATCTTTTATTTCTTTTCCTATAATGTTATTATTATTATTGTTTATTATTTTTATTATTTTATATCCATTTTTCTTTCCCCCCTACTTAGGGGATGTGACTGTAGAGAATGCTGGGTAGGCTCTTTTGTCTTTGCATCTACTACTCTATTACTTCTTTCAGCAGGTTTCATACTAAACTGTGCAGTTTATCCTGCCAGCCCATAGATAGCACTTATAGGTAAGAGTTGTCTGATGCCAACATGGCTGGGTAAGTACTTGATCCTTGTTTAATGACAGAAGCTCCCTTTTGCTTCAGACAATTTAATGATTTGTAGAATTTACAGTTGTCTGAGCTCCCTGCTCAGTCCTTGGGAGGGGGGAATGGTGGCACAAGACTAAGCAGGTGCCTTGATGGTAAGCATAAGCACCAGTGCCAGTGGAGAATCCAGTGGGTAGTCACTAGGAACACAAAGGTGTTCCTGGGTGTGGAGCTGGGCAACCTCCTCAACTCCAAGTTCTCTGCATGGGGCTGGGGGTGTCGCCTAAATTCATAATCCAGGAGAGTGGATGCTCCAGATTTTTGGAGATCTGCCTGGGCATGGAGCAGACGAAGCACCCCTGCACTAAGGTCTCTGCATAGGAGGGGTGGAGTGAACTCAGGCTGCTGTACCAGGGAAGCAAGTGTCCTGAATTCCTGGAAATCTAGCTTTGCATGGAACTGAGAGGGTCTTGCTGCTCCACAATCTATATTCAGGAAAGGTGAGATGGCTCAGGCTGCTGAGCCAGATGAATGGGTGCTCTGAATGCCTGGTGAGCTTCTCGGGTGTGAAGTATAGAGTGTGTCCTTGTACCAGAATCTCTGCACAGAAAGAGTCGGGTGGGTCAGACTGTTGATCCAGGTGAATGATGCTCCAAATGCCTGGAGATCTGCCGGGCATGGAGCAGGGAGGTCCCCCTGCACCAGGATCCCTACACAGGAGGAGTGGGGCAACTCAGGCTTCTGGATCAAGCTGGCAGTTTCTGTGAATACCTGGAGATCTTCGTGGACATGTAGCATCAGGATCTCTGCACAGAAAGAGTGGGGTGGCTCAGGCTGCTGAAAGAGGTGAATGGGTGCTCTGAATGCCAGGAAATCTGCCTGTGCATGGGGCAGAAAGGACCCTGCTGCACCAATCTATGTCTAAGTGCTGTGGGGCAGTTCAGGCTCTTGAACCAGGGGAATTGGCACTCCAAATGCCTGGAGATCTGCTTGCGGGGTGGAGTTAAGGAGGCCCTCCTGCACTAAGATCTATGTCTAGCAGGGTGGGACAGCTCAGGCTGCTGGTCCAGGCAACCAGGAGTCCCAAATGCCTAAATTTCTGCCTGATCATGGAGCAGAGAGGGCCCTGCTGCACCATGATATTAGGGGAGTATTAGGGGCACCCAGAAATGGCACATGCAGATGGAATACATGCTGGCCTTGGCTGTAAGTCTAGCTGCCCAGGAAAAACTGCACCTGTAGCAGCTCTCCTCCTTCCCCAGGCCTGCGATAGGGAAGAAGACAATTCCAGTGCCTATTGTTGAGGGGACTTTCCATAGTTCTGTCTGTGAAGGCCCCTACCTTGCCCTAGAGCAGGCACTCCAGTCTCTGGCCTGGGCCTGAAACACCTGTGTGACCACACTGTTGGGTCACCAAAGAATGGCTGACTTTGTATGTACCCAGATTAAAAATGGTGTCCTGCTCTCAGCCCCAGGTGTAGGAGAATGTCTGCAGCATTTCCCAGTGTCTTTCCTTCACAGCATCTTCAAGCCTTTCCCCAAGTTAACTCCAGGGCTTGGGAGAAGCAAAGTGCTCTCTCTCGGCTTGGGTTGCTCAGATCCCCAGTGGAAAGGTGAGTAACACAGGGATGCTTTCTCCCTTTCTCACATACTGGAGCTTCACTCACTTTTATCAGCGAGATGCTGATGCAGATCATGGGGGCTGATTGCCCACAATAGCCTCCCTGGGTGTTTTTCATGGTTCTGATAGATTCCCATTTTTCTTCTTGAATTAAAGCTCACAGCATGGATCTTTGTGCACTAACTTGCTATTTTCAGACTGAGTCATGGTAAAAGCTTCTAATCCGCCATCTTAGAAAAAAGAAACATCTCTTGCTCTTTGATTTTGGTTCTACTGCAATCACACTTGCCAACTCCCTCATTCTCTCTACATGTATTTCTCTCTGTATTTTTTACAGCTGTGTATTTGTTTGTATAGTAAAAAGGTAAGAAGGATTTATAGCTATGTGTTAGCAGTGTCTCTTGTTGGGTAATGGGATTATTCATAGTGTTCATTTTTTTCCTAGAATTTTTTTCTCAATTTCAGGTAATAGACATCAGGAAAATCATTTTAAATCCAATGAGAATTATAACTTAAAAGAGATTCTGTACTTATGACAAAATGCAGCTTGTTAGCCACTAATACATCTGCAGTCTTTTTATACGTCTCCTGGAGAGCTGGTCATTTTTATTCACAAAGGACAAGTTCTTGACTTTGTACTTGGTTACCTTAGAGCTTTTGTCTTAATTTAACATCTCTGTTCTTTTGGATTTTAATGTGGGAGGGTGAAGTGGGGAGGGGGAGTGAGAAAACTTCCCCTTGATATAACATTTTCTCTATCAAGTTTTAAGTATATCCCAGTATTGTCCATAATAAATGCAGTCTTTAAAAATCACACATACTGAAGTGATTCTTTACACTTTTGTCCATTGCTTTTTCTCAAAAGAATAAATCCATAAATAAGTCCATAGGGGTTAAAATCCTAAGTGAGTGTCAAAAAATAATGTGTGAGTCTATTTTTCATTGCTATAAAGAAATACCTAAGACTGGTAACATCAAATTATTATTTATAAAGAAAGGAGGTTTATTTGCCTTATCATTCTGCAGTCTGTACAAGCATTGCACTCACATCTGCTTGGCTTCTGGTGAGGCCTTGGGAAGCTTTTAGTCATAGCAGAAGAGAGGGGACCTGGTGTGTCACATAGTGAGAGAGGAAGCAAGAGAGAGAGGAGAGGAGTCCCAAACTCTTTTTAACAATCAGCTCTCATGTGAACTAATAGAGTGAGAACTCACTTATTACCATGGGGATGGCACCAAGCCATTCATGAAGGACCACCTGTATGATTCAAACACTTCCACTGGACCCCATCTTCAATACTAGGGATTGCTTTTCAGCATGAGATTTGGAGGGGATAAACATGCAAACTATCAAATAGGATGTAAAAGCCTTAGTCTCTTGTCTTTAAAAGTAGTTAATTCATTCACTTTTTTATTAATTAAAAACATTTTTAATATTTAAAAATTCCTTCACTTCTCTTATTAATTAAAAATATTTTTGACACCTATGCATTTTGTTATTTGGTGTTGGAGGATGTCCTCCTATCCTCAAATACTTGCAATCTAGGAGTAGAAAATGATCTGTGAATGAGTAAACAGGATACAGTTAGAAAATCAAATACATTATAGAAGATAAAGAATAAAATGCTATAGACTTCAGAGATAGAACTAAATTAATATATCTTCAAAACTTTATAATAAACACAAATAAAAATACAGTAATATAGTACACATTAGAAACAATTTAAGGGTTTGATTAAGCCAATTTTCAATTAAATATAATAAATTTCAGTCGCTTATCATAAACTCATCTAAAAAATAGATCGTAGTAGCTCAGAGAGGCATTTACTTACACAAATGTCAAAACAGGTAATAGGTCTTTGCTCACTTTTTCTCACATATCACAATCTTCAACACCACCCATCTCCTACTTATAATAACAAAAGGAAATATCTGGCCAATATATAAGAATATACAATAGTCCTATTTGTAATTAATAGCCTATTTGTTAACATCAAATTATATAATGACAAAAGCAGAATTAGAAGGAGATTAAGAGTGACATCGAAGTGTAGATGAAACCAATGAAATGGTTGATATTGGACAGAGTCTGACCTAGATAAATGGCAGTTTCACATGGTTCATCCTAATAGGTATTTGAAGACTAAATAAGTGTAGGGTTTTAAGAAGACATCTCTCAATGAGATGTTTGACTATAAGTGCACTGAATTAACAAAATCTATTTTTTTAAAAATCTGGTGGTGTGCAACTGAGGCTCCAAATTTATAACATCTGTATTCAAAGCAAACTTTATACTTTTCTTTAATTGGAGAGGACATAGTACACCATATACTTTGATCTTTACATGTATGCTACCTTGTAAATTCTTTAAACCACTTATGATTCCTCAAACATTTCTAGGCATGGAAATAATTAATATCTAATAAAACTAATTTGGCTGTTTGATGAATATGGGCATACTGATTCCTATTGTGGCAAAACATGTTTATCTTACGGGCCTATATATTTGCTGATAACATGCTTATTTCCACATTATAATGTTATTCAGCCTGGGCTACTTCTAGAATGGAAAATTAGAATGTAAGAGTATGTTTAAATTTCCATCCATTTTCACAGTAAGAGAGCAGACTTCTTTGTATGCTGGCCATATGCATTTAGATAGAGGGACACGTGTGGGAAATGTTAGTTGGTATGCCGTTCTTGGTATGACAGTACTGCTTAATAAACATATATACACCTGCTCAGGAGGCTGAGGCAGGAGAATCGCTTGAACCCAGGAGGCGGAGGTTGCAGTGAGCCGAGATCGTGCCACTGCACTCCAACCTGGGTGACAAGAGCAAAACTCCGTATCCAAAAAAAAAAAAAAAAAAATATATATATATATATAAATACATATGTTATATATATTTATGTATAAATCTATATATTATATAATAAATATATAATATATAAATCTATGTAATATATTATAAATATAAATATATTTATATAACATAATAAATATATATTATATTTATAATATATTATATATAAATATATATTTAAATATATATATAGTATCTAAGAGGGTACAGTGATGAATTGAACTGTACCATGGTGTCACAATTATTGACCTTGGTAATGTGTTTTATTCTTTGAATCATTTAGTTTTGTTAAGCAGATGAGTTTTATTTCCTAATGACATAAAGAGAACATGCTCCTCTCTAAGAAATGCTCCTACTCTGTTCTCTCTCTCCACCTCTCCCCACTCTATCAGTTGAAGCATTAAATCTCATCTTTTGTATTTGAAGGAAGATTCTCCTTATTTTTATTTAGGAGCTGCCTGTATCTTTCCAATGTTTTAATTACACGCAGTCATACTTGGTTAATTAGAATTAGTATGCCAAAATCCACCTTGGAACTAAATAGAAATTAGTATAGTGAGTCAAGAGAACACACACAGGAAAAGGTTGAATAGCTGAATCACTTTTACCATTATACTAGGAAATATTTTTCATCACAACAGGACAATAATTGTTTATCCTTCCTCACCCTAACCCAGGGTTTCTGAACCTCAGCATTGTCCACACTTTCAACTAGATAATTCTTAGCTGTAGTGGCTTTCCTGTGCATTGTAGGATGTTTAGCAGCATCCTTGACCTCAGATGCCAGTAGCACCCCAGTCCCTAGTTGCGAACATAAAAAAAAGAATGTATACAGACTTTGACAAATATCTCCTGAGGGTCAAAATTGCTGCAAGTTGAGAATCACTGCTGTGACCCCTTTAAAACCTTAACTTAGCTATAGTCAGCCAGGATAAATAAAGCACAAGTTTAAATGTCGTTTGTTCAAAATCCAATTAAAGTTGACTGTGACAGCCAACAAAAAGACTAAACATGTGACATAGGGCTGTATATGACAACTGGTAAGAGATTCAAAGGAATTCAATATGATCTCATGAAGAATGAAAAATACCTCTTTTCTTAAAAACATGTTAACACCTAATAAATATCATAACTCAGAAGATGGCCAGAAAAAAAGGGCTTAATATTAGATGATCGTCAAGTAAGAATATAATTAAAATTTTAATATATATGTCTACTCCTCATTGAAAACCTATACCTGAGTTTTCAAACATTTTCCAGTTGCTAAGTACTACACCTCCTTAATTTCATTCATTAAAAATTATTATTTTTTATACTCATGAAGTGCTGTGATAGGTGTTGGGGGAGATATAAGAATTAATACATTACTTCCTCTCTGTAGACATCTAGGAATGTCCCACTGGCCCCTTACCCTGGCTCCAGGAGCTCAATCTGCTCTACAAGGATGATTTTATGAAAGCCAGGTGCAACACATTGCTCATTCCTTGTGAATATTTACAGCCCAGCCTTGAAAAGGCTGTGTATGTATATGTATATGTATATGGTGTATATATAGATATATTTCAGTGACAACATAAGCAATTTTCCCCCAAAATATAAGTAACAGAATAAAAACTATTAACTCCTCTTCCTTTCTTTTTTCTTTTCCTCTTTTTGTTAGGGTGGACTATCCTTTTGCTGAGCAGGACTGAAATATAAAACAGAAAACCTGAGAGGGAAGAAGTAACGCTATATAGAAGACAATTCATAATGTAAAAAGGTCTGCATGGAAGAGGATTGAAGAGCCAGATGACAGATGAGAGCCAAAAGGTTTGGAGGTATTTAGAAGGATTGCTGCTGAGAATTGTTGAATTTAAATTTTTAATCCAATCTGTTTTAGCAGGAGATTTCAACACAATTACCAATAACGTCAATTATTTAATAATTTGATGGAAAACAACTTGTAAAGAGTCAGTGAGAATCAACATTTTTGTGGTGAGTTTACTTTTTAGTCCAACTCTCTCAGTCCCTTTACAGGGACATTCAACATCCTTGCAAAACATTTGTGGGAGCAAATGGAGAACTTGGCTCCAGAATTGGTACCAACAAACTCCCATTTGAGCTTCTTTCATTTGAGCCCACAGTTTCTTACTCTTATTTTTCCTGTATGTCTTACTCATGTTGGCTTTGGATACTTACCTTGGACTCTTAGATCTGATGAAGCATTTAATTGGATGTGTTTCTTCAGTTTATTTTCTCGGACTTTTTTTTTTTTTTTTTTTTTTTTTTTTTTTTTTTGTGATGGAGTCTCGCTCGTCGCCCAGGCTGGAGTGCAGTGGCGCCATCACTGCAAGCTCCGCCTCCCAGGTTCACGCCATTCTCCTGCCTCAGCCTCCCGAGTAGCTGGGACTACAGGCGCCCGCCACCACACCCGGCTAATTTTTTGTATTTTTAGTAGAGACGGGGTTTCACCATGTTAGCCAGGATGGTCTGATCTCCTGACCTCGTGATCCGCCCGCCTCGGTCTCCCAAAGTGCTGGGATTACAGGCATGAGCCACCACGCCTGGCCTTGGACATGTTTCTGATAATTCTGAGAAAAAATACTCACCTTTTACCCTAACATAGGACACTCAAATTACCAGAAACAAACTTTTCCTCATTTTTCTGGTGGAAGAGATTTTTTCTGGATACAGTTACTCAGGACCTGGTGTATTAGCTGCAGGCAACACATGGAGTCCTTATAACTCTAAAATCTGTGCTATGCTTCCCAGAAACACCTATGTACTGTTCAAGATTCTTACAGTTTCAAGTGACAGAAATGGAACTGGATGTAGCCTAAGCAGAAAAAAATAAATGAAAAAAAAAGGAAAGGGGTGCATAGAGGGATTTATTGGCTCATATAATTGAATTAAAAAATCCATTGGCAGATGGCTTCAGGCACTGGAAGATCTGAGGCCCATAATGTTTTCAGCTTTCTCTTTTTTACTCTCTCTTTTACTCTTCCTCCATTTCTCAGACATAATCTTTCTCAGACATAATGGCAAAAGGTAGCCATTTTGCCAACCTGAGATTAAATCTTGCTAAATTATAAAATTGTATGAATCAATCAAGATTCTTGGTTACAAAACGGAAGCTTAATTCATAACTTATGTAAATAAGAAAAATTATTAAATGAATATTCAGTAGTCCACCAAATTAATGAGAGGTCTAGGAAATGGGCTGGAAAAATCGGCATATGTTATAGAAGCGAGAATCCCAAATCACAGCACAGGATGGATCAAGATGCTGCTTTGAAGGCACTAGTCACTCCCTCCTGCTGGTACTACTAGTGTTGGACGATAGAAAACTGGTCCAAAGTAACTCTTATTTTCTGAACTAAACTCACAAAGCTTTCTATGTATTCCTGAATAGCAGTATCAGAGTAGAGTACTATAGGTCTTATACTTATGTTTTAATTGCCGGAGAGCAGATAAGGAGGTTCTGTGCCCTCTTCTGCTTTTATAATGAATGGGTCCTGCTTCTAAACAAGGTCTAAATAATGAGAGGGCCGGGCGCAGTGGCTCACGTGTGTAATCCCAGCACTTTGGGAGGCCGAGGTGGGCGGATCACGAGGTCAGGAGATTGAGACCATCCTGGCTAATGCGGTGAAACGCCGGTTCTACTAAAAATACAAAAAGTAGCCGGGCATGGTGGCAGATGCCTGTAGTCCCAGCTACTCAGGAGGCTGAGGCAGGAGAATGGTGTGAACCCAGGAGGTGGAGCTTGCAGTGAGCTGAGATTGTGCCACTGCACTCCAGCCTGGGCAACAGAGTGAGATTCCGTCTCAAAAAAAAAAAAAAGAATTTAAATTAAATAAATAAATAAATAATGAGAATTCCATTCATATAGAAAATACTTTCAGATGCTGTGTTTCAAAAATTGACAAATACCCATTATAGTCTACATTTTTAGTAGAGAGGAAGAGAAGATGAATTTAAGTATTTAAATGCATAAATGACACATAAAAGAAGGAAGAAAAAGTAGGTAGAAGTTACAGTCCTTGTTTCTTTATTTGGGGGTTAGAACTGGCATGTATAAATTCTTTTCTACAATGTGCTTCACAATTCCTTTTACTTGAGCTAAGAACTGAGTTGCTTGGTGTTAAATTATTTGTTAAGTGGGGTGATCTGGGGGCCCTCAGTGAACTTACTTTTATAAGGTTTTCATAGTTTTCTATCAGTTGTTACTACTGAACATCAAATCCAAGAAATCTCTGAATTTCCATTGTGAAGTAGCAATGTGTTTTCTATTTCATTGTCAATAACTGTAACTCAAATGCAATATAATCTCCTTGCTGCTTTTGCTCGCTTTGGAAGAACAGGCTCAACACAGTGAGGTGGAATTACCAGCTTTTGGTTAAATGCAACCCTTGGTGAGCAAAGTGTTCCCTACAAGCTAGCACTTTCATTGAGGCTTCCACATGTCATTTCTTTTTTCTATAAAGCCAGCTAATTTTATTTGATTCTCACTTAAAGCCAGTGATTCTTTGGAATATCATCCCAACTACTTACTTCTTTTGCTGTACAATGATTTCCTGGTCATAAGCGATGCTGTTAGCATAAAATGATGGTGTAGTAGTTAAACAATAAGGCTACAACTAGTATGGCTTGCTAAATGATAAAATCCAAAACAGAATCAATTTATCTTCTAGTGATGACAGGTTGTTTCCCTCGAAGGTGGAAGGTATTGAAGGCGTGAGCCTGTCCTCAGGCATCTGGTTGTTCTTAGATAAGAGGTTCAAATTTGTTGCCTGCTGCTGTGCATTAGGTTCTCACCTGGGTGGTAGACAAATCAGTTTATATGAACTAAATCCTACCAACATATTTTTATGCATTTCTTGGTAGTCTTTCAATTAACTTCATATCTGCTTAAGCTAGCTGATATAAGTCTCTTGGTATACTATCAATACCTCTGAATATTTCAGGCATTTGGTTCACAGAATAAAGACTTCTCTTGCCATCCATGGAGGGAGGTGGGACCTTGCTTTCTAACAATTTCCAGGCGATGATGAACTCTCTCAAAAAGTTAGGATGTTTATATGGTCAGAAATTATACTGGTTTCTCATAGCTGCTATAACAAATTTAATGCCTTAAAATAACACAAATGTATTCTCCCACAGTTCTGTGGGTCAGAAGAGTGTGAAATCAGTTTCACTGGGAAGGTGTTAGTAGGCTTGTCCCTTTTGGAACCTCTGAGGGGAGATTCCAGTTTGTGCCTTTTCAATTTTCTAGCATCTGCTGGCTTTCCTTGGCTTGTGCCCCCTTCCTCCATCTTCAAAGTGCATCACTCAGATCTGCTTCTATTGTCACATAGCTTTCTTTCTCTCTGTAGTCAGGTTATCTTCCTCAACCTCCCTCTTATGAGGCCATTTGTGATTGCATTTAGGGCCCATTTGGATAATTCAGGATAACATCTCAAATTCAAGATGCTTAATTCAATCACATATGCAAAGTTATTTTTGTCGTATAAGATAACATCCAAAGGCTCCAGGGATGAAGACTTAGGTATCTTTGGGATTATTATTCACCCTGCCCCAGGAACAGATTCTACCATATGGGAAAATGAAACACAGAACAAAACAAAAACACTTCAAGCAGTAAAAAAAAAAATCCCACCTCTAATGGAAACTTTGAATGGTTTACTTGAGTCACATGTCCTTCTCTGAATCTAAGAGTCGGTTGAGAATAATCCCATCCAATTGACATAGAATTGATTTCCCAAGGAAATGGCTAATATTTACAAAGCATTTAATAAATGCTTGACACTGTGTTAAGCACTTTGCTTAGGTTATCTTTTGTAGTTCTCCCAATTATCCTACAAATAAAGAACAATAATTACCTACGTTTCACAAATGAGAAAAGTGAGGCACAGGGAGGTACATAACTGGTACCAAAGTTGCAGAGAAGTGGGATATGAATCCAGACATTTTAATTTCAAAGCCCACATGTTTAACCGTTAAGGGAAAAATGAGAGGCAAATAAAAAGGTCTCCACTACCAGCTGTGAGTATACTGTGAGTGTGTTGTCGCTGACTGGATTCTCCTTAAGCAGGGACCGAGATGGAGTTTGGGGTGTAAGATGGCTGTCACATCTGCAAAAGGTAAGAAAGAGAAGGGAACAGAATTGGGCAGAAGGAGAAGTCAAACTTTGACACAGATTTGACAAAACTTGGTCAACTAGATTAGCTCTGGAGCAAATTTTGCCCATCGGAGTGTCTTCCATTGTTTTTCTCCTATAACAAGGCCTTTATATGGTCACTTTGCTCAGTCACTGTGGTGGGTTGTTGTGGGAAAGACATAACCTCAGGCAAGGTGGTTCTTAGGAGTTGAGGCAAATCCTAAAGGAGCCAACAGCTCGAGGCTGTCTGCTGATCTCAGTTATTGCAGCTGGACAGAAAGTCCTTCCTCAGAGGGAGATCTGGGATTGGAGTACATCTCTGTGCTTACCACACCTATCATTTAGACTAGTTTTCAACCTTGACCACACATTACAATCACGTGGGGAGTGTCTGAAAAAATAACAGTACCAGGGTCTTACCCTAGCCTCATTAAATCTAAATCATTAGAGTAAATCACAACATGAGCATTTTAATAGAATCTTCAAGGTGATTCCAATATGTGACCAGGACTGAGAATCATCGATTGAGGGCAAACCTAAGGAAGTAGGTAAATTTTTGGAACACCCAAAAATAAGGGCAAATATTTTCATTGCTTCAAAAACCACTTGAGTTTTTGCGAAATTCATTTGTGATAAGGTATTTATAAACAAATATTTCAACTCATTTTTCTACAACTTGTTTTCATGTTTAGAAGTATAAATACAAAGGCACATACACTCACTCACAAAAAACACATAACTTCATGTAATTTTTACTGAAATATTTCAGAATCCCCCAGGCCTGCTCATATGGTGTTGAGAGAAGACAGTTTGTATCCTTTTGGTCTTTAAATAGCTCTCTAAAAACCTTAAGTTCTTTAGCACCATGGAAGCTCAGATGGATGCATTTCCAATTATCTATTTATAAATGAAATTCTGACCTCGCTGCTGGAAAGGTCATGCCAAGTGTGATCTCTCAGCCATATGGCTGAGAAAATGAAGTGGTAAGTTTATTCTTCTGAGGTATATGTTAATGCCTCAGCTAATTAGTCTTTTCCAAATTTGTGTCACTGCTATTAGAAGATATGAGACAGAGAAAACCTGTGGTATTTAGTTAATAATATACCAACTTACTTTGGAATGAAGCCAGGCAGGTAAACTGGTAATTTTAATTAACAGACATGTGAGTAAAATCCTCTAATTCTGAATTACAAAATTACAAATTAATCTTTGTTGTTTCCACCTGAGATGGAATACTTTTATAATGAAGATTTAATGTGTGTATGATTGTAATAGTTATTTTAATAAAAATTCCTCATTGTATTTTATAGCTGTGCCTGTCTCTGCCCCTTTACTCCCTGTTTCTCATACTCAAGACCACTTTCATCCTCCAGACATAGATTTAGTCCTAACTAGAGTTTGAAAGCTGTTCTGACTGAGAGACCAAGGTGACTATGAAATATCTAGAACCAGTGTATTTCTGGTTTAGCATCGTTACTGTCGTGCCGATCTTGCTAATAAGATGCCTCCTCTCCTTGAACCCTTAGTTTTGCCTCCATTGCCCAATACCAGACCTCTGACATACAAAAGCTCATCTGAATTTACTGACTGTCTGACACTTGAATCTTTGTAATCATCAATCCATATTCTGTTTGAAGTAAGAATATTGAATCTTTGTATTTGCACTGATTTTTGGCAAATAGAATATTTTGTCTTCTTTTTTTTCTAACAAATGAATATTTTGGGTTTGATGATATTTCTTCAGACTCTTGTTTGTGAGTGCTTACCCATGTCCTGGATCCCACTTTCTGGCACTTAGCCTTTGACCACTTAGTAGGTCTCTTGTAAATCCAACTCATTGTAAAAAGTATGATGTACTTTCCAAATTGTTAACATTGATTATCTTAACACAACCGCAAACTTTAAACATCATTCTCTCCTGGCTTATAATTTTATTTAGATCTTTTATATAGTAGCAGATTTTAAATTTCAAATTTAGTACTTCAAAAAATATTAATATACATAGAATAATTAAGACAATTTATAGCAATCAGAATGATAGCCAATGAATGCAAAGAGTTGAAAAAAAAGCTCTGGGTCATTATATTCGACAGTAGAATGTGAATTGTTAATGGACTGCTACTGTTATATCATCAAGTATGGAACAGGATTCATTTACCACCTATGACTAATAGCTGGTAAAATATCTATGATTTCCATGAATCAAGCATCTTTCAAAGTTCTGTGCTTATTTTGGTGTTCTTAAATGAAAGAGGATTATGTCTACATCTCTTTTTCATACTGGGGTAGTGTTATGCTTCCTGCCAAAAAATGTCACACAAATCATATTTTCCATAAAATACTAGCACATCTCTTTTGGTTAAAAAATAAAAAAAAGACTTTAATACTTTGTGTAGGAAGCATTCTGTAGCCTAAATGTTGAAATGACTTATAAAAAAAAGGAAGAGTTAAAATAGAAATGAAAATACTTATAGAAAAGTATTGGGAAACAAACTTTGCATGAATAGTGTAAATAAGGCATTAACTTTTCTGACACTTGGTTCTGCCCCTTCTCTTTAAGGGTTGCCTGTCCATTGATCTTTAAGTCCATCAGTGACATGATGTCAAACCAACATCTCTTAAGTATTTATATTCTTGCCCTCTGTTATTCAAAGTTTTAAGAGAACTAAAATCTTTGTATGAAAACAAATGTATGTGTAGATATATGGAAGTATATTGTATATCTGTCTTACTTATCTTTATACCTATCCATCTACATGTTCGATGGACACTAGTCACAGACCATCAGGAACAAACACATCTGTTGTTGAACAAAGTTCTGTTTATTGGTGTTTCTTGCAATAGGTGAGACCACACAACATGGAAAATGGTAAGGGAATGTTGGGAGGATGAGGGTTAGGGTTAGACGTGTGTCAGACTTTTGGGAGGCATCTAGGGAAGCTTTGGATTGGGTGTTTCCAGAAAGTGAGCACAATTCTGTGATTTGGTATCTTAAGTTTTATCTGAGATGCAGGAGGAATGGAGAGAAGCTAAAACTCTGGTGAGGAAATAGAAGTCATTAATGTTAGTTGTGAGAGGGTCATATTGATCATTTTTGTGTTTTTTAATATGTGTTTATTTTATATTATCTGTGTTCAGTTATGATTATGAAGGGGTCTTTTTTTTTGTCTTGTTCCACCATGGTCACAGAGAGCCTTTTCCGATACTGGTATTCTGTGAAATCATTTATGTTCAATAAGAGAATCCATAGCCTAGCGGTAAGTGCTAGGCCAACTCCCAGCTCCTGGCCGTTGGGGCTTCTACTTCCTTTCCCTCTGTATATATGTATATGTAATCATATTTAGGATCAATTCTTGTATTATTTTCATGCTTTATTTGCATTTGTGCTACGACTATATTGGCATCATGTAGGACTACTTTAAATGTTATGAGGACATAAAAAAAGAGAAATTAGGTTAATATGTATAGAATGTAATAGCATCAATGATTGCCAAATGATGTCTCTGTGTGCCCTATGATCAAGGGTGCCCAGGTTGTTTTGGTATAGAAGAATAACAGAAGCATTGAGTTTTCACAAGGCATATGGTAATACATAGACAGGACAAATTCAGAAGGACCTGTGCTCTAAATTTTTACACTTTGAGCAGTGTTTTACTAGATCATGCGACACCATTTCTTACATTGCACTTGTATACTTGATAGAAATTTTACTAGTTTTGTAGTTTTCTTTTTGTTTAATTTATAAAAGTTTAATTTAATAATTGTATATAAATTATAACAGGTAGTGCCCAAACTAGTCTTATAATGTACATACATGAATTGCATTAAAATAATAAGAATCTTGTGACCATGAGATCTTTTCTCTCTTAAATATTTCTGAATACAATTTTGATTAAACCACCAGATGCTGTGCCTTCACCTCAGTGCAATGTTGCTTTTTATTTTATGCATTTTCTCATTTCTTTAATCCTTTATGAATGGTCTTCCTTTTTTCTCTATCTCTTGAAATCTTTCACATCCTTCAAGATCCATCTCAAATGTCACCTTCCTTTTCTATTCAATGTAGTGGAATTTTACCCCTTTCTTCTCTATGCTCTTAAGGAACTGTCCATATACTCCATTGATCTCTCTTTATGTGGGTAGCAGTCTGCTAACTGATAAGCTCTTTGAGGGCAGGGAGCTCCATATTAGTCATTACCTTCCCCATATTATTTTACATAAGCTTTGACATGTAGAATTCACTAAATGAACATTATTTTGCATAAAATTAACATGATTAAATATTTGGAAATTACTAGGATTTCACTGAAAGTTACAGATATCAGAGTACTAATTTTGAAATGAAAAAGTCAAAGTGATTTAATAAATGAAAATTAAAGTAAATGAAAAAATGTGCTCTTTATTTGCCATGATAGAAATAATTATTGTTATTATAGCAAACACTTATTGCATGCTATGTATCAGCATTCTGTAAGTACTTAATGTGTAAGAAGTCTTTTAACTTCTACATTAACTCTGTGAGGTAGGCGTCATCAGTATCTCTGTTTTACAGATGAGAAAACTGAGCACAGTGTGAATAATGACCTCACCCAGGGTCACATACTTACTAAGTCATGGAGCCAGTTTCCAAACCTACTTTTGGCTCCACAATCAATGGCATAATTAAAGAAACTAAATAAATTGTAAAAATGCAAATTCTATTTAGACATAAAATTTACTTTCAAACATCAAAGTTAGAAATGATTTTGAGTATCCATCATGGACTTTCGATAGGAGATCTGGAAGTAGATGACCAGGAAGTTCTCATTCAGTTCTACATTTTTAAGATTATCTGTGTTTCGTAGTTTCCTTAAAATGAAGGCACTGAATGTTTCTACATATTTCCTACTTGACTATTGCAGAAAAATAATTTTCACATTCAATTGAAATGAATATGCAAAGATGTTCCTATGAAGGAAATTTGAAAGCCCAAAATGCTTATTGCTGTCACACTGTTAAGAGGTCATTATTAGTCCCTATCAGCTCATAAACAAGTTCCTGTTGATGGAATTTTATAACACCGTCTATTTCTATTTCTAGTTATGTGGAAATCTTGTCTATTCACAGTAAAAATCTAAAGCTTTAATATTGGCAGCAAATATACTGGAACAGAAATTTTGCACTGTTTTTCCCCCGTAGATTCAATATAGATGAATAACATTTAAAAGGCTAGAATTATACTAGACATTTCAATTATTAAATGACAAAAATGTTCCCAGGAAGACTGTAAAGACTTTATTCATATCTGACCTGTGATCCAATTTTGCTCATTTTAAAAAATAATTTGTTTCCATGTTATGTTCAATAAATTGCAGATGACTCATATTCATAAAAATAAGCTTATTTGCCATGTAATAGGGAATCTGGCCAGAACATATTTGAGGTGCCCAAATCAAGAGCAAATGAAGCTTGTGGAATGCCCCTCTTCTGCACCAAATCATATGTGAATGCATAAATTCACTTGCGAATAAAAAACAGATGCTGTTAAAGAAAGTTTAAGTTCCTGGGGACACATTAATAACTGGCTCATGGACACACAAAGCAAAGCAAAGTACAGAGATAATTTAAAGGACCAACACACAGGAGTGATTTTCCCAGAAAACTGGCCAATCGCAATTTACATAGTAAAGCTCTTAGAACTAAATACTCCTAGGAGGCCTCTAAATGGCATTCAAATCTGGTGTCCACAATAAGCACTGAAATAGAATATTAGTTTTCAGTTGTTATGAAAGCTTAAGGTTTGACTTTGTTGTTTATTCTTTTCACCATAGTTTTGTATCTAAGTTTGGAATCATCACATATATTTAAAAGTATACTCTAAATTTTAAATAATTTTCCTTGAATGAACATTTTGGGCAAAGAAAAAAGAGACCTAGTGAAGTGATTTGCCCAATGCTACTTGAATTCAAGCCTCCTGATTTTCTGGATCCTGCTAGTGCCACCACATTCTATATATGCCATAAGATTTATGGAAAAAATATGAAATCTCATTGAAGTACAGTAATTTGAGTTTAAATTGAGAGAGTGGTTTCAGTTTAGGATAAAAGACTGGGTGCTTTTTCACGTCTAATCCATTTGTAGAGCTCACTGATATAAAAATATAGAAATATAAGCTAAATACAATGAATAGTATAGGAAGAGGTCACCATCAGGAAATGGAATATTTCAACATGTTTCTGGAAATTACAAAGAACATGGGAGAGTGTTACTGGAGAAAACACATCAGAGGACACCAGCTCCTAGAATATTCTAGAAGGGTCTCCAGTAGCAGGGAGAAACATGGAAAAACTTTAGGAAATAATCGTGGTATAGAAAGAGATAAAAATTTGAGTTTACCAGGCTGGCCAACATGGCAAAACCATGTTTCTACCAAAAATACACACATAGACAAAATTAGCTGGGTGTGGTGATATGCACCTGTGGACCCAGCTACTCAGGAGGCTGAGGTGAAAGGAGGCCGAGGCTGCAGTGAGCTGTGATCACGCTACTGTACTCTAGCCTGGGCAACAAAATGAGACTCTCCTTCAAAAAAATAAAGAAATAAAAAAGTTGAAAAACAATTGACTTTCTTTATATGGAAATATTGATTGATTCTTCTATCTCCCAGGGATATACTACCAAGCATATCACAAACAAACAATAACACATTATCTAAAAATAATTTGGAGGAGAGTTAAGACCTTTATAGTAGTTATTGTGCTCAAAAGCAGAGCCCTACTTTTTCTGGCATGCCAGGGTTTACACATCTAAAAGTAGTCTCCGAGCCCACTTACCCTAAGCTGAAGCCAGCCGGCGACATTCCCCACAAATCTCCCGGAAATGTTTCCCATTCGGGGTAGACAATTATAGACATGCCTACTCTTTTATGTAATGGCAGCGTGAGCTCGTACTGACTCCCAATTTTAATTCTTAAACTATGAGTGAACCAACAATCACATGTTGGAGGTTGGATTTCTCCTGAATCCAACTCTGAGACAGAGTATTGTGCAGGAAGCTTATGAGGGAGTGCTCTTGAGATCAACACCTGTAGGGTAAGAAAAGGAAAGCAAAGTTTGGTACAGGGTGAAGTTAGGCTGTGATATAAGGACACTGCTGACCCTGCAGGGAACTCTGAGGCCGGGATGACACTTTGAAACTTTCAGGGCAAGGACTCTGGAGGCTTTATGTTCCATTGTTGACCAAACATAGGATGTGAGCTGCCCTGGGAAAAACACATAACCTTTGGCCAGGTGGAACCCCCTCGCTGAAGCAGTCTAACCAGTGAGACAACTGAGTGAGTGTTCAGGTGACAACCATCACAGCAGCTGGGGGAATAAATCCTTCAGTCCTGAAATGGACTGGTGGCATCCCACAGTACATCCCAAACCACAGATGTATCAAGAAAAATCAATATGAAAGAGAAAAACTTTAAAATAAAATGAAACCTACCTTAAGAGAAAAAGAATTTTAGAAAGAGAAGACATTTTATAAAAGCTTCAATTAGAACAAGAAAGAGTTGTTATAAATTAAAAATAATGCTAAATAAATTTAAAGTTCAATTGAAAATATAGAATATAAGCAAATTTTTAAGACTGTAGGGCAAAAACCAAGAAGTCAAAAATAGATTAAGAGGTGAGTGGTCACTACAACATCTAACTCAAAGGAGTACAGGAAGAGAGAACACAGAAAAATGCAAAAAAAAAAAAAAAAAAATCAGGGAAGTAATAGATTTCCTTCAGAGGAGTATCAATTCTTCATCCTGAAGGGGCTCTTGATTCAATTAATAGTCTCTTTAGGGTGGTTCAGGGAGTGGGATCTTGGACCCATGGAGAAAGACATAAAATTCTAGAACACTAAATGTATAATTGTTATTAATAATGTAAACTGTTTATTGGACTTTACATAGTCAATTTAGGACTAAGGACAAAAAATTTAATTAAAATTTTAGAATGGGAAGTAAATGTTAAAACCCTTGATAATGTAAAAGTTAGAACATAATTGCCTGAGGCTAGATTTGATTTGAAAGCGGCTTAAGAAAGGACAGAGAGATTAGTTTCATCTCACATTATTTTAAGGAGATGGAAATGTTGGGTTTATGATTAGATTTTACCCTACTTACAAGTGAAGTTAGCTTGTTACTGTTTCACAGATGCTGGCAGAAGACCCAAGACTCCTGGATCAGAGACAAAAGATTTATTACTCACAGCACAGCAAACAGTGTGAGTATTATGTTTGGGACAGTTTTCCTTTCCCTCAAAGTGACATGTGGATGAATGTATTAGTCAGGGTTCTACAGAAGGACAGATGGATGATGATCCCTTTTCATACATCTCTCTTCCACAAGAGAGAGAGATGTATGAAAAAGGATTTTATTAGGGGTGTTGGCTTAATTGATTATGGAGACTGTTAAGTCCCATAATAGGCCATCTGCAAGCTGGAAAATCAGGAAAGCCATTGCATGGCTCAGTTCAAGTCTGAAAGCCTCAGAACCAAGGAAGACCATGGAATGTATTCCTCAGCCTGAGGCCAAAGTCCTGAAAGTCCCAGGAATGGGTTGTGTGAGTTCTGGAGTCAAAACCCACAGAGTCTAGAATTCTGAATTCAAGGGAAAGAGAAAAAGGCTGTTCTGGATCAAGAAAAAGGTGATCTGGCTCCAGAAAAGACATGGTGAGAATTCATCCTTCCTGCACCTTTTTGTTCCATCTAGACCTCCAGTCTATTGGATGGGGCCTGCCCACATAGATGGTGGATCTTCCCCACTCAGTCCGTGATTCATACGCCGATCTCTTCTGGAAACACCCTCACAGAAACACCTGGGAAAGCCTAATTATTCAAATTTAAAGTAAAACCACCTAGGTTTCCCTGTCAGTAGAAGAGGGATGGGCTTGGTGCCTACTGATGCAATGAGAATAAACAATACCAGTTATCTGATGATTTCTTAATCCAGTCAAGTTGACACCAAAAATCAACCATCACAATGGATCTGGCATGATGATGCATACACAGTGAGATTGCATCATCAGTGAGGAATACTGAGCTTGGTGATTCCACATCTTTCATAGCAGGTATTAAGCAAGGCTGCTCTTTGCCCCAAAAGGAGACATCACCTCACTGTCAAGTTCGCTCCCTGTAAGTACAATCCTAGTAAACAGCGGTCAGGACTTTGCCTGCTGGGTAAACAGAATAGGATGTGTAGCATGAGAAACCTATGGAAGACTTTTTCTCCCAACAGGGAGTCAAGATACTAACTGAAGTTAAAGAAACGAGAAATAGAATATAGGCCTATCAGTTAAAGTTCCAAAGGTCATTAGTAAAAGAACTAAAAATAGTATGTAACTCTGAAACAGTGCGAGGAGAAATGCATATATAATAAATCCCTTTCTAATACTTCATGATTAGAAATTAATAAATGTAGTATAAAGTTAACACATCTGATAAAAGCAATAAAAGTATATTATTGAGAGAAGTGGAGGTAGCCACCTAAATAACTAAAACCATAAACATTTAAAACAGATTGACTTCAGAGTGAGATTAAAGATGTGAGAGAGGGTGGTTTTCATTTCACTTTATGAAAGCTCCTAACGCATTCATCCACATATCTATAGGTGTGTATGTATGTATACTTTATACATATACAAGTATGTGTATATATACACATACATACGTGTGTATATATATGTTTATATATATATATATACACACACACATTGAATATGTTACAGGATGTTTCTGGTATTGCTTTCCATAATTAACTTGAAATTATATCAAGCCTAATGTTCAAGAAAACATATGTGTGTGTGTGTGCATATATATGTGTATATATATGCTTATGCATATATATTATGTGAATGTTAAGCAAACGTATATATGTTTACGGATATATATACACATACACACACACACACACACACACACACATATATATGTTTTCTTGAATGTTAAGCTTGATATACTTTTGAATTAATTATGGAAAGTAGTAACAGAAACATCCTGTAACATAATCAATTACAGGAGATGACTAAACTTGTCAGCAACCAAAGTCAGAACATTCAAGATGTTAAAATTAAAAGAATAAAGTAGTAGTTTAGGAGAAAAAGTCAAATTTTATATTCAGTCAGCTGAGAATTCCTACTTTCATTCAAATTAGGAGACAATTTAAAAAAGCAATTTAGCAAGCATTTCTTAAGTATTTATGTGTCAGACAGTGTTTTTGGTGACAGGAATACAAGATTAATCTTCCTTTGATGGAATTCCCAGGTTATTAGGAGAAGAAAGGCATATAAACCAGTAATGATAATACATCATGTTAATTTCAATATCTAATTTTCAAGTTTGACATGTTTTGATGATTAGCCATTTGTATTTTAATTTAAACATTATCTTATAATTGAAAGTTAAATATGCAGCTTCAGATCATCTTTTCTTCTTTACATGTGAAAGAAATATAAAATATTTTAATGCTAAATTTGCCTTTATAAGCCTTCGGTTATTAGGAAACTGGTTAGAATATTGCTTAGGACAAAAGAAAAATCTGTTCATTTACATTTTATTTTTCTTAACCTTATTTGTCTCCTTTCACTCTGGATAAATAGAAAAATTAATTCTGAGACATTCCTAAAGCTCTTCTGGGCTCTAAATTAGATCAAGTTGGGAGTTTTCTTCCTTATTACACTACTTCTTCCCTGCTGACATCAAGTCTCTTGTCTCTGTCACTTGTGTATAGCATGTGCTGTTTGTCTTCCCAATTAAATTGAGAATCCCTTATGATTATCACTCAGCAAGTTAAGAAAATATCTGAGACCTAAAACTATCATTTGCATAAAAATATGTATGAATACGATTAAGCAAATATTGCCATATTTTATGAAGTTTTCAACAACTGGAAATAAGAAAGCTTATTGAGGAGTAACAATTTTAGAAAATTATATTACAACATGATCAGAGTATTATCTGTTAGATTACTAAGATTACTATTTAAATGCAATAAAAGCATTTTTTTTTTTTTTTTGAGTTGGAGTTTCGCTCTTTTGCCCAGGCTGGAGTGCAGTGGCGCAATCTCGCACACTGCAACCTCCACCTTCTGGTTTCAAGTGATTCTCCTGCCTCAACCTCCTGAGTAGTGGGGATTACAGGTGCTGGCCACCAGGCCTGGCAAAGTTTTGTATTTTTAGCAGAGAAAGGGTTTGGCCAGGCTGGTCTTGAGCTCCTGACCTCATGATCCGCCCGTCTCGGCCTCCTAAAGTGCTGGGATTACAGGCTTGAGCCACCACACCTGGCCCACAATCAAAGTATATATATAAAACTGTTGTACATTAGATAGATATTCTATGTTGTTAGAGGAGACACTAGTGAGATAGTTGGTGGTCAAATGAATTCCTATGAATAATAATTTAAATCAATCCAAGTATTCCCTTAATATGGCTACACCAAATTTTGCCATTGTCATCTGAGTTTTATGCAGCTAATATAATAATTGTGGAACATGGAAATATTATGTGAATTTTAAGCAAAAAGTTAGGATGTAAAATTATATGTACATTATTACTATCATCATGTAAATAATATATTTATGTATATAAATAACTATTGCAAGCACAGAAAAACGCAGCACTGTGTTACATAGCATTATGAGTGGTGACTATTTTAGGATTTATCAAACTTTCTGTAATGCTGTTAAATTATCTCCCTAAATATAATTTAAGTGCGTGTTGCAGAACACTATGTGCTGTGTGATCTATACGTTTTTAATTTGTAGCTGTCTCTTTCTTTTTTGCCAGTAAAGGGATGAGTAGGGCAGACATTAGAAGATATATTCCTTCTAATTTATGGAAAAGAGTACATGTGGCACAAATTTTTATCATTTTAAACAACTCTACATTTTCACAGTTAAAAACTTAAAATTTAAATTAAAAAATTATGAGGTATAAAAATCTTTAGATAATCTTAGCCAGCCTTCTTTGTAGCCTCCAATGATTCTCTCCTGCTGATATTCACACCTTTATTTCCCTCCCATAATGAATCAGAGATAGTTGGTGTGACCACAGTGAATGTGACATTGTATGACTTCTAAGGCAAGATCATAAAAGGCCTCATAACTTCTTCCTTGGTCTCCTAGATCACGTGTATTGGGGGGAAGGCAATAACCATACCATAAAGACACTCAAGTAGCCATGTAAAAGAGCCCAAGGGGATAGAAACTGAAGCCCACAGACAACAGCCAGCATCAACTCCCTGGCCATGTGAGTGAGCCGTCTAGGAAGTAAATTCTGTAGTTTCACTCAGACTTCAGATGACTGCAGCCCTAACAAGTCTGCAATATCATGAGAGACATTGAGCTCGAACCCCCGCTGCTGAATTCCTGACCCAAAAGACCTATGTGAAATAATATAATATTATTGTCATTTTAAGCGACTACATTTTAGGGTAATTTTTTGTGCAGTAAAAGATAACCACAGCATAATTCATGGTCTTTCTGTTATTTAGAAGTCATCAGGAGCTCTGTGCTGCCTTTTAGATGTCCCTGAAGTAAGCTGTTGTACATATGGCCAACACATGCTTTCTGAAACAGTAGGGGTATTGTTAGATATGTCTTGTCGTGATGGCTCTGGGATGCACAGTGTATTAGTCCATTGGTAATTTATAAAGAAAAGAGGTTTAGCTGGCTCATGGTTCCACAGGCTGTACAGGCAGCAAGATGCTGGCATCTGCTCGACTTCTGGAGAGGCCTCAGGAAAGTTAGAATCATGGCAGAAGGCAAAGGAGGAGGGAGCACCTCACATGGCCAGAGCAGGAGGAAAAAGGATGAGGGGAGGTGCAACGCACTTTTAAACAACTAGATCTCATGAGAGTTCACTATTGCAACAACAGCACCAAGGGGGATGGCGCTAAACCATGAGAAACGGCCCGCATGATCTGGTCACGTCCCAACAGGCCCCACCTCCAAAACTGGGGATTAAAATTGAACATGAGACTTGGCTGGGAACACAGATCCAAACCATATCACCCACCATGATGACTTTTTCCATCACTGATCACCTGATGCCTTCTCATTACTTATTCTGAAATCCCAGGGAAAAAAGTCCTAATATATGTGTATAACAGAAAGGTGATACTCAAATGGATAGACATTTTCTGACTAAGCGGAAGTGTTTCAAATACTTTGCTTAGCACAGTCATTGTATTTGTTCAACCCCTTAGATTTTTTGCCACATGGATTATTAGAAACCATATTCTATTTTTGTTATTTAGAAGTATGGTGCTTCAAAGCTACAGAACAGTGCATAGATGAACATGAAGTATACCACTTAGATAATTTGGAAATAAAATTTCTTTGTTTGCACACGAGATTCTTTGGTAAAAAGGAAAAGGGATTCAACAGTGCCAGCTAAATATAATTTTCTAGACCTAATTTTAAAAATGAGTAATTGTGAGATAACAAATGATAAAAAAAGGTCTGGTAGTTCGTAAAATTTTAATGTTATTTATACTGATGCAATCTAGCTACCTAAAAATATAATTTCAGGTCATAGGTTCAAAAGGCAGATTTCAAATCTTATATTTGTTAATATCAATGCTGTGAATTTGCTGAAATGAAAAGTTACAGAAAATGCAGCTAAGAATGTAATTTTAGCAATGTATCCCTAAAAACAAAAAGTGAGAGAGGACACATTTTTACATTTATGCCAGATGAAGAATATAAAAGGAAGCGGGAAGCAACCTGAACAGAAGTTGGTGCTGTCACTGACACAAAGAAGGATTTGAGACCTTCTTAGTTATGATCTAAGGCCTGTTTATTAACTTTCTAGTATCAAACTGTCATTCATTGTCTTAGAAACATATTTTTCTACTGTGGTCCCTGCTCCACTCAAATTCATTGTTTCATTTCTGACTCATTTGCTAAGATATGCTCTGCAGCATTTATCAAAATCTCTTCTATACCAAAACCAAAGAGGAAAGCCAAATACTACCTAAGACACATTGGCACCTGAGTATATATTAGAAAACTATGCAAATAATAATTGCAGCTTTTGCCAGAGCTCAATTTGCTACTTCAGAGATTATATTGCTTATAACCCAACTGCAACTTGCTGCTGTGGCACTGACTGGTATTTCCAGTGTCCCCATACGTAGTTCTAATAGGGTTACTAATATTTTAATAATATTTGAATTCCTTTGTCATAATGAATGTGCCAACCACTTTCCAAAAATTTCTCATTTACTTAGTGTAAACCAACCTCCCTACTTCTATATTCTGAATTAGATACAATATCCATGTGGACCAACCTAAAGAATAAAATGAAGTGGGCATTGGAATTCTTTAAAAATGCTTGATATTTAGTTCTTTTCTTTTTGCAAAGTGTGACATTTATTAAAATTCTGTATCAAGTGGAATGTAAAACAAGAGACAATCTTGATACAGTTGAGAGAATTTGAATAATAAATAGATATTTCATTTAAAAATAAATTGATTAAAAACTAAGGACTGATTTCTGTTTATCTGTATGATAATGGTGTTGTGTTCATTTCTTGAGAAGCTCTTGTCTTTAAGAAATACTGACGTTGTTTTCATTGTATATATTTAAGGTATACAAATTGTTGATTTGATAGAGGTATATATTATGAAATAATCACCAAAATCAAGATAATTAACATATCTATCACCTCACATAATTACTTTTTTTGGAAATGAGAACACAAGATTTACCCTGTTAGCAATTTCAAGTTTTCAGTATATTATGTAGGATATTGTTCACCATTATCAGTCCCTGAGAGGAGTATACCATGCACTGGTTACCAATCCCAGGGGAGAACTTTAAAAACACTGCTAATTTCTACTAAGCTTCCTAGATCTGGCAGAAGGTTTTGCACAAACTTAACTATGGGATTTATGAGATCAGTGAGACAGAACACTCACACAAGTGAGAACAAGCAACTTCATTATTCATAAATAGGCAGAAAGAATCAACAGAAGGCTGGGATCCATGGTGACCAAGTCCCCCAAAGCTCAGAAAAGCTGCACAGAATGGATGAAGTATCACCAGCACATGACCCATTTTACACCATAGCTGAGCAACCCCAAAAGCACTCTACTCTGTCTTTTATACTCACGTGGGTGTGCAAGGGTCACTAAGATTACTGAGCTCAAGCATTACAGGACATCCTATTCTAGAAGGGACAAGGACAAAGCCTAGGCTGTCATGGACAGTTCCTCCTTATCTCAGGATATTGCAGTCTTAGTACGTTCTACCCAAGAATTGCAAGCACAAAGGGGAAGATCTGGTCACCGAAGATCATTTGGGGACCTGTCCTCTTGCAAAGTATGGTATTGTTACCTATAGTCATCATGCTCTACATTAGATCTCCAGAAGCTATTTGTACAGTTTCAAGTCTTCAGGCTAGAAGTCTGTAATGGTTAGTTATATGTGTCAACTTGACTGGGTTAAGAGATGCCTGGATCACTGGTAAAGGACCCTCATTCACCAGTGTAAACAGGTATCCAATCCAGTAAGGGCCTGAACTGAACAAAAAGTCAGAGAAAGGGCAAATTTTTTATCTCTGCTTGAGCTGAGACATTTATCCACTCCTGTCCTTGGACATCAGTCCTTCTGTTTTTCAGGCTTTTGGACTCAGATCAGGAATTACACCATCAGCCACCTGATTCTCAGGCCTTCCAACTTTGACTGAATTATATTAACCAGATTTCCTGTTTCTCCAGTTTGCAAACAGTAGACCATAGGACTTCTCAGCCTGTGTAACCATGCGATTCAACTTTTATAAATCTCTCTCTTTCTCTGTATATTATGTATCCTATTGATTCTGTGTCTTTGATAAACTCTGACTTATATAAAACCTTTGGGATGGCAAAGCTGCGTTGTACTCCTGAGAGTCCACAATGTGATAGGGGTTTGTTTTCTTCACTCTGTGTCTTGTTGTCTGGTCATTCAAGCAGCATTGTATGTGTTTCAATGTTCTACAACTTCTCCAGGAAAACAGCTCCTCCAACTTTTGTCTGTACTTTTTATTCCATAAGGTCATATTCCAGATTTTGATTTGAGCCAGATCAATCAGGGTCTTTAACAGATATTGTACCGCCCACTTGTCCCTTCTTCACTGCTCACTTTCATTCCTTACCAGGGACTCCTCAAACAACCCCACTTTCAAATTTTCTTTCAGCCAAAAATTCTGGAGCAAATTGATACCTGGTACACCTGTCTCTCTGGTTTATCTGAAGATATTCTGAGATATGTCCTAAAGGGAATCAGAATATACTGTTTTAATATATGCTTTTTTGGGGGGGGGGGGCAGAATAATTATTTTGAGCTGAAGACATTTGAGATTCTACAGATTCACAAAGAAACCTTCCCAGACCTTCCCTTAGCTGGGTAAAAGCAGACTTCTGAGAAATAAGGAGTGCCATAAATCCCCTCTCCAAGGGAAGTTTTATTGCTAAAAGAAAGCAGAAAATCAGTGCCAAGACGAACCTGCAGACACACAAAATCTTGTTAAGATAGCCCTTATTTTCCATTAGTTTCCCCCTATATTTACCTTCCCATAGTTTGCTGCACTTGGAAGCCACACACCTTTTTCCTTTGTTTTGTCACATCTCCACAATTTATTGTTATTTGTTAAAATGGTATATAAGCTTTAAGCCCTCTCTGCTTCTTTGGGTCATCACTTTTCTAAGAAGTCTCCTGTGTCATGTCAATTATATCAAATAAAATTTGTATGCCTTCTCTCCTATCACTCTGTATTTCTTCAGCCTAGTGTTTAGGACCTCAGGCAAAGAACCTGAGAGAAAAGAGGAAAAAAAAATTTTCTTCTCATACAATTTGAATCTGAGTTTCGGTTCAAGTTGAGCACTTAAGTTTCATAGACTTGAAAAGCAATACCAAAGTTTTAGATTCTTTTTTCTTTTACTTTTGCTAGCATGTGGTCACTTGGATATTATTTCCACAACCTATGTTTGTGACAATACCATAAAGGTGAATTAGAAATAGGACAAGTCAGCCAGGCGCAGTGGCTCATGCCTGTAATCCCAGCACTTTGGGAGGCTGAGGCAGGCGGATCATGAGGTCAGGAGATTGAGACCATCCTGGCTAACACGGTGAAACCCCGTCTCTACTAAAAATACAAAAAATTAGCCAAGCATGGTGGCGGGTGCCTGTAGTCCCAGCTACTTGCGAGGCAGAGGAAGGAGAATCGCTTGAACCCAGGAGGCAGAGGTTGCAGTGAGCCAAGATCGCGCCACTCACTCCAGTCTGGTGAAGAAGCAAGACTCCGTCTCAAAAAACAAAACAAAACAAAAAAGAAATAGGACAAGTCACACTGTAAACCTTCTGTTCCTAATCTTTTTAAATAAATGCTGGGTGAAATAAATGAGGGAAAAAGAAGAAACAAAATCAGAAAAAGCCTGTAGCCTAGAAAGTCAATGTGAAAGGGATAAGAATGATGCTGATAATTCACTACCCTGAACTCTCCCGTAATTTGGAGAATTAAGTTCCAGATTTTTGGAGTGGAGCCACTTCACTATCCTGTAAAATTTTATCATATAATAAATGACAAAAATAAGGATTTTTATAACCCTTATTTCTAAATTATAAATAACTTCAGAGGAGTTGCTGTAGTCCTTGAATCAGAATCAAGCTTTTCTCTTCCACAAACTGTATATGATTTGTTTTAAATAAACTTTTATTAACTGCTTAGTTTATTGTCAATCATTTGTAAGTGCTCCCTATACATTAATTCTCCACCTTCTGACATCACTGTCATTAAGATTTAACTCTGTTATTTTATGTGTAATTAGAAGTTTATTGGTTAGTTTGCACAGAAAAAAAAGATTTTTTTCTTTCAATGGTTAGCAATCTGGAATTTGGAAGTTCTACTTGATCTGGTTCTTTGTAGACCCAATATTTTTTTTCATACTCTTATTTCTCCATTCTGTAGGACGCTTTCCTCATCAGTGTGGTTATAACTGGGTCAGGACATGTCCATGTTCTAGCTCTTGTGAAGGAAAAAAAAGAATTGAAGGATAAGAAATTCACTCTCCATAGGTAATAAGGAAGACGTATACATTGTTTCCACTCAAATTTCATTGGTTAGAACTTAGACACATAGTCACAACTAGCTGCAAAGGAGAGTAGAAAATTTGGTCTTTACCTGGGTCTTCCAGATACAAAACTAAACTATTTTATTATTGATGAAGGGGCTACATATCTTCAAGGAAAATGAGCTTAGCATCTACATTAAAATGAATGCTTTGGCCAAGTCTCTAAGATTATAAATAACTTTGTTATCTATAGTCCGTGAGTTGTGAAACAGACTGCCCTGTAAAATATACACAACATAGATAGTCAGAGCTATTTAGAGGCCTCTTGAAGTTCTCACTTATATTGAGGATATAAGAGTTTATGTGTTACAAATTAAAGAAGGATTTTTGAGGACTATTTCTTTGAAAACATCTGGGTTGTGAAATCCTAAGTGGGAGAATGTGTATTGCTCTGTTAGTCCCTAACCCCAAGCCTTATGAAGTGGACTTTGAAGAGACTAGAGAGCTTCACACTTCTCTTTTATTGTTTTGGGGAAAATAGGCACTTCTACCTAGAGCATTCAGATGTTAAAGATTGCTCTGCACACTGTTGCTTTTTTCAGCCTCCCCACACACACCACCACCAACAAAAAAGTTTCTTATGCAATAAACGTCATGCACAACTGAAAAAAGTTTATGTTATTGTTTTAGGTTCTGTGCAACCTGGTTGCTTGGAATGACTGAAAGACTTCAGTCAAGAGAAGCTGAAAGTACTCCAGGTTATGAGGGGCATTAGCTGGGCCAAGGGGATGTTGGAATTCGGTGTCTCCACTCCAGGGATCTTTAGAAAACCTCGCTGAAAAAGCAAAGCTGAGTTTATTAAACTTATTGTAGCAAGAGAGGACACCTTATTGACAGTCTTAATATTATCTTAAAAAGAGAAATTTGGGGCAGGGTGCAGATGGAGCTAAGAGCCTGGCTGAATGATTTTAAGGCAGGATATACCTAGGATTGAACATGTGTAATAGCTATGGATTGGAAAACAGAGGAAGAAGAGGATCATAAAACAAATTTTGATAGGCAAACTGTATATTGGTGTAGTCCTGCTGTGTGAGCTGTTAGCCTTCATAAGTAAACTGTTTTAATTATTTTATCTTATTGAGAGCAAGTAGCTAAAGAATGTTTACTTTATCTCAGAATTTTTTACACAAGGGCAGGAAATTTACTTTAGCTCCCAGAGACCACGTGTGACAGATGGGCAGAAATGGGGTGAAACACAAGGAACCCACTAAACACTCAGAAGAAAAAGAGTACACTCAAATGTGTTACTAATTTCTGAGAGCAGTGAGGCTAGATTGTGAAACTATTGCTCAAGTGAGAAATCACCTGCCCGTCCATTCTTCTCCAATCTCACAGACTTCTAGGTACCCTAACATCCACCCACTCATCTCAGCACTCTCCCTGAATGAGCAGAAACCACTGTTGAGTATTTGGAAAAGAATGAGTCAACCACCATGTGGGAAAAGACAAGGAGCCCATAACTGTGCCCTTTCTCCAGCTGCAGGCTTCCTGATTATCCTGGGCCCACAATGGGGATAAAAAATTATAACATTAAATGAATTTTAGTACTTTTGACTATTAAATGAAACTTGTTTTTATAATTACTAAATTGAAGCAGTGTTTGGTGACCTAAAAGGGGACAGAAAAGTGGTAGTGCTGGCCTTGCTTTCATCCTAAGTTAGAAGAGTCACTTTGATAGGGATATTGAGACACACAAAAAAAGAAAAATGAAATGATAAGTGCTTTGTGATATGATACAGAATAACTATTTGTTTAATATATGTATGTAATGGTTATATATGGCTCTAGTTGGATTGCCATTGTGTTTCTTACTAGATCCTTGAGCCATCATGTCTTATCTACCTGTGTATGTATGAGTGCATACCTACACATACATACACATACAAGATGAGTTGGCAGGAGAAATTGGAAGATGTTCAATAATTTTCACTTTGTAAGGTAAGCTAGCTGTTAACATCAATTTGCTATTTCCTTGAGATACTGTGCCTACTCACTACAGCAGCATAGAAATATCCAAAACTAGAGTAATTTTTTTAATTTGATGAATACTAGGAAAATCTGTGTTTATAATTCAATCTAAGTTAATTTAGGAATTTTTATGATTAAATAAAATAGGCTTTTTAATGTATTGTTTTCAATATTGTCAAATTACTCATTAAATATCTTTTTATTTTGCATGTGAATACATGACATATAGAAACATACAGGGCCTTACACTGGCTGATACATAATAAATGTTATAATAGTGATTATTATATATTTTTTAACTTTAGTAATGCTTTCTCCAACCTGACTATTTGAGAACCGTATTGAAAAACTTTTTTTGATACATCAGGCCAAATCTAGTCAATATCTTTCAACCTAATGTGTTCCACAGAAGAGTTTTCCAGTGAGAAAGAAGCTGGAATTCAGAAATAGAAGTATTTTACCCATCAATGACATAGTATACAACTCCAGGAAAACTCTTTATTCTCTCTGGCTTACTATCTGCATTTCTCACATGGAGAACAATTATCGCCTACCAATAAAAAATTTGAAAACTGTAGGGAAAGACTACCTTATTATTTTGCATCCCCTAGGAGAAAAGAGTTGGGGTTTTGTGGGGGATGTTTTCCCCTCATTTGGATACGTTTTCTTCAGAACCAGTCTGTTCATTTTGTGATAGGCAACTCTTATAACTATAGAAAATGGGAAGACACATCGTGAGGAAAGACGGGCTAGAGAAGCTAATCAAATATTTATCCTTGTTTTCTAATACATTTTCACCAACACAAATATCCTGTTTCTTTTAACCTTCTATGATTAAATATTTCATTGAACTGGGATATAATTTTTAATCTCAGTGTTTTTTTCTTTCCCCCAGCATTAAGCTTGAAATTGTACTTCTTGTTTGAGTGGTAGATGATGATTGTAGCAGTAAGAGAGGCCATCAGGAAAGAACAAAGAACATCCCCATATACCCCACTTCATAATTTGAATTTGAGTTTGCAGTAATGTAATGTTTTCTGGAGATGGAGCAGAGAGAGTATAAGCAATGCTATCAGACAAAACAGGGTTTGAATACAGTTCAGCCAACTTATTTACATGAACTCAAACCTCAGTGTTCTCCATCTGTAAATCTGGGATAATGCTTACCGCATGGGTCTTGTGAAAATTAAATGAGGGAGTGAATGTGAAATAGAGTTCCTCAATCTTCTGGGCTCATGGGAGGTGCACAGCCAATGATCCTTCCTATCTTTCCTTTCTTACTAGAATAATCAATTACCCTTTCAGTGTACTAATTGTCCTAATTGAAAAAGTTTAATTGTGGCACTTATAATTTTACGTATTTCTGATTTTTTAAAAATCTTTTTTCCCTAGTAATTAGTCCCTAAAAATAATTTATTATTTCTTTTTGAACTTTTGAAATAATTAAAAAGTAAAAATTACTTCAGCTAGCGCTTTTGTAAAGTGTGTATGTATTTGTGTGTGTGTACGTGTGTGTTTTAAAGCAGTTTATATATTCAAGCCGGAGGCAGGTAACCTTGCTGCAGAGGAGACAAGAGAAAAGATTGCTGCCTGTATCCTTTGGCTATATGTACGTTTGTTCATTAGGATGGCAAATGGGGATAATGTATTTCAGTGAGTTCCTATGTGAGATGCATCTTGGAATATAAAATATGAAAACGTTGTTACATAAGAGTGGCAAAACAAAAATAATTAAAGAAAAAGTATCACATTATACCCTCGTATTTCAAATTTGAGACACTTAATTCTAGCACACATACTTCTTTTCCTGCTTTGAAGCGCATGCAACTTCTTTACAGACTAGTTCAAGATATGGCTGATTATTCTCTTTTAATGTGATCAAGTGAGAAAGTTTCACTGATAGACCCTGAGGGACAGCCGATAAGAGCAATGTGGCCCACGCTGGGCTGGGCCTGTCACTCCTGTCACACAGATTTAGCCTTTTGAAATGCAGATTCTTGAGCCTTGAAATCCCTGGAACTTTGCTTCTTGGACTAAACTACCCCAAAAATCTTCATTTTGTGAGATGGTTCAAATTGCATGTAGTATTTACAAAACATTTAAAACGGCAATGTTTAATGTCATTATATAATGGCTGTACATCTGAATATGGTTTGGCTCTGTGTCCCCACCCAAATCTCATCTTGAATTGTATTCTCACAATTCCCACGTGTTGTGGGAGGACTTAGTGGGAGATAATTTGAATCATGGTGGTGATTTCCCCCATACTATTCTTGTGGTAGTGAATAAGTCTCATGAGATTTGATGGCTTTTTCAGGGGTTTTCGCTTTTGCATCTTCCTCATTTTCTTTTGCTGCTGCCATGTAAGAAGTGCTTTTCACCTCCTGCCACCATTCTGAGGCATACCCAGACATGTGGAGCTGTAAGTCCAATTAAACCTCTTTTTCTTCCCACTCTTGGGTGTGTCTTTATCAGCAGCATGAAAATGGACTAATATAGTAAGTTGGTACCAGAAGAGTGGGGCATTACTGAAAAGATACCTGAAAATGTGGAAGCGACTTTGGAACTGGGTAACAGGCAGAGGTTGGAACAGTTTGGAGGGCTTAGAGAAGACAGAAAAATGTGGGAAAGTTTGGCACCTCCTAGACACTTGTTGAATTGCTTTGACCAAAAGCCTGATAGCGATATGGACAATAAGGTCCAGGCTGAGGTGGTCTCAGAGGGAGATGAGGAACTTGTTGGGAACTGGAGCAAAGATGACTCTTGTTATGTTTTAGCAAAGAGACTGGCAGCATTTTGCCCTGCCCTAGAGATTTGTAGAACTTTGAACTTGAGAGAGATGATGTAGGGTATCTGGCGGAAGAAATTTCTAAGCAACAAAGCATTCAAGAGGTGACTTGGGTGCTGTTAAAAGCATTCAGTTTTAAAAAGGAAACAGAACATAAAGTTTGGAAAATTTGCAGCCTGACAATGTGATAAAAAAGAAAAACCCATTCTCTGAGGGGAAACTCAAGCCAGCTGCAGAAATTTACATAAGTAATGAGGAGCTGAATGTTAATCCCCAAGACAATAGGGAAAATGTCTCCAGGATATGTCAGAGGTCTTCACCACAGCCCCTCCCATCATTGAACTGTTGGCCTAGAAGAAAATGGTTTAGTGGGCCAGGCCCAGGTCCTCATGCTGTGTTCAGCCTACGGACTTGATGCCCTGTGTCTCAGCTGCTCCAGCTGTGGCTAAAAGGGGCCAATGTAGAGCTCGGGCCATGGCTTCAGAGGGTGCAAGCCCCAAGCCTTGGCAGCTTCCTTGTGGTGTTGAGCCTGCAAGTGCACAGAAGTCAAGAATTGATGTATGAGAACCTCCATCTAGATTTCAGAAGATGTATGGAAATGCCTGGATGCCCTAGCAGAAGCTTGCTGCAAGGGGTGTGGGGGTGGGGGTGGGCACATATGAAGAATCTCTGCTAGGGCAGTGTGGAAGGGAAATGTGGGGTGGGAGCCCTCACACAGAGTCCTTACTGGGGTACCGCCTAGTGGAGCTATGAGGAGAAGGCCACCATTTGCCAAAACCCAGAACTGTAGATCCACTGACAGCTTGCACTGTGCACCTGGAAAAGCTGCAGAGACTCAATACCAGCCTGTGAAAACAGCCGAGAGGGAGGCTGTAACCTGCAAAGCCACAGGGGTGGAGCTGCTCAAGACCATGGGAACCAAACCCTTGCCTCAGCGTGACCCAGATGCAAGGCAAAGGTGTCAAAGGAGATCATTTGAAGCTTTAAGATTTGACCCCCTCTGTTTGATTTCAGACTTGCATGGTGCCAGTAGCCCCTTTGTTTTGACCGATTTCCCAACATTTGGAATGGCTGTATTTACCCAATGCCTTTACTCCCATTGTATCTAGGAAGTAACTAACTTGCTTTTGATTTTACAAGCTCATAGGTGGAAGGGACTCACCTTGTCTCAGATAAGACTTTGGACTGTGGACTTTTGAGTGAATGCTGAAATGAGTTAAGACTTTTGGGGACTATTGAGAAGCCATGATTGGTTTTAAAATGTGAGGACATGAGATTTGAGCAGGCCAGGGCTGGAATGATATGGCTTGGTTCTGTGTCCCCATCCAAATCTCATCTTGAATTGTACTCCCATAACTTCCACATGTTGTGGGATAGACCTAGCGGAAGATAATTTGAATCATGAGGGTGGTTTCCCCATACTGTTCTTTTGGTAGTAAATAAGTCTAATGAGATCTGATGGTTTTATCAGGGGTTTCCACTTTTGCATATTCCTCATTTTCTCTTGCTGCTGCCATGTAAGAAGTGCCTTTCACCTCCCGCTGTGATTCTGAGACCTTCCCAGCCATGTGGAACTGTAAGTCCAATTAAACCTATTTTTCTTCCCAGTCTCGAGTATGTGTTTACCAGCAGTGTGAAAACAGACTAATACAACATCTTTATTCAGATTATTAATATGATTTGTATGAGGTACCTTGTTCCTGTCCTTTCCACTTAGTATAACTACAATTCCTGAACATTATATATAAAGCAACATAAGAAGACTCTGAAACATAAAGAAAAGAAGGCAGAGCAGTGAGGGACCTGGGAATGCAATAAGCAAAACAGTGGTAAATATCCCAGGTTTTCTTTTGGCCTCATCTGTCTAACACTTGGACTTGAAAAAGGTAGCAACCCAGAGAGCCAATGAGTGCAGACAAAAACAGATCCCCCAAAAGCCTACTCTCTCTAGCCAAAGGACCTAGATAGGAGCAGCCTAAAATGATAAAACGTTTTTGGACAGTAACCTCTCTACTCTGGGCAAGTATCACAGAAAAACCTGGGTGACTTTGTCCCTTCCGCCTAGCAAAAGTTAAGTGGGGAGCTGAAGACTGTAATAAGGCACCTCAAGCTTCCCGCTGAGGTGGTGTCAGAAATGGCTGAGTAGGGAAGCTGGACTTTCATCTCCACTGGCAGGTAATGACATTCCATCCTCCATCAGTGTCAGTGGAGACCACACGGAAAGTCTGGACTTCCACACCCCCACAGCAAAAAGCAGGAACTGCCCCCTTGGGGGCCAACTAAGGCAGAGTGGGGAACTTGGCCTTACACACACTTGGCAAGGACCAAGGCAGTGCCCCACAACCCCTTTTGAAGTAGTAAGAAGGAGGTGACTCCAGAGGCAGGACTCCACTCTGGAGGCTGGACTTGAACACTGGACCAAGTTGAGAACTAGCTAAAACAGGAAAGGGGTGGAAACACCTTTTCATAAGACACTAATGCCAGTGTGCTGTGTCAGTTTACCATTTTCATAGCAGCACCTGTAAGTGACCACCCATTTCTATGGCAGCAACCTAACAACCAGAAGCAACCTAACCCAGAAATTACCACCCTTTTTCTAGAAATTTCTGCATAATCTGCCCATTAATTTGCATATAATTAAAAATGGATATAAATATGACTGCAGAACTGCCTCCAAGCACTCCTGTGAGTACATCGCCTACAGAGCAGCCCTGCTCCACAATGGCAGTGCCTCTGCTCCTGCTGGACACTGTCACTTCAGTAAAAGTTCCTGTCTAATACCATCAGCTTGCCCTTGAATTTCTTCCTGAGCGAAGCCAAGTACCCTCCTGGGCTAAGCCCCAATTTTGGTGCTCATCTGCTCTGCATCATCTGTTGACCAATGGAGGGATCAAGACAGTGGCAATCAGTGGAAAGGCGTTGATTAGTGAGAGGTGGTGGGAGATGGCAATTGGAGAGAGGATGAGTAGAGAGATGGTGAGAGATTGCAAAGCAGTCTGTAATTAAGGCTGCAAGAGCTGTAATACTGAGGCTATGCCAATAAAGATCTGCTAATGCAACAGTGCTGTACAACTAACCAAAGGCTCTTTTCAGAGCCATCATTTTTATGGCAAGCAGCAGAGCTGAGCCGATGGGCAAGTGGCCATAGCGCTGCTGCTTGTTTGGGACCTGCAGCTCCAACTGGCAGGCCAATGGGCTAATGGTCCCTTTGATGGCTCATCAACCTGGCAGCTGAGCCCACCCAACCTGTATAGTCCCTCACCTGACTCCCACATGGAAGAATGGTCAGTGCCATTTTGATGCCTGTGAATGGGTGAGTGTCCCCTCTGCCTCCTCCCCCATGATATTGGGTAAGCTTGGGAATAAAAGCCTTTGGCTAAGGGGTAAGTTAAAAGTCCCCTGTCATTTGAGTGCCTCAAAGCATGTCCTTGTCACCTCTTCACCCAGTCCTTCCTCTTCTGATTCCATTTTATTGTTACATCAGTGGTTTTATTTTCAGTCCTAAAATGTATGTTGTTTGCTGTCTTATATTTGCTTTTGACTTTCTGTTGACTGTGTTTGGGCAATTGTTTAAGGCAGAACACTTGGTTGTGAGAGGTCTCCTGTTGTATTACTCCAGGATGCCAGAGTCATGTTGTTCTGTGACCCCAGCTTGGTCTTGGGTTCACTGTTGTCCACCCCCAGGTCCCCTGGGGTTTTGGCATTTGGCGATGGGACCCTCATTGGCTGAGACTCGAGCAATCTGTGTTTTCAGCACTGGTATTATTGGCCTCCCCACAGATGCTCTGGGGTTTTTGGCATTGGCATTCCCTCTAGGATTGGGGGTTATACCCCCTCTCCTAGGGGAATATTGGTCTCATCTTTTTCTGCCCTGAAGTGGGAAGTTATTATTTTTCTAATACCCAGTTGCCGGCCCCTTCCTGCGTTCTGCCTTATAACTGACTTGCTCAAGCTCCTCTTGGATGAAGGGACTGAGAGTTCCTGGGCCCCTGGCCTGATAGAAGACTACCTACAATGCTGGACAAGTGGCTACTTGAATATTTTTTCCAGTGTCTCCATTGCTGGGTAGGTTCTCCAGCAAGTCAAGGCCTCTGAGGTCTCTTCTTGGGCAATGCTGTTTAGCTCCTTCCCTTCCTTCCTTCCACAGTCACCATTTATTTAGTCCCTCTCTCTGCCCAATACTTGCTCTGTGTGAAATTTAGGCTCAACATTTTATTGCCCAACTGTAGCTTGTAATCTGCTTTTGTAATGTTTTGCTGCCTACTTACACCTTTCCTGCAGGAAGTGGGAATCTAAAAGGGAAAAATAACAAGGGCCCAGTTGCTTTCCATCTCGCTAGACTTAGAAAAACTTCTGTATCTAGTTAAAATCCTTTTAGTCATGGGGACAATGATGAGCATCCTAGAAGACTCTCCAGTAGGATGTCTTTTAGGTTACTGGAGCACATTCCAATTCAGCTTACAGAAAAAGAAACCATATTTTGTATTGCAACACTGTTTGGGTTCAATACAAATTAGAAAACTAACAGATTTGGTTTAAACATGATTCTATACATTATAATGATGTTTTACAATTGAACTTATTCTGTAAAAAAGAAGAAAAATGGGAAGATGTTCCTTATTATAGGCTTTTATGGCCCTTTACTGGCTCATGTTACATGCAGGCATCAGAAAGCCATGCATAAGGGATCCATTCCTAGCTGCTCCCACTAGAAAACCTACACCCTCCCTGAAACCTCCTCAGTCCCCAAACTTTGAGGGGTTTCTTGTCAGTTTTCTAATGAAGGATTCCACCCCAAAATCATCAGACACCCCTCCCCACTTATCCTCCTAGCCCCAGCTTATACTCCCTGCCCCGACCCCTACTGCCCAAGAAAGTAAGCACAACTGGTACCACCAGGAGTGGGGCCCCATAGCAGCCCCTAAAGTCAAACCTGTGTCTGTTGCTGGAAGTAGCTGGTCAAAATGCAGGAATACTTAATGTATGTGTGCCATTTTCTGGCCTAATTTGCTTTACACAAAGAAAAAATTGGCCAGTTTTCAGAAGATCTAGAAAAGTTTATAGAGGCGTTTGTTAAGTTTATCATGTTCTTTAATGGAACTTGTCATGACTTGCAAGTGTTGTCATCTGCTTGCTGTGCCATGGGAAAAATGTGGAGGAAAAAGTGTGTGGTTGAGCCAGTGAATTATGACAAGGTTAGAGAAATAACTCAGGGAAAGAATGAAAATCCTGCTCTGTTTCAGGATCATTTGGTTGAGGTACTCAAAAAAATGCTAAAGCAGACCCCAGACTCCACAAAAGGGCAAGTTCTCCTGGGCATACATTTTATTACTCAATCTGTCCCTGATATTAGGGGAAAGCTACAAACAGCAGCAATGGGACCTCAAATCCCTTTGAGCCAACTCTTAAACACAGCCTTTAAAGTTTACAATAATAGAGACAGGTGAAAAAAAAGGTGGAAAAAAAAAAAGAGAGATAGCCAAAATGCATAATGGTTAACAGTTCCTTTAAGAACCCTGCCACCTCAGAATTACCCACCCTGAGAAAGTGTCATGAGATCGGCAACTGGGATGCGCAGAGAAGAGCCCCAGACTTGCTGATTCCTGGGCTAGAATCAACGTGCCTACAATAAGCAAAAGGGCCAGTGATTATGAGAATATCTTAACTGTCCCAGGTGAGAGACAAAAAAAAACTCCTCATCAATTCTAGAACTAACGTTCTTCCACTAGCCCCAAAGAGCTTCCTTGCTCAAGTAAGTTTACTGGGGGGGGTTTTGGACCCTTGACACTTGGACCCTTGATCGAAAAGACAGACAGCTTCCAGCAGTGGCAGAGAAGCACCTGCCCAAATATTTTTCTTTGGTGTCTCCACTGCTGGGTGAGCCCTCCAGTGGCTTCGGGACCCTTGAGCAAAGCAATTTGCTCCTTCTCTCTTATTTGATGTTATGGGATTCCTTTCCCTGCCTCTTTTTGTCTTCCATATCTGTCAGGCAAACAAAATTTGGCCAGGAGAATGGGTCCCAATTTTGTAAATAACTTGAATCCTGTTGTCTTGTATAGGTCATTTTATTTAAAGTTTTTGTTTAGGTGTGTGTATATAGGGATTATGATGAGTGTTATGTGTAACGTGCTATAGAATTGTCTTATAAATACAAGAGTATTCCTAAATTAAATAAGACTAATTTAAGCTTAATAGTTTGAAGAAAATGCTGTGTCTTCTAAAATTTAACTTTAAAATTTTTACCTAGATAAATTACCGAAGTCATAAGCTTTAAAATTGTTAAAATGGCTTCAAATGGTGACTAGCTTTGCATGGTATCTTGGTTCTTGGAGGTGGTGTAGATAAAATTGTTAAAAGTGAAAAGTTAAAGGCCTGTGAATGGAATAGAGGCTTAGTGAGCTTTTTGTTTGGTTTAATGTCTTCAAATGGTGGAATGGTTCTCATCTATAGGATGCTAATACCTGGTGGGCAGTTCAAAATCTCTTGCTTCCTAGGTTTATATAAAATGTGCCAAAGACATGTATTCTTTATTGAGAAAAATAATAATTTTTATCAAATTCAGAAGTTATTAAAAAGGAAGTTCAAAATATAATAAAACCAATAACTAGAAAAATGAGAGATGTAATAAGTGTTATGAAAAGAAAAAAAGAAGGAGTGATTTTGTATGAGGTGGGATTTTGTATAGTAAATTCTTGTCTTAGAGCGATATAGCTGGTTATTTAAAAAAGAGGTACCAGAGGTCAAGTCAGTAAGTTCACGCATAATGTAGATGGTCTGTGTACATTGTAATAAGGTTGATAAAGGGGTATGTACAAAACAAATTTTGCATATGATTAAACTTGCTATGATTAAAGAAAAATTGTTTGTGGTAGGCTTTCTGAAAAATGGTCTGTATTTTGGAACCAGATTTTCTCCAGGTATTTATTTGATAAAATACCAGAAATTTTGTTCCTCAATTCTGTAATCTATTTCTTTTGAAAGCTTCTCAGATTCATGTAACTCTCTCCTTTGCATTTATTGTCAGCTTCTGTGGGTTTCCTCCTCCAGTTCCGACTGTTGTTATGACCTGATGCTGAAGTGTTTTGTCTTAGAGGTCTGTGGGAGCAGCATTCTTCCCCAGTATAGCTTAATTCTATGCTCTCGGATTTTCTTTAAGTGTAACCTTCTTTTGGCTTTTGTTTTTTGACTCTTATATTGCTTAGAAGGGTTTTGTGGGCTGGTGAGTGCCTGCCCAACTCCCTTCCCTTTGGTTAGGAGGGGGCATCTATTCAGTCTGTTGGGTGGGGGAAGGGGCTATGGATTTTGATTTTTTGGTTTGTATTCTCCATTTTTGTCAGGATGAGCTGGAGGCAGTGTCAGTGGCCAAGCTTTTATTTTGTCTTGTGCCAACGCTGGGGTGGTGTGCTTCCTGCCCCGTGTCCCTCGGTGGGCCTCCCATGGGTGGGGGACTTGGAGTTAGGGGACTTACAGCCAGTTGGATGTTCTGGGCCAAATGAGAGTGGAGGTGGGTGGGCATTCCTTGGCCCTTGAACCCCTTTGGAGCTGTGTAAGAGCCAAAAACTAAGAGCTAGGAAATGGGGTTGTAAAACTGACTGTCTCAACAGATGTGTTGAGCTGCTGTGGTCTTGGCTTGTAGTAATTAGCTACACAAACACTCTCCCTCCACTTTGGAATTTAGGCCAGGTTCAAAAGGCCCTCCAATACAAAAATAAAATATTGCTTTTCCCCACAAAGAAAAAAAAATAGTTCCCCTGTTCAACCAGGAGACTTAGATTTACTAAAAACTTAAAAAGAAGAATCCCCCAAGGATCAACTAAACCAAAATGGACAGGCCCCTCTCAAGTGTGGTTGAGTATCCTCACTGCTGTTAAACTTCAGGAAATAATAATTGAGTACAACTATCAACGATTAAATGTGCTTCTTGTGAGTTACAGGCACAAGGTTGGGGGACATTACGAACTAGATCTATAAACTTTCGAAAGAGCTCTGCTCCCTACTGAAAATAATCACCTCTCAGCCAGAAGTGGTAACATGATGCTGTGGATGGGAACAGGAGCATTCTTTTTTCTCTTCTTCCTGACTATATTTCTTTTCTATTATATTAGCCAGCTGCCTTCTCCTGGGAAACATCTTTTTTTGTCCTGTTGGGCTAAGGCCCAACCAGACACCATGCTGCCACTGTTAATCCTGTTTGCTCTCCAAATTACCCTGATCCAGTGTTGATGGGAACAAAACTCTATAGTAAATATTTCAAAAATTATAGCATCAAGGAATCATCCTCATGGTTGCTGGATTTGTCATCAACATCTTCAGGATAGACAGTTGTGTCTTCCAGAAAATCTCATGGCCATCTCCCCAGACCTTCTAACTAACCCTAGTGATCCCAAGCACCCAAAACCCTACTTCTTAAGTGGAAACCTCCCTTACTTAACAGATTCCATCTGAAACCCCCCACAACTATTACCTGGACCTGGAAAGTTGGGTGCACTAATAATTCTGTCTTTTGCACTAATTGTATCCAGTGCACTAGTAATTCTATCTTTTCAACCTCCTGTTGTGTTAATGACACATAAGTGGAAGTTTTCCTGTGATGTTCTGATCCAAGTTTAGTTACCAAGTTGCCAAGGCCATAGCAAGGTAAATGGGATTCTACTTGTAAGCATGGTGCTTTCTGCTGGATCAGAACATACAGGGACAAAACAATTGCCCAGTCTGGGGAGGCAGGAGTACTATCCCCCTTTGGAAAACAAAGATTGTTCAACCACTGCCATTAGAACAGGATAAAAGTATCTCTGTAGATCCAACTTGGCAGCAAAGGATAGACATCACACTCCATAACCACTTCTGACTTTTCAGGCAACCGCTTGTTCTTTTAGGAGTAGCTTTCCCTTGTATATCAAAAACTTGGAACATTCCAGCACTTTGAGAGGCCAAGGTGGGTGGATCATTTGAGGTCAAGAGTTCAAAAACAGCCTGGTCAACATGGCAAAAACCCATCTCTATTAAAAATACAAAAAATTAGCTGGGCGTAGTGGCACATGCCTAAAATCCCAGCTACTTGGGAGGCTGAGGCAGGAGAATTGCTTGAACCTGGGAGACGGAGGTTGCAGAGTGAGCCAACATCATGCCGTTGCACTCCAGCCTGGGCGACAGAGTGAGATTTTGTCTCAAAAACAAACAAACAAACAAAAACTTGGAACAGAGTTTGCACATTGGCTGCCCTGGGCCATCCAGGGGTCACACTCTATAACCTGTAAGACCCAAGAACACCAGAACTAAATGAGCAATGGTACTTATTCGGGCAGAAATTGGAGTGACAATAGGACTAGTGGAAACCTGGGGCAGGTTTGCTTACCAAGAGTCAACCCCAAAGAACTGAAACCCTACACTAACACAGGTCAGGCACTAAAGAGAATTCAAGAGTCCCTGGGCTCTTTGGCAAAAGTAGTTCTCAATAGCAGACTAGCATTGGATTATTTACCAGCTAAGCAAGGTGGACTCTGTGCAATTATTAATAAAACCTGCTGCACTTACATTAACAACTCTGGACAAGTTCAGGTTAGCATTCAAAAGAATTGCTTGAATCCATGAGGAGGAGGCTGCAGTGAGCTGAGAATGCACCACTGCACTTCAGCCTAGGCGACAGAGCGAGACTCCATCTCAAAAACAAACAAACAAACAAAAAAAGATGTATGAGTATGTTACCTGGTTACTGACCCCAACTATATCTGGTTGACTATCGAAAGTGCTTTCCCAAGTCTCAGCTTGTTTTACCTCTCCTAGGACCTTTGATAGCTATCATGTTGTTACTAAATTTTGGCCCTGGCTTGTTTAACATCTTAGTAAAATTTGTGTCCTCTATATTACAACAGTTCCGGGTAAAGACAATGCTGGCACCAGGCTTCCAGCTCGTCTCACCTACTGACCTAGAGAATGGAAGTGTCCTGCCTGTGGGCCCCTTAGATCAGGAATCCAGAGAATTTTATTCCTCTAGTGCTAGGCCAGGCCTACACCCATAAACTCAGGAGGAAGCAGTTAGAAAAGATGGACCTCCACCTTTCTGGAGCCCACTTAAGGTTAAGGAAGAGTATATAATCTCTGAGCAGGGAAAGAAGTGGGAGGCAGGACTCAACTCCAGAGGTGGGGCTTGACTCCAGAAGCAGAGCTCAGACATCAGACCAAATTGAGGACTAACTGAAACAGAGATGGGGCAGAAACATCTTTCCAAAAGACACACCCACCAACGTGCCATGTCAGTTAACCATTTCCATGGCAGCATGCCAAAGTTACCACCCATTTCCATGGCAGCAACCTAACAACCCAGAAGTTACCACACTGTTTTTAGAAATTTCTGCAAAATCTGCCCCTTAATTTGTATACAATTAAAAGTGGGCATCAATATGACTACAGGACTGTCTCTGAGCTACTGCTCTGGGTACACTGCCTATGACATAGATAGCCCTGCTGTCTGAGGAGCAGTACCTCTAGTACTACTGTATACTGCTGCTTCAATAAAAGTTGCTATATAACACCACTGGCCCACCCTTAAATTCTTTCCTGGACAAAGCCAAGAATCTTCCTATGCTAAGCCCTAGTTTTGGGGCTCACCTGCTTTGCGTCACCTTCACTTTGTCCTGCCAGGGCAGGGTCAGAAGAATTCAGCTAAAGGAGATTTAAATAAGATCCAGAATATCACAGCATAATACTGAAAATGTCCAGGTTTCAACTGAAAATTACTCATTGTACCAAGAACCAGGAAAATTGCAAATTGAATGAAAAATGTTCATCAATAGATGCCAACACTAAGATGACAGAGATGTTAGAATTATCTGACAAAGATCTTAAAACTACCATCAAAATCCTTTAATGAACAATTATGAACACACTTGAAACAAAGAAAACATAGAAAGCCTCAGCAAATTAAGGTAAATTGTAAAAAAAAAAAAAAAAGTGGAAATATTAAAACTGGAAATATAATCACAGAAATAAAAACTCACTGGACGGACTCAATAGCAAAATGGAGAGAAAAGAGAAAACAATCAGTTAACTTGAAATTAGAACCATAGAAATTACCGAATATAAACAACAGACAGCGAAAATAAATTGGAAAAAAATGAGCACAGCCTGCTAGAATCTGTGGGAGTATAACAAAAATAATAATTTTATGGGATTCCAGAAAAAAGAAAAGGGGCGAAGCTGAAAAAATGTTAAAAGAAATAATGACCGAAACTTCCCAAATTTGACAAAATGTATAAACATACAGAAAGAGGAAGCTGAAGGAATAGGAACGCAATGAACCATAAAAAATCCACAACTAGACACATCACAGTAAACCTTGTAAAAACTGAAAACAAAGGGAAAAATTTTTAAAACAGTAAGAGAGAAATGACACTTTCCATATATGGAAAACAAGTCAAATATCAACAGATGTGTCATCTGAAACATGGAGCCCAGAAGGTGTGAAATAGCATTTATCGAATGCTGAAGGAAAAGTTCTGTCCACCCAGAATTCTAAATACAATGAAAATATTATTCAGCAACGAAGGGAGAAATCAACCTTTTCAGATGAAGAAAAGCCATGAAAATTTGCTGGCAGCAAACCTACTCTGAAAAAATGGCTGAAGATGTTCTCTAAACAGGAAAAAAAAAAATGATAAAGAAATCTTGATACATCAGAAAGGAAGAAAGATCATGATAAGCAAAAATATGGGTAAATACAATGTACTTTCTTTCTCTTAATTATCTAAATTATGCTTAATGGCTCCATAAAGAATTATAATGTGGGTCTAAATGCATGTAGAGGAAATATTTTAGATAATTAGGTTATAAACAGAAGGTTCTAAATGCATGTAGAGGAAATACATTTAAGATAATTATAAACAGAAGGGTAAAAGGACATAAAGGGAAATGCCACATCACTTGAACTGGTAAAATGAAGCCAGCAGTAGATGGTGAATGATGTACACATAATGTATTACTTAGAACAATCACTGAAAAACTATATAAAGAGATACAATACAAAACACTATATGAAAATGAAAGTCTAAAAAATGATCATGTAAACCACTAGAAGGCAGAATAAAGAAGGCAAGAGCAAAAATAGAGAACAAACAGAAAACAAAATAAAATGGCAGATTTTATCCCTACTATATTAATAACTACATAAAATGCAAATGCTTTGAATATAACAATTAAAATACAGATTGGAAAAGTTAATTAAAAACATGACACAACTATGTGCTATCTAAAAGAAACTAAATTCAAATATAATGTTATAAGCAGGCTAAGAGTAAAAGAGAGGAAAAAACATACAAACATTAGTCAAAAGAAATCACAAACAACTTTATAAATATGAGATACAGTAGCAAAGGAAGTTACCAGAGTTAGAGAAAGACATTGTAAATTGATAAAAGAGCCAAGTTACTAAGGAGACATAGCCATTCTAAATGTGGATGCACTAAATAAGAGAGATCAAAGCATTTGAAGCTAATTCTGATAAAACAGAAAGGAGAAATAAACACTTCCACATTTATAGTTCTGTGAAACAAAACTGAAAGAACTAGTAAAACTGAAAGGTTAAATGGAAAATACACAATTATATAGATACTTCAACGTTTCTTTCTCAACAATTTAATAGAACTAGTTAGAAAACCAGCAAGGATATGGAAGAACTCAGAAATGTCATCAAACAAAAGACTCTAATCAACGTATATTTGGGACACTTTACTCAACAAAAGCACAATACAGTTTTTTTTTATATGCCCACAGACATAAATCAAGACAGACAATATCCTGTGCCATAACCAAACCTCAACAAATTTTAAAGAATTGAAATCATACAGAGCATGTTTTCCAGTCACAATGGAATCTAACTAGAATCAACAACAGGATAACAAGAAAATATCCAAATGCATGAAACTAAACAACATTATTTATTTATATGTTTATTTTGGAGACAGTGTCTTGCTCTGTTGCCCAGGCTAGAGTGCAGCAGCATGATCACGGCTTACTGCAGCCTTGACCTCCTGGGCTCAAGCGATTCTCCTGCCTCAGCCTTCTGAGTAGCTGGGACTACAGGAATATGCCACCACACTTGGCCAATATTTTATTATTTGTAGAAATGGGGTTTCATTGTGTTGCCCTGGCTGTTCTTGAACTCTTGGGCTCGAGTAATGCTCCTGCTTCAGTCTCACAAAGTGCTGGAATTACAGGAGTGAGCCATCATGCCTGGCCAACACTTCGATAGCCCGTGGTTCAAAGAGAAAATCTCAAGAAAAAATTTTAAAAATACATTAAACTGAATGAAAATTAAAAGAAAGAACATATCAAAATTTGTGAGAAGCAACTAAAGCAATGCTAAAAGGGAAATTTCTAGCATTAAATGCAGTACATTAAAAAGGAAAATATTTCAAGTCAATAATAAAAATTTCCACCTTAAGAATCTAGAAAAAAATGTTCAAAATAAACCCAAAGCAATCAGAAGGAAAGATACGAAAACAGAAACATTAGAACACAAACAAATGAAACTTACAACAGAAAAATAATAATAAAGATCTATAACATGGACTAATTCTTTAAAAATGCAAGTTATAACAAGTCACTCATTTTGAGACAGATAATTTAAATAAGTTAAAATAACTATTACAAAAACGGAATTTAGAATTTTGAAATTCTCAATTCCACAACAAGGTCTAAATAGTTCCACTGAAGAATTAAAAAAAAAACATGTAAGAAACAAGATCAATTTTACATATTTTTTCCAGAAATTTGAAGAGAAATGAATACTTCACAATATGTTATGTAAAGCTAGAATTACTTTGATACCAAACCAGATAAAGGGAAGAAGAAAAGGAAAGAAAACTACAAACCAATAACCCTAATAAATATAGATGCAACAATTCCTAACAAAATATTACTAAATAGAATTCAACAATGTATTAAAGAACAACATACCATTACCAAGTGGAGTTAATTCAAGATATGCAAGACTGGTTCAATATTAGAAAATCAATCAATGTAATCCACTGTATAAACAGGATGAAGATGAAAAAACACATACTCATAATAATAGATGCAGAAAAAGCATTTGACAAAATTCAGTAACTATTCATAATAAAAACTTTCAGGAAAAATAGAAATAGAGGAAAATTTCCCAACTTACAGAATATCTACAGAAACACTACAGGTGACTTTATAGAGGCATACATCACTTTATTGTGCTTCATTTTTTCACACCTTGCAGATACTGCGTTTTCACAAATTGAAGATTTGTGGCAACTCTGCATTAAGCAAAACTTTCAATGCCATTTTTTCAACAGCATTTGTTCACTATGTGTCTGTCACATTTTGGTAATTCTCACAATATTTCAAACATTTTCATTATTACTGTATTTGTTAAGGTGATCTGTGATCAGTGATCTTTGATGTTACTATTGTAATTGTTTTGGGGGTGTCATGAACTGTGTGCATATAAGACGACAAACTTAATTGATAAATGTTTTGTGTGTTCTGACTGCTCCACTAAGTAGTCCTTCCATCATCTCTCTCCCTCTGCTTGGAGAAGGACCACGATATTGAAATGAGGCCAAATAATAACTCTACAATGGCCGGTAAGTACAAAGAAGAATCACGTCTTATTTAAAATCAATAGTTAGAAATGATTAAATTTAATGAGGAAGGCGTGTAAAAAGCCAAGATAGGCTGAAAGCAATGCTTCTTGGGCCAAACAGCCAAGCTGTGGATGCAGAGGAGTAGTTCTTGAAGGAAACTAAAAGTGCTATCCCAATAAGCACACAAATGATAAGAAAGCAAATCTTATTGCTGAAATGTGTAACTACAACATTCCCTTAAGGCAAAGCCTAATCCAGAGCAAGGCCCTAGCTCTCTTCAACTCTATGAAGGCTAAGCTGTAGAAAAATAGTTAGAGGCTAACAGAAATTGGTTCATGAGGCTTAAGCAATGAAGCCATCTCCATAACATCAAAGTACAAGGTGAAGCAGCAAATGCTGGTATAAAAGCTACAGCAAGTTATCTGAAAAATCTAGCTGAGATCATTGATGAAGGCGGCTACACTAAATATATTTTCAACATAGACAAAACTGTCTTTTATTCGAAGAAGGTCCCATCTCGGACTTTCATAGATAGAGAGGAGAAGTCAATGCCTGGCCAAAGGACTTTTATCGAGGATTTTCGCATCGATGTTCATCAGGGATATTGGTCTAAAATTCTCTTTTTTTGTTGTGTCTCTGCCAGTCTTTGGTATCAGGATGATGCTGGCCTCAGAAAATGAGTTAGGGAGGATTCCCTCTTTTTCTATTGCTTAGAATAGTTTCAGAAGGAATGGTAGCAGCTCCTCCTTGTACCTCTGGTAGATTTCGGCTGTGAATCCGTCTGGTCCTGGACTTTTTTTTGGCTGGTAAGCTATTAATTATTGCCTCAATTTCAGAGCCTGTTATTGGTCTATTCAGGGATTCAAATTCTCCCTGGTTTAGTCTTGGGAGGGTGTATGTGTCAAGGAATTTATCCATTTCTTCTAGATTTTCTAGTTTATTTGCATAGAGGTGTTTACAGTATTCTCTGATGATAGTTTGTATTTCTGTGGGATCGGTGGTGATATCCCCTTTATCATTTTTTATTGCATCTATTTGATTCTTCTCTCTTTTCTTCTCCAGCAGCACATCAAAAGGCTTATCCACCATAATCAAGTGGACTTCATTCCTGGGATGCAAGGCTGGTTCAGCATATGCAAATCAATAAACATAATCCAGAATATAAACAGAACCAAAGACAAAAATCACATGATTATCTCAATAGATGCAGAAAAGGCCTTTGACAAAATTCAACAGCCCTTCATGCTAAAAACTCTCAATAAATTAGGTATTGATGGGACGTATCTTAAAATAACAAGAGCTATCTATGACAAACCCACAGCCAATATCATACTGAATGGGCAAAAACTGGAAGCATTCCCTTTGAAAACTGGCACAAGACAGGGATGCCCTCTCTCACCACTCCTATTCAACATAGTGTTGGAAGTTCTGGCCAGGGCAATCAGGCAGGAGAAAGAAATAAAAAGTATTCAATTAGGAAAAGAGGAAGTCAAGTTGTCTCTCTTTGCAGATGACATGATTGTATATTTAGAAAACCCCATCGTCTCAGCCCAAAATCTCCTTAAGCTGATAAGCAACTTCAGCAAAATCTCAGGATACAAAATCAATGTGCAAAAATCACAAGCATTCTTATACACCAATAACAGATACAGAGTCAAATCATGAGTGAACTCCCATTCACAATTGCTTCAAAGAGAATAAAATACCTAGGAATCCAACTTACAAGGGATGTGAAGGACCTCTTCAAGGAGAACTGCAAACCACTGCTCAACAAAATAAAAGAGGACACAAACAAATGGAAAACATTCCATGCTCATGGATAGGAAGAATCAATATCATGAAAATGGCCATAGTGCCCAAGGTAATTTATAGATTCAATGCCATCCCCATCAAACTACCAATGATTTTCTTCACAGAATTGGAAAAAACCACTTTAGAGTTCATATGGAACCAAAAAAGAGCCCACATTGCCAAGACAATCCTAAGCCAAAAGAACAAAGCTGGAGGCATCATGCTACCTGACTTCAAACTATACTACAAGGCTACAGTAACCAAGACAGCATGGTACTGGTACCAAAACAGAGATATAGACCAATGGAACAGAACAGAGCCCTCAGAAATAATACCACACATCTACAACCATCTGATCTTTGACAAACCTGATAAAAACAAGAAATGGGGAAAGGATTCCCTATTTAATAAATGGTACTGGGAAAACTGGCTAGCCATATGTAGAAAGCTGAAACTGGATCCCTTCCTTACACCTTATACAAAAATTAACTCAAGATGGATTAAAGACTTAAATGTTAGACCTAAAACCATAAAAACCCTAGAAGAAAACCTAGGCAGTACCATTCAGGACATAGGCATGGGCAAGGACTTCATGTCTAAAACACCAAAAGCAATGGCAACAGAAGCCAAAATTGACAAATGGGATCCAATTGACAAATGGGATCTAAAGGTCTTCTGCACAGCAAAAGAAACTACCATCAGAGTGAAAAGCAACCTACAGAATGGAAGAAAATGTTTGCAACCTACTCATCTGACAAAGGGCTAATATCCAGAATCTACAAAGAACTCAGACAAATTTACAAGAAAAAAACAAACAGCCCCATCAACAAGTGGGTGAAGGATATGAACAGACACTTCTCAAAAGAAGACATTTATGCAGCCAAAACACACGCGAAAAAATGCTCATCATCACTGGCCATCAGAGAAATGCAAATCAAAATCACAATGAGATACCATCTCACACCAGTTAGAATGGTGATCATTAAAAAGTCAGGAAACGACAGGTGCTGGAGAGGATGTGGAGAAATAGGAACATGTTTACTCTGTTGGTGGGACTGTAAACTGGTTCAACCATTGTGGAAGACAGTGTGGCGATTCCTCAAGGATCTAGAACTAGAAATACCATTTGACCCAGCCATCCCATTACTGGGTATATACCCAAAGGATTATAAATCATGCTGCTATAAAGACACATGCACACGTATGTTTATTGTGGCACTATTCACAATAGCAAAGACTTGGAACCAACCGAAATGTACATCAATGATAGACTGGATTAAGAAAATGTGGCACATATATTACCAGGGAATACTATGCAACCATAAAAAAGGATGAGTTCATGTCTTTTGTAGGGACATGGATGAAGCTGGAAACCATCATTCTCAGCAAACTATCGCAAGGACAAAAAACCAAACACTGCATGTTCTCACTCATAGGTGGGAATTGAACAATAAGAACACATGGACACTGGAAGGGGAACATCACACACCGGGGCCTGTTGTGGAGTCGGGGGAGGGGGGAGGGATAGCATTAGGAGATATACCTAATGTAAATGAAGAGTTAATGGGTGCAGCACACCAACATGGCATATGTATACATATGTAACAAACCTGCACGTTGTGCACCTGTACCCTAGAAATTAAAGTATATTAAAAAAATCTTCAAAGGACAAGCTGACTCTCTTGTTGGAGCTAATGCAGCTGGTGACTTTCAATTAAAGCCAGTGTTCATTTACAATTGCAAAAGTCTTCTATCTCTTAAGAATAATACCAAACCTTCTCTCTCTATGCTGTATAAATGGAACAACAAAGCCTCAATGACAGCTGTTCTGTTTAAAGCATGTTGATTGAGCATTTTAAGCTCACTTTTGAGACCTAACTTTCAGAAAAAAAAGATTTCTTTGCAAAACAGTACTGCTCATTGATAATGCACCTTGATATGATTTGTCTGTGTCCCCATCCAAATCTCATCTTGAACTGTAGTTCCCATAATCCCTACATGTTGTGGGAAGGACCTGGTGGGAAGTAACTGAATCGTGGTGGCAGTTACCTCCATGCTGTTCTCGTGATAGTAAGTAAGTTCTCATGAATCTGATGGTTTTGCAAGGGCTTTCCCTTCTCCCCACCCTGCCACTTCACTCTGCACTTCTACTCCCTGCCATCATGTGAAGAAGGACATGTTTATTTCCCCTTCCACCATGATTGTAAGTTTCCTGAGGCTTCCCCAGCAATGCGGAACTGTGAGTCAATTAAACCTCTTTCCTTTATAAATTACCCAGTCTTGGGTAGGTCCTTACAGCAGCATGAGAATGAACTAATGCACAACTGGTCACCCAAGAGCTCTGACAGAAAATTTATCCCAAGAAATGAAAACTTAAGTTTATTCAAAAACCTGAATACAAATATTTATCATAGATTTATTTATAATAGCTCCAAACTGGAAGTAATCCAGATGCCAATTCTAAAAGATTGCATACTCTAATTTATATACAATGTAACTTATATGTTAATGTAATTTATGTAACATTCTTGAAATAAAATATAGAAATAGAGAACAGATCAGTGGTTGCCAAGGGTTAAGGCTGGGGATGAGGAGGAACTAGATGTGACTACAAAAGGACAGTATGTGGGAGATCCTTGTTTGTGGTGATGGAAATGCTCTGTACCAAGACTGTAACAATGCTAACATCCTGGTTGTGATATTGTAGTACAGTTTTATTAGATTTAACCATTGGGGAAAATCGGGTAGAGTGCACACGTCTCTCTCTATTATTTCTTACAATTACATGTGAATCTACAATTACCCCCAACGAGATAATTTAATAAAAAATGACCTTTATTTTTATGTGGTTTATATTATGATTGTACCTCTATATATAGGTTTTAATATTATTATTATTATTTTTTTTTTTTTTTTGAGACAGAGTCTTGCTCTTTCACCCAGGCTGGAGCGCAGTGGCGTGATCTTGGCCCACTGCAAGCTCCACCTCCTGGGTTCATGCGATTCTCCTGCTTCAGCCTCCCAAGTAGCTGGGACTACAGGTGCCTGCCACCACACCCAGCTAATTTTTTGTATTTTGTTTAGTAGAGATGGGGTTTCACCGTGTTAGCCAGGATGGTCTCAATCTCCTGACCTCGTGATCCACCTGCCTTGGCCTCCCAAAGTGCTGGGATTACAGGTGTGAGCCACCGCACCCAGCCAATATTATTTATATTATATATTTATTAAAATTCCTTGATTTCAGTAAGTTTTGTGAAACATTGAGTTTTAAGAAGGGGGAAGTTTCATTTTTAAAAATCTAAAAATTCAAGATTGAAGTCTGCATTCAAACTTCAATAAGATACAATGATCTAATCCTCACCCTTGAAGATTTCAAACACAGGTGAAATTGTATATATTTCAGTCAAATCAGAACTATATGGGGTCATGTATCCTTAGCTAACTCTTTTCACTTCTTGGTGGAATACTCTTAAGTATCTATAATAACATATTACATTGACATTCCAATTTTACAGGTTATTAGAGTCTTTCAATTCCATTATCTCTTTTTTATATTTACAAGAACTGCAAGCAGTTGGTAGAGCATATATTATTATCTTCAGTGTTTTCCACAAAATAAAACAGAGCATCAGAGTCTTTAAGTGAACTGGCTCATGTTTCCATGGTTAACAAGTACCAGATCAGGAACTAGAATTTTGCCTTTGAAAAAGTTCCTTCTACATGATGCTGCTTCAAAATGTTAACTGCCTTTGTGCTTATCTCCTTCTCACATATAATAGACATTTTTTTTTTAGACTGGAACAAGTGTGAATCTGCTCTTTTCTGAAAGGTGCCACTTTTAATATAGTAGTGTTCTTCTTATTTAAGCATGATAAGGTCGGCTCTATCTATAAATTTTCTTCAATCTTAGTTTTTGAGATATAAAAGTGAGTCAGTTCTTCACAACCAAGGGCATTCAAAAACATCCAGTAATTTCTATCTAAAAAAGAAAGATTAGAACCAGAGGAGCCATGCTGTAATCCTCTTTAACACAATTTTTAGACAGCAATTAGTATTTTGGGGGAAAAAGATGAATCTTATTTGGAATTAAAATGCATAAACAAGATAACCAATTTTACTCAAAATTTTGAACTAAAAGTCTTTTCCCCCATCATGGAAGGACATTTTACTCATAATTAAAACTTGAACTATTGCTACCCACTGATCTGTCTGGACAAAATACCTTCTAACTGACTTGACCAAACTGTAGCCAAAGTTCTCTCTCTCTGCACAAGGCAAGTCCCTTAACTGTTGCTCACATTTAGCTTGAGTTTGCATCAGAATGGAATATGGAACAACTCCTCCTTAACAGCCCAGTGAAAGATAATTCCTGCTCAGCTATCTGATGACATCTCCAGCACATTCCATTTCTCCATAGTGGATTCTTTCTAGCCTTGTTTACACACCCCCGACCATAGAAGCAACTTACTTCTGCCTGACCTTAGAGAATCTTGCATATTCTTCCCATCAGAACATCTTCCTTATTGCAATAGACTTTTCTAATAAAGTTTCTCCTTATCTAAGCCTGGATTTGTTTTTAGTTGACAATCAACAAGGGATGTTGAAACACACAGGGTGACAAAGAACAGGTAGCCATTACCATCATCAAGCCTAAAGGGGCAGGGTAAAGAAACCAGGTGCCTGTTTTAGAGCTGTTCTTATGGAATGGTGGTCACTCTACAGGAGTTTTGCTGTAGAAGGATGTAGTTCTATGAAAATCACACTGTGATAGGAAGGGAGAGGAAAGTCTAAATACCTCATTGTCTCTCTCCTATCCTCTTATCTCTTGATGGTGCCTCCCAGCCTAAAATAGGTAATAAATAGAGCGCAATGGACTGAATGATGTAGTTCTTAGAGGTTAACTGCTCCCTCACCCAATCACAGGGCCCAAAGCAGGACATTGAAGGGCAGCTATGGACATGGGAACAAACTGAAAACAACTAGCACACCTTCTTTCTTTTAATCTGATATTATTTTGTTTTTATATTCATGCTTTTATTGTAAGTTGTCTCATTATCATTTGTGGATATAGGTAGAGTCAGTGCATTAAGGAGTACATGTTCAAGAAGTAATTTTCAGAAATTTGAATAGCAGTAAACAATTTCCATTTAGAAAATTCTACATTTGAATAACAACTTGAGTTTGACTTATGGTCTCACTGACAATTCCATGCTCAAGCTCACGAAACAATTTAGCTCAAAAAGTAGTACCCGGCATTAGAAATTGTTTCCTTTGTTTATATCAACAATAAAAAAGGAAGTTTAGATGTTGTTAGTTGCCAAATTAGGTTTACAATTAAATTATGCGTGGTCCATACTGATGTGATTAGAATTCATACAGGTGACATTCATAAAGGTGTACTACTACTTGATTTGCTAACTCTGAACATCTGTAAAAATTGACTATAATTACTAGAAAATTCTGCCCCTTTCATAGCTCTTCTTAACCATCTCTGCCATCATTCTTTATATGATATATTATGGATAATAAAAACAATGACTTAAGGATAATGAATCTTAAAATATAGAATATGTTCCTAAATTCATTTATTCAGTACATATATATAGTGCATCTATAATGTTCTAGGCATAGACTTGGTATGATGACTAGGGTTGCCTGATAAAATACAGTGCTCAGTTAAATGTCCATTTCAAATGAGCAATGGATAATTCTTTTAGCACAAGTATGTCCCATGCAGGGTAGGATGTAACCATTCAGAAAAACCCTTTGTACTTGGTAACATTAAGAGGTAGCAATTAGCCATTTTAAATCTAGGCTATGAGGAACTTTCATAAGCTTTGGGGAAGAAAAATAAATATGTATTCTGTAATGATTTGCTAATTCTGGCAATCTTTGGCATGGGAATGTAATGATGAACACAACATTATATATATCCTCAAAAAGATTATAATGAACAAGATATTTGATAAAGAGCTATAAAAGTAAAATACCTAATCCCAATAAAGTAAAGTGATATTGGAATAGCAAGCCTGTAAAGGCAGCAACATGTACCAAAATCTTAAGGCAGAATAGATATTGACATATTCAAGGAACTGAAAAAAAGGTCATTGTGGCTGGAGCCTGGAGGCCCAGAGAGAGAGAGTAGAGGAAATGATGCTAGAGATACGTCCTGTAATCTACATATTTTTTGATTGCAACAAGTCTTTTGATCTTTGTCATAAAATTGATGAAATTTATTTATAGGGAAGAAATAGAAATTGATAAATATGATTTTTGCAGAGTACTTAGGAGAAACAATTAGATTTTTGTCCATATAAAAGATTGCAGAAGTTTGAATTAAGGAGGTAGCACTGGATATTAAGAGAAGTGGAAAGATGAAATAAATATTTGAGAAGCAAAATAGAGAGGACTCAGGAATTGATCATGAGCAGTAAGAGAGGAGAAGGAATCAAAAATATATCTCAAGTTTGTGGCTTGAAGAAAAAGATGCAGAAGGATAGACATGGAGAAAATTTGCAGTAGCACCATTGTGTGGTTTTGGATACATTAAGCTTTATGCTCCCTAAGAGTCATACATGTAGAGCTAGCAGATAGTCGGTTAAATAGATAAGTTTGTTGTTCAGAAAAAAAAATTGTGCACTGGAATTTTTAGCAGATAGATCATTTTCAATACTGTACATGTATCTATCCATCATGAAATAATTTCTTAAATTGGCATGTTAAATAAATCATCAGTCATTTACCTGTTTAAAGTTTTAATTTAATAGCTCTATATTTATTTTTCAAAAGTATAACTAGCTTATCAAATCCATGATTTCTTGGAATAATTTTGTTATGGGTGAGGATATTTTATCTAACAGACCAGAGGATTTACAGATTTTTTTCTCAGGCTTCCCTTGCTGTTTCAGCCTTACAGGGCTGAAACTTCTGCATGATCATTTGAGAGTAAGGAAGATATACATGACCTAGATCCCAAGTGTGAATTCGCATGCAATTTATGTCAATGTGAGAGTTCCTTTTAGGAACTTAGTGAATGGTCACTTCCTAAGTCCCATTCTATGTGGTGTAACCAAGGAAGCTCTTACCACTTATAATAGGTAAGAATGTTTAAAAATTGAATTCATGAAGCTATAAAAATATCAATTGTCTTAAGGAACTATTATATTTCCCCTGTTTCATTCAGTCTTGTAAAGAGCTTGGCAGTTGATAAGTCACTACTTTTTCAAACTTATAACTGATGCTCACTGTCATCTTCACGGAAATGCCTGAAATTCTTGATTTCTCTGTTTTAGGGTCCCATAAGAATGTCCAGACAAGCTTATGTGAATATCCCTCTTGCAGGAACAATGGTCAAAAACTGGAGCCAGGATCTGTCTACTGTATTCGTGATAAGTTGGGTAATTTTTATTTTGTTTTGGTTAAATAATACCTCCAAATAATGAATATTGAATAAAATATAAAACTATTTTGAATAAAATAGAGACTTGAAATACTATAGAGGTGGCCTTCACAATTATTTTTCTCCTAAGTAAATATCAAAAGTATTTCTTCCAAATAAAACCACTTTTCACATATTACCAGATAACTTAACTCATTTGGATTAAGAATGTATATTATAAAGATCTTCACATGGTTTCTTCAATAAAACCTTAATATGAAATCTGATAAAGATAGTATGAAAAACAAAAACTTTAGCTTAATCCTACTCATAAATGCAGATGCAAAAATTCTAAATTAAATATTTGGAAGCAGAATCTAGCAGTGTATCAAAAGACTATACCAGGTAGAGCCTATTTCAGAAATTCAGTTATCAAGAAAAATAATAATATACTTCATTTCAATCAAAATGCTGTAGGAGATAATTATAAAGCCATAATAAAAATGGTCAAAAAGCATTTAATAGCAGTTAGTAACCATTATTAATTAAATCTCTAAGCAATAGGAAGAAAAGTAAACTTCTAAAATATAATATACATTTTTTTAACCAAAATTCATATACCAAGCATTATTCTAAAATGCAGCCAGAAAAAGGACATGGGTGCTCTCACTAATTCTATTATTTTGGGTATTTGAAACAATCACTATAAATAAACAAGGAAAAAGTGTTAAAATTAGTTTACTTTTTCTCTTTTTCTTTCTTTTCTTCATTCTCTTTTTTTTGTTATAATTACACAAGTAAAATTCCATAGAATCTAGCAAAAATTACATAGAATTATTAAAGGAATTTGGAAAAAAGGATAGACGCATTATCATTAAAAAGGTAAAAAATCTGTATTAACAATCACTAATAATAGAAAGGGGAAAACTCACAATTTCGATGAAAGCTGTAAGATATTTATCAATAAATTTGAAAATAATAGTGCAATATAAAGAAAGGATAAGACATTTTATTGAAATACATGACATAAAATAATAACAATAAGAGCACACACATAGTATTTACATTGTAAAGGCAGGCTTTACACTTATTATTATTACAAGTTTTTTTTAACATTTTTTAGACTTCTTTTTTGACCTAGCATATGGTCTATCCTTGAGAATGATCCATGTGCTGAGGTGAAGAATGTTATTCTACAGCTATTGGACGAAATATTCTGTAAATATCTACTAGGTCCATTTCTTGTAAAGTACAGATTAAGTTAGATGTTTTTTGTTGAGCTTCTGTCTGGGAGATTTGTGCAATGCTGAAAGTAGGGTGTTGACAACTCCAGTTATTATCCTATTGAGTTCTAATTCTCTCTTTAGCTCTAATAATATTTGCTTTATATATCTAGGTGCTCCAGTGTTGGGTACATATATATTTACAATCATTATATCCTCTTTCTGGGCTGGCTTCTTTATCATTATATAATGACCTTCTTTTTCTCATCTTATAGTTTTTGCCCTGAAATCTATTTTGTCTAAGTATAGCTATTTCTATTGGCATGAAATGTCTTTTTCCATCCCATACTTTCAGTCTATGTGTATCTTTATAGGTGAAGTGTGTTTGTTGTAGGCAACAGATCATTGGGTCTTGTTCTTTAATCCACTCAGCCACTTTATGTCTTTTGATTGGATGGTTTAGTTCGTTTACAATCAATGTTATTATTGATAAGTAGGGACTTAACTCCTGCCATTTTGTTATTTATTTTCTGTTTGTTTTTTTGTGGTCTTCTCTTCCTTCCTTCTTGTCTTCCTTTTAGTGAAGGTGATTTTCTCTGGTGGTATGATTTAATTTATTTTTTTTTATTTTTTGCATATCTGTCGTATATTTTTCACTTTGAGGTTACTTGAGGCTTGCAAATTTTATACTTATTATTTGATATAAATAGGTTCTTATCAGGTAGATATTATTATTCATTCCTATTATTAAAAAAAGGAAACAAAAATACGGAGAGACAATGTATCTTACCCAGAGTCACACAAATAGGATGTATCAGAACCAGGAATTGAATCCAAGTGATCTGGTCCAAGGTTCAGGTCCTTAATTCCTAAATAAAACTGACTCTATCTTGCCTAATGACAAGACATATCATCTTTTAAAATTGTATATATTTAAGGTGTAACACATGATATTAGATATACATATGATAGTGAAGTGATTACTACTGTACAGCAAATTGGCATCATCTTGAATGAGAAAACTTAATATTATGACAATATGAATTCTCAAAAATTATATATAAATATAATGTATGGAATCCCATCGTGGGGGAACATTGTATAAAATGATCATTAAGTTCATACAGAATTAAAAACAAAATCTAAGAAGAATCAACAAAAGTAACTTTTTAAAAAAAGGAATAATGAGGAGGCTTGACTTAGCAGATACTAAATCTATGTTTTTAGTTACTTACAAAGCCTCCTACTAACTTTCTAGAACAGGCAAAAGAATTTTCCATCAAGTGGTGCAACATAGAAAGAATGGAGTTTTCTATGTATTATTTACCAAAATTCCAGCAGACATCATTTTAAAATGCTAAAGCCATTCTATTAAAGCCAGAGGGCTGGGCACAGTGGCTCATGCCTGTAATACCAGCGCTTTGGGAGGCTGAGGTGGGTGGATCACAAGGTCAGGAGATCGAGACCATCCTGGCTAACACGGTGTAACCCCGTCTCTACTAAAAATAGAAAAATTAGCTGGGCGTGGTGGCAGGCGCCTGTGATCCCAGCTACTCAGGAGGCTGAGGCTGGAGAATGGTGTGAACCCGGGAGGCAGAGCTTGCAGTGAGCCGAGATAGTTCCACTGCACTCCAGCCTGGGCAACAGAGGCAGACTCCGTCTCAAAAAAAAAAAAAAAAAAAAAAAGCCAGAAAGAGGACATAGATGCTATCACTAATATTATTCAACATTATTTTAAAGTAAATTATGATGAGACAAGACAGTTTTTGTAAGAAATTTTTAAAAATCAACATATTTACTTTATGTCAGCTGTATTAAGCTGCTGGGCTTCTCAGATTCTTATTCCAAATTGTATCAAGGATAGAGGTGCCTATATAATATTCTAGAAGGATTTCTAGAAGAAAAATATATATTTTGAAAAACACATACCAATGAAAAAATATTTGAACATCTTTTATGTTAATTAACAAAAGCTTTACTGCATATTTAATAGAAAAATGTGAAGATTTGTTCTAAAAGTTGTCTCTCACCTCTGCAGTGTGGACTCATAATTAGGGTCTTTCAAATTCTTATTTATTATTCCTGCAGTGTGGATACCTGATTAATGTACTTCAAATGTTAACTAAAAGCATCTAGCATGTAGATTAATATGTATTTATATTATGCTGTCCACACTAAGGTATTCTAAAGTAAGTTACAGGCAATGAGACTAGTTACAGACAATGAGACAAGAACATTATTATAGGAAATAAAAGAAATAGTCAACCAGTTTATTTTGTATCTGCTTTATAGTGATTTCTTAATTAAAGGTCATTAGTCACTTAAATACATAACTGTAAAATTCTGATCTAAGGTAACATTACAGTGTGATCTGGTATGAACTCTCAATATATCCTCTCTAGAGTAATGGTGAAAACAGCTAACTAATGAGACACCTCAGTCCTGGTCGTGTACTTATTCCTTTTTTCTGTCTTCATGTGTCTTCAAATTATTCATGGATTGCCTTATTCCCAAGGCCATATTGTCACTGTTTTGGTTTTCTGGGATACAGACTAAGATAGTGATTAGTAGGCAGTGCATTTATTAGGAAGTGCTCTTGGGATTGACACCCGTGAAGGGGGGTGAAGGAAGCAGAATTTGTTAGAGGGAGAAGGTGAGCTGGGATGCAGTCTGACAAAGGCCTCAGCTAATTTCACGGCGAGTTTTAAAAGCTGAGATTGACCAAGAGTTGTCTTGAGTTAGCACTAGGAGACTGATGATCAGATGAGGGCTGCTTCCGGAAATAGATGAGATGTTGGTCAAAGCAGTTTTCTTTAGCTGAGGCAATTCCCATAGAGGGCTAACAGCTGAGGAGCGCCTTCTGGCATCACTCTCAGCAGCTGGGAAAAAAGGTCTTGATTCCTGAAAGGGAATCTGGGTAGTGTAGAGGCTACCATGCTAACATGTCTCTATAAATTATCATTAATGTAGGGTTGAGTGCTCCTTCTACACTACTATCAATTGATTTATGGTTTTCTAAAGTTCAGACTTGAAGGTAGAGATTCAATGTGGAGCATAATCATAAAACTCTAGAAGTGTTCCTGTCTAAAAGGGAAGAGATCCATCCAATTTCTGGTATACATTCCCATGAGTTCTGAAGATTTGCCTTTGACTCCCTTCTGAACCGGCCTAGGGATTTCTTCTTTGTGGCAGGTTCACGAGAGTTCTTTGACAAAAGATAATAGCTTCCAGTCTGAGTAGTCTCTGCTGAACTCCCCTACTGTGCCTGTTTCACTGCCCAGACACTCCTTATGATTATTTCCAATATCCTGTCAGAAACAGCAGAGTCTTTTTGTGCCATTTCTCTGAGATTTTGCTGTTAGACGATTTGAGGCATATTAAATGTAGTCTCACTTTACAATTATAATACAAATATGAGTATTTAATTTTTGCTTTCAACTCTTGGTCAGTAAGAATGTTAAAAAAATTTTTTAGAAGGTGATAGGTGTTTCCAAGGCCATTGGTCAGTTAACCCCAAATCAATTTATCAAATGACCCCTCTGCCAAATTATTTTGAAGTTTCTTTTCACTAAGATCTCAAGCACAATCATTCAAACCACAGTTAGTGTGTGTCCAGACTGGGAGTTAAAGGTAAAGGAGACACAGGAATAGGGTGGCCAGGTATGATACAGGACACTCAGTTAAATTAAATTTAATTTCACATAAAGCATATAATTTTTTTTAATGTATGTGCCACACAATATTTGGTACATATGTCAAAAAATAACTGTTTATCTTGTATTTAAATTTAATTGTGCTTCCTGTATTTTTATTTGCAGAATCTGGCGATGCTACTCGAAAGTCTTTCTTCTAAAAGGCAGCCCCTTGCTCTTGATCTTGGCTTCTGTCTTTGCAGTGCTCTCCATATCACACCTTGTTATATACTCATAAAAGGCAGAGAAAGCTACATCTCCAGTTGCCTTCCAGGTCCCCTCAGAGGATTGCTTGGTGCTAGGGACTTTACAGTTGCCATGACTGACTAATGTTTTCTTCCTCTACCTTTGATTTGGTCTCTAGTTCTCATCTTTTCTCATTCTGCTCATTCTTCATGGATGGGTGCACCTGTGCCCAAGGTTTCAGTTACTACTGATGTGATGGATGGGTCGTCTGATTCCAAAATGTGTGCTAAACTCTGAGGCTTTCTTAAGCTATATGGTCATATTTTCAAATTCCCACTGGGAACCCATACTGGGATTTCTAACATATATCTCAAATTCAATATGCCTAAAAACAGCTCATCCATTCTATCTCCAATACAGCCCACTCCTTCCTATTCTTGACTTTGGTTAAAGGCAAACAGTTCTTAGCTCAGTGCTTCTTAAAGATAAAGTGTGCATAGGAATAAACTGGTTTTTATCTTTAAAATGCAGACTCCAGGATCTTCTTTCTTGATAATAACTCTGGAGTGGGCCCAGGACTCCTGTTTTTGTTTTGTTTTTTGATTAAGTCCCCTGGGCAATTCTAATATAGTAATGAGATGTTAGCCTCTGTAATATGGCTTCTGCCTAAATTTCCAGCACATTCTTACCACCAGCTGTTAGTGGAGAACATAACACACTCCATTACTTTCCTTGTCAATTTTTCAATGAAATATATAGCTATCAAAAATGCTTTGCATAATTTTCTTTATTTTGGCAATGAACGAAAACTCAGGATTTTGTTCTTGGCCTAAACCAGATAAAAATGTCAATAGCCTTGGGAATACTCCAGTTGAAGGCAGTAGGAAACCTGAACATCTAAATCATGCGGCAATCATGGAAATCTTGGTGATAATTTCAATTTACCTAGGCTGTTTACATCAGTTACACTACAAACTAAAGGCTAAACAGGGCCTCCACTGACACTCTGGTTAAAGTTTAGTGCAATACATAATTTATCAATGAGTGCACACAAATGAGTTTAATTTTGCCTGCTACCCTTAAACCCCCCATTATTATGTAGATTATTAATGAGGTCAAGACATCCCTAACATTTTGCAAGAAAGCAAGCCCAGGGAACTCAACCAACTGATTGTAGACAAAGTTGGGAAATTACATGAAGTCTGATTTAGTCACCAAACTACCTTAAAAAAATTCCCTTAGAAAAACAGTGAGAAAATTTCTAGAGTGTGACTTGAAGTGTAAAATAAAAAAAGAAAGTTCTTTGTAAATATTTTCAAGTGAAATATGCATATGCAAATTTTAACATGATGACCAAAATACCTTGGAATGTTTCATGGTTTTTTTTTAAATCATTAAAATACAGAAAAATGGTCTCTTTGTATGTATTTATGCAATTATGTCTATCCATTTATATCTACCTATTTATCTAATCTACCTTGATCTAATTACCTTTTTTAATCAGGAAAAAAGCTGGAAGGAAATGAATCAAGAATGATCCTTCTGGAATTACGGGAAATTTATATATTTTTTAAATCTACAATGTATCTATCCTCTAACTTTTCTAGAACTAGCCTGTTTTACTTGTGTAATTAGGAAAAGATAATCAGCATTTATCAGGTCTGACTAAGTCGGAGTTTAAAAAGCTGTAAGTTGCAATCAGCAGCATTTTGAATTGTAACATTGTTGTGCTGTTGCTCAATGTCATCAAAATTGCTCAGCCGACACTCATTCCTTGATTCAGCTATCCAGTAAAGGGTTTTTTAATGTCAACAATACGCTAGGCATTCTGCTAGGTAAGATTGATAAAAAGATAAGTGAGACATGATTTCTACTATCAAAGATCTCATAATCTAGAAAAGGGAGAAAAGGCACGCAAAGAGAAAAACAATCATACCACAGAGTGACTGCCAATGTTTGGACAGTTAGATGAGTACAGAAGAGGAGTCAACCAAGTCTTCCTGGAGGAGTTGGAGAGGATTCTAAGAGGAAAAGACACTCAAGTGATGCCTTGAGAACATTCTAGGCCACGCTTTGGGAGGGCAGAAATTTCAAGAAGAGCAATCCATTAAGGCATAGATATTAGTAGTTTATTTAATCCATTCCATGTTAAACAGTTAAGCAGTTCATTGTATTTGACTATTATAAATCCATGGTAAATATTTTTGAAGCTCAGTCTTTGTCTACATCTGTATTTATTTCTAGGTGAAGGGAAGATTCTAGAAGTGGAATTACAAAGTTAATGTTTCTGAATTATTTTAAGGCTTTAGATAAAATTTGCCAAATACAACTTAAAATGATTGTATTGATTCAAACTCCCACCTACAAGGAATGAAAAAAATATGGAAGCACAAAGTTCAGCTGAGGAAAACTAACAAAATTAGCTAAGATGAATTAGTAGAATAAAATTTATAGAATTATTTTTAAAAGATAAAAATCACAAAATGCAAAGTGGAAAAAACCAACTTGCAAATTATTGAAGTACTAATCCAAAACAGAAATGTCCAACATATTTAGCCCTAAAAATATACCAGAAAAATATGTACCAGTTCTTTAATTTTTAGGTTTTATGTGGGTTGTGACCCTACTTACTTACTCCTTTTTATGAACAGCAAATCCACACTTTCTCCTCTTGAAGCCTCTAAATTCTATTTATCCAGAGAACTTTTTTGTGTGTGTTTTACAGGAAATTCAAAGCTATCTGGTACATATTTCCTTATTTGTTCTGGTTTTCATCTTAAGATATGTCAAATATGTGACCTTAAGAAATTATCTTTCAACACCTTGAGACTCAATTTTTATGTACATTCTTACTATCATTATTATTTTTTTAGACATGGGGTCTTGCTCTGTCACCCAGGCTAGAGTGCAGTGGTATAATTATAGCTCACCACAGCCTTGAAATCCTGGGCTCAAGCAATCCTCCCACCTCAGTCTTTTGAGTAGCTGGGACTACAGGCACATGCCACTACACCCAGCTAATTTTTAAATTTTTTTCAGAGAGTTGATCTAGCTATATCGCTCAGGCTAGTGTTGAATACCTGGACTCAAGTAATCCTCCTACCTCAGCCTCCAGAGTCACTGAGATTACAGCTGAGAACCACTGTGCTCAGTTTATGTACTTATTTTTACAAAGCAAAAGTCTCCATAATTTTTTTGTAGGCCCGGTTAGAAAATAATAGCTAATCATGAAGAAAGGTGCCTTCTCAAGGTGTCTTTGGAGTAACTACACAAGATATAAAGGCAGATTTTTCCCTTTAGCATACTATGTAATCCAGCGAGCCCCGCCTTACAGGTTGAAAATGGTCTCATGTTTTGTTTTGAGGGGCAATAAAACATACCACTTTACTCAAAATAACTCATATTCTGCACTCCGTGGTGTGAAAGTCTATCATACTAAGGGGGTAAAATCACAGAGCTGGAGACACTTTTTTTTTTTTTTTTACCACACAGAATCAGCTCTAAGACATAATTAACCTGAATATGAATTAAGCATTAGTTTATTGGGTTTCCTAGCTGATCATTTTAATTGCTTATCAAACTGGGTCGAAAAGAAAGACAGAGGGTAATCAGTTTCAGGGTAAATGACAGGATGTAACTTTGAGAGGTGAGAAGACATACGGAAAAAAGGACAGATGGAACCAAACTTTCATGGTTTCATTTTGCCTGGGCAACATCTGGAATATAGTATTATAACAACCACAACATCAAAATTATCCAACATACTTGTAATTTAAAAGGCTTCTTTTGGAACCTCATCAATTTTGTTCATTTATTTATTCTTCTTGAAAGACGGTAAGCTCCATAAAATGCAAGGACAATGTTTGTCTTGTTGAATGCTATATTTCCACTAGTTGCTGGCATATAGAAAAAGCTCAATACATATTTATTGACTAATAGGAGTGAGATGAAATGAGAATTGCTATTTCTATCTCCTTTCTCCTTTCTGACAATTTTTCCCTAATAACCTAAGTTTGTGAATAAGTCCAGTTATTTTCTGGCAGCTGAAGTTCATTGTCTCCTGGATTATTGTTAGAGTGAGCCTGAAGAAGCATTTGCAGGGATGGGGTGGCTTTCTAATTTATACAGTCACTGAGCCTCTCGCCTATTTTATTCTTCACACCATGCTGGTCTCTTGCTACTCTGCTCTCTCTTTCATTCCAGACTTTAAATAAATTCAGATTCATTTTATTCCCCTGATTAAAATAAGTATCTGCTTTTAAGAGCATTCACAATAATGTAAAAGCTGCTTAACTAGCACTCAAAAAAGTTCATATCTGCTGTCATGTATTCTCTCCCAAATATATGATTTATTCTGGTTACATTAAGCCCTAGAATTCACACACACTGTGCATGCTTCAGGATTCCTACTTGTTTCTGGGTTGTACCTTGATACAATTCTATTCATTATTTAAACTCAATTCAACTTATTGGTAATTGTTCATTGGAATCTGTATTATGTCTGTCATAGAATAAAGCAACTGAGTTATCTTGAAAATTATCTTTGGGAGATTAAGATTTTCAGCATAAGATACGAGACATACAAGTATAAAAAATCATTTAAGTAAAAACTATGTAATTTTAATTTAGAATTGAAACATCAATATAAGTACATATATTTAAAAATACATATTTCTAACTTTAGTGAAAATGTCTGGGAGCAATGAGAACTCAGTAGCAATGAGTATCCAGCAATGAAAGGAAATGAAATCCTTGTGTAAATGGCTGATTCCAGGTTGAGATGAAATTATAGTGTCTTTAAAGAAGCTGAGGTTGCAGGGTGTTTCACTTGTATAGGCCCTTTCCAAATTCGTGAGAGGTCTTACCAGTGTGGTCACATGGTTATATATATATATATATATATATATATATATATATACACACACACACACACACACACACACACACACATATATATATATATTTGCAAAATACTCAAAACTATGATATTTTAAGTTGCAATTACTTTTACTCTGATTTTCTCTTTGCCGTAATTCTTCTTTGGTTGGGTAGTTTTGAATTGGCCATGGGGATTTTAGAGATCATGCTAAGGAAAATTTGAGGAGGGATATATTCTTATGTAGTTAATGGTCTCTTGATGTTACTGTTAACTGTTCTGATATAGAATGCGCCCCTCTACAGGAATCAATATAATATCCTAAGAAGGAGGGGCAAGGCTGAGGTCATATGAGGATATGAACATGTTCTATTGCCCATAACAGTGTGAGAATAGTGAAGCAGAAAAAAGCTTCAGATAAACAGAGCCAGAAGCTAACTATGGAAATACCTCCAAATATTAAAGTGTAAGTCTGCAAGAAACTTGATAGTTTCTCCCAATACTTAATATTATTACCTTTAATGGCAAAAACCACAGTAACTTTTGCACCAACATAATAATAATCACTTTTTATTGAAGCATTATAGAGGAAAGAAGGATTTACCTTTCTACTCTCTGCTTAGAAGATATTATAAAGTTATTGTCATATGAAGAGAATTCAGGCAAAAATGTAAGAAAAAGTGTTACAAAGATATTTCAACAGTTAGTAAGAATATTATGTCTTTTTACTGGATTTTGTGATATTTGTAGGATGTGTACTTTAAAACGTTATAGTTTGTTTGTTGTTATTTATTTTGCCATTCTATATAAATATTTACTTTTGTATCTTATTTTATATTCACAGCTTTGCACTTTTTTTCTTAATGAGGACCTTCAAACTGTGTAATCTGCTTCTGAAAAATCTGGATCCACATTATATCGGGTTTGAAATAGGAAATATACAAACTGATCCTGGGACAGGTTGTTGTGCTTGAAAGCAAATAAGTGATCTGACACTGTTGGTCTTGCACCAAAAGGACACTGGAACCTGCTCTCAGGGGTTCCCACTGGCCTATGGTGGGACCACCTGAGGTTCAAAGTTACTTCAATTGACTAAAACCTATTTTATATTAAAACATCATGAAAAGGAAATAGACACAAAAAACAACACTCACTGAATATTTTGGAGCTTGCATCAACTTGTTACTCAGAATATTGAATGTAAGAGTGAAATCCATAAGCACTGATCCTGTCTTTCTCGTGTAAAATATATTTCAGGGTAAATGACACCCAGTATGGGTAAGGGAAAGTTCTATACAGAAAAGTCCTAGCAAATAATAGAAAGCATGATAGGATGAGAAATCACCAGTTTGCAATGTTAAAGAAATAATGAATCGATTCGGTGGCCATCATTTGATAGTAAAGAAAATGGGTGAAAGTTGATAAATAACTTTTCCATACAGGGATGTGAAACAGGGGTGCTGGCATACCCTTCCCTCACCATGTCAACCATGTGCTTTTCTCAGAAAGAAGTGTTTGAATAAGTGTCAGACTTTTAATTTGTTTCTATCTCTATTACATCTCATATTAATTGATCAGACTTTCTTCTTAGTTCCCTGAGTGAGTCCATGAAGGGTTTCTTATCTTCATATTCTTTCGTTCATTTCAATTGGCAAAGACATGGATGAAAATAGGAGTTTTCTGCATGTTTAAGCCAAAAAAACTATGTGGAAGTTAATATTATCTTTTTTAAAAGCTGTTGACAGTGCTGATTTATAACCTAGATGTAGTCTTCTATACTGTCCTTTAATTCTGAATTGCACTTAGAGTGCTATAGTATTCATTTTTTCTTTTACTAATATTTCCAAACAACTTTCTCTGAGTCATATTTTATGGCTTATAACCTGTGAATCAAAACAAAGAAATTGTATTATATGTAATATCTTTTTGCTTGAAATTAAAAAAAAAAAAAAAGGAAAAAAATCCATAAGGATACTGTCTCTCTCTCTCTCTCTCTTTTTTTTTTTTCTGCACAGCAATACTTGTTAAAATATAACAGTTTTAAATGCTGTTTATTTCCTGTTTGTGTACAATCAGTTGAGCTAACTTCTCTTCAGCATGTAGAATAGCACATTAATAACTGGCTCGAATCTTTGAAGGAATTTTGTAGAAGATCTAAGTACAGAAATCTCAAGAGAATTGCTTAGGAATACAGAATCCTTGTTTTTATCAAGATCTTCACTCAGCAATGTCTACGTGTGGCCTTATAGCAATGATACTCCTTTTGCTCCTAGAGGACACTTTCTCCACCAACTTTGAATACTAGCTTTGAGAGATAATTACAGCTCAGAGCAAAGAGAAGGCTTTGAGAGAACTACTAGGATAACTGGGCAATCCCTGATACATCACATGCATCCTTGCTTAGGTGGTAACCAAACACAGGCAAAGCAGTTGAAACTGTGTGTGGGTTATGCTTTGTGAGTGGGTCTCAAGTTAACTGCCTTTTGATGAAAACTAGATGCTTACTAGATACTTATTCTGTCAAATGCTTACTAGTAATACATAGAAAAATAAACAAAAAACTACCTCATACATACCTTATAATCATCCATACACTTGTAAAATAAATAATCATATGCTGTCATGGTTAAGAGTATACACTTAGGCATCTGGTAAACTCAGCTTCAAGACCATTTCTACCACTAATTAGTTTGTTATTGGCCAAATTATATTTATTCATGTAAGCTACGCAGTCTCATTTTTAAGATGTGAATGATGGAATTACCTGTTCCATAGAGTTGTTGGGATGTACCAATGAGAAAATGAGTGCTCTGTTACATAACCAGCATCCAATAAGCAGTAGCTCTCATTTTCATTATTATGTTCACAATAAAGCAGCCAATGGATACTTCCTCCTAGGAAGGAAAAGAACATTTTGGATAGGCCTGGCCAGTGTTTACCAATTTGCCTGCTCATATGATTGCCTAGGGTATTTATTAAAAGTACAGATTTCTGGCCATACTCTTCACCTTTTGATCTGAATAATCAGGGTACTGGGAGGGGTGTTTGGACTCTCCATTTGACAAGTACCTTGGGTGGTTTTATGGTCAAAATGGTTTTGAAAGTAGCACTAGTGCACATAACATTGAAAATTGAATGACTAATGCATATCTACTTCCTTATTGTTGATGAAAAAACTTGCAGCATTAAAACAAAAAACAAACATCATTCTGCAATTGCTATAGCATATATATCCTGACCACACTCTGTGAATTCCAGCTTATTTCTTATCTTCCACATTTTGTGGGGTTTTTTGTTTGTTCGAGACCAAGTCTTTCCCTGTCGCCCAGGCTAGAGTGCAGTGGCTCGATCTCGGCTCACTACAACCTCTGCCTCCCAGGTTCGGTTGATTCTCCTGCCTCAGCCTCCCAAGTGGCTGGGATTATAGGTGTGCATCACCACGCCCAGCTAATTTTTGTATTTTTAGTAGAGACGGGGTTTCACTATGTTGGCCAGGCTGGTCTCAAACTCCTGACCTCAAGTGATCTGCCTGCCTTGGCCCCCGACAGTGCTGGGATTACAGGTGTGTCCCACTGGACCCGGCCTATTTCCACATTTTGAGCACATGTTTTCTTCAAAGTTTTATTTTTCAATTTGAAAGAAACTGTTGGTAGAATAGAGACAGAAAAAGAAAAGTGAAGGGAAATCAGGAATCAAAGATAGAAAAATGCAAAAGATCAGAAAAATGACCGTTTAGACATAAAAGTGTTTATTTTCCTTTATTTCCTGGCCCAATTCAAATTTTACAACTTCTTCTGCATAGCTAAGTACTTAGTGTGTTTAATTTGTCTTTATTACATATGTTCTTGCAAAACATACATTGCTTTATGTGCAATGTATTTTAGTTTATGTAAATAATATTGTTGATATACATCTTTTCTGACCTACATTTTTCACGAAAATACTGTTCTCAATATTCATCTGAATAACGTGTGCATCTATGTTTCTTTTTCTAATTGCATTCCACATTTTACTGATCCACTGACAGTTTTACACATCCAGGTTCCTCTAGATTCCCTACCGGCACAAGCAGTGCTTCATATAGAGCTGAGTGGCCTGTGGTATGAGTTGGGGATATGCACACATTTTATGCAAGCCGAGTCATAGGGTCAGTGTGTATTTACTAAGTCCATATACCAGCTTGTATTCCAGTATGGCTGCCTAGCTGACACTTCCAGCAGAGCAGATGCCTCCTAGAGCTGCAAATTCCCATCTACATTTGACTTTTTCTATTTTTCTAACGTTTGCCAGTCATGTCTTATTGTCTTAATTTGCATTTTTCTGGGTATTATTCACTTTGAGTTTTCTTTTATGTGATGGTAAGTTTTGAGGAGTTCCATTTCTCAAAAGGGCATTTGCTGAGTAATTACACTGGAATCTGATACCAGCTTCATGCTTACAAAGAAGCTACAGTGGGTATTTTTAAAGGTTGTTTTCCCAGGTTGCTGTACCTCTCTTTTCTATCGGCATTTACATCTGAGATATTCTTACATAACCTAGTTTATAAAAGTTCTTTCTCAGAGAGATATAAAGTTGAAAGAAGAGATTGTATGAGCACAGAAAGTGCTTCAGGCGTATCTTCTCCTGGAAAAAATAATGAAGAATGAAAGAGAATATGTAAGTTAGGGTCCCATTAGAGGTGATAAAAGCCAGGAGAGAATAAAAGTATTTTAACTATGTTGGGTCATCCCTGGGATGCCTGGCAGCATGAATGCCTTGTGCTATCACAGGAATAGTCAGGATTAAGAATGAAAGTCCAAGGAAAAGCGTATACCCTATCCATGGTTACCCCGCTCATATCAACTTCTAAAAGTTCTTCTTCTTTTTTTTTAATCTAACGCTAAGTGAGAAATGACTTTTAGAATGGTTGAAAAGGATGTCATAATGCCCTGTGGGGATTATAAATAAATAAAATTGATCTCAGTCTCCTAGACGGAAGCAAAAAAAAGTCTGTTCCATGGCAGTTTTGCAGGCTACTGACCAAGAAAGAAAATTCATCTACTATGTTGTCAAATTTATTCCTCCCATCCATCAGTTGTCTTAGAGGAATTTTTTTCTGAATACCCATTCATGCACGAAGCATTGTCAGTTGTACATCCCCAGCTATTTTAAATTTGACTTCTCTCTATTTATGTCACTGCTGCTCCAGTTCAGGAGTGTCCCTCATCTGAAATAGCTCTTGCTTTCACTTTCAAAATCTGCCTCCAGTCCTGCCTTCCTCAAATCCATACACCATGAGGTTGAGGCAGCTAGAGTGCAAGCATGTTGCTTTCTCTCAAAACTTTTCAATGGTTGCCCATTCTCAGCAAATGGCGTAGACACCCTCACATGACATGGTAGACTTTCTGTGACCTCTCCACTTTCTTCCTCTCCCAGACCTCTCCATGCTAGTGTGACCTAGCTGATTTTAGCTCCGTGGAAACATCAAGCTGTCTGTTGCTCTTGAGTCTTTGCTTACCCTGATCTTTCTGCCTTACTAGTCCTCTTACCTCCTCTTCACTTCTCTGGATAAATAAATCCTATTTATTTAATCAAACTCAACTTTGGGGTGATCAGCTAGTGATCCTCCTTCTCACCTGGGCTGAGCTAAATGTCTTTCTATGGTACTTCCAAAACACTCATGAAAATGTCAATTACTGGACTTGCTGGCTTATGGTTACACTTTTCCTTTATCTCTTTCTGATGCTATGGTGTAAATGTTCTTCAGCTATGAAAATAGGATTTATTTATCCTTATATTGGTAGTAAAAATATTATTTTAAGGACAGGCAGTAGAATTCCTCCAAGGAAGAGAGTGGTTTTGGATTAATAAAATACCTTGATGGTTGAGAGGGCTTTAAGAAGGGGGAACATCTAATATTCAATTTTACATCTTTAATTGTACTGACCAACAATATAATTGCCTTCTATTGTATTAGATCTTCAGTAAAGTATATAGTCACACAGTCTTGAGCTGGTAAATTGGTAAATAAATTTATCAGCTGCTGTTTAGAGCAGGATAGTATGGAATAAACCATGTGCCCAAGAGTGGCAAAATTCAGAGAAGGCATCAGTAACTCACTGGAAGCAGCAACTGTTTGTTCTGGAAAAAGATAAACTCTTAAAGATTTTCCAGAAGTATACGGAGCATTCATTAGATTTCCTACTGTAAGTAAGTTGATGTTTGAGCCAATTTTAGTTTGAAAGATAAGGAAAAGAATGTTAAACTGGAGGATATGGGAAAACTGTATTTTATAATATGGGAAAGTAAAACATTAGATAAAAACTAGTTTATGCATAAAAAGGAATATAACAAAATAATAGCAGTTGTTACTGGCTGCTCTTTATTTTTTAATACATTTATGTAGTTGACATATTTAATCAAGTGACTAAATATTGCTTTTCACCTCAGGGAAAGTTTTTAAGTAAACGATTTAAAAATTTTACCACCATTGATGGTTTGACATTAAAAGATCACATATTAAGTACCAATTGTTAGTGTTTACCATCACTATTTTTTTTTTCACTTGGAAAACTGTTTTTGAGTAACCTATATGTTATTGGACAAAGTTTAGGGAGTGTTTACTGCTCTACCTCTTCTGAATTCTTCAACTATGCTGAAACCTGACTTTAGGTAAACTAGGAGAAGGATTTCTCTGATGCCATTCACAGCCCTCTTTTTGAAATCTGTCTCCTTCATTTCAAAGTCCCTGCAGGCTCCTGTGCTGCCATGTTGGGATCTCAGCTTTCCTCCCTGTTGTGTCCATTGGATGGTCCATTACAATGGCTTTGCTTCTATTTGCCTCTAGTGAAAACTGTTTAATCAGGGTCGTATTCCCTCAGCATTTTACACTCCTGGACACAAGGTTATTTGGACAAAAGAATCCTTGATAACCTGTTGCTCTTCTTTAGATCATTTTCAGTTGACTCTTTCTCTACCTCACTTTCTCTATCTTGTCTAATAGGCTGTGTTGGTTTTGCCTAAGAAATATCTCTCAAACCTATGGCTTCTTCCCCTAAGGATATTGCCATAATTCAGAGACTTGTTATTGTTTCCTTTAGCTCTTCCAGAAACTATCTAGCTGGTCTCCTGTCTTCAAGTGTTTATCTCCCATTTACATTTTCCAAACAGCCCCTAGAATATTTTTCTGCCATGTAGATGGCATTATGACAGCACTTTCCTTTAAAAAAAACATAACTTTAATGATACAATGGAAGGTTTAGAAATATTGCTCTAGAATACAGTCCAAACCTCTCAGCATATAAGGTAAGATGTTTTTTGGTTTGATACCGCTATTCTTCTCCAGTAGCAACTTTTGCCATTCTCTTTACTCTCTCTTACTCTCTGATGTAGTTGGGAATTTTGTCCCCACTGAAATCTCATGTTGAATTATAATCTCCATTGTTGGAGGTGGGGCCTGGTGGAGGTGTTTGTGTCATGGGGGTGGATCCCTCAAGGTCTGGTGCTGTCATCACAACAGTGAGTGAGTTCTCGTGAGATCTGGTCATTTAAACGTATGTGGCACCTCTCCCCCAATTCTTTCTTGCTCCTGCTTTTACGATATGACCTGTCTGCTTCCACTTTCACTTCTGCCATGTGTAAAAGCTCCCCGAAGTCTCCTCGGAAGCTGATCAGATGTCGGCACCATGCTTGTACAGCCTGCAGAACTGAGAGCCAATTAAACCTCTTTGTAAAATAAATTACCAAGCCTCATGTATTTCTTTATAGCATTCTAAGAATGGCCTAATATACTCCCCAATTATTTTGTTTTCCCGAACCACAGCATGTTCTTTCCTTATGCTATTCCCTCTGCCAGGAATCACCCATCACTTCATTCACACCATTACTGTTTTGCAAATCTGAGGTTGTCTAGTGTATTCCATGTGAACAGTTCTCTCTCATTCACAGCTCTCTCTGCCATGGTAATTCAGCACTTTCCCCTTTATACATTCCAGTAGCTAGAAAACTGCACTACTGCATTGTAGGTATTTACTCATATATCTGTGTTACCATTATCCCCTGAGGCCATTGAGGATCTATATGTTGTCATCTCTGTAGTTACAGAACCAGCCTATAGTAGTTTCTAAATAAATAGTAGGGAAATGAGAAAATACAATATAAAAATTGACTTAAAGCTCAGAGTTGTTTAGAAAGATACTTCTCAGGGTAATCTCATGTGGCAATACTGTTCTTTTTGCTAATATTTAGGAATTTGATAAGGTTTTCTCATTCTATTAACATATTCAGTTGTTCCCTCTCATGCTCAGATATCTAAGTTTTCCCTGAGCATTTGGAGAGTTAGCAAACTTTTTAGGTAAAGTACCCAACAAGAATTATTTTAGGCTTTGTAGGCTATCCTAACTACTCACCTCTGCTGTGGTAGCTCAGAAACATCAAGAGATATCATATAAATGACTGGACAAGATTCTGTTTCCATGGCACTTTACTTACAAAAACTAGCAGTAGGCCAGGTTTGTACTGTAGGCTGTAACTTTCTGATCTGTGGTCTAGATTTAGGGTTTAGGTTTACACATCTAAACCTTTGGTTCAGAATATGGTAGGTTTAGGTTAATTCATGTGCCAAACAGTGAGGTGGTGCCGCGCTTTGCTAGTCCAGGATTTAGGGATGAACAATACATATGTGCAGTCAAATTCATGATAGAAATCTTAGGAGCTATTACAATGGTTAATCTTATTGGTGTTCAGATGACAAACATCTTGGTAAAGTTTCTATGATAGTCACAAATCAGAGGTGGTCCGCTGAAAACGTCTATATTGTATTGTTACTTTTGAAGCAAATCCATTGTCTCTAGCAAGAAATACTCTGCCTCTCAGAAACCACACTTGTGTCTTTCAGCGGTGTGGAACTGAGTATGTACTAGATTCCTAAATACTTTGTGAGTTTTCACTTGGAGAAGTGGATTACTGCTAGATGTCTCCCCAGGCAGGACAGCATCTCTGGCAAGGAGACAGCTTGTTAAAGAATGTAAGGACCAAGTTGGAGATGCACAAGAAGCAGTATTATTCATTTATGCTTCTCAGAAACAAATTTAATCTCAAGTAGAATGTATCCAAAAATTCTAGTAGCATTTTCCTTAATGCATTTATGTGGAGGTAAAGCAGTAATTGTAAAACCCAACATAGGATTGTTCAGATTTCTATTTCTTGAGCTGATAATTTCTTTGCTCCTCTTGGTTATTTGTGTCCAGTGTTCATTGTCCTCTCTTATCCCTGAGGAAATTGTGTAATGATTATAAAGTGCTCTCCATAGGCATTACCTTTGCTGTCATTTTGCTTCATGATTTCTCCTGCCATGATGAGTGAGCACCTTTCCAAGCGGCACCTGTCAAAAAACAACTGTTCTTGAAGATTGCTATGTGACATCCTCAAGAACATACAAGCTGAAGAAAAGCTGTCCTTTTATCTGAAAGGACAAATTCAAGGTAGGCCACAACATTTTATGAGATGTAAGCAAGTATGTGAATGAGAAACACTTGTATTTTATAAACTGTATTCCTTTTATTATGTTGTTATACTTTGGCACCCTTTCTACATACCTATGTTAAATTAATCCCATAATCTATAATAGTCCCATTGATATGGTTTGGCTGAGTCCCCACCCAAATCTCATCTTGAATTGTAGCTCTCATAATTCCCATGTGTCACAGGAGGGACCCAGTAGAAAGTAACTGAATCATGGAGGCGGGTCTTTCCCATGCTGTTCTCGTGATAGTGAATAGGTCTCGAGATCTGATGGTTTTATAATTGGGAGTTCCCCTACACAAGCTGTCTTGCCTGCTGCCCTGTAAGATGTGACTTTGCTCCTTATTCGCCTTCCCCCATGATTTCAAGGCTTCCCCAACCATGTGGAAGTGTGAGCCCATTAAACTTCTTGCCTTTATAAATTACCTAGTCTCAGGTATGTCTTTATAGCAGCTGGAGAACAGACTAATACACTCATGTAGTCCCTAACATTGTGAATAATTGATAAAAGACTCGGCTGAAATTATCTTAAGACTGCCACTTATTTCCTAGTGAATGCTCATCTTTATAAAGAAATAAAAGGAACTCAGTAAGGGCAGAATGTCAATAGCACAGTCAGATTACTTACTGTGGGCAAACTTCCCTAGTAGGTAAGATCAACTTTGGCAGTTATCTAATCTGAGGAAGTAAAATTATATTCTGGAAATTTATCATATTAGTGGTTCTATTTCAATGCTATAATTTCAGCATGCAACTTTTCCTGTAGAGAATTAGTGGCCTTAAATAATCAAAAGGAATGTTATTGAATTTTCACAAGAATCCCCGACAAAGGTCTAATATCCAGATCTACAAGGAACTTAAACAAATTTACAAGAAAATAAAAGCACATTAAACAGTGGGCAAAGGACATGAACAGACACTTCTCAAAAGAAGATATTTATGTGGCCAAAAAACATGAAAAAAAAAAAACCCTCAACATCACTGATCATTAGAAGAGTGCAAATCAAAACCACAATGAGATACCATCTCATGCCAGTCAGAATGGCGATTATTAAAAAGTCAAGAAATAACAGATGCTGGCGAATCTGTTTAGAAATAGGAATGCTTTTATACTATTGGTGAGAATGTAAATCAGTTCAATCATAGTGGGAGACAGTGTGGCAATTCCTCAAAGACCTAGAACCAGAAATACCCATTAAAACCAACAATCCCATTACTGGGTATATACCCAAAGGAATATAAATCATTCTATTGTAAAGATATGTGCACACGTATGTTCATTGCAGCACTATTCACAATAGCAAAGACATGAAATCAACCCAAATGCCCATCAATGACAGACTGGATAAAGAAAATGGTACATATACACCATGGAATACTATGCAGCCATAAAAAGGAACAAGATCATGTCCTTTGCAAGGACATGGGTGGAGCTGGAAGTGATTATCCTCAGCAAACTAATGCAGGAACAGAAAACCAAACACCACATATTCTCATTCATAAGTGGGAGCTGAACAATAACACATGGTCACAGGGAGGGGAACAACACACTGGGGCCTGTTGAGGCGGGGGGTCAAGGGAGAGCATCAGGATAAATAGCTAATGTGTGCAGGACTTAATACCTCAGTGATGGGTTAATAGGTGCAGCAAACCACCATGGCACACATTTATCTAAGTAACAAACCTGCACGTCTTGCACGTGTATCCCCGAACTTAAAATTAAATTAAATTAAATTAAAACATAAAAAATAAAAAAATAAAAATAGCAACCCAGTTTCAGTCCGTATTTTATGTGTTTGAATATATATATAATCAAGGTATAACATCTTACTTAAATTAACCATTGCTTAATCTTGACAATAGCAGTGCCAATAATATAACAGTTTATTTAGTTTTGACTTTGTAAAATCAGATTTTTTTTTGTTTTCTACCGTGTGTGTGTTCAGTTGCGCACACATACATAATGAAAGTTCATATATTATATTTTTAAAGTAGTTTAGAAATAAATTTTCCTAACAAGGCTTGAGAGTAGAGTGTAGTAAACCATGTGTCAGGTTTACAAATCATGGAACTGAAGCAAGAGAAATTCAAGTGACTTCCCTAAGTCCACATAAGTAATTTGTGTCTGTCTAAGGACCAGAAACCAGTGCTATCGACTTCTAACCCAGTGCTTAATAATCTACTTTCCTTCAGTCAGGAATAGAATTTGGAATTGCCAACACTATTTGTGAGTAACAGTCATAAGTCATACATAATGTTTTATTTCCACTAATAGAAAAAGAAAATAGAAAAAAAGTTCGTGGAAATTTGAAAGTATCCCTGGTTGCTGTGCTGTCATCATCCCTTCTCAGGCATAATTTTACTCTGGCGGGTTGTGTCTTTAGTGTCTGAGGCTTCTGGGGCATTGACTGAGTCCTTTCTGTCTCTGACTTGTACCACTTCAAGGACAACAGGCGTGTCAATTTTTAGTGCTTTGGTATCAAAGCCATCTAGAAGATCAGCAATTAAGAAAAATTTTTCTGGGTATGACAAAAATGACTGACTTTCCAACATTTCTATTCAAATTACAAAGATTTGTTACTATTTTACTCATACAGTTGTTAAAAGACAATGAGAGGAGGGCAGGTGGTGAATATGCATGTATTCAAAAGATATTAGAAAAGGAAAACTGGTAGAATTCACATGATAAGATTTATTATCCTTTGTTTTGAAAAATAAGATGCTATATTTCATTTCTTTTTAATGTTTTCCCAGCTGTACAATAAAACCCTTTATCAAAATTATATTATTAAAAAATAAAATAATCATAATGTTTATCTAATCGTAAGTGAAAACTAAAATATAGAGGGTTCTAGAACACAACAAATTACCAAATAAATCAGTAATGAATCTGAGAAAAAAAACTTAAGTATTTCTGACCTCTAATTCACTCTCACTCACAAGAAAAATATTATTTCCTGAAATATTAATGAAGAATGTTCACTGGGGCTTAAGCATAAAGTTAACAAAGCAATTAAGACTCAGAAATTTGCAGGCAGGTATAGAAAAATCAGTTTTGCCTGGAAAACCCCTCATGAAATAAACCAATCAGGAGGGGAAAGGATGCCCCAGCTTGGAAGCCTGATAGTATAGAGAGAGATGGCATTGCATTACTCAGAACTTTAGAAGGTTTTCTCATTGAAGGAAAATGATGACCATTTGGGTGAGATTCTGTTGCCTGATGAAGACGTTGGATTCCGTGATTGATTCCCCTGAAAAGCAAAACAAAACCACTTTGGTCCCGACAGTCTGGAGCCTTTAGTTTTTTAACATTTCTTCTCACTATTACTCAGCTGAGGAGTCTGCATCAGTCTGGGCGTGTTGTATTTCTTTTTGCAACCAAGTTCCCAGTCATTAACAAAAAAGAACTAAGGGTGTTGCATTTAGATGGCAAAGCCATCTAATGCTTCCAGTTACAGTCATGTACTGCATAAGGCTGTTTCAGTTAAGATGAAACATAAATACAACAGCGGTCTCATAAGATTATAAACTGTACTTTAATGATACAGACAGGAGGCAAGAAAATACGGGGTAGAAGAGGGTGGGGTCCCTGGCGAGGGCTCCACCCTCAAGCCTGGACCCGCAGCCCTAAATGAGAACATGCATTTCTATTTTCCCACCTAAATGGTTGCCTTTTCCAACACCACCCTGGCCCTCCACACTCCCATCTTGTACCTATAGAAAACCTGACATGCATTCCTGTTTTCCCACCTAAATGTTGCCTTTTCCAACATTACCCTGGCCCTCCACACTCCCATCTTGTACCTATAGAAAACCTGACATGCATTCCTGTTTTCCCACCTAAATGTTGCCTTTTCCAACATTACCCTGGCCCTCCACACCCCCCACCTTGTACCCATAAAAAAACCTAAGCTCCATTGACAGAAGAGCAGGGCAGCATAGCAGAGAAGGAGAGAATAAAAGAAGCATCTGAATGTTGAGAGGAAAAGAGTCAGCTGGACATCAAACTGTGGTCAGACAGGAGTTTGGCCAGGGACAGTAGGAGAGGTCCCACTGTCCCACTCCATCCTCTTTCCAGCTCCCCATCCTATTGAGAGCCACTTCCATCACTCAGTAAAATCCTCTGCATACACCACCCTTCAATGCATTCATGTAACCTGATTCTTCCTAGACGCTGGACAAGAATTCGGGATGCACTGGTGTGGGAACCCTAAAAGGCTGTCACAGTCACTCTTCACTGAGCTGTTTAACACTTAAGCCTTCCATGGACAGCAAAGCTAAAAGAGCATTGTTTGTAACACATGCCCTCTGGGGCTCCAGAGGTCATGGGCAACCCCTAGATGCTGCTGGGGCAGTAGATGATGCTGGGGTGTTACAGGGTTCTTTCTTGCCAGCGCCCAAAAGCACTTGCCCTGGCTCGTGCACCCGCTCACTTTCATGCTACCCCTCTCGCAAGGAGTAGGAGCATAAGAAAATGAGCCATACCCCTGTGGCAAGTCCCGAGAAGGGGTCAAGGGAGAACTCTCCTGTCTCACTTTGTAAATGTTTAGATACTCACATATTTTCCACTGTATTACAATTGCCTACAGTATTCAGTGCGGTAAGGTAACATGCGGAACAGGTTTGTAGCCTAGGAGCAATAGGCTATACCATAGACCCTAGGTGGTTAGTGGGCTAATACCATCTAGGTTTGTGTAAGTATACTCTATGAAGTTTCCACAAACATTAAATCACCTTACAATGCATTTCTCAGAGTGTATCCTTGCCATTAAGAGATGCATGGTTGTACTCAGAACATTTGTTCACTTATTCTACTCTGTAGCAAAAAGAAAACACCAATGGAGAAAAGAAGAGATGCAAAGAGCCATGATTCAAGTCTGTGATCCAACCCTGTTGCCCTTTCCAGCTCCTGAGGTTGAACTGATTTTTAATCAATATTGTTGCAGTTGGGTTACCTTCTCCAGTATAACTGAGAATCTCTGACAATCCATAAAAAGAACTGAATTTGCATGAGAACTACTTGGTCATTTTTAGCTGCTTCTCTTCTTAGTGGTATCTGAGATAACCTGTCCTCTTTTATTTGTGTGCTGGGGCAGCTCAAAGTTGAGACAAATCTCTGTTCTAGCTGCCTCATTGCCAGGGATGCATTCCCAGCACTTTGGGCCTATTACTGAAGAAAAAGATCCTGCTTTTTTTTTTTCTTTTTTCTGTTCAAAGTCTCACAGATGCCCTTGGATATACTTCAGATAAACATGAATCAAATCTAAGGAACTTTTGAAGTTTGCTCGTTAGTCCACTCAAAGAAAAAAGGCAATTTCCATATTAAATTGGGTATCATTTTGCAGCCATGCTATACTGAAAACTTTGTGTCTAGCAAATTTCAAGCTGTCAATCTTTGTGAGTGACTCCTTAAGAAGGGCTTACAAGTTGTGCCCCCAAAATGGGTGGAGTACTGGACTTCCCCCCGCGTAATGAAAGCCCATTGTAGGAGACCATTCATAAGATAATTTAAAAGCCTTTTAAGCTGCAGCACCTCTGCCACTAATTGCTAGGCAAGACATTACCATCAGAGGCCCAGATTGCTCTTTAAAAAGTTTTGCGAGGAAATAAAGCCTTGTCATCGAAAGCTTTTTCAAATGTGCTCTTCTTCCTTATGCTAGAAGCAGTAGTCAGCCTGGACTTTGCATGTAATGAGACTGTGAATGGTTGATGAGTGTCTGCTACTAGAGGAAGAAACAATGAATGAGGGGTGAAGTGAATGGGGGCTTTCTTGTCATTGTGTGTAGCTTGCATTAAAGCAAAAAAGAGGATTTCTGGATTTGCACTAAGACTAGAAGCCAGAGGTCTGCTTTTTTTTTCCTTCCTTGCTCCCTTTACTCAAAACAACTGGGAATAGAAGAGAAGACAGACAGACATAATTTCTTCAGGAAAATACAATAAATAACTCTATTAAAAAGGAGCCCTTAATAATAGGGAAAATAACCTTCTTTTTAATGTATTCTAGAATAATCATTTGAGTGTTATAACATTATGAATCTGTATAAAGAAATATCTTTATGGTACTGTTTTTGTTTTAATTTTTTTTGAATTGAGTTTTCAAATAACAGCTAAAGGATTGGGGTACCGGATTCTTTATTACACCAAATTACATCATCCCTTTTTTTTATTGCTATCATTTATTTCATGATAATTGCCTTTCATTAAGACAAACTCTTCCTGTTAATAAACATTATTTCCCAGAATACTCAAAGTTTTACTCTTTGGTCTGGCACTGACTATTTTTTGTTCTTTGGTTTGAACCAATATAGAAAACGGAAAGGTGGCCCATCACAGGGCAAGAAAGTAATGATGTTTCTAAATATGTCTTATTCTAAGTCAGATATAGACACTCTTGGCTATGCTGTTCAAAGTGGCAATTAGTATTTGATATATTCTTAATGATCTGCTAATTCTTGTAAAGTTTCTATTTTATGATCCACTAATTCTTGTAAAATTTCTAATGTATGCAGATTATTAAATGCTGCTAATAATTTTCCTTGTAGAAATTACAACATATGAAGATATTTACTATATTTATTACTTGTAATCCAACTATTTAAAAATATCTTTAAAGTGACATAATAGAAAATGCAATAACATAATATAAATACAATAATGCTATTCAGGTAGAAATGAGGAAATTAGTGAAATATAAAAACTAGAGTAAATAAAATAATATAAGCTAATATAGTATCCACAATTAAGTATTCAATTTACCTGTGTGATTCCTGGCTATTTAGAGCCAAAATGGGAATCTAATATTCTTGTCTATATGTAATAAAAGAAAATATAAGCTTTTCTTTTTTTTTTAAAGAAATGTTCCTGCAACTAATTAATAATAATAAAGTAACCAATGGGCATATCCTATCGCATTAGTAGCGTAGTATCAGATACGCAGAATAAATGTACAGTTTCCCCTTAACAAAAAGATTTTTAAAAAAAGTTTGGTTCTCTTTCAGCATGTGACATCTGACATCTCAGAGGCTTGGAGGCCAGCTCAGTTCGAAATTCTATTGTGGGAATAAAGAGTTTGGGGTGCCTCTGTCTTTAAGCTTTTGAAAATGACAGCATGCCTACGAAAACAAAAGCAAAACAAAGCAAACAGGGAACTGCCTATAGTTCTAGTGAATATTTGCTCTTTAGGAAATACTCCAGGTTGAAAGTTTGTTTTCTTCTTAGTAAATTGGACCCTCTTTTTTAAAAAAAAGTTAATTGATCACCATACATACAAGGGAACTCTGACCCTGCTAACCTCAAATGTGAGGTTTAATCTGAAATTAAAATGAATTCACTGTGGTTAATAGAATAACTGTATCTCCCTAGCATGGTCTTTCTAGAAGTGCGCAGTGTGCTCCGATCATTTGCCACAGTGTAAGCTACATTCGCCCAGTCATTCTAAGACCATCTACTAAAAGTCTCTTGAACAGTGAAGCACGTACAGGAGCTCAGCGGAGCCCAGAGGGAAACTGTACCTGTTTAGGGGCACTGTTAAAAGAGAGAATACTGTTGCTTCAAGTCTTAGTGAAATAATTTTTCTAATCAGGAAATTCAATATTACTCTTCTGGAGATGAATCAGATTTTTGAAGACCAAAAAGACATTGCTCTGCTAGTCCAGTTAGCGACTTTCTCAAAAAAAAAAAAAAAAAATCAAAAGGCAGACTTGCTTCCATTTGATGCTAAAGTCAGGCTACTCTGACTGCCCTGGATCACTGTTTCCAGCATGCAAATAGAAGGTCAGAAGCTTCTGTCATGCACGAAGTGGTGTAGATCTGGGGAATCAGGATGTAATCAATTTGGCTTAAGCCTTTTGTATTTTCTCATTGACTAGTGAAGATACCATCTTCTCTGTTAAAAGTGCATGATTAAATTTCTTAGCTACCTCTGGTCAAATGGAAAGTAACTCTGCATTTTCTTTTGTCTATTGGAGATTATAAAATATCTAGAACTGATTTATCCTATTCCTCTCTATCCTTTCTATCTGATTTCATCACTGTACATTGATGAAGAAACAAGATTTATAGAACACGTCCACTACACACTCACCACTGTCAATGTTGCAGAAAACAATGCTACAAATATCTGTCTGCAGAAAGAAAAAAAAAATCAAACTTCAGAACCATTTCTAGTTGTAGAGCTATTAGGAGTGGAAAAAACAAACATTCTTTGTTCTTCTCACCTTTCATTCTGTTTTGTTCTTAATATGGCAGCATAGGCTTTTAGTAATGAGCTGCCCTATCGAGCGTGCCCTTCAGATTATCACGGAGGCACTTTGACAGGAAGAAAGGTTTGATTCTGTTACTTACTAGCTGTGTGGCCACAGAAAATTCCCTTGATCTTCTCTCAGTCTCCTCACATCTAAATAGGAATAGTGATCTACACTTTAAAGTTTTGCTGTGTTAAATAAGATAATGTGTGTAAAATGTCCAGTATCTCTAGCAAGCCTCCAAAATATAATAGGTCCCCCCAGTTGCTTTTTCATGCCATAAAATTAATCAAGTAAACATAACATTATAAGGATACCCCCCACCCCAACCCAGTATGGTCCTCTGTTTTGAGGTCTCCAAGAGTAAAAAATGACTGAAAATGGTGATTTTTCTCTGAGAAATGGCACTGGGGGTAGGAGGGTGTGGTTATAGGGAGATGGTATTTGCTTTGTCTTATATTCCAATTTTCTACAGTGAGAATACAGGTAGGTATCATTTGTGTATAAAAATATTCAATAATATTAGTGTAATCACAAAAATATATGTATAAATATCATGCCAAAATAATCAATACATTATAAAGGTCATGCGCTGCTATTTATTCCTATTTGTTAAAAGGTAAGCAGCTGGGAATGCACTGGTCAAACATACAAGTGTTTCTTTGACTAGTGATTTTCCTTATTGTGCTTTGCAAAATTATATTACATAATAAATCTTGGAAGGTGTTATATGCATGTATAATTACTGTTCCTTTGTCACTAAAAAGAAATAGATAAAATAATTTTGGAGTTATGTAATGTTATATATATTTCAATGACATTATTAATTAAAATATCATTTCTGATGCTAAGCCTGTTAGAATAATGTTTAAATGAAATAAGTATATGAAACCATAAAATATTAACCTTTTAAATATTGACTCTTATTTTTGATTGTGGTAAACGTAAAATTTGTCATACTAACCATTTTTGAGTATAGAATTTAGTGGCATTAAATATATTTGCCATGTAAACCACTATTGTTTCTAAAGCCTATTTATTTCTAAAGCATTTCATCATTCCAAGTGGAAATGCTATAATCATTAAGCAATAACTCCCTATTTGCCATTTTTTCAGTCCCAATAGTCTCTTATCTTTCTGTCTCTACAAAATTCAGCATCATACAATAGTTTTCCCATTGTATATGATTTATTTCCCTTAGCATGATGTTTTCAAGTTTCATCCATGTTGTAACATGTAACAGACTCTATACTTTTTACACCTGAATAGTATTCCATTGTACGTATACATCACATTTTGCTGACTCATTCATCCATTGATAAAAAACTTAGATTGTTTCCACCTTTGGCCTATTGTGAATACTGCTGCAATGAACCTTGGCATACAAATGTTTAAGTCCCTGTTTTTAATTCTTTTGGGTATATACCTAGGAGTAGAATTAGTGGGTCACACAGTATTTCTATATTTAGCTTTCCAAAAAACTGCCAAACTGCTTTCCACAGCAGTTTGAATAATTTTATATTCCAACCCACAATGTACAAGTGTTCCAATGTATCCACATTCTTGCCAATACTTGCAATTTTCTGATATTTTGATTGTAGTTATTCTAGCAGGTGTAGAATGGTATTTCATGTGACTTTGACTTGTTTACATTTCCTGAATGTCTGATAATGTTGAACATTTTTTCAAGTGTTTAGTGTCCGTTTGCATATCTTTGGAGAAATTTCTATTCTGGTCATTTGCCCAGTTTTTGACGGGATTCTTTTTTGTTGAGCTGTAGGAGTACTTCACATATTCTTGATACTAGACCATTCTCAGATATACGGTTAGCAAATATTTTTCCAATTTGGCAGGTTGTCTTTTCATTTTCTTGATAATATTCTTTGATGCACAAAAAATTTTATTTTAAAAATTAAATTAAATTGATCTCATTTATCTATTTTTCTTTTGCTGCTCATGCTTTTGATATCATATCTAAGAGTCTATTTCCAAGTCATGGGTAATTAAGACTCATGCTTACTGTTTTCTTCTAAGAGTTATATGATTTTATTTCTTACTTTTAAGCTGTTAATCCATTTTGAGTTGATTTTTGAGGTAGGGATCCAACTTCTTTCTTTTGCATGTGGAAACTTAGTTATTCTGGTAGAATCTGTTGGAGTCTATTCCCATTAAATGGATTTCATTCCTTATAAAAAATCAATTGGTATAGATATGAGTTTATTTCTATACTTCCAATTCTATTACATTAGCTCATATGGATATTCTTATATGAGTACCACACTGTTTTGATTGTGTGGTTTGCAGTAAGTTTTGAAATTAGGAAGTTTGAGTTCTCCAACTTTGCTCTTCTTTCAGAAGTTTGTTTTGGCTATTTGGGGCTTCTTGCAATTACACATGAATTTGAAGATTGGCTTTTTCTGCAAAACAAAGGTGTCAAAATTTTGGTAAGGATTTGGTTGAGCCTGTAGATGACTATTCCCACTTTTCTGATTTTTTTTATCATGAAATTGTGTTTGATTTTTGTCAAAAGTTTTCTCTGCATCAATTGAGATGATCATGAGGTTTTTTTCCCCTTTTTCTAGTGATGTAATTTCGTATTTGAACCACTCTTGCATTTCTGTGATAAATCCAAAGTTGGTCAATATGTTTAATCCTTTTGGTATGCCACTGGCTTCATTTTTGAGGAATTTTGCATCTATATTCATAAGCAATATTAGTGTAAAATATTGGTTTATAATTTTTGTTTTTTATGATGTCTTTATGTGGATTTGGTATCAAGAAAATGTTGGTCTGTAGAATGAGTTTGAAAGTGTTTACTCTTCTATTTTTTGAAAATGTTTAACAAGCATTGGGTTAATTCCTCTTTAAATGTTTGATAGAATTCACCAGGGATACCATCTGGTCCTGGACTTCTCTTGTTGGGAGGTTTTTGATTAGTGATTCCATGTCTTTACTGTTATAAGTCTACTGAGATTTTCTATTCTTGAGTTAGTTAAAATGATTTGTATGTTTCTAGAAATTTGTCATTTATTTTTTATCTAATTTATTGGTAAACAATTGTTCTTCATATTGTCTTTTAATCTCCATTATTTCTGTAAGATCTATAGTAATTACTACACTAGGGGTGTCCCATCTTTTGGCTTCCCTGTGCCACATTGAAAGAAGAAGAATTGTCTTGTGCTACGTATAAAATACAATAAAACTAACAATGGCTAATGAGGTAAAAAAAAAAACACAAAAAAACTCATAATGTTTTAAGAACCTTTATGAATTTGTGTTGGGCCCCATTCAATGCCGTCCTGAACTGCATGTGGCCTGCAGGCTGAGGGTTGTACAAACTTAGTCTACGCTTTCATTACTAACTGTATTTATTTGCATTTTCTCTCTTTCTTTGTTAGTCTAACTAAAAGTTTGTGTCAATTTTGTTGATGTTTTCAAAGAATTAACAGTCGGTGTCGTTGATTCTCTTTATTGCATTTCTATATTTCTAGTATTTATTTATCTCCACTTTAATATTTATAATTTATGTTCTTTTGCCAACTTTGTTTTTTCAAATTTTTAAAAAAATACTTATGGTTAACTATTATGTACAACAAAATGGTGGAATATATTTATTGGGTACATATAATGTTTTGATACAGACATACAATGTATAATGATGACATCGGGGTAATTGGGTTCTATCACCTGAAATCTTTATTATTTCTTTGTGTTAGGCACATTCCAATTCTAATCGTTTAGGTACTTCTAAATATACAATAAATTATTATTAAGTATACTCTACTGTGGTACAGAATACTGGTGCTTATTTATTTTATCTAATGGTATTTTTGTACCCATTAACCATTCCCACTTTATTGCTCCACCCTGCTACCCTTCTCGGTCTTTGTCAACTGTCATTCTACTCTCTATCTCCATAAGTTTGTTTTTTAGCTCCTACAGAGGAGTGAGAACATGTAACATTTGTCTTTCTGTGACTGATTTATTTCACTTAATATCCTCCAGTTCCATCCATGTTGTTGCAAATGACAGAATTTCATTCTTTTATGGCTGAATAATATTTCATTGTGTATACGTGTCACATTTTCTTTATCCATTTTCATTGATGGACATTTAGGTGGCTTCTATGTATTGACAATTGTGAATAGTGGTGCAACAAATATAGGATTACATATATCTTTTAGATATACAGATTTCCTTTTTGGGGATATATAGCCAGTGGTGGAATTGTTGGATCATACAGTAGCTCTTTTTAGTTTTTTGAGGAACCTTCAAACTGTTCCTCAAAACATAGTGATTGTACCAATTTACATTCCCACCAACAGTGTATAAGCATTCCCTTTTCTCCACATTTTTGCCAGCATTTCTTATTTCCTGTCTTTTGGATAAAAGCATTTTAACTGCGGTGAGATGATATCAAATTAACTTTTAACTCCTGAATGAGTATTTATTTCAATAATTATACTATTCAGCTCTAGAATTTCCATTTACTTATTTTTAAAAAAGAATTTCTTTGTTTTCATTGATAGTCTCATTTTGTTCATAAATCTTTTTCCTATTTTCTTTGATTCATTGTCCATGTTTCTCTTTAGCTGTTCGAGCATATTTAAGACAGTTGTTTCAAAGTCTTCTGATAATTCTGATATCTGAGCTTTCTCATGAATGATTTTGGTAAATTTATTTTTTTAATGAGTAATATGTTTCTGTTTCCTGTATGCCTTTGTATGATACTGAGGGAAGGAAGCTAGACAACAAAGAATCCATAGTGTATGATTCTTTTTACTTAAATTTATATAAAGGCAAACTAATCTATAGTGATAAGAAGCAGATTAGTGGTTGGCTGCAGATGGGTTTATAGGGATAAATGGATTATAAATGGCTACAAACTATGAGATATAATGGAAATGCTTGTTTTCTTTATTGTGGCTATTGTTTCATAATGTATCTATATCCAATACTGACCAAGTGCTACACACCTAAAGTGCAGTTTATTGTACTCCAATCATACATCAATAAAGTTGAGCAAATAAGATTTGTCAAAAACCCACTTGCAAGTATGTATAAAATGTATAAAAATTAAATTTAAGCATTAGATATTTGAAAGTAACCTGTTAAAAGAAAATGTTATAAATATATATGCTTTGGGAAAAAATACGTGTGTGTGTGTGTGTGTGTGTGTGTGTACACACACATTATACATACACACATATTTTTTCCCAAAGCAAAAATAACCACTTTGAGTAAGATTTGAGTAAGTTGAGACATATGGAACTTGTAGGATTTATTACAGAACCTCAGCTAAGCTAGATTTTAAAATTTTTATGGGGAGATGTAGTGTGTGATATAAGGGTACCTGTATTAGTTGGCCTGGGCTGCCATAACAAAATACCACAGACTGAGTGACTTGAGCAATAGAAATTTTTTTTTTACAATGTTGGTGACTGGAAGTCCAAGATCAGAGTTTCAGCTGAATTGGTTTCTGGTGAAGCCTCTTTCCCTGGCTTGCAGATGGCATTTTCTTCTTGTGTCTTCACATGATGTGTACATGCACACGTGCACAGAGAGAAGGAGACTGCTCTCATGTCTTTTCTGCTTCTTAAGGACACCAGTCCTATTAGATTAGATCTCCACCTTTATAACCTTGTTTATTCTTAATTACCTCCTAAAAGGGCCTGTCTCTAAGTATAGTGACATTGAGGGTGAAGACTTCAACATATGAATATTGAGGGAACACAAGTCAATCTATTATAGCAAATAATAAGAAAATGTGAAAAAATATTTGACCAGACTGATTTTTCTTACCTACTTTGTTAGAACTATATCAACATAAATATCAAAATTAAAGGCACTGTTCTATTTTAACAATAATGTATGAAATAGGTACTCGTAATGATTACTCTGCTTTTGACTATAGCCAACCTTGTCTCTTTCCTGATTCTTATCTTTCACCTCTCCCTTCTGAGACACTTAGAGATACTACTGAGCCAATACCACCCCAGGCTCTCTCATTTGTGCACTAGTAGATTTGGAAGAGATTACTAGCATTCATTGTGTTCAATTCTTCTGTCTTTGTTGGGCACATGGAGAGACTTTCTGTCTCCTTTGAAGTTAACTTGGGATTGATGGGCTGAAAGTGGAAGCTATGTGTGTCACTGTAATAAGTTGAATAGTGTCCCCTGAAGCTATGTCCAAGTCCTCGTTGTTGTATCTATGAGTGTGACCTCATTTTAAAATAAGGCCTATGTAGATATAATTAAGTTAGGGATTTCAGGATGAGATCATCCTGGATGATGTACATATATATGTGTGTGTATATATGGTCATATATAATATAACATATAACATAATATAATGTATAATATAAATGTTTGCCCCAGCAATCCCGTTACTGGGTACATACCCAAATGACTATAAATCATTGTATTATAAAGATACATGCATATGTATGTTCATTGCAGCCCTATTTACAATAGTGAAGTAATGGAATCAACATAAATGCCTATCAATGATGGAATGGATAAAGAAAATGTGGTACATATACACCATGGAATACTATGCAGCCATAAAAGGAACAATATCATTTTTTTTTGCAGGGACATGGATGGAGTTGGAAGCCATCATCCTCAGCAAACTAACACGTGAACAGAAAACCAAATACCACATGTTCTCACTTATAAGTGAGGGCTGAAGGATGAGAACACATCGACATATGCAGGGGGAAACACATACTGGGCACCTCTGGAGGGGGGTGATTGGAGGAGGGAGATCAATAGGAACGATAGCTAATGGAAGCTGGGATGATCTGTGCAGTAAATGCATAGCACACATTTACCGATGTAACAAACCTGCCCATCCTGCGCATGTACCCCTGAACTTAAAATAAAAGTTGAAAAAAAGCTATTATATAGAAATATATACAAATATATATACACACACATATATATACATATATATACACACACACATATATATATATATATATATATATAATGAAAGGGATTTGAGATACAGACAGAGGTGGAGGGCCATGTGAAGACAGAAGCTGACTTTGGAGTTATTCAGTTACAAGTAAAGAAAGCCAAGGATTATTGGCAAACCATGAGAGGCTAAGAGGCTAAAAGAAAGATACAGACCTAATTTCCCATCAAACCGTCCAGAAAGAACCAATTCTGTCAACACCTTGCTTTTATACTTCTAATAATCCAAACTGTGAGAGTATACCTTTCTGTTGTATTAAGCCACCAAGTTGGTGGTAATTTGTTCTGGCAGTCAGAGGAAACAAATATCTAGTTCTTTATATATTAAAAACTGGGAATGGGCACAGTGGCTCATATCTGTAATCCCAGCACTTTTGGAGGCCAAGGCAAGAGGATCACTTGAGCCCAGGAATTCAAGGCCAGCCTGGACAACATAGTGACACCCTGTCTTGACAAAAAAATTAAAAATTAGCTGGGTGTGGTGGCACACGCCTGTGGTCCCAGCTACTTGGGAGGCTGAAGTGGGGGGATCACTGGGATCTGGGAGTTTGAGGCTGTAGCCTGGTGACAGAGTAAGACCTTGTCTCAAAAAAAAACACTAAATAACTGGTGTGATGACTCAGTTCTCTTTTCCTTGGTCACAAAGACCATATTTAGAGAATGTGCATCTTTAACATTACGAAGCCTCCATCAACCTTGGTCCCAGACTGGGGAGAGAGAAACCATCCATCAATACATTTTGACAGTCCTATGCGTGTGAAATAAATGCTTGTTTTGTCAAGTCACTACAATTTTGGAGATATTTGATATCGCAGCATAGACTATTAATACCCTGACTAATACATAAGTAAAGAGAGGCTAAGGGATACAGTCAGAAACATTACTGTGTATTTCATTTTGGGTTCAAAATTAATTGTTTTTTGTAGGTCATATCATCTTAAGGTGACATCCGACTTTCATACTCAGGAAATAAACCTTTCATTAAATGTATGGGATTGGAGAGAGAGGAAGTAGTCAATAACAGAATGCTGAAGAAAGGGGTTGAATACCAACTCACAGATTCTTTTAATATTTTTGATAAAATATAGAATTTTCTATAAACTGGACATGGCTGGAGAAAAATGGATGTTCAGTAGTATTGTTTCTCATTTGGTTTTTATTAAAATCATCTAGAGACATGAGGAAAAACCTGGCTTTTCCCCATAGCTGACTAGAGTGAAAACTTTGTTGCAGGGGACATTTTTGCAGTTCAATTCATATATGAGACATGAATATGGTAAGGAAAGGATGTTTCAACAGTGCTCATTATAAGTAGGGCTTGAATGAAAAAATAATTTCTTTCTAACTCTATTCAGGTTGTTGGATCAATTCAATTAGACTTCTTGGTTAATCCCTGTCCCTTTATTTCATCATATTTTAAAAATTTTATCTACATTTTAAATTTTTTCTTGAGTTGGCAAACAAAGATCAACTGGAACTTACATCAAAGATAAACATTTTTCATTGAAATGAAATGCTCCCATATATACTCAAATTCATATTCCTATCTTTACCTCTATCCCATAAAATGAGGGAAAAATTGTGTTATATTTTCTAGAAAATAGGTTTTTGTAATTTCTTTATCCAATATATTTTATGATATACTTGAGGTATACTGCCTCTTTCAGTGGGGGAATAATATATTCTGCTCTGCAGAAATTAATAAGAGTTTCTTATAATTGTATTTTATATAATAATGCTCTTTTCATTCTTTAATTTATAAATTATAATTATATAATTTATAATTAATTATAAATAAATAATTTATAATTAATTATAATTAATTTAGGAACAAGTCGTGTTTCTAGCTGATAAGTGTATAAGACAAGACAGATGGAGTTCTGTTTACTTATGAAAATCATTTTATATTGTTGGAGATAAAAACCCAGATAATATACTATAATATACTATACTATAATATAATATAATACATATTCTGTAAAAAATAAAGCAGGGAAGAGTGGGGGTATCTATTTTAGATAGATGGATCAAAGGTGTTGTGAGGAAGTGACGTTTGCACAGAGACCTGAGTGGAGTCGTAGAGTAGAGTGAGAAAGGGTCTGGACAAACACTACATCAGGGAAAGGAAAGCATCTCAGGCAATGTGAAAAGGCCCTGCACTGTGCTGATTACATAGCAGACACAGCCAATAGGCCAGGGTGTCTGGGACAGAGAGAACAAGGAAGAGGCAATACCTCTATGATATGGGGATGTACCCAGTAGCCAGACCATGGTGGGCCTGAGAAGCCACAATAAAAAAGTTTAGGCTTTATTCTAGATGTAGTAGAAGACCACTGGGGGACATGGGGGTGTTGACCAGCGACAGACAATATATTTTGTGTTTTAAATGGATAATTTGACTATTAGACTGAGTATAAAATGTAGTGAAATACCAAAGGAGACAAAAAAAACAAAAGCCTTCTGCAGTTCTGAAGAGAAGTGGCCTTGGTGGCTTGGATTAGTGTGATTAATGGTGGAAGTAAAAAGAAGGGGTTAGATTTCAGACATACCTGGAAGTAGAGTCAGTTAGTCATTTATTTCTCTAGCTTTATTCCCAGCCATCTTGCTGATGTTGAGTGTGAGAGAAAATGTAAGTCAGGGCAATTGGGGAAATGGTGGCACTGATTCCTACATGGATAATTAAGGTTTATTGTTGATGATCTGACTTCTAGAAAGGACATCATCATTTGGCATTGTGTTTTCTATAAAAAAATTGTATGGCAAACTTTTTCTTTTGCATTTCTTTCTTGAAAACCTCCTCCCTTAAAGGATACATAATATGTATCCATCCATCTATATACCCATCTATCTATATCTTTCTGTTTATCATCTATACATCTATCCATCTGTCCATTCTTCCAACACTGTTACAGAGTTGTGTATTAAAAAAAAATCGACAGAAAACAAAACAAAACATTAAAAAACTTCCCTGTGAGGGGGTAAGGAATGCTGAACCCCATCCCAAACTATGTGCCAAGCTGTGAGCTAGAATCCACTAGGAGGACCACGGTCTTGTTCTTTGCACAATGGTACCACCTATTTAATTTTCATCTTTAGAACCTGGGAAAATAAGAGTCCAAGAAGAAAAACCTTTAAAGAGAAAGATACAGAGTTACCATTTTTTTTTACCTTTTGTAATTTACAAAAAAAAATTTGTGGTAATAAAGGATAGTATCAACCTGATTTTATGCCTTGGTATTTTGTGTCCAAAACAGCATTATCTGTATTAGGGTTTTTACTAATTTACTAAACATATATATATTTTTTATTTTTAATTCTTTATTTGTATGTACTTTTTGAGGGAAGTGGTCATTCTGCCCACGTTTCAATAAAAGACATTTCCCCTTCTCTGTCATGTTTATTGATCCAACAACCTAATACAAGATCAGAATACATGCAGGATTAGAATTTGGACTCTATCTTCTTGGAACCTAATTCCAGGAATGAATCTTAGGAACAGAAGGCATAGTTGGACAAGAGCCCATTAAAGCCACAGCAATGCGAAAGCCAAAATGCCATCCAAAGAATATGGCACAGGCTCTCTAATTATGAAGTATTGGTCCTTACAACATGGGAGATATTACATCCATTGAGAAAGCTTTGAAATAGGCAAAGGACATGAACAGGCACTTCTTAAAAGAAGACATGCAAAGTGACCAACAAACATATAAAAAATGCTTATCATCACTAATCATCAGAGAAATGCGAATCAAAACCGCAGTGAGATACCACCTCACAGCAGTCAGAATGGCTATTATTAAAAAGTGAAAGCATAACAAATGTTGCTGAGGTTATGGAGAAAAGGGAAGGCTTATACACTGCTGGTGAGAATGTAAATTAGATCAGCCACTGTGGAAAGCAGTTTGGCGATTTCTCAAAGAACTTAAAACAGAGCTGTTATTCAATCCAGCAATCCCCTTTCTAGGTATATACCCAAAAGAAAATAAATCATTCTACCAAAAAGACACATGCAGTCATATGCTCATTGCTGTGCTATTCATAATAGTAAAGACATGGAATCAATTTAGGTGCCCATCAACTGTAGATTGGGTCAAGAAAACGTGGTACACATATATACCATGGAATATCATGCAGCCATAAAAAAGAACAAAGTCACGTTCTTTGTGGCAACAAGGATGTAGCTGGAGGCCATTATCCTAAGCAAATTAAGGCTGGAACAGAAAACCAAATACTGCAGGTCCTCACTTATAAGTGGGAACTAAACATTGATTACACATGGATATACAGATGGGAATAATAGACACTGGTGACTACTATAGGGAGAAGGAAGGGAGGATGGTGTGGGTTGAAAAACAGCCTATTGGGTATTATGATTACTACCTGGTTGACAGGATCTGTACCCCAAATTTCAGCAACATGCAATATACTCAGATAACAAACCTGCAAATGTACCCCCTGAATCCAAAATAAAAGTTGAAATTATTTAAAAAAGAAAGTTTTTGGGAGGCTGAGGCAGGAGAATTGCTGGAACCCGGGAGGTGGAGGTGACAGTGAGCTGAGACCGTGCCACTGCACTTCAGCCCAGGTGACAGTGCGAGACTCCATCTCAGAAAAAAAAAAAAGTTGTGTATTATGTTGTTATTTGTAAAACAATCCCTCATTTCATATTTTCTCTGATTAAGTGATTTATCTGGCAAACATTATATTTTGTGAATGTGAAGCTTCATTGTTACCTAAAGATGTATGCTTCTTTTGAATATTTTCCATGAATTCAAAAATCATGTTGAATAATCTAAAATGATCATCTCTGTAAAGGCACTATCCAGGATTTTAAGTGAAAACTCTGTGTTTGATTAACTATTTTTAATTAAATGGAAAACTCTCATATTCACATCATTAAAGGGGTAATATAGACTGTGCTGCCTTCTAAATGACTATCTTAGTCAGCTCGGGCTGCCATAACAAATGACCATAGACTGGTGGCTTCAACAACAGATATTTATTTCTTACAGTTCTGGATAAGGGAAGTCTCAGATCAGTGTACCAGCATGGCTGGGTTCTTGGTGAGGGCCCTTTTCTGGGTTGTAGACTATTGACTTCTCATTATATTCTCACATGGCAGACAGAAAGTGAGGTTTAGTGTCTTTCTCTTCTTTTACGGACACAAACCTAATCATGGTGACCCACCCACATGACCTCATTTAGCACTAATCACCTCCCCAAGGCCCCACCTCCATATACTATCACATTGAGTATTAGGAATTTTGAATTTTGGGGAGACCCAAATTCAGTCCATTAACAACGGCCTTCAACCAGTATAGTCTGAATGAGCCATATGTGGAAATGAAACTTACCAACAGTTTTCTTATAAAAGGGGAAAGGATTTCCACATTAAGTCATTTCATATCATTCCTTGAATTCAGACAAATAAATTTCTTGAAATTCTTTTCAGAGCTGATTCAATTTATCCACATGGCTTTAGTGCCATATGTGAACATTAGGTCTCTTTTAAAAATGATGGGGGATAATAAATGTGTTAGGAATTTGTTTTTCTGAAGTGAACTAATGACAGAGAAACATATGGTGAAATATATTTTTAATTACTTTTCAACAATGTAAATGATTTTTTCCTTATATTCATATTTAATGTTCTTGATCAAGCTTACTGAAGAATCTTCTCAGAAAGAACACACCATTTTGCATAACACATGACTAATTTTATGGGTAATATGTATCAGTATATGTAAGTGATATCTTTACTGCAGGATTTTTAGAACTTTGCTTACTATGATTCTTTATGTCTTCATATAGAAAATGATTTCCTTTCCCCCTCCCCAAACTAGCATTGCCACTCTTGAGATTTTTCCATTCTATTGATTTTTTTTAAATCAATAATTTGGATTTGATTTGACTGTTTCAGGTTAAGGCTAACTTAAACACTAAGAAAACATTGAAAGCCCAGGATTAAAAAGTTAAGTTTTTAACCCCAGCTGTTCAGTTTTATTATATTTGAGGAGCATGTTATATAGATTATGGGTTGGTGGGCTGGGGTGTTTGAAACTTTCAGGTTTAGTGAGTTGAAGTGGTTAGGGAAACCTCTGATTTTATTAATGTCACAAAATGTTCTGGAGTGCTGGTGCTTCCTACCACCAGTAGGCAGAAATTACATGAGATTCAATACTGAAGATGAGATAATGGCTGTATTAGTCTGTTCTCACACTGCTAATAAAGACATACCTGGGACTCGGTAATTTATAAAGGAAAGAGGGTTAATTGATTTACAGTTCCACAGGGCTGGGGAGACCTCAGGAAACTTATAATCATGGTGGAAGAAGAAGCAAACATATCCTTCTTCACATGGCAGCAGGAAGGAGAAGAATGAGAGTGAAGGGGGAGAAACCCCTTATAAAACTATCAGATCTTGTGAGAACTCACTGTCACAAAAACAGCATGAAGGTAACTGTCCCATGATTCAATTACCTCCCACTTTGTCCCTTCTATGACACGTGGAGGTTATGAGAACTAAAATTCAAGATGAGATTTGGGTGGAGACACAGCCAAACCATATCAATGGCTAAAATAAAAATTCATTGCATATAAAGAGTCATATACACATAAGAAATTAAAGCTAGAGCTAGATTTCCCACTCCATAGATCATTCTCACAGGCCATCTTTCTTCCTTTTGGAGACCAGTTAGATTATACTCTGCATACCTACCTTTGCCACTCCATTATTAAAGAAAAAGCAACATAGCATAGTATTGCCCAATCCCTCTTTATTTGTCTTTCTGTTTATTGTGTCTTATATTGTGGCTTTGTTTCCAGGAATTGAAAAAATGCCAGTCTATAACGGTTAGCTCAGGGCACTTGCTATCCCTTTTAATGAAAAATGAGTACACAGAAACAAGGGACAGATTGAAGCAATACTTTTCTAGAGTTCCAACTCCATGGTAGATAATATTTCAACATTTGAATGTCCCAGAAGTTTTGGTTTTGAGCAAAATTTAACAAGTGGGACTTCTGACATACAGTTGAGAGACATTCTAAGCCCCTGAATCAATCTGGCTTATTAAAGGAATAAAAGAAAAACTTTTTATCATGTGTATTCAAAACATGGTGAAGCGTATGTAACATGCAGGATGCCACCTGGATTGCAGAACCTATTCTTAGTTTTCCTTCCCTTGAGTAATCACACTAAACTTTTCTGATTGAGAAGATTTGCATTTTCACCCCTCTGCCTGGCTGGGGCAAGTCTGCAAACAGCTGCATACTGGATCAATTACTTGATCTAGAAATCAAAACTGTCTAGGCCTTAGTCATACCTCAACCAACAATTACTATGGTCTCCAAATTAACTCTCAGCCAACTGGATGTGCTAAGTTGCACAAGAGCTAATGTCACACTTTCCACTGAAGAAGTTTTAGATGAGCCAGAAAGAGGGTGTCAGGCAGAGAAAAGTATTCAGATACAGACACCGATATTTGAGGTTCCTGTGACAGGAGATGAAACCATTCAAATAGGAGGAGATTTTGCTCACAAACTCCTAATGTTTGCACCTATGGGTTAGAAACCAGATTACATTCAACCCCACTGTGAACATTAGATGTCCTGAGGTGTCTACCTTTGGCTGCAGTTGGTTGAGTTGACTATCTGTATGATCTGCCAGCCCATTAAGTGATACTAAAGACTCAGTCATGTGGCAAAACAAAGCTGAAAAAGCATAGCACACTTGGCAAATGTTGAGGCCAATTTTTTAGCAAAAGAAAGAAAGAATAAATGAATACAATTTAAAAAGTGAACCAGTGCTATATTTAAGTGTTTTAAGGTTGTTTTGTTTTTGTTCTTCTTTCTCTTTCTCTTGTTCATATCTCTGCAGGATGCCAGCCCCAGGCTGAGGTGTATAGATGCATTGGTAGTCTTATTCCTTAGTAGGGGCCCTGTTGATGAGGTCACACTGTATTTCTCATGTTCTTTGTACGTAGGTGTATATTATGTGACTCTTCACCAGTCCCTTCATCCGAGGTTCTTGGGGGCCTCCTGCTTTTACACTCTAAAGGCACCAGGCTTCTCTCCTGCTGAGGGGAAGCAATTAGGTACTTTCACCATAGTGTGAAAACATTAAGTTTAAAGTTGTAGGAGGACTTGAAAGTAGAAAATAAAAAAAACCCACAAACATCTTCTCTTCAAATATCTCCTATTTCTTGATGGGCCTTTTTGACATAATTCTTGAAAGGGAGTTTAAATTGTTGCCATGGTCTTTTATTCTTTCATTCCTTTTAGGGTTCCAAGCTCAGCTATGTGTTTTTTATTAAGATACTTTCTCGAAAGACTTGCACACCATCTCTAAAGGCCTCTTGCACATTTTCCAGCTGTTGTGTATTTCTTCTTTTGGTACTTCCTTTCTTTAATCATCTCTGGCACTGCCTGCCTCCTGTTCCATGCTGCTACCAGACATAGCCCACTCAACAGCTGGCCTCTAAGGAAGGAGCCTGCTGATGATCTTGCAATGTGACATTTATATTGTAGGTAGGAGACATCATTTTGGCAGCTTCTAGTTATGAAGGAGTAGGGTAGGTTACACTGCAAAACTGTACTTGGTCCGAAGCCCAAACAACTGACACTGGCCCTCAGAACACTTTAAAGAACAACTTATGAACTCTTCTTGGCCCCAGGAAGTGTTAATAAATGCCACAGTTTACCTATAAAAAATTGCTCTGGACTCGGGTGAGGACAAAATTCGGCTGAAGAATTATAATTTTTGCTGATCTCCGGATAAGAAATAGAGTCTCCAAAATGCATCCTTCTATTTTTGAGAGTGGAGGTAAGGTTTATTTGTTTTATTTGTTTGTTTTGTTGTTGTTTTCTTAAACCACCTTTTGACTTTTACATTGTAATTACACTGTAAGGTAACTCTGTGGACCTATCATATTGAACTGACTTTCAAATGGGAATTTATTCAATGAAATTTTCCACCAAAGTTGCCACAGGCCTTTGGCTTATCATCTTTAGAAAATGCTGGACACTTCATTCTCGATTGTCTCTGAGTGTGTTTCCTGTATGGTATTAGATCTACAAATTATTTTGTAAGATGCCACACTGCTGTTATAGAAAGTAACTAAGGAAACTTTCTACTTCAAAATAGACTGTCCTCCAAAAAAAAAAAAAAAAAAGCATAGAATGTGTTGGTTCTCCCTGATAATCATTTATAGAGGAAATTCTGACCATATGTTAAATGGAGCTGCTCACTTTGCTTAACTGCTATCTCCAGAAAAAAAAACAATAAATACTTCAACTGACATTATCACCATGACTCCCATTATCACCATCACTCCCATTATCACCACCCTCATCTCAGAAATTACCCCAGACACTGCACTGGAATGGTCTGTGGCTCTGTTTCTCAACAGCACCTCAGAAGTTTGGCTTTGTTGGTAGAGTTTTGCCTCCAATTAAAGACATTACTAAGAAGTCTTTGAAATGGCCTGTTTATAAAATCTCACTGGAAAATGAGAAACAACATTCCTTTCAGATTTCATTTTCAGTTCAGAAGGAGGAGAAAATGTTCTGTTGTTCTAGTGTGCTGCATTCTCTGGTCTGAAAACAGTCTCCAGCAATGGCCAACGCTGAGGAGTACAGAGTGTGAATTTTAAGTGTTGCTGCTCACACAGATACCCAGAGGACTCAGTCAAGCCCCAGCAGGAGTCTACTTGGCAGCGAATGTTGGAGGATAAAACTGCACTCAGTGACAACTGAACCCAGGGCAGTTTTGAGGCCACTGGGATGTGTCCTGGTTGTTTTTAAGGTTTATAATTTGCAGTAAGACGAATTCCAGTATTTCCTGGCTTCATTTAATTACTAAATTGATGTGGGAAATACAAACGAGGGTACCATTATTAGGAAAGAAATGTCTTTCCGAATAACTCCTGGCACTGAATCGAAGTCTGCAACTTCTGATTTTAACAATAGATGCTTGTCAGCTTCAGTCTATTAGTATTGCCAGAAGGGGAAAATACATGAAATTCCCAGGATGAGAACCCCTCCCCCCAGCATAACAAATACAAAATAAAGAGCAACTAACCCCACAGACAAAGCCTACCACTGCAGAAACTCTCTAGTCAGTGTGGGATGTCAGGATGGAGACGAAAGAGCACATCAGGCAATATGGGAAGCTATTTGTTTCTTTAGTTATTTCTTTATGACTTCTTCTGTATGTTCTCTCTATGGCTTAAACATGAAAAATAAACTTTAGACCTCATGGACAAAACATAGCAGTGGTAAAACAGAACTTTTAAAAAATCTGATATTAAACGTGCACTATATCAACGTGACACCAAAGCAAATTATCATCTCTGCTGAAATCTGTACAAAATCAATCAGTTGCATGGCATATATGGTGAAAAATGAAGATAATATTACCATGGGTGGCTATTTTAATATCATCTTGATATAGTCCTGAAGGAAATTTAGCATTCTCTTAGAAAGCTTTCCAGTGTCCTTCATTTTGATTTTGATGAAAATTTTTGTTGGTGAGAAAAAAAATTATTATCTTTGCAGGGAAATGGTTGCTAGGCTTTTACTTAATGATATAGAGGGCTCTAAGAGCGGGCAAAAATGGTCAGGGAGTGGTTTTATAATAAGTGTGAGTGAAGTTAAGGAAAATTTTCAGGCCGAATAAAATTTCTGAATGCTTATTGATTTGGGAAAGCTCTTCAGAAGGTTGACATAGACAGCAGCAATTATCTGTCCCTTTCTACATTGTCAACTGAAGGCAAATGAACTTTTTAAATTGGGTGAACAGTTTATATTCAGAATTTTTTAAAGGACTTACTTCATTTTTAAAATTTTAATTACAAAAGCAAAGTGTTCTTTTCTATCACTTATTATGTGAGCTGAAAAATCAAGTAATATCTATTTCAAGGGTGCATGAAGCTGTCTACAATTGGTTTTTCCTTACGTTTGCTTATCACTACCCACGTAGATGTTTTAAAAGCCAAGGAAATACAATGAAATGAACATCTCAAAGACAGACTGCCAATGGAATCCCTCCTCACTCATCCAAAAGCCTGCCTTTGATTCTTTTCTTTTCTTTCCCTTTCTTTTCTTTTTCTTTTCTCTTCTTTCTTTTTCTTTCTTTCTTTCTCTTTCTTTTTCTTTCTCTCTCTTTCTCTTTCTCTCTCTCTTTCTTTTTCCCTCACTCCCTCCTTCTCTCTCTCTCCTTCCTTCCTTTCTCTTTCTTTTTCATTCTCTCTCCTTCCTTCCTTCCTCCCTTCCTTCCTCCCTTCCTCCCTCCTTTCTTTCTTTCTTTCTTTCTTTCTTTCTTTCTTTCTTTCTTTCTTTCTTTCTTTCTTTCTTTCTTTCCTTCTTTCTCTCTCTCTCTCTCTCATTAGAATTCTATTGCACCAGTCAACCCCATTTTAAGGTTAATAGCTATTTATACTGTCAACTGAAATTTTCAGCAGGGAAACGCCGCTCAGAGTGGAAAGGATGACAAAGATGGAAAGAAGAAAAGATATCTCCTGATTAGACATATTCAGAAATATATCTACCTGTGAATAGAATAACCTTTGTAGAAAAAATATAGACCCATTGAGAAGGGTCCATGGTGAAATAAAAAATAATAGATGTTTAAGAACAAGGTTTTCGATTACTTCATTGAACTCTGCATTGAGTTCAGCTATTGAAACAACTTGATTAACCATAAAAAGAACATTTTCCCTCTAATGTGATATTTCTATACATGTTTTCTCAGAAGACTAATTTCAGATCATTTTACTGGGAACTGTGCTGTCTTGGAGAAATATTTCTTGCAAAGATTCTTTTGTGAAGTATTTTCTCTCTGAATGCCAAAGCACAGGTGGAATAGATAGATGGTTTACTAAAATTTAAAGTGAGCCAAGAATAGGCATTTTTGGAAAACCATCTAATTTGGAAACTTATGGGTATAAATATTAAAGTTATTATGATAATTATGGGAAATGGGAAAAAAGAAAAAAGTAAAAATGTTATAGTAGCACTTTATTTTAGATCTCATATTCCTTTTGACCTGCACCTGTTTTCCTGGAGAAATACTTACAATTATAAAATACATACAAATGTACCTAACCTGCAATTGCCTGTATCCTTCTTTATTATCACTTTGGATAACTATACAATATACTACTTTATTGATGTACCACTATTTACCCAACACCCTGATTTTTGGACATAGAGTTACCTTCAATTATTCAAAATTATAAGTACTGTTGCCACAAAAAAAAAAAAAAACACAGCAAACAATACTGCCCTAGAATTCATAATTCTTGAGTTCCAGCTGTTTTATTGGGAATATAACATTAGAGAACTTACTTATTTCTTAATTGCTTCACTTGTCAAACAAAAACGATAATGCTTGCCTTTAACAGAGTTTTGGTGAAGATCAAATATATGACTACTCTTTAAAAATTGTAATTTACTGAAATAAATATATTTATCTCCAGGATAAATCTGAAGGATGAACCAAATAGGATGAGGCCTATTGTGTAGAAATAGGATTCTTTGGCTGCATACCTTTAAGCTTTAATGAATTTCAGGGTTCTCTGCTCACTCAAAATTAGAAACAAGAGCTGTAATTGACTAGTGTTAGAACTCAGTGGAGGCTAAAACCTGGCTGTTTACCTTCACTGGTTATAGTTTTACCCTAGAGCCACAAATGCTTTGGGGAATGAGAACTTACAAGATGATAACACTTTATAAATACATATCACTTTGCTCATTTACAATGAGCTACCTACAATGCTGTTTTGCTATTTACAATGCATTTTCACATACATTATCTCAATAATTTTTACTACCTTGTACAGAAAGTTATGAGTACGATGTTCACTTTATAGAGAAAAGGAGCTAAGGCTCTGGGAAAAAATTATATATAAGCTCATAAACTTCATGGTAGAGATGAAAAGAACCCAAATCTTTTAGTTTTTGAATCCTGGGTGCCACATGAAACATACAGGATCTAAAGTAATGTACAGTATAACGAGAACAACTTGAAACATTTCTGAGTTTTTTTATGAGACATAGGGCATTTCTATTGCAAGGCCCACTCAATCCTCAACACAAATATGCAGATACACATAAATGTATGTGTGTCTCAAGGGGAGAGGACACATGTTTGTATGTGTTGTGTCCTCTTCCCTTTAGACGTTCAATAAATCAAAATTTTCAATTTTGAAATCTCTAAAACCTATACTCAGAAACAAACATGAATACAAACATTATTTCTTTTAGAAACTCAGTAAGTAAAATTTTTAAATTATTCTATATTTCAATTTGAGCTGTAAAAGTGGTCATTACTGTTTCAATTTTTATTTATCAAATTCCTAATGGTGTTAAAGATATTTGTATAAATCTTGGTTAACAATTTTTTTCCATAAATCATCTCTTTGATGTTTATCAATTGTAATAATAGTATTAATTATAATTATAATTCTATAATACTTACCTACTGCTATGTAACAAATTATCCTCAAATTCAGCAACTTAAACATTTATTATCTCTCAGTTTCTGTGGGCCAAAATTCTGGGCGCAGCTTATCTGGGTGCTTTAGCTCAAGATTTCTCATGAGGTTCCAGTGAAGTTTTCATGAAGGATACTGTCTAATCTGAAGATTGAACTGTTGGGGGAGGAAATCTGCTCCCAAGCCCACTCATGTGGTTGTTGTCAGGCCTCAGTCGTTTGCTATCTGTGTATTGCCATGGAGGTACACATGACATAGCAGCTGGCTTCCTCAAGGGTGAGAAAGACAGTAAGAGAGTGTGCTCGAGGCAGAATTTTTAATCTAATTTTGGAAGTGACATCTATCACTTTTGCTACATTTTATTCATTAGAAGGGAGTGATCTTGTAGAGTTCATACTCAAGGGGAAAGGATCATATAAGGGCATCAATAACAGAAAATGAGATATTAGGCATCATCTTAGAGGCTGCTTGCCACATATCTTTGACCGTTTTTCTATCTTTTCATGGACATGGAAAAAGTATTTATATATTAAGGTCATTATATATTATGACTATCTGTCCTTTTAAAACTAAATAGTTTTCCAATTTTGAATATAACTTTTATATTTCCTTCCTTCCTTCTCTCCTTCCTTCCTTTCTTCTTTCCTTTCTGTTATTGTGTAGTCAACCATTTTTAACGATCTATCTAGATGCAAACTTTGAGTCATATATCAGACTCGTAGTATAGGTAAATTTTTGCAGAAAAAAGTGAAAAGAATGTTGTTGAAATTGTTTCTACAAATAAAAGACTTTGACGAATCTTCTGGCTTATTGCTGAAACTTAATATAGATTTAGTTGTAGTTACAACTATTAAGATTTTCAAACTACATTTGCTAAATGTATCAAAGTTATTAATTTCTGTTCCACTTTTATTTCTAGTGACTAACATAGTCTGGGAGTGAACTAGAAATGCATTTGGAAGTTTCTACCATATGACAGGAAGAATGGTCAGGTGAAAAGAAATAACAAGGTCATGTTTTCTCTAAAAATTAAAATGGAATGAATGGCTTGCATTAACATTTTTCAGTTTACTCTTAAAACAGCTTTATGGATATGTAAGTGATTTAAAATTGAATGAATTTCCTTTTGATAAAGAATGTTTCTTCCTATCCTAGATATTCAAGTAGCAATGGAAGCATCTATCAATGAAGATGTAGAAACAGAATCTTGACTGGGGCAGGAAGTTGAACATGATGATTACCAAGATCTCTTACAATCTAACACACATCTAATATCTAAAATTTGAAGTATTGGCTGGTTACAGGTAAAAATTGTGTTGTGAAGTCATTCATGATTTTCTTCCTTTTCTCATCAGAAAATCCTTTATCCAAAGAATGTGATTAATATCACTATGAAACATATCAGTTCAAATTCTCATTTTCTTCCTCTGTAAAATGAAGAAAACAACATTCACTTTAGATTTTTAAAAGAAGATTGAATGAACTCAGATTTTCCCAATGTGTTATAAATTGCCAGAACAAACCTGAGAATGTTTTCTCCGGTTCCTGATTGGACCAGATAAAGCACTTGCCTAGAACAACCTGAGGCATACAAAGGGGTGAACCTAACACATGTATTTTCTCCATAAGGCACTTCAGAGTCTTCTTGCACTCAGGAACACCAGGCAGCACTTCAGTCCTATGCCTGGAAGCCATCTTAAACGTTACAAGCAAAAAGCACAAAATGCCAAAAACATGACACTAAATGGACCATGAGAAGGATAGACAGTTATTTAAATTATGGGACCTGAAACAAAGTGGCGGAGGGTTACCTTGTTCAAGCTCAGTTGGGAACCTTCCCATTAGGTGACACAACTCTGTTGCCACTTTTCACATGTCCTCAAATGACTGTGAATGCACTGAGATTATGGATTTGGGGGTTATGCATAAATTTAGTGAGTAGGTGAATTTGACAATATGAAATCCATTAATAATGAGGTTAGATTGTACCTGCTGCATGTTATACGGGAAAAGAGTTATATGGAAGAGCAGGATTTCAACAGTAATAATAATGGATTATTTTTCAAGGACGTTGTCAAATGAACCTTTTTAATACAAATGGCATTTTCACTGATGTTAATGTGAACAGTGGCTCAAAGGAACCTAACCCAGTATTTCCCCTTGGAGCAGTAATTAGTATTCACTAATTTATTGTTTGTAGTAACTTTATAGAATATGCTACTGTGAATAATAAGAAATGACTACATAGTCACCAAGACAACAACAATGATAATATTGGATTATTTGCTAAGAACTTTCTAATCCTGTACTAAGCACAGGACTAAGCATTGTACAAACATTTTACAGCAGACAATTGAGGAATCTGTATTATTCATATTTTATAGAAGATGAAATTATAATTCAGTAAATTTAAAGATCTAGTGTAAACAAAGAACTGAATTGTAAATACAGAGCTTTCTGATTATGAAGCTAATGATCTTTCTGCTAATCTACAATGTCCAACTTTAATAATGAGCTTGATTGAGTATGTATTGTATGTTAGACCTGCTTGTAAAGTCAATGAAATGATTTGATTTTCACTGTCAAAATTCCCAAGCATAAATGCAGCAATTGGGAGGAAATCTCTCATCTATCAACAAGTTATTGTTTCTGGCAATTTTTACCAAAGAGATAAATCCACTACTCTTCCAACTCTTGTCTTTCTTTATCTGTTATTGTTTTATCAGTTATACTGTGGGCACGGTAATGTATATTCCAGAACACTTCATTTATTTGGACATACCATATGATCTGTTGACTGAGATTATTCTAATTTGCTAAAACGATTATATTCATAAAAAGTGCTATAGCAAGTAACCATAATACTGATTTTGAATTGCATAATTATGAGAATAGAAGTTTTCAGAACTAGAGTTAGGTTTTTTCTATCATTGCTGTCCCACTTTTCATTTCTACTATTGTTCATAGAATAAAATTTTAAAGTGTGAAACTTTCTGATAAATGTGAAGCAGTATTTTTTGTTTTTCCATTTTTTGAGAAATTAAAAGGGCACAGAAATATGATTTTAGAGGAATGTTGCATAGAGATAATGATATGTATTACACTTCTTGAAAATAGATGACCTTTCCTTGGATCTTAAGTAGGGGGCAGGAAGAAGTAGACAAGAGATAACTTAGGAAGGCAGCTTATAGGAATGAAGGGGCAATATGGCCCTCCTGCCTCACTGGATGTGTTTTCTATAACTTGCAATCCAGGGCTTGTATCAGTGAGTTCTCTGCCATTGATTTTTCTCTTAGGAAATTCATCATATTATTATGTAATTTGTACTTGCGATGAAGAAATCATATTAATCACTCTACATCCTAACATTGTGAAAATATTTATAAAGACACCCAGACTCTTATGTTCATTATGCTACAACATATCATAACACAGTTTTCTGTGATCACATTATAAATGCATATTTGGGGGTTATATACAAATGAACATCTTAATCATTCAATGGGAAAGTCTATGAATATGTGGGAGGTAGTTTGAGTGAATGAGTATAAAAGAAATGTTGTGTTCAGCAAAGATCAACTGACTCCTCCACAGTTTAGCCTGAGCTTGCCCTGCCTGCCAAGAAATGCAGAACATAATTCTTTTTTTTAATGATATCCCTGAATATCTTGCAAATGGATTTCCAATCACGGTTACATAGACATTCGTTGTAGATGTAAGTCTTATAACTTAATACAAGGTAAAACCTATGAATTCGTAAAATATGGTGGCTATAAATGACTAAAATATATTCCAGTTTTATCTGAAATATGCTTTCTGGTTTTCACTCAATTAAGTATATGCTACAATTTTTGATACTTAAAAAAACCTATTGTATTTCAATAAACAGTAAGGAGTTATATAAGATTTTCCACAGTGAAAATTACTTTTTGAGATTTCCCATTACTATTTTTGCAACATTCAAAAGCTATCATCTTGGGGTCTTGGTATACTGAGGAGGTATTAGAAGAAAATTGTGAAAATAACTATTTTTAAAATGCATACTAATAATGTAAGAATTATAAAAATTATTAAAAAGTTTAAAGACAAATGCAAAGAAATTCTTAAAATTTTACTGTCTAGATAAAGGCATAATTAACATATATTAATCATTTTTTCTTTCTTTGTCTCTCTCCATACTACACACACACACACACACACACCCACAAGAGGGGTGATCCAAAGAGTTGCTTTTTATTTATAGTTTTAATTTTTGCTGAAATTCTTTCTATTCTCTCATTAACCACTTTTATTTTCTCATTATATCTATAGATCCCACATGCTATATGCATTTACAACAGTTATTTTAAAATATTTGTTTACTAATTTCAAAATCTGTGTTATCTTTGCATCTTTTTCTATGAACTGATTTCTCCTAGTTATGGGACATAGATTCTTGTTTTCTTTTTGTCATATTAATTGTCTGTTGGTGCATAAAAATTATCCTAAAACTTAGCACTTTAAAGCAATGATTACTTATTATCTTATAGAGTGTCTGAGGGTCAGAAATCTGGGTGTGGTGTTGCTGGATTGCTGTGGCTCTAGGTGTCTCATGTGGTTGCAGTCAAGTTGTCAGTCAGTGTTGCAGTCATCTAAAGAGACTGAAGATGTACTTCCAAGCTCACTCATTTGGCTGTTTGCAAGTGCTTTGGTTACTTGCTATATGGCCCTCTTCATCTACTAACATGATATGATTGCTGGATGCTGTCAGAGCTCGTGATCTCAGAGAGTGAGAGGGGGTGAGGGGGAGAACCCAAGATGGAAGTCACAATATTTTTTTATTTTTTTTGAGACGGAGTCTCGCTCTGTCACCCAGGCCGGACTGCGGACTGCAGTGGCGCAATCTCGGCTCACTGCAAGCTCCGCTTCCCGGGTTCACGCCATTCTCCTGCCTCAGCCTCCCGAGTAGCTGGGACTACAGGCGCCCGCCACCCCGCCCGGCTAATTTTTTGTATTTTTAGTAGAGACGGGGTTTCACCTTGTTAGCCAGGATGGTCTCGATCTCTTGACCTCATGATCCACCCGCCTCGGCCTCCCAAAGTGCTGGGATTACAGGCGTGAGCCACCGCGCCCGGCCGGAAGTCACAATATTTTATAACCTAATTTCAAATGTGACATCCCATTACTTCTGCCTTATTCTATTTATTGAAAACAAGTCACCAAGCCCAGCTGAGCCCACACTCAATGGGAGGTGATTACACAGTGGTATGAGTATCAGAAGGTAGAGATCACTGGGGGCCATCACTGAGGCTACGTGTAGAACATGTCTAGTAATTTTTTAAGGAGCACTGGACATTATAATGTTTTTTGGTTAAAGACTCCCTTTGTTTCCTTTAGAAATTATTGAGTTTTATTTTGGCAGGTAGTTATTTTAATTCTGGATCAATTTTACCTCAATATGTTGTTAGACTTGCATAAAAAGCAATCAAGAGTATTCTTTCCTCCAGGATTAGACTAATCAGTTACTGCTGAAGTGTGGTCTTTCTAGGGTCTCAATGCTCAAGGGGTTCAGCAAACTCTCTCTACTCTGGCTTGACAGATTCTATGGACCTCTGAGAAATGCTAACTCTCTTATGCCTAATATACACATATGCATATATGTGCATATATTTATCAGGTATGTATGTGTGTATATTTACACTAATTTTGGACCCCACTGTGTATCTATATTGTACAGTATACTCCATTCGTATAGATATTGTGGAAAATAGCCTATCTCCTCTTATTTGTGTTGTCATTCATCTATGTTAAAAATATAGTTGATGTGGAAATGAATTGGAATACAGATACCACATATTTAGTAAGTTAAATAATGATTTATAATTTTGATTAAGAGGTGGAAGACTAGAGAACAATTGTAACAGATATTCAAGAGAATGAAAATAATTTGGAAATTAATCTTTTAGTGTCTACTTCTCATGCTAGTAGTACAATGAACTAGGTTTCTATTCAACTTCATTAACTTGTGATGTAGTTGATATATGATTTTGGATAAATTGACATCAATACAGGATATTCAACATCTACTGAATGAAATAAATTTTATGTGAAGTTGTATCCTCATACCTTCATTTGAATTTATATTTGCAGTTTTATTAGGCTTTCAATGTGTTTATACACATACTCATTTTGTCTATAGCTTTCATGCAGTAAAAAAGCCTTAAAAACCTTTAAAACATCAAGCTTTTGCATAAGAAGATTGTGATGTCATGTTAGAGCATTTTTTATTTTTCTAAACACCTTGGAATTAATTTCAAGGTTGATGAAATCACCAGGATTCCTTGAGGCATGTTTTAAAAACATATTATGGTGAAAAATGTCTTAAATTGTGTATGATATGAACACTAAATTATATTTACGATTGTTAAGTACTGTTACATTTAGAAGTAGTAGAACATCTATCTCAGAATAGATTTCCTTGTAACAGTTTTCTTAAATGTCAAAAAGCAAACGAGAGAACTCTGCATTACAGCAAATTTATATTTATGGTTTTTTTCTCCAAGACAAAGTTAACATTTGAGGAGCTACAAGGTTTTATTATTCTAAACATAGAGCAGAAGGACCATTCATGAAGAGTGCTGGAAATGCTAGATAAGCTCTTAGTGACTGGCAGTGCCAAAGCTAGCTGAACTTAAGTTATCTTGTATCCTTCCTTATTATTTTGCCTTGTTGTTGCTAAAGGGGAAATCTATTAACTCAGAGGAAAATTCAGACCAAAGAATCAATTACTTCCTTTTCTATATTCGTCATGATTAATCTACCCTTATTTTTGTTTAGCATGAGGACATGGTTTCCAGTATAAATCATCTGAACATTCAAAGATGCTTTACCTTAAATAAAATTAGGTATTGGTGACTGCAGTCAGAAATATGAGGAATAAAGGACATATGCTAAATCACTTCTTTCTTACCAAATACATTCTTCACTCTGCCCCTGCTGTGCTAGTCCCGAGTTATTCCAGAGATTGGCTCACCAGCTGGGCTTTATTATACCAATTACAATTGCTTTGGCTCCTTCTGAAAGTATAAAATGATGTGATCAATGGCTTGACAATGCACATTATCATGCATACAAATGTAATTCCTTCATTCAAAAGTATGTGAGTATCTCTGACATTATGCTTTAAAAATATTTAAATTATTAATAATTATTCATTGATGAGATCAGTTGGGATTTTACACTTGGAAGTGTAGAAATTTGAAAATCTGTCATTATCCTCTAGAAGACAATTGCTTTCAACTCCACAGGTCCCCAAAATTGTTAGAGTATAACAAAACATATTTACAGTATAGCACAGTGGATTAGAAATAAGCTTTGAGGTTCTCTCTGCCACTTAAAAGATGTGTGACCTTGATTAAATTACTTAATCTTCTTTCTTGCAGTTTCATTATCTTAAAATAAAGTTAACAATTTCAATATTGTCGTATATTATCGTACTGTTATGAGGATTAACATGAGATAATTTATGTAAAATACTTACCCTGACTTGTACATAGTGAGTGCTCAAAAAATATTTGTTGAATGGATACATAGATGAATATTCTTCCAAGATTGTCTCATTAAATCACTTTTCATTACAAAGAAAAACAAAAATGACATTTTTTCCCCAAGCTACCTTTATTAATTTGATTATAACTCCTTACTGGCTGAAATGTTCTCAGTCAATCATTAGCTTTATTGAATACACTTGCAATTCTAAGCACTAGTTATGTACCTACAAATTCCAAATTGCAAGGAAAAATACAAAATTTAAGAAACAGGACATTATGTATAAGGACGTACTACTACAAATGTACAATCTTTATATTACTCAAAATTCTCCTAATGAAATGAGTACTCAAAAATCTCTTACTAACTGTTTCTATCTACTTACCTATTATATAAAATTTATGGGCAAGTATTTGCATTTAGAAGTAAGTCCTAGAAGAGGGAAAATAGAAGAACTTCTATAAAGGATGAGTTTAGAGTTCAAAATTCTATATTTTCATTTCAAATGAATTACATTTTAGTTCTGTGAATGTAGACAACTCAAATTCTTCTGAAACTTGTTTCTTTCATTCACTGAGAATATAGAATGATAAATAACATAATAACTTGAAAGTGCTTGGTGAACCAGAAAGCATTGGCCCATCTACAGAGTTATGGGACTGTCATCCATCATTGCCAGGAGGGCATGCAACTATCTCTATTGCGATTCTCTGATCAGAAGTGTGAGGAACTTTTAATAGGCTGTCACTATCAGCTCCCATTTCTGCTCTAACTTGGTTCTTTGTCATAGTCCCAGAAAATCTGAAAAGGGACTTAACATAGTGGGTCATTTGTGAGGTCTCAAAGAGGGAGGCATCCTGATTCAACCTGCCCATACTAATTTATTCTGATCCTGTTTCTTATAATGAATCTTAATGTTCATTTATCTTCAAATCATTCTGCCATATACCACATATTTATGTCTGTATATTATTTTTTAACCAGTTCTATTAACCTAGATCCTCAATAGAAGCCTACAAAATCCTCAGAGTAAAGTTAATATGAACTTATCCATCACATCTCCAGAAGGATTCTCTGGAAATGCCTCCCTTTGAGCTAATCTCTCCTAATTCTCTGCTCCCATATACTTTTATTTTTGTAGAGACCAATAAATAATGTAATTTTTTTTTACATATCTGTCTGCCTGATTAAACTGAAAGTCCTATAAGGGCAAGAATGATAGGTATACCTTTTTTATAAAAAGAAAATTTATCAGTGTAATTATAGGAATCAGCATAATGTTAAATACTTACTGAAGTGAAATGAAAGAAAAAATTATAAAATGAGTTGTATCCTTTTCTAAATAAATATATGCTTATTAAAAAATACTTAGAAAAACATAAAAGAAAAAACATTAAAATACAATCGCAAAAAATAATGAGATATTATTTTAGAACCACTCTATTGATAAAAATTATAAAGATTGAGAGTATTAACTATTGGTAAAGATAAAGGAAACACTGAGGGAATGTAGGTTTGTTAAATATTCTACTGGAAATATCTATAAAATCAATATATGTAAGCGTGCCTTGTTTTATTATGCTTTGCTTTGTTGTGTTTCACATATATTGCATTATTTTTTAATAAACTGCAGGTTTGTGGCAACCTTGTGTCCAGCAAGTCTACTGGCGTCATTTTCCAATAGCTCACTTTGTGTCTCTTTGTCACAGTTTGGTAATTCTGCAAATATTTCTGTCTTGTTCATTATTATTACGTCTGTTATGGTGATCTATGATCACTGATCTTTGATGTTACTATTCCAGTGGTTTTGAAGGGCCACAGACTGCTCCCACATAAAATGGCAAACTTAGTGGAAAAAATGTTGTGTGTGTTCTGACTCCTCCACTGACCAGCTGTTTGCTGTCTCTCTCTCTCTTTCTCTCACCTGAGCATTTCTATTTCCTAAGACACAACATTGTTGAAATGAGGCCAATTAATAACCCTACAACAGGCTCCAAGCATTGAGGTGAAAGGAAGAGTCACACATCTCTCACTTTAAATCAAAAGCTAGAAATGATTAAGCTTAGTGAGGAAGGTATGTCAAAAGCCAAGATAAGCTTAAAGCTAGACCTTTTACATCAAACAGTTAGCCAAGCTGCGAATGCAAAGGAAAAGTTTTTGAAGGAAACTGAGAATGCTACTCCAGTGAACACATGAATGATAAGAAAGCAGAACAGCTTCATAGCTGGCATGGTGAAAATTTCAGTGGTCTGGACAGAAGATCAATCCAGCCCAAAGAGCTGAGATCTCAAGAAATTTTATCTTTCACAAATGTAGATATATAAAAGGGAATATTTTCATTTATTGAGGAAGTTTCAATGTTTTTAAAGATATGCACAATGATCACATACAAAGTCAATGTGATAATGTACTTTCATGGGGTCAAATTTCTGATGTCCAAGGCAGCAGAAGAAAAGTCTGTCCCAGATCTCAGAGAGAATCCGATTCTTCTTTTGTATTTGTTATCTCTGGGCCCCCAGCTGATTGGATGGTGCCTGCCAACATTGAGGGCATATCTTCTGCACTTAGTCCACTCAGAGTCATACACTGAACTGCTCTGAAAACACCCTCACAGACACACCCAAAATAATGCTTTACCAGGCTTCTAGGGACTCTTTAATTCTGTCAAGTTGACATCTAAATTAACTGCACAAGTCCACACCTTGTCAAGTTGGCACCTGATATGGATTGGCTGTATCCCCACTCAAATCTCATCTTGAATTGTAGCTCCCCAAATTCCCATGTGTTGTGGGAGGGACCCGATGGGAGATAATTGAATCATGGAGGCAGTTTCCCCCATACAGTTCTCATGGTAGTGAATAAGTCTCTCGAGGTCTGATGGGCTTATAAGGGGTTTTCCCTTTCACTTGGCTCTCATTATCTCTTGCCTGCTGCCATGTGTAATGTGACTTTCACCTTCTGCCATAATTGTGAGCCCCCCCCCCCCAGCCATGTGGAACTGTGAGTCCATTAAATCTCTTTTTCTTTACACAGTCTTGGATATGTCTTTATGAGCAGCGTGAAAACCGACTAATACAACACCCATATGTATCTCCTTAAACCATACCTAATTTCCAAATAAAGACAATAACAAGGTAATAGTTCCACTGAAGATGATGCAACTATCCTGTGATTGATTTTGGGGAAGCTATATGTCTGGAATTTTAGACTTTAGGGATTTGGATATGTCGAGGTTTCAACAGTTATGATTATGGTATGTGAGATTGTATCTCTCAGGATTGTGGTACAAAGCCTGTGGTTATACAAAACAGTTATTCAATGTGGACCAAACAGCCTTATATTGGAAGAAGATGTTACCTAGGACTTTCGTAGATAGGCAGGAAAAGTGAATGCCTGGCTTCACAGTTTGAAAGAACAGGTTGACTCTCTTGTTAGGGGCTAATGCAGCTGATGAATTTAAGTTGAAGCTAATGCTCGCTAACCATTCTCAAAGCCCTAGGCTACTTAAGAATAATGCTAAATCTTCTATGCCTGTGTGTCCTCTATAAATGGAACAACAGAGCCTGGATGATGGCGCATTTGTTTACAGTAAGATTTACTGAATATTTTAAGCCCACTGTTGAGAACTACTGCTAAAAAAGAGATTCCTTTCAAAATATTACTGTTCATTGACAATTCACTTGGTCATCTAAGGACTCTGATGGAGATGTACAAGGAGATTAATGGTGTGTTCATATCTGCTAACACAACATACATTCTGCAGCTCATGGGTCAAAGAGGAATTTCAATTTCCAAGTCTTATTAACATTTCAAAAGGTTGTAGCTGCCATAGATAGTGATTCCTCCTGTGGATATGGGAAAAGTAAACTGAAAACCTTCTGAGAAGGATTCACCATTCTAGATGCCTTTAAGGGCATCCGTGATTTATGGGAGGACATCAAAATATCAACAATAATAGGAGCTGGGAAGATGTTGATTTCTGTCCTCATGGATAACTTTGAGGGGTTCAAGACTTCAGTGAAAAAAAGTAACTGCAGATATGGTGGAAATAGCAAGAAAACAAGAATGAGAAGTGGAGCCTGAAGATGTGACTGAATTACTGCAATCTTGTGATCAAACTTTAATGGATGAGCAGTCGCTTCTTATGGATGAAAAAAGAAAGTGGTTTCTTGAAATGGAATTTATTCCTGGTGAAGATGCTATGAACATTGGTAAAATGACAACAAATGATTTAGAATATGACATAAACTTTGTTGATAAAGCATCAGCAGGATTTGAAAGGATTGACTGCAATTTTGAAAGAAGTTCTACTGTGGATAAAATGCTACCAAATAGCATTGTATGCTACAGAGAAATATTTTGTGAAAGGAAGAGTCAATCAATGTGGCAAACTTCATTATTTTCTAATTTCAAGAAATAGCCATGACCACACCAGCCTTCAGCAACCACTACCATAATCAGCTCCCATCAACACTGAGGCAGGGCTCTCCAGCAGCAAAAAGATTATGGCTCTCTAAGGGCTCAAATGTGTTAGCATTTTTTAGCAAAAAGAAGTCTTCTAAAATAAAATTCTATACATTGTTTTTTACACATATCTGCAATGTCTCTAAGGTATGCCTGTATCCTATGACACTACAATTCTATTACTAGATATATAACCTAAAAACCTCTAGCATGATATATTCAGGAAGTCACATCAAAATGTGTTTAATTGTAGTATTGTTTGTGAGATAAAAAAATAGAACACAACTCCTATGTTTCATTAGAGAAATAATTGAGGAAACACTATATAGCAGGGTAATGAATGAACTAACTGTAAATGCATGAGCGTAGATACGACTTTCAAACATTTATTTGAATGCAAAGAACAAGTTGCAGAAACTTTCCCTTGTTCATATCATTTATGTTTATTCAAATCCATACTCATCCCCCTATACCATGCTCTATTTGCGGTGTCTCTCTGTGTGTGTGGAATATGTGTGTGTGTGTGTGTGTGTGTGTGTGTGTGTGTGTGTATTTCAGAAACATAGACTATAAAGAAAAACATAAACTCCATGATGTTCTCCTAGGGAATGAGGAAATGAAGATGTATGGAAGGATTGGAAATTGGACTAGGGAGGAAAAGGAATGTTATTTCAAATTTATAAATAACTTTATAATAAAAACAAAAATAACATGTTGATATATTTCTTCCACTTCCTCTCAGTGTATTCCTTCTAGTGTCCTGCATGTATAATTTAATAGTTTAAATTTAAAAATAGTTATTGTTATTTGTTCAGGTCTTAGTAGATGTCTCTTTATTTATCTGTGTTACAAACAACTTGAAAAGCTTTCCAATGGCATCTGTGTTGTGTGGCATTTAGAATGTATTAGAAACATTTGTTGGACCTCTACTTCATGCTAGGTGGTCTTTTAGATTCTTCACAGGAATGAGAAACAGTATCTAAATTTCAGTAACCTAATAAAAATTAGCTATCAAGGAAACGCCTATTACTTCCAGCTAGAAAGTTTCCCATAGTAATTACCACCAAATTAGATTTTCTGTGTATATATTTTCTGTGCAATTTTTATAGTAACATCTTTAAAAGCATACATTTCCCAATAAACAGGTGAATAATGAATACACAAACCATACAAGTACAAAAATTTACATATATTTCTTTATTATTACCATCTTGATACATTGCTTTCTAAAATAAATCCAGAATGGCCATCAGTACAATTCACATTCTCTAGCAAAATATTTCCTCTTTTACTTGTTTCTGCTACTCCAAAGCCTTTCCAGTTTTAAATACAATAGTGCATCCATATGAAAGAATCTATTTAACTTCAACTTATTCTCAAAACAGTGAATCAATTTTTGAAGAGTCTTGGGTATCTGCTGATGTTTCTGAAGTTAAATGAGAACCAGGTATGTCTCCTACAGTGCATTTTCTTCGTGGAAAATTATGGTCCCTGTTGTACTGCTTGTTTATAGTAAGTTCTAGTATAAAGCTACAGATTATGACTGTAGGTGTTCAGGTAGGGTTTACAACCAGGAGCTGAAGCAGAAAAAGAATAAATGCCAATTTTACTACTTTTAGTGATAGTCAAGGAATGTTGGATAAAGCAAGTTCGTGTCATTATTTTTGGAATGTGTATACTTTATTAAATTACACAAAAAGACAATTCCTTAAACTTTGAATATGAGTATGCTTTCTGATCATGATATATTCTCAAATGAATAATACAAATTATGGATTTCATGTGGCATGGCCAGTGTGATTGTTCTACATCAAAGGGTGGATGTCTGCAGATTTGGAGGTGGTGCTGTCGCCTTCTCTCATGCTAGCATTTCCATTGCACAAGAGAATTAGAGAATGCAGTCACTGAGATGGGGTTGATCTACAGAAAAAAGAAGCCACGGAACATATGTTTTTCAAAATGGAACTCACATTCAAGGAACTCACATTGTCAAGTGTTCTTGGACACTGACAATGAAATACAACATGAGAAAAGATGGGCACTAAAAATGAGTCATGAGGGGGTAACAACGAAGTCAGTCAAATTCTGGGCTTCTGCCAAGTCTGAAAGGCAAGCAACTGGCAGAGACTCAGGGGAACTTAGACAATAATAGAAGTAGTAGTGGCAAGGGCCACCTGCTTTTCTTGAGAGATTAACTATTGTTAAACCCTTGGCACTCTGCAATGGAACCTTGTATCCACAGGCAGAAAGCAGAGCATGCTGTGATATTAGTCTTGGGAATTCATGCCAAATCAGAGAGAATCATCCCTGCTTTCCATTGAGGGAGAAGAGAGCATGCCAGACCAGCTGAGACATCTGCTGTCGTGAAAGTTTCTTGAAGGACTGAAGCTTCCATCAGGCTATATACATAGTTTGTATACACACACACATCCCCCTCTATATACATACATAGTTATATATATATATATATATATATATATTTATTTATTTAAATATATATATTTAAATATATATTTATATATATTTAAATATATATATATTTATATATATATTTAAAATACACACACACAGTTTTAGTGAGAAAAAAACTGGCTTAACAGGCAAAGCATTAAACCTGGTGCTAGTTCCTTTGACATTCCCTCATTTTGCACTTTTTGTATACAAACAATTGTTCAAGATGTAAACAACCTTCTCAAAATTAGCCCACAGAAAATAAAGTACATGGAGATGATTTTGGACACAAATAGCCATATTAGTTCTTAGAAAATGGCTGTTTGCAAATGTAACATTCACAATTATGAGCAGAAAGTAATTAGATGTTAATGTCTCTGAGCAGTTACAGAGGAGAGATTTCATGGTGTGGCACAGGAAGTGTCACAGAGTCCTCATTTCTGCAATGACATATCCCTTTCAGCTCAGATTTGAATCCAAAAGTGACTTTCCATGCCAAAAATTGCTTAAAATATCTTTCTGATCATCATAGAAGCACCACATGCTGGTCTCTCATTTGAAAGAATACAGATAGAGAGTGATTAGATTAGAGAAACTGTCTTGGAGAATGTCACAGTGCTTTGGCATAATAAGAAAATTAGGTAAATAGCATTCAGTGGAGTTTATTGGTGGGAAGTAAAGGCTTCCATAGCAGCTATTACCTGATGAAGGTTTGTCCTTAATAATTGTCATTTTAATGCACAGATTCCCTGCAGTTAATAGATCCTAAACAGATCCTCTCTACAAAAGGAAAATAACATGGGACTGCCAAAGAAGGCCCCAAACAGATCAGAAGTATTTGTCAGCTACTCTGGTTGAACATTAGTATGAACTTCTGGGTGAAAAGAAATTTGTAGATTAATATCAGAACCATAATAATAATTTTATAATTTATTTACTATAATGGTATATGCTAAAATGCATATATGGTCTTCATCATAGAATGAAAGTTTAAATATCTACAAGAAATTTTGAATTTATCAAAGGCCTCTATGAGAATGGTTATAGCCCTAGTTAACGCTTACAGGCATGGTTTTTATGTAGTTCTGCCTAGATGGACCTAAAATTGATACATGATATATAGCTACATAATTTATAAGTAACAGCTAAGGGCTTAACCTTTGAATGATTTTGCACGTAAATAAGTATATTTATTAAGCAGACTTGTGGGAAAATGTTAAATGTGATTATCTGTGGGAAGATTATAGCAAATAGTGCTGAAAGCCTCATTGCCAACAATAAAAACACATTGAAACCAAACTCAAAGTTTGTTGTTTTGCCATCATTTATTTTCGAGGGCCCACATTGCATATTCATTTGCTTATCTGAAACTTCAATATTCTTACCTCCTCACTTCCTCTTGAGGTCTCATGATGTTGAGCATACTATCAACTTTTTTGATAGGGAAATCATATGGGAAGTGGAAAAAGTATAGTGTTTGGAGTCCAAAGGGCTTCAAAATGTAGAATTTAAAATTTTATACAGATTATTACTATTACTTTGTCTCAAGTGCCCCTTATGGTACAGACGCTTGGAAAATGCTTTACATACTTTGCCTCTAGCCCCAGTGTAAGCCCTGCAGAGCATATGTTATTATCCACATTTGTTAGATGAAAAAACACAGCTCAGTTAAACTAAGATTTGGCTTAAGGTATCACAGACAGTGATGAGCACAAGTGTCTTACAAAACTAAATTTCCCTGGCTCCCTATGAAAGAGTCTATGCCAGCATTGTCTAAAAGAAATAAAATACATGCTTCATATGTAATTTTAAATTTTCTACTAGCAATATTTTTAAAAGTATAGAGAAATCCATGAAATTAATTTTTAAAATTTTAACTTAATCCAATATAATTAAAATAATCACTTCCTGTTTTTATATATTTCACATTTGTGGTTTTTTTGTACTAAGTTCTTGAACTCTGGTGTGCATGTGAAATGTATAACACGAGTCAGTTTGGTTTAGTCTGATTTCAAGTATTCAAATACCATAAATGGCTAGTGGCTACTGTATTTATACTATTCTAGTAGCTACTATACTACTCTACGCAGTTCAAAAATAGAGTTGTGATGCAACATTAGATCAAAAGTGCAAGGTTTCTTTGATTGCTGGCTCTAACTACTTGCCACCTGAAGGATACTGGCTGATAATTTAATCTGAGTCTTTTCTCACAAGCGTGAAAATGGTGTGATAATACTTAACCCATAGAATTGGGAGGGGTGAATTAGATTATCAGATGGGAAATACCTGGCTGATTACCAGACATGTACAAGGACTTCACAAGAAGATAGATCCATTCTATTTTTCTCTCTTTTGCTTATAGATTTTGTTTCCATAAGGATATCCTGTGCTGCCCCAAAGCTTAACCAAAACTCCTCTTAGAAAGTCGTGAAAAGAAGGCACGTTTAGCTTCATGCATTTTATATTTTAGTTGAGTTCTGATAATGGTTTAGATCACCATGATTGGCCAAGTGATCTTGGGAATGCAGAAACGACAAACTTTCTCAGCTACACTTACATTAAGATTTAAACTGGTAGTCGGAAAGAATTCATTGAGAGGCTGATAGAACTCCAAATGAGTTATACTCTACAACCAAACATTAATTATTTCAGACTGTTTGTAGTTTTTCACCTGAGCTAGTAGAGATAATTGAGTCCCTTTACAATTGAATGAACTAAGACTATAACATAAGAAATACAGCCAAATTTTGAACTCCAATCTCAATCCATTTTTTTTCACAAATTCCCATGGCTCATGAAAACAGTTTCATTGATATTCCAAATTAAAGGATATACTATTATGCAATCTAGCACTTGTGTCTTATAATACACCAGAATTGTACATTTGAAATGTATATTATTTAGAACCAGATAAACTGAAGTTTAGAAGACAAGTATGTCATTTACTAGCTGTGATATTTGGAGCAGATTGTAAATTTATCTGATCTTCAAAAACTACCTTGAAAGTTTGAGATTAAGATTAAAATTTATTCTTGTAAAAACCCTTCCCATTCTGCATGATACATAATACCTACTCAATGTATTAGTCAGGCTTCTCTAGAGGGACAGAACTAATAGGGTAGATGTATATATAGAGGAATTTGTTAATGAGGATTGACTCACACGATCACAAGATGAGGTCCCACAATAGATCGTATGCAAGCTGAGGAGCCAGGAAGCCAGTTGAGTCCCAAAACTGAAGAACTTGGAGTCCGGTGTTTGAGGTCAGGAAGCACCCAGCATGGGAGAAAGATGGAGGCGAGAAGACTAAACCAGTCTAGTCTTTTCAAATTCTTCTGCCTGCTTTTATTCTGGCTGTGCTGGCAGCTGATTGAGGGTAGGTCTGCCTTTCCTAGTCCACTGACTCAAATGTTAAACTCCTTTGGCAACACCTTCACAGACACACCCAGGAACAATACTTCTCATCCTTCAATCTAATCAAGTTGACAGTATTAACCGTCACACTGAAGAAATGGAAATATAACATTATAACGGTGGTTCTAAATAAAGGAAAATTTTTAAATTTTAGTAATCTGTATAAAAATCTAACATACTATAAAATAAATTTAATGTAATGGTGAATGCATTAGATTTAGAGTCAGTGACCCTTTTATCTCTCCACCAAAAATCAATTTATTTTCCATCTATTTATAATCCATTTTAAATATGTGTAAATATTTTCATTGATAGAATGTTAGTAATTCCTTGGAAACCCTTGTCAGTTTCTCTCTGAATTTGTAGCCCTCTACCATCCTCAGATGTAAACATAATCCTACATTTTTAGCCTATTATTTTCTTGTTTTGTATTTTTATCTTAAACACACATGAATGTGTATTTATACAGGGAATGACTTAGGTTTGCATTTTTTTTACTTTATATAAGTGCAAGCTACTGTATAAATTATTCTGTGACTTTGCACAATATAATTTTTATGAGATACAAGAAGTTGTAGTTGGTTCGGTTTTACCATGTTGTGTATAAAAGACTGTTTTAAGATTATTTGCTTTTCTATTGTGGGACTTTGCATTGTTAACAAATTCTTGCTGTAAGAAACAATGCTTCTGGAGACTTTTTATTCGTATCTCTATATCTGTATACATATACAAATATACATGTGCACACACATTTATGTACATATATGTACACACACACACTCAAGATTTTCTATGATATACTTCTATGAATGAAATTTCTGGGTTTTATAATATGTACATCTTTGTATTTACTAGACAATACCAAATTAGGTCCCAATATGACTATATTAATTTATATCTCTATAGGGCAATATTTTTTTTTTTTTTTTGAGACGGAGTCTCGCTCTGTCACCCAGGCTGGACTGCAGTGGCGCGATCTCGGCTCACTGCAAGCTCCGCCTCCCAGGTTCACGCCATTCTCCTGCCTCAGCCTCCCGAGTAGCTGGGACTACAGGCGCCCACCACCACGCCCGGCTAATGTTTTGCATTTTTAGTAGAGACAGGGTTTCACCGTGTTAGCCAGGATGGTCTGGATCTCCCGACCTCATGATCCGCCCGCCTCGGCCTCCCAAAGTGCTGGGATTACAGGCGTGAGCCACCGCGCCCGGCCAGGGCAATAATATTTAAAAGACTTTAGTCTTTTAGATTTAGATTTTAGATTAATAAAAGGGGCAGAATAATTGGTAATCCATAGACAAGAAAATAACTAAATCTTAATGTATACTTCATATCAAATACAAATATCATTTCCAGGGGATATTAAAGAGTTAAATTTATAAAACAATAGCATGAAATTTATAAATACCATATAGAAAAATAATTTTATTACCCTAGGCCAAAACCATTTCTTAATGAAGACAAAAGAAGTGAAAACTACAAAGGAAAATAAACTTACATGGTCTACTGTATATTTTGCTCACCACAAGATACAAAAAGGGCAACAAGACAGAAAAAACAGATAGTGGAAATACGTATCTTAAAAATCCTAAATATTGCAAGTTGGCCAAATAGCAATAAGATATAAATGGATAAATTTAGAAGGTAACTAAGATATTTCCTAGCAGGGAGTATTCAAAATTTTATTGTAAATGGTCAGATAGTAAATATTTTTGCCTCACTTTGCAGGCTACATATACTCTCTGTCACATTTTCTTTATATATAGAGAGACCTCAATGCATAAATAAAAAATTATATATATATTATATATATATCACCACTGTTTAATGTATTTAGAGCAGGAGTACATGTAAGAATATTAAAACTTGAAAAAATACTGTATCCTTATATTCATGGATCCTGTGGACATATATTATAATTAGAACAAAAGTGTCTCTCCAAACTGCTTCTGGTCCAGCAATCATATTTTACCAATGAGGAAATTAAGGTCCATAAAGGCCCAGAGCTGGTGACCAATTGGAAGGGGTACAGAGTTTTTAACTTTCCTCTAGTCAATGATGATGTCTTTGGATAGCACAGCATCCCTCTGTTTAGAGTAGAATTCATAGGTCATGTTGGGGCTAATAAGACTTTATTAATGTAAGTCATATTGTCGTTAGGCAGGACATGACTTGTTTGCTAGCTCCTTGGAACAGAGGAGAGACTAGCTCATCAGAGCTACAGTAACATTCCTTTTTATTAAACCTATCTTTCAAAAAAGCCATAAAATGAGCAAGTTTATCAACAGCCTGTTCTGAAATGGACCACTTTAAAAGGCGACAGGAACAAGTCTGGCAGCTGAGTTATCCTGGGATGTTTCATTGGGAGGAAAGAGCCCCATCAGCACCTTCTTTTAAATAAAAGCCAGAGACATTGTTGGGGAAAGTGCTGGCTTCCCATATGCTCCTGGTCTTCTTATATAAAATCCTCCTGGGAACACTCTCCCAAGCTCCTAGCCTCAAAGCAGACTTTGTAGAAACTTTCAGTTAGAGTAAAATTCAGTATTATAGAATTTCTATTTATTTCCAATAGATATGGAAAAGGTTAGTAGATATTATTGACCTGAAGTGTAATAATGTCCCTCAAGGCTAACCTTTAAATCTTTATGTGTTCAGTAATTCAAGCTATGTAGAGCATCTTTCTCTGTCTTAAGGAATATTATAACATTCCATATAGCTATAATAAAAAGAGTAGTGGAAAAGGGCAAAGGGAAATTACCTCTTTCTCCGTAACAGCTCTATAGGGCATTCACATACTCAGTTTACTCAAATGAGGTCCTTTTAGCAGTCTGCAGAGAGTCTCCTAAAAGAAATATTGCAGAGTGGTATTAGCCTGAAATATTGAATTCTTTTATTAATCAAAAGAATCAAATTACCTTTTTCATTAATAAAATAGAAATTAACATCTTAGCTTGACTGAGATAAAAACTTCTGTTCCTGCCAATAGTGTTTATTATAAACATAAGAGATAATTTCATGACAGCCTATTAGTGCGTTGTTTTCACCAGTTTTTTATAGTGCCAATAATTATATTCTTTGAGTCACTTATATAATAAATTATACTTATTAGATGATGCTAACTTGCTAATTCTGAGTTCTTTTGTTGACTGGGATGCATAAAATTTTGACCTAGTGTATTAAGTTTTAAGTCATTATTGCTTCAATAATTTCTAACTTGTACATAATTCTAAGCTGGGAAAAATGCTTATTGTTTCACAGAAGCTTTTACATATGCAAAGAAACATTCCTGGAAGCAAAATATATCATGAAACTTCCCTAATAATACTAAGGATAACAAAACTGCATTATTAATGCCAAGGATTATATTTACTCACATATACAGATTATTAAGCATTTGACTTAGGTCAGTTGGAAATATTCTAAACATTCATATAGGTAGTGAATAACTAAGATAAGACCACTTCTATATACTCTGTAGTAATTATAGTTCCTGAAACCAGTGTCTTCATAGGTAACATCATAATTGAGCTGGTGTCATGGTTCACTTAATGCAACATTTAGTGACACAATGGCTGCATAACATAGACACATGTATAGATGCAACAAAAGTTACAAAAAATAATAGGACTTAGAAAATTAATGAAGAAGAATCTTTCATACTATCAAGAAGTATATATTTTTAGAATTATTAGACACAAGTCAAATTCATGGAGTAACATTAAAAGTCTTCTAATAAAATTTTAAAAAGACAAGGGTGCCCTCTCATATTGCTTTTATTCTTCATTGTTCTGGAAGTTTTAGCCTGCAAAATAAGATAAAAAAAAAAAAGGAGTAAAGCTATATGAGTTAAAAAAAAGAAGGCAATGTTGCCTTTACATGCAAATGATGCATGATTATCTGTGAATGACACAAGATAATTAACAAAATAATTGGTAGATATATGGCAGTGCAACAAAAACAACCAAAGCAATAAGAACCCTAGAATACCTAGGAATAAATTAAGCAATAGATGCGTAAACTCCTTATAAGAAAATTACAAAGCTCATTTCTAAGACATTAAGGAATATTTAAATAAAATATGAGACAAACAGTGTTCATGTATCAGAAGACAATATTGTAAAGAAATCAAATTTCAAAACTTCATTTATAAATGTAATAAGTATTTCAATCGACATTGTAACTATTTGTTTTCTAAATTTGACTAGCTTATTCTAAATTACCTATGTAAGAACGAAGTGACAGCTACTAAAACAATTGGACTAGCCAAGTGCTGTGGTTTATACCTATAATCCCAACAAGTGGGAGTAAGACTTGAGCCCAGGAGTTTGAGACCAGCCTGGGCAACATAGGGAGATCCCATCTCTATGAAAGAAAAAATTGAACCAAACCTCCTCACAAAAACAAAACAAAACAAAACAAAAATATAGGAGATTCACCCTAACAGATAATGACTCATTAAAAACTGAATCTAATTATGATAATGTGGTATTGATAAAGAGACACACGTGGCCTTACCAAACATATTGGAGAGATCAGAAAATGATAAATAACACTTTCACATGTATAAAAATTTGAAATGCAAGAGGGTCACTTAAATATTGATGGGAAAATGGATACTTAATAATCAACCAGATGGGTCAGTATCCTTCATGAAAACAAATTCCATGTGGATAATGATCTTCATGTGAAAAGTTAAATGTTAAAATCTTTAGAAGATTATTTAGGATAATTTGTTAATAAGTTCCAAATATAAAATATATTAAAGAAACTACAAAAGTAGAAAGGAATAGTTTGATTTAAATGTTAATTTAAATAATATTAAATTTTCTATTCAACAAAAATATTATAAACAGAACTGATAGGAAATCAAATCCAATGAAAAGAAGATATGTTTCACATATATTACAAGGGAAATTATGTTTAAATTATGTAATCAATACTTATAAACTTATGCAATCAATAAGAAAAACATAAAAAACAAATTCTAATACCACTAAAGAGTATGGCAAAGTAGTCATAAAAAAATTTTAGAAGAAAACTGAAATGAAGAATAATATACTTTATGTATAATCTACACTCATCCCTGCTAGTAATGAAAATGCAAGTTAAAACAATAGATATCATTTCATATTAGGTAAATAGTCCCAACTCTAGCAAATTTTATTGAGGAATGCTCATGTGCTACTTTTGTAAATTCTTGCATCTAACCTGGGGCAAATTGACAGTGCCTAATAGATTTCAAGTTGTAAATATTTGTCTCCGAAATTCTGATTTAAGGTATATATCTTCTCTACCACATGTGTGAAAAGTGAAATGTAAACAAATGTTTATTGTAGCATTTTTATAACAAACTTTAGATGTGACGTAATTTTTTATCAACAGAAGAAAATATAAATTGTCATATATTCACAGTGACATACTATATAGCCAGTTAGATAAATGAACCCGAGGAGCATTATCAGCATGTATTGATCTCAAAAACACAATGCTGAGAGAAAACAGGAAAGTATGAAATGACATGTCCAAAATATTTACACCAAAAATATTAAAACTTTATATTTTCATAGGTAGCCAAAAGTTTTGGGTACTGCTTAGGACCTAAAACATCATTCCATAAGCACTCAGTAAATGTTTTTTGCATGATCTTTTAAACAATAGGACGGAAATAAAAGCAAGGTAATTGGTCTCATAAAATTTTAGGAGAATGGTTACCATGTGCAGGAAGGAAATAGCATGAGATTAGGGAGAGTTATCCAGGAACTTAAATTATACGAGTAAATTTTTTGACAGAAAAATCTAAAGCAAATATGACAAAACTCTAAAATTTGATGAAGCTCATGGGCCCATTCAAAGGTATTTTTTATTCTCTATAACTTTTTTTGAATATTAGAAATCTTAAAAAAATAAAAAACATAAATGACTAGGACAAGAGATTGAAAATGTAGATTATCAAAATATTTTAGCTATACACTCCTCATCTTTTATTCCTCTTCCCTCTCGTTGTGAATTCAGTGGCCTCCTTCATTATATATTATACTCCTGTTATATTAGAGATCATAGGGAATTTGAATTTGGGGACATTTTAGGATTTTACAAAATATCTACTCCTAATTTTATAGCAAATTTGAGGATATAGAGAAGATAATTAAATAGTATTTTGACAGATTTTTCTGTACTCAAAGCTTTCTCCTGAATATAAGTAAAAAACAAGATGTTATTTATTACTTTGAATCTATGATGTTTCAAATTAGCTACTTGGTAATCAATTAAAGGAAGAGAGACTAAGTGTGACTAAGTGTAATTGATTAAATTACTAAAATGATATTGCACCTACAAAGGTTGTCATATTTAGGGAGACTCTGTTTGGGCTATATCAACTGTGTGTTAAATTATACTTTGCAAAGGGTCTTGCCAGGGCTTGAACGCTTATATTTCACCATAAGGGCTAGACAAGAAATACATGTATGGTTAAAAAAAAAAAAAGATAATTCCATAGGAAAACAAGGTTTCAGCATACACAGGAAGTTCAGCCCACGAATATCTTAAATAGAAAATTGTCTTTTAGTCAAAGCAACATATACATTGCAAGATTTCAGTAAGATAAAGGGTGAATATATTTATGAAATTTATGGGACAAAACACATATGAAGAATGAGAGATATAAATACCTACAATCAAAATTTGCATTATGGACTTTAACCATGTTCTTTATTTGGCAAACAATTTTAAAGAGCAAGTAGCTGGAGCCTTACAAAATAACAAGAAATACATTGGTTCTTACATTAGGTGATGGACTTATAGTATTCTCTTGGTTGCTCTTAAGGTCCCATGAGCCCCTTTAGGTAAGAGAGTTTATCTTAAAATACTGAAGCTTTGATCATTGAATGAATATAATCTAACCCCTTCTCGCTTGCATGTCAGATGCAAACACATAAGGTGTTTTCCTTGTCCACCAACAGCTATAGCAATAAATTGGGAAAACTAATACAAACTTAGTGGTAACTTTTCAGCTGAAAAGAATAAGTGTAACCAAAAATGTGTACTCTCAGTTCTTCGGAGATTTTTCCATAGGTTTTTCTTTGTAGTATGACTGATGATGTTTCTAAAGGTCATTTTGCACAAATATAAGGAAAGCCTTTTTAGAAAACAATGCAGGTCAACCCAAGTTACATATCCCTCCCAACATGGTTAGAAAAAGCTCTTCATCCCTTCTGGAAAAAGATCATACCTACACTGTATGCCACATTGTCTTTTTCCCCTACCTTATTAACTTGTTCATTTAATCCTATTACTATTTCTTTCATTTATTCTCGATAAAATAAAACATCGAGTTTCTCTATTCTGTGCCTAGCGTCTGCCAGCTATTTGAAATTAGTTACCTATTGAGTTCACCAATCGTTTATTCAACACATACATTTTGTGTGTCCACCATGTGCTGGGCACTAGAGATAAAATGATCCATATTTTACATTTCATGAAACTTGTCCTGTAGAAGGTCAATATTGATTAAATCGTACTCTCCTTTAGCACCGTATCGTCTCTAATAGCTTTGCACTTCGAAGTAATGAGATCATCCTATAGCATTACCTTAATTTTCCTGAAGTTGTGGAGACAGAATGCACAGAAATCATTGAAGAATTGTATTGTAGGTATCTTGGGAAAATATTATTTCTAATTTTTCAACCTTTCTAGACATCAAGTTTTCATATATATTTGTTCCATATGAGACTTCCAAAAAAATTAAGGAGTGCCAGCTCCAAGGGAAATGAAGGAGTCCTGTGGGTGATCATGTTGATAGAAGAACTAACAGTAAGTCTCTGAGTTAAGTTAATTTGCTCCTCTCTCAATTGACCAACTTCTCCCTTTGTTCCCAAAGCATTTTCAGTTATATGAATTTGATTTCTGCAAAACTTGTGGGTTTATTTATTTTCTTTGAAATCAACAGAAAATATGTGAAAAAAATCCTGTATTTTCAGCTGGGAAACCTAGAAGGTCATTCTTTTAAATCTGTGTGTGCCTCAAGAGTTATGTTGTAAACAAGAAAATCTGATTTTGGATTACTAACCAAAAGAGAAATTAATTGCTTGCCGGAGTAGAGCAGATAACAGAGTAAATAATTAAATAACATTTTGAGAATGTGAGAAACTATACCAAAAATTAGTGGCTTAAAAAATCCACCATTTTATTTGCTCATTAGTCTGTGGGTCAGTGATTTGGGATGGGCTCAAATTATTTAATTTCTTGCTAGGCATATACCCCAAAATCATACCAAAGTTTTATCAGACATAATTATTTAATTATCTATCAGATGACAACTTAATTAGATTAGGTTGATTAGGTTATTTTTCCATTTAGTTGAAAGTGAAAATAAGAAACAATCAACAACTTAGAAACAGATGCATTAAATGTTGGTTAGAATTGCTGATCTCTTTTTTTTTTTATTTTAAACTTGAGCTGTTGAGGTCGCTTAAGTGGCTACTGGTAAGTGGGTCTGTTGGGTGAGAGATGGTCTCAATCACATGTCTTATGTTGGTGGTGACTGTCTGCTGGGTCTCTCTCTTCATGTCGTTTCTCATCCTCTAGGAGAATAGCCTGGGTATCTTCACATGGCAGTGGCATTCCAAAACAGTGGACGGGAAGCTGCAAAGTTCCATGATGACTAGCCTTGGAAGTTGTAGATCATCATTTCAGTCACATTCTGTTGGTCAAAACAAGTTACAACTTCAACCTACATTCAATGGGTGGGGAAATAACCACTTCTCATAGGAAAGGATTGCAAATAATTTATAGTCATTTTTAGTCAATCACACTTAAGTATCAAGAACAATAGAGAGTTTTCTTTGGAAAGCTGTAGAGAAGATTTAGCCCTAGCCATTACCAATTATAGGGAGAGGTTGCTTATCCTGGTTTGGGACACATACCTATAGTTGGCTGAGGAGGACAGTTTTCCTTGATTAGCAGTGCTTACAAGATTATAGCCAGTGTAGGAGAGCTAATACCTCCAAACAAGGATAGGATGTCATTACCAAAAGGAGGAGGAGTGAATGCAGGGCAGACAAAAACAGTGGAGGCCATTTTACTCAGGCGCCTTGGGAAAATCACTTACCTTTTTTGGGGTCTGTGTTTGGTGGCTTCTTTTGTAAACTGACAATAATAAGAAAGCTCACAAAAGTTTCTTCTAGTGCTGTGATTTTGTTGCTCTGCTTGTCTTCTGTTTCCATCCTGCCTCTCCATTTTATATCACTAATTGCCAGAGACTATGGATCATATGCTGCCCTTGAACTTCATGGCAAAATAGAATGTCTGCATTAAAGAATCAACATCTTCCATTAAACTGTAAGTTCTGTGAATGCAGAAAATGTGTCTTGTTCATCTCTGAACCCTCATCTACTGATGCATTAGGTGCTCACTAAATATTAATTTCACATTGGAAGAATCAAGCAGTTATGAAATCTTCAGAAGTAGTTTATCCTTTATAGACCTCATTTTTGTTTGATATGGCAGGAGGTGATTGAATTCAGCAATATACCAACTGTACTCTTTCCTAAATTAATGTTATCTTAGCTTTTTACCCGTTGCAGAATCATTCTTCTCAAAAGTACAAAGGTAAAGCCTTTCTTCGACCTACTCTGTATCTTAATCAGATGTGTTGCTTTGGGTACCAAATTCCTCTGTGATACCAAAAAGACAAATGGAAATATTAGTGAAAAAAGTTTTAGAAGTGAGTGACTCTGATGAACGGCTAATATGCATTTCTAAGTGAGATTGTTTCCAACTCTTCGCTTTCAACTAAACAAAAGAAGAGCTTAAAACAAGTTGCTATGCACAGATTATTAAATAATTATGGCTGATAGAGTATTGGCATAATTTATGGCATAAAACTAGGAAAGAATTAAAATAGTGCGGTAAAAAGGCCCAAATACAAGTTTCTCAATTCCTAAATATTTATCTATGTTGATTAATTTTTATTTAAGCTTCATATTTCTTATTAAAAGGAAGGAATTACATTATATTATGTCTGGAAAGAGAATGAGGGCAACTCCCATGTATTTCTGTTCTTAGTGATTTTTAGAAGGTATAGAAAATGATCTGATCTGGCTGCTCATGGTAGTGTGCCTTTAATCCCAGCAACCTGGGAGGCTGAGGCAGGAGGATCACCTGAGGCCAGGACTTTGAGCCCACCTTGAGCAACACAGTGAGACTCCATCTCTCTCTCTCTCTCTCTCTCTCTCTCTATATATATATATATATATACACACACACACACACACAAACACACACATATATACATATATATACACATACACACAGATACACATACACATATACGTATATGTGTGTGTGTATATATATATACTTTTTTAAGTAAAGAAAGAAAAGAGAAAATGATCTAATCAGCTTCAATGGCTAATGTGAAGAAACATTCATGGGAGGTAAATAACCTCATGGCATCACAGGACAAGTGATGGAATGCCCCACTGAGTGGGTGATGAGGTGTTGTGTCTGACATTTGCAATGGGAGAGGATTTCCCCTTTGCGGGGATCCTTAATACAGCACGATTTTTTATAGAGTTGAGTAGTATTTGGAGAAAAGCAAGACCATTATGTACCCAAAGACCAGGACCAACTATATAATTCATGGGGCCCAGGCAAAATGAAAAGGTTGGAACTTTGGTTCAAAATTAAGAATTTCCAGATGGCAAAGCAGAACACTCTATGAAGTGCAGGGCGCTTCTAAGCATGAGGCCCTGTGCAATTGGAAAGACAGCATTTCCATGAAGCTGCCACTGCCAGAGACCCTCACATCAGGAGAGCCCACCATGATGAAATTAAACTTGCCAAAAGTAGGATGAGACCAGGGACATCTCCCTACTGCCAGTTCCTGTGGTCAAGTAAGTACACCTCTGCTGCCTCTATCCTGACATCTAGCCACCAATCCTGCAGAGATTACTGCCCTGAAGAGAAAAGGGTGGGGGATGGGGGAATTCTTTCAGGGCCATGCCATGCCTGTTCCTTCCTCTTTACCAGCTTGTGGAGCTTAGTGCATTATTAGCCTGCACAGTGAGAAGAAGAAAATGAGCTTGACCATTGTTTGAGGTAGATATTTTTATCAACTGAAAAAAAAAACGGAGTCTTAAATATTACACTGGGCCCATGTAATGATACTAACTGAAAAATATATGGCATCTTGCAAAAATGTAATTAACAGACCCACTAATTAATGGGAAAGGGGAAACTGATAAAGGAAAGTCCAGCTGAACTACAGGAAGCAATAATACAATTTGATGCATATGCATAAAAGAGCTGAGCCTCCTCAATAAAGTAATCACCTAAGTACGCTTATAGCTATTTTGGAGGTAAAGTAAGAAAACCCAAAAGATAATAGGCAGATAGAGGCAGGAGAGATGATGAGGTGTGGGGGTATTAGAGGCATCACAAGAAAGAGCATTTAGATTGGGTGATGTGATCAGTTATAGGCAGATATTTTATTTACAGTTAATTACAAAATGGTAAATCAGCCAAGGAGATTTTAGTTTTAAAATTAATATCTAAAGTCAAAGCTATAGATGATGGATAAAAATAAAACTATCTTTCAGAATACAATTCAGAGCTTGCATAATTCATGATTTTTCATAAAAAGATTGAAGGTAAGAGCAGCATGTTTTCTTTTGTGTTTCATGCTCGCCTGTGATGTCAAAATAAACTGGGAGTGAAGATCAGGGACCAGTTCGACAGACTCTCAGATGGGCCTCCTGGATATGGGAATATAACCCAATAGATAATAAGGGAATGAAAGACACAGGGAGAAAAGGCAATGCTTGGAAATAAAAATGGTGATGACTTCAGGGAAGAGCAATTGAGTATAACTGTGTAAATGACACAGTGGAAGTATGCTGCTAATTTTCCCCTGCTGCACATATAAATTATGCAGAGAACATTGGATTGGTAGCTTCTCTGTAGTGAAAACTGTCTATTCGCTTTCAGGGCCTGGCAGAGGTGAAAGCAGTGGTGAAAGGAATTAGCATGCAATGAAGAAAGAAGGAACATAAAAAATTACGTATATCACAGAGGATCCTGGAAGACTACAAAATATAAACATGCAACCTGACAGTCATATTAGGGAAGATACACATTTCACTTAACCTGGGATTTCAGGTTGGCAGGTATAATAAGAAGCTCTTTAAATAATTAACAACTTTAGCTAATTGCTGGTTCATAATGAAGTTAACGGGTCTTAGCTGATGTTTTATTTGCAAGCTTTAATAAGGCTTACTTAAACCCTTTATTTTTTCTTAAAAAATTGCCAGCAATGCATAAGAAAGGCAATAATGTACAGAACACTGGCAAATAAATGTCTGCAAGACTTATGTGGCCTCTTGACAGTAGCTTTGACATATATTTTTCATGTTTTAGAATGATAAATGCAACATCTTCTTGGAGCATAATTTGCTAAAAAAAAAAGAGAGACAGATGAGGAATGCAAAATGTCCAGGAAAGCTGCTTGTCTGAGGTTACTGCTAGGTTTTTACTTTTTACAAAACTTTGGTTTGGTTCACGCTCCCTAGTTGCTTTTTCTTAGTGGAAGTAGAGGTGTATGTTAAACATTGAGAATATTATAAACACTTCACAAAAGAGGCTATTATTTCCTGAAAGTGATTCTTTGATTCTTTATATAAAAACATTTGCTAACTACTATATATAAAGCAGAGGGCTATGTTACCTCTATCCAACAGAAATGTAATGAGAACTCTAAATGAAAGACATTTGTTCAGGGGACAGTAGTCTGATGCAGGCCTTACTGGGCTAAAATCTAAGTGTCGGGAGGGCTACACACCTTTCTGGAGGCTATAGGGAAGAATCTGTGTTCTTGCCTTTCCAACTTCTAGAGATTACCAACATTCCTTGGCTCATGGCTCACTCCCATCTTCTAAACCAGCCATGATAGGTTGAGTCTTTTGCACAAGGAATTACTCCAACTCCTCCTCTTTCTCCCTTTTCCACTTTTAAGGATCCTTGTGGTTACACTGGGCCCAGTAGATAATCCAGAGTAATTTCCTTATTTTAAGACCTGTTAATTATCAATTTTAATTCCATCTGTGACCGTAATTCTTTCTTGATATGTAATGTAACATATGCAATGGTTCAAGGAACTATGACATGTGAACATCTTAAGGACTCACTATTCTACCTATGCATATAAGGTATTGTATATTCTATTAGCACTACTGTGAGGATTAAAAGAAGCACTTTGAAGAGGGCCTGGCACATAATAATAGAGGTAATATTATGATAGGTAGTGGGAATGAATGGGGCACCATGCTTGGTTTTATGCTATTCTGCAGCCATCTTGAAACACTAAATAATTTCATCTTTGAACTGGTGTTTTATTGAAGTCCTATGGGAAAAGAGAGCCTGTGTGTGAGCAGAGAAGATATGCACAAAACACATGTACACAACTTTTTTCCATGCATTTCCCACATAGCATTTGCAATATGTCATGATCCCAGAATTTTGGTAGACCCACAATGCATGAAAGTACAGCCTGACTTAAAGTGAATGTAAAATAATCATGTTACTTGTGTTTACAACTGTGTATAAGTGCAGAAGCTGGCAGCCAAGAGAGGCCACACTCTCCATATGGACCAAAACTTTCTTCAATCATAAAAAGGCATAATGACTCCAAGATACACAGATGACAAAGGAACAACATCATATCCTTTCTTACTCATGTTACTTGCCAGGTATTAGCAAACCACTAACACTATAAATGATGACACAGGAAGCAGTGGAAATAAAAGATAACACATAGTTCCTATTTTTCTCAATCCTTTCCTTACTCATCCATAAGAGGACGGTAGAGAATGTTAATATAATATATGTGTCTATCCAGCCGAGCCCTGTGGCTCACACCTGTAATCCTCGCACTTTGGGAGGCTAAGGCAGGCGGATCACCTGAGGCCAGCAGTTCAAGACCAGCCTGACCAACATGGAGAAACCCCATCTCTACTAAAAATACAAAATTAGCCTGGTGTGGTGGCACATGTCTGTAATCCCAGCTATTCGGGAAGCTGAGACAGGAGAATCACTTGAACCCAGAAGGCGGAGGTTGCGGTGAGCTGAGATCATGCCATTGCACTCCAGCCTGGGCAATAAGAGTGAAACCCCATCTCGAAAAAAAAAAAAAAAATATATATATATATATATATATATATATATATATATATATATATATATGTCTATCCAGTAAAATAAAAACAACCGAGGTGTTTTTGTGAAGCATCTCCATTGTTTCATAAGAATAAAATACAAATTGTATAATTGCATTGATCCTGCATATGTGCTAAATGCTCTTATACTTGCATTTAAAACTGACATTTGTAGAAAGCTGAAACTGGATCCCTTCCTTACACCTTATACAAAAATTAATTCAAGATGGATTAAAGACTTAAACATTAGACCTAAAACCATAAAAGCCCTAGAAGAAAACCTAGGCATTACCATTCAAGACATAGGCATGGGCAAGGACTTCATGTCTAAAACACAAAAAGCAATGGCAACAAAAGTCAAAATTGACAAATGGGATCTAATTAAACTAAGGAGCTTCTGCACAGCAAAAGAAACTATCATCAGATTGAACAGGCATCCTACAAAATGGGAGAAAATTTTCGCAACCTACTCATCTGACAAAGGGCTAATATCCAGAATCTACAATGAACTCAAACAAATTTACAAGAAAAAAACAAACAACCTCATCAAAAAGTGGGCAAAGGATATGAACAGACACTTCTCAAAAGAAGACATTTATGCAGCCAAAAGACACATGAAAAAATGCTCATCATCACTGGCCATCAGAGAAATGCAAATCAAAACCACAATGAGATACCATCTCACACCAGTTAGAATGGCAATCATTAAGAAGTCAGGAAACAACAGGTGCTGGAGAAGATGTGGAGAAATGGGAACACGTTTACACTGTTGGTGGGACTGTAAACTAGTTCAACCATTGTGGAAGTCAGTGTGGCAATTCCTCAGGGATCTAGAACTAGAAATACCATTTGACCCAGACATCCCATTACTGGGTATATACCCAAAGGACTATAAATCATGCGGCTATAAAGACCCATGCACACGTATGTATATTGCAGCAGTATTCACAATAGCAAAGACTTGGAACCAACCCAAATGTCCAACAATGATAGACTGGATTAAGAAAATGTGGCACATATACACCATGGAATACTATGCAGCCATAAAAAAGATGAGTTCATGTCCTTTGTAGGGACATGGATGAAATTCGAAATCATCATTCTCAGTAAACTATCGCAAGGACAAAAAACCAAACACCGAATGTTCTCACTCATAGATGGGAATTGAACAATGAGAACACATGGACACAGGAAGGGGAACATCACACTCTGGGGACTGTTGTGGGGTGGGGGGAGGGGGGAGGGATAGCATTAGGAGATATACCTAATGCTAAATGACGAGTTAATGGGTGCAGCACACCAGCATGGCACATGTACACATATGTAACAAACCTGCACATTGTGCACATGTACCCTAAAACTTAAAGTATAATAATAATAATAATAAATAAATTAAAAAAATAAAAAAACATAAAAAATAAATAAAACTGACGTACAATATAACGACAGATGATAGCTGTCATACTAATAATTTAAAATTAATTTTGCTTTCTTAGAATCATATTAAATCTCAAATTAAAAATAAGTTGAGAAAGAGGACACAAAAGAAAGAAAAATACTTTATATTTTAATACCTTTAACAGTGCTTTTTATTGCTTTTTGAACAAGTAGCGTTGCATTTTCATTTTGTACTGGGCCTTGCAAAATATGTGGCCAGCCATGCATGAGAGGTGTGGAGTTAGATCACATTGAGAATTCCAAGTCTCCCTCCTGCTAGTTATGTAACCTTAGATTAATTGTTTAAACTCTTTGTGCCTTCGCTTTCCTCATAAGGGAAATGAAGACTTGATAGTGGTTTAGTACAAAACAATTTGCTTACTCCACATGTTGTACTTAGAATATTATCTGCCTCACACTGCCAGAATGTAAGCTACACAATAATACGGTTGTTGTCTACTTTGTCCAAACATCTAAAACCATGTCTGATGCGTAATTGGAGGTCAATAAATATTTTTTGGAGGAATCAATGCGCTCAGCAAACTAGATCATTAGTTCTCAAAACTGGCCAGGCTAGCAGTACACTTTCTATTAAATGTGGATTTCTGGACCTTATATTCACAAGTTCCAGATTCACTGCGTTTTTAGCAGAACCCAGAAATATAAATTTTAAAAATCTCCCTGGATAATTTTAATGGATTCCGGGTTTGGAGGCCATTGGAATTTTAACGCACTTCCACATTTCTATGCTTTTCCTTATCCTAATCCTTCTGCCTGTTTTTCTCATTTATTTTCTTGTTATGGTGAAATTATAGGTATTACCTTGTGCCAAGCTCCTCTTGTCCATGTTCTAGGACAATGGAATGCATAATTCATTTGAATATTTTATTGTGAAAGCTTGTTGTGAACACTGAATGTTATAAAAAGGCCAGGTAAACATTTTGTACATATTTTATACCCAAATGACCTAACACATAAAGGTATCTCAAATGGTTACTGAATAAATTATTAATTGCCAAATTCAGTGCTCTGGAGAAGGTCCAGTGGAATGAAATTTGAAGGCAGGACTAACAACTGAGATGATATGCAAAACTTCTCATTTGAAATAAAAGTTGAGGCTGCTTTTATGTTACAATAGTATGTTGTATTGAGAACAGCAAACTTGATCCAGGGTTCTGTTGGGTGTGTATGTGTGATATATTTTGATAGTTGTTTGGCGTCTGGGAGGCATTTGACTACTATTGCTGTCACTTTTAAAGGAAACTTAACTACTGAATATGCCTATGAAAGATAAATAAAGAAGGGGTAGTGTATTCATTCATTCTAGCATTGCTATAAAGAAATATCTGAGACTAGGTAATTTATTTTTAAAAGAGTTTAATTGGCTCATAGTTCTACAGGCTGTACAAGCATGGCAGCAACATTGCTGAGCTTCTAGGGAGGCCTCAGGGAGATTTTCCTCATGACAGAAGGTGAAGCCGAAGTAAGTGTCTCAATGCCAAAAGCAGGAGCAAGAGAGAGAGGTGGGAGGCGCCACGCAGTTTTAAACACCAGATCTCTTGAGAACTCACACACTACCATGAGGACAGCACCAAGAGGATACTGCTAAATGATTCATGAGAAATATGCCCCATGATTCAACCACCTTCCACCAGGCCCCACCTGCAACATTGGGGATTAAAATTCAAAGTGAGATTTTGCTGGGGACACAGATTCAAACCATATCAGGTAGCAACCTGGAGGGTGGGTTAATGTCGCTGTAATGTTGAAGTCTAGCATATCCATATCAGAAAAAAATAGATTTGGAAATGAGCATACAACTTTAAATAAAGTTTCATCAGGGGGAATAATAGCTTCGGTATCATTTTATAATTGTATATTCAGCTAGAATGTATGCGCTTCTGTTCCGTGCCGTAAGGACATTTTGTTTTATAATAATAGAGAGTTATAATATTATTCTTATATTCAAGGTATTAAGGGGCCACCTCCATATTATGTGAGAGATGAAAGACCAACTCTGCCCCAACATATGTGACATCGATTTGCAGAGCACATTACCAAAAATTCTATCATCAGGAATCATATTTCGAGATTAAGTCCCAAAATACTTCACTTGATATATCACTAATACATCAGTGAGAATTAGGTAAGTTAGCAGACTCTAATAAATCCTTTCGAAGGTTTTCTTTCTGCCATTATAGATTAGGAGAGATCCAAAGGCACGGGCTGCCAGTGAAGCCCTATTTAAGCAGAGAAGGAGGATCAGAAACGAAAAAGTACTGCAGATAAACTGCATCTCCTGCACAGTCATACTTGGTCTGGGACCTGTTATAGATTTGCTAACATAGAGTGGACCTTCAGTGCATTTCTGCTGTACCCAGTCTGAATAGATTTAATTATGTAGACAACTGTGGGACATGCCTGCATCTGTGACCACTGCAGCTATTATATTTGATTTCATTCAATAGTAAAAAGGGAGAGTGGAAGAGAGCATAAATCCCATTGTTTTGCTTCCCTTGTGTATACGCAGCTGTATTGGCAGCGGCAAAGGTAGTCCGAGGGAGAGCTTTTCTTTTGACCAAATGTCACTATTACTTAAATAGATCATGAACAGTGCAGCACAATTGGAGAGACATAGTTTCCCAGTGAGTGAGCCTTGTAATAAGAAGCAAGGTCCCTGCAGACTTCTCCAAATTAACTAAACAAAGAAAGATGTCATAGATACTACCTAATACAATACCAGGTGGACTTCCTGCAGCTAAAAGGGAGGGCCCTTACAGGCACAGTTCTGGCAGAAACACAAGTCTTTCAATCAGATATACAGCTGCTGAGACCAAGTGAAATTATGCATGAACACTGAAGGAAAAAAAAAGCAATACTGCCTGGTGAATTCAGAGAGCATAGACTTCACTCCTTGCCCTCATCCCCCGCACCATGCTGACCCCTGGCTGTATAACAAATAAATCAATGTGATATTTCCAGAAAAGGAATGGGCCAGATGCTTGTCCTAATTCTTCCATGCTGACCTTGGGTAAACTTCATGACCTTTCAGTGTCTCATTTTTCTTACCTGAAAATTCAGATTACAGATCTTGCCCTGATTAACATTCAGGGTTGATTAAGAACCAAATGAGATTCTGCATATGAAAAAGCTAGAAAAAGAAATAAACCATTATACAAATGCAAGGTCAGCTGATATGAAAGAATATCCTTATAGTTTCTGGGGTTAATTACTCTGATCCCTGATTTTAAAGAAAGAAAGGTACTTGGTCAGCGATATGCTAATGACTTTCTCACAGATTGTCTGAAGTGGTATTCCTTTAAAATTTTCGGTTAACTGTCTTGTTCAATCAGTTAAAACTGCTGGAGTTATATAGAGACATGGCCTAAAGAATAGGTCCCCATGACCTAAAACTATAAGGCATAACTTATGTCATATATCTATGTTATAGCATATGGCTGTATACATTCTAATTCCCAGTAAAAATCTTAGGGTTGAAAAGAATAATTTGTTATGTGTTTAATGAATCCTACATCTGATTTTAGTAAAAATTACATTTGAATTAATCATTAAGCAGTTAGCACAGAAGAAACATGATCACCACCCAGTTTATAAAACTGAGAGAGCTAGTTTAGATCCCAGACATTGGAGATACATGTGACAAATCCAATAGAGGCCAGATAGCTTATGGCATTGGTTCTGTAATGACTAAATTCTGAGAGTTTTACTCTTCCATGAATATGTGAGGTGGCAATTGTTAGCCTTGTTAAACCTGGTTGCTTAGAGACAGCTGACTGATTAGAAGATAGTTGCTATCTGCGTCTATAATTATTGTGATTACTATTACTGTGGTAGCCCTCAGTGGGATCCTGAAAATGGTAATATGGTGTAGCATTTCACAAACTTAGGCCTATAAAAACTCAATATATATCCCAGTAAAAAAGATTTATAATGTTCCTTCCTTGCCATTTCAATGGGCTCATTTAAAGAATAATACAATTATTCGCTCTCAGCTTATATAGTTGCTTCCTTTCAATTCTATTATGAAATAGAATCAGAGGTTATTACCAACAATGAGCAGAGGAAAACAAAACCCTTCTGAGAAAGGAATATCAAAGATTGATCCTGCTCGGGTCTCAATCTCATAATTGAGTAAATAGCAACTTAAAAAAATCCCAGAGTGAGAAACACTGAGGCATTTTATTTCACTTGTGATCATATTAGTGAGTAATAAATAGCATGAAAATAGATTACATTTTTATTTATTTATGCTGAAGCTTAGGACAGACTCACCAAAATTGGCCCTGTGAGGATACAGTCTGTGTTGGTTTGAAGCAGGAGTTTAATCATATCTGTTTTGTCCCTCAAATAAATGAAGTAATAACAAACAAAGGCAGTACACCTGCCTCATGTTGTTGCATATACACCAGCCACGAAAAAAAAAAAATTGTGACTAAGAGCCACAGGCACTGGTGCAGCAATTACAGTGGAAGAGAAAAGGGTTTATAGTCAACTGTGGAGACAAGGTAACAGAAACCAGGCATCTCCTGTTCTCCAGTTATCACAGCATACATTCCTAGCACAATGCCCTTATATCCCACCTCCGGTGGGTGTAGGATCTTGTTTAAGGTTTCTTTCTGAGAAACCAGATACAGTGCATATTTGACACTGTTGATGATGATATTGACATGGAAGGTGTATACATACACTATTGCCCTGTTCTGAACTCTTTCTTTACTATTTATCTTTCTTAAAGTTAGTTTTGCCTAGGATATGTTTTTCATTCTTAGAAACTTTATTTCACTCACGACACACTACAACTTGTAGCAGGTTCTTGGCCAGTTGCAAGAGCTATGCACAGAATATTTTGGAGGAACTGTATATTGTTTTAAGGTGCATATTGTCTGATTAAACAATGTCTCATTTCTTATCCTCATACCTGTCCCTAAATTCATCCTATATATGCAATGAGATTGTAGAAAAATAAATACATCACTTAAAGGATTTTGACACACTCATCTGAAAGTCTACATAATTGCAGTCATGCACAGAATAATAATGTTTCAGTCAACTACAGATACAAGAGTGGTTCCATAATATTATGATGGAGCTGAAAAATTCCTATCTCCTAGTGATGTCATAACTGTTGTAATGAAGTTGGGCAATACATTATTTCTTCTATTTTTAGATATTAGATAGACAAATTGTTATAATTGTGTTACAATTGCCTATGATATTCAGTACAGTAATACACTGTACATGTTTGTAGCCTAGGAGCAATAAGCTGTAGCATATAGCCTAGGTGGATCGAATGCCATACCATCTAGGTTTGTGCAAGTGCATTCTATGATGTTCTCACAAAAATGAAATCACCTAACAATGCCTTTCTCTGAACTTGTCGTTGTCATTGAACAATGCAAGACTGTAAATGCTGTGCTTTATATACCAATATAGAAACTATTTCTGGCAGTAATTCAGACATCCTAGACCCTAGGGATAGGGATGGATTTGTGAGGACCCACTTTTATTCTGCCTGGTTCTGAACCTGTAGATATAGAGAGCTCTTTCCAGGTCACAAGGACAGCATTTAGCAAAAAAGAGTGCTCATATTTTATAGCTAATTTATGGGATTTCTCTCCTTGCCCTTTGATTACAGATCTTTTCTGGTCTCTCTCTCAAAACATCTTGTCCTTATCTGATTACAGTGGCTCTTTTCCTCTTTGAATACAGTATTTGACTTTGTTTTGTAGTTATGATTTGCAGTTGTCTCTTGAAAGACTGGAGCTAAGAGAACAGCCACTAAGCCCTTCTACACTGCACTGTAAAAATATTGCTCCTGCTAGGTTCAGCCCAGCTCCTGGAAGAAGGATCGAATGACGCATTTTTGCCATTCCTCCTTGTGGTCAAGCGAAATTAACTGCAAGACTGCTGGCTTGGTTGGTGAATACCTAGCAGCCAGGAAAAACAGCAATGGTAAATAAGTGTATGGTTTTATTTCATCTTGTATCACGGGACTCTGAGCAACTAATGAAAATTGAGGATCCACTTTGGCTAGATCAGTACGTATTTCAAATAATTGTAATTAAAATGTAATATGGAGTGAATGCAGAAAGAGAAGAGTTGACCGGAATCAGGGAATCTTCTGACACCTTTGTTTCCTCATTAAATTGATTTATCCACTCTAGAGGTGGTCTAAGAAGAGATATTCTCCTCACCCTCAGGGGCACAATAAGGAAAATAATTCAAAAACACATAGGTTTTCAAGATTTCTAAAAGCAATTTTAAATGTTTTGTTCATAAGACAATATGTGGCCATTTAGACAAAGATGATTTCTCAAAAATAAATGAATGGTATAAAAATAACCCATAACCCCGATATACAGAGAGTAACAGGGAACCGTTTGGTATTTATTGTTCAACTTGTTTATTTGTTACCCAAAACTTCATTAGATAGCAATAACAATTTGAAAAAAAGACTCCTGTATAATACCAATTGTATCCTTTCTAAATAAAAATATTATTGATTTCCTTTCTCTTAATATGCCCCTTAATCTAAGGTTTGACTTTCAGATTGTAATTAGTAAACTGTGTTGATTATTTCAATGTTAAATTATTAGTAACAGTTAATTGGAATTCTAGTTGCCAAAAAGGTGAACAATATATTAATCACAAATTCCAGAAGTAACTTTAATTTGATGTTGCTATTGATATCAACATAACAAAAACTTTTTATATTACATATTGTTCATCTGTATAATTTCCTCATCTCCTGGAGGTTGTCAAATTGTGATTCCTAGTGACAATATTAATTTGCCTCTAACAATCAGAATTTATAATGCTATTAACATAAATATGAAGAGCTATGTTAGATCTGTCAGCATTGAGAATCACATTTTCTTTGCATGTTACATATTTTTTCATATATCTATAAGACTTATTTAATGAGACTCTTATGCAAACATGTTATAAAATGATCAGAAAAACTACTCTCAACATAGCACTTTTATCTTTTAACTGTCATAAATATCAAGTTGAATCCATATCTACTAATTAAAATTGTTCTGCATACCTAAACTGAAAATTATCACAAAATTATATGCTTGTAAAATTATTTTAATTACACATATGATTTATTTGTGATATAGCTCATTAAGAGGGTTCACATAAATAATAAAAGTAACAAAACTAAGGAAGATTTTATTTTGGTAAGATAGATTTTTGGAGGGGGGGGCATTTGCCCCTTGTTATAGACATAAACATAGCATCCAGGTAGTTTAGAATATCTTCTTGTTGTCAAATAATACATTGAAATTTTTGTCTCTGAAGAATTCCTAGGATACAGAGAATGGCCACCTGTGTCTGGGTTGGAGGCCATACTGCACCGAGCCAGCCAGACTGTGTATTCAGTTATGAGGTGTTTCTGGCAGCTTCCTGGACTCAGAATAATAACCTAGTAACTGTCATTTCTCCTTCAAAGTGCCATTCCTTTTTATACCGAAGGCTTTTGGTCATCTTACTAATTATAACATAATAGAATCATCTTAATCTCCTAGTACTACATAACTTAGTTTTCTCTTTGCATTTTATTAGGGATTGGCAAAAATTGACCATTCATGATGTTTCCTATATAACAAGACTAGAAATTCATAATGTAGATCCAAGTGTAATCTTTTCATTTTCCTAAGTGCTGAATCCTACACCCTATTAATTTAAAGTAGAACATTTCCTGCCTCTTCAACACTGGTTTAATGCTCAAGTAATAATTTTAAAGCTAGTGTGTGGGCATCACAATTGTGTCTTTTCTCAAACCTACATAAATGCAGAATGAACTCTGATTGCCTATTGGGTTATCTTTTCGGTACATAGAAAAAAATAGATTAAACTCAAAGTATTTCCTAGTCACATGTTCCTAAGGCAGGGTGTTCATGCATATGTGTGTATTTATTTAACCAGTGATTTATCATAAAATTCATACTTTTAAGTGCCTACTCTGTTTTAAGCATTAGGCTAGGCCTCAGGGCTGTAAAAATCAGAATTGACACCACAATACCTGTTTGGAAGGAGCTTCCAGTTTATCATAAGAAATAGACTGTCAATCAAACCCTCTCTGGATGAGCAAGGAAAGACTTCAGAGAGGAGGTAAACATTTTAGTAGATGTTCAAAAGATCAATGGGAGTCATCCAGACTGATAAGGAGGTGGAGGTTTCACCAGGTACAGAGACAATCATGCCTGAACATTTTGGAGAGAGAAAGTAGATTGAGTCCTGAAAACCTTAATATCCCCAGAAGAATCAATACATTTTAGAGATGCAGGTGTGGTGCTTTCAAGTTAAGTGATTTCCTGAGGTCACATTGTTATCCAATAACACAGTAGGAGTGAATCCCAGGATTTCTGATAATTAATTGTTGAACAAAATTAATTCCTAACACAAAGGGTCAATGGAAATGCAATGGTAATAAACTATATACATCACAATACATTCATAGCATGGTAAGGAAAAAAATCTTGTAGTGTTAAACTAGCTTTAATTTTAGTTTATGGAGGGTAGACTTCTTCTGCACCATAGGCATAAAAGCTTTTCACAGTACAGGTATTTTCTTCATGTGTGAATTAAAATGTAATGCTAATTAATACTACTGGGTCACAGGATTAAATATATAATTCATGTGCAGTTATAATACATCTGCAGACAGAGTGAGATTAACCTCATGTTTAGAGGAAAAATGTGTCTTTGAGACTCAGAATATAGATTACATATTAAACCATGGGAGCACAAAGGGGTGACAATATCCTCAAAACATACATGCTATTGTAGTTTAAACGATACGGACAGCACTGCTGTGAAAACTACGTTCAATAACATGTCTCCGAAAGGTTTGACATGGTTGAAGAAAGAGGTCATTTTGTTTGCAAGATTGCCAGCTTTCAGATGGCTGCGCGAGTCTCATAATTGACCTAAACAATAGTAGTTACTCTCCTGGTAGCAATCATTGTAAGACTGAAGGATTTCTGGGAGATTATTGATACTTGGGCTCTGCTCTTAATTAAAAATGTCATTCTATTTCAAGATATGTTTTCAAGATGAGAAAATATCTGTTTTTATTCTTGATGGTTCACAATAATAATTAATGTATAATGAGAAAACTTATCCTAGTTTGACAACATGTTCTGGAGAAGGAACTTGAAAAGAACTTCAAAATAATCATCTGAAAACATATGCAGCAAAATTATAGATGCAGAAATTAGATCAAACATATTACAAATGAAAATACATAGAAAGTGATACATTTTCCTATGAAGAAATGGAGGTTCTCATATTGAAAGAAAGTAAATCTACCTCTATATGATATGTAAGTGAAAATATGTATCACATAATATTGAAGAAAAATATCAAATGGAAGTATTAATGCTAGAGAAACTAAAAATTAAGGTGAAAATATCAAATAAAACAGTTATACTTGCAATAATAATTATTATGACTTACCAAAAAATTTACTCATCATTAATCATCATTTACAAAAGAACACAGCATCAAAATACATAAAGAAAAAACTGATAATATAAAGAGAAAACGTAATAATAGTTATAATGGGAAAATTCAAGATACATTCCTCAAAGTGTGGCAGATCCAATAGACTGAAACATGATTAATGGTCGGAAGAGATTAAAAAGTATAGAAATTCATTTCAAACACGATGAAGTTAATAGATACAGGGTTGGGAAAAGATGCATAGTAGAAAGTTGTTATATAGCATTTCTGTCGCACAGTTACAATAATTGTAAATAATGTCAACAGCATAGATAATAGTGAAATGTAGCAAAATAATTAAAAGTGATAGTTTTGAATAATTATTACCTTGCTGATAATTTATTAAATTATAACAATTCATTTTAATTCTTTTTCTTAACTTTTAGGTTCAGGGGTGTATGTGAAGGTTTATTACATAAGTACACTCTTGTCATGTGGGTTTGTTGTACAGATTATGTCATCACCCAAGTATTAAGCCTAGCATGGCTATGTTTAATGGCTGTGTCTAAGAGTTGGCTTGCAAAATTCCTGAAAATTGAAAAATTGGCAAGCCAGGAGAAGCTGGCTGCAGAAACCAAAGTTCTTTCTGACTCTAAATCTTATTCTGGGGCATTTCTCTCAGGCTGAAAAATCTTTGGGGCCACCAGAAAGGAGACAATCACAACTACTTTTTCATTCTTCAACAGGATCAAGGAAATTATCTCTCATAAGTGAGAGTTCTATGTGATCAAAGAAAAGAGAGTTTCCATCAGAAATATTAAGTTGCATCATCTTATTTGGTGCAAGGAATGAAACTGTAGCCCTGTCTTTCCTATTCATCTGTTTGAGAATTAGAGTTGAGGAATGAAATGTTTATCAAAGGGACATGTTTCAGTGTATTTACTTAAAAAGAGATAAAAAGTCAGAAGTTTTTCTGATAGAAACATAAGAAGACTTAATTTCATAAGAATGTCGATTCACCTCAAATCAATTTAGTTTATAATATCTGAATTCTAATTTGAAGAAACTTTTGAATGAGATTTGAGAGGATAATTTTTATATTTACTTGTATTAGAAAAAGGCAAGTTTTTTCTCTTTCTTTTTAAAAATCTATTATTATTATTATTATTATATTTTAATTTGGGGGTATATAGTAGTTGTATATACTTATGTGTTATATGAGATGTTTTGATACAGGCATGCAATGTGAAATAATCACATCATGGAGGATGAGGGTATCTATTCTTTGAAATATTTATCCTTTGTGTTACAAACAGTCCAATAACACTCTTTTAGTTATTTAAAAGTGTACATTGAAGTTAGTATTGACTATAGTGACCCTGTTCTGCTTTCAAATATCGAGTTTTGAAAAGAGAGAACAATGATAGAGTTATGAATATCAATCGGGGTGCTACATACACAATGCTTTGCTCAGAGATTGCTTAAAAAATATTACTTATTTTTCCCCCTGAGATGGAGTCTTGCTCTGTCACCCAGGCTGGAGTGCAGTGGCACAATCTCAGCTTACTGCAATCTTCACCTCCTGGGTTCAAGCAATTCTCCTGCCTCAGCCTCCCGAGTAGCTGGGATTATGGGCACCCGCCACCGCACCTGGCTAATTTTTGTATTTTTAGTAGAGACAGTGTTTCACCATGTTGGCCAGGCTGGTCTCAAACTCCTGACCTTGTGACCCGCCCACCTCGGCCTCCAAAAGTGCTAGGATTACAGGTGTGAGCCACTGTGCCCGGCCTACATTACCTATTTTTATACACACATCAGATATTAAATGTATCCAAACAATATTTATACTACATATGCATGGTACAAAATATCACAGTATAATGAATACCCACGTATAGACCACACATCTAAAAACAAGGATTATTACCATTCATATGGAAGTTGCCATTTATGCTCTTCCTGACCCCATCTCTTGCCCCTCATCCTGCTCAGAGGTAACTTGTATTAGTCCATTCTTATGCTGCTTCAAGGACATACTTCAGACTGGGTAATTTATAAAGAAAAGAGGTTTAATTGACTCACAGTTCAGCATGGCTGGGGAGGCCTCAGGAAACTTACAATCATGTCAGAAGGCACCTCTTCACAGGGCAGAAGGAGAGGGAATGAGTGCAGAGTGAAGGAGAGAAAAGCCCCTTGTAAAACCATCAGATCTCATGAGAGCTCACTTACTATCACAAGAACAGCACGGAGGAACCACCCCCATGACCTAATCACCTTCCATGAGGTGTCTCCCTCAACACATGGGGATTATAATTCAGATTACAATTCAAGATGAGATTTGGGTGGGGACACAGAGCTAGACTATATCATAGCTACTACCCTAAATTTTGTCTTTTTTATTTTTGCTTTTCTTTGTAGTTTTTACACATATGTTTGTATTCTATAGTAATTTATTAGATAATTTTGGATAATTTTGAAGTTTATTTAAATGAAACCATACTTATGTATTTTTCTACATGTTTTTCTTTTTTCTGTAAGAATTTTTTGGAATTGAGTCATGCTTTACATAGCTATAATTCATTCATTTTTATCATTGTTTGTTATTCCATTAAGGAATATCCCAGAACTTATTTACTTATTCTATTATTCATGTTCAATTTGAATGTTTCTAGGTTTTTTTTGCTCTTACCACCAGCACACCTTTGAATGTTTATATCTATGCACTTGTGCTAATATAAAAATTTCTCTATTTCATCAATACAAGTGTTAATGGTAGGATCAAGCAGAATGTTCATTTTCTCATATATAAAATAATGCTAAATTATTTTCCATAATGTTTACACATAGTAATCCTTCACCAGAAGTACATAAATGTTCTGTTTTGTTTTCTTTATACCTTTATTGATACATAATCAGATATTTTTAATTTATCTCAAACTTGTGAATACACAAGGATATCCTGTATTATTCTTGGCTTATATTTTCTTTTATTAATAATGAGGTTGAGCATCTTTTCATGTTTATTTACCATCACGTCTTCAGTGAAGTGATAAACTTTCTCAGTTTTTTGACTGATGTTGTCCCTATTTGCCCTTGTACTTGAAATACTTTTTTCCAGCTATTGAATTCTTGGTTGACAGTCGTTTTCTCTTATTCCACTGAAGGTATCTGGCTTCCATTATTGTTGTTAAGAAGTCAGCAGCCATCTAATTGTTGCTCCTTGAAAGATTCTCTCTTTTTTTATTTTCTACCAGGATGCTATTAGAGATCTTTTATTTGGTGGTCTGCAGTGCTTAACTGTAAATTTCTTTTCACTTAACTTTTTCTGGATTTGTTTGGCTCCTTAAATGTGTCTTTTATCATTTCTGAAACATTTTCAGCCACTGGATTTTCAAACGTAAACTTTCCTCTCCTTCTGAAACTTTGATTAGACATGTGATCCTATCATTTCATCTTATATCTCAATATTTGTTAACATCTCTTAATATTTTTCAGCTCTTTTTTCCTCTCTGTGTGGCTACATTCTGTATATTTTCCACCAAATTATCTTAGAGTTTATTACTATGTTCTTTAAGTATGTCTAATTTGTTGCTGATTCCATCCAAAATTTGTATACCTCTTTATAAATTATGAATTTATACATTTCCTAAAATTAAATTAAACTTGCTCTCCTGGGAGAAACTCCACTTTGTCATGGAATCTAACAGTTTATTTATCATTGGATTTGATTTACTAACATTATGCTTTATGTTTATAATGAGATTGTATTATAACTTTTCTTTCTCCTACTTTCTTTGAAGGTTTGTGTATAAATATTATACTGGGACAGGATTTCTCAACTTTAGTGCTATTGACCATTTGGACCAGATCATTCTTCATTTTGGGGACTGTCCTGTACATTGTAGATGTTTAGCAGCACCTCTCACTTCTACCCACTAAATGTCAGTAGTATCCGCTATACCTGCAGTTATGATAGCCCAGACATGTCTCCAGGCAAGCCAAAGGAACCCTCAGGAGGAAATGTGTCCCAGTTGAGAACTACTACACTTTTAAAATGATCAGAAAGACATAGAGTAAAGATTATCCTACAAAATTGTATGGGCTATAGTCTTTCTAGCTGTCGAAGATAAGAAAGAGAGAAATACTGTGAAACTGTCAGACTACAAGAAACAAAATCAACATTATATGCATTTTCTTGGATGGGATCCCAGAACAGAAAGGAAAGAAATACATTTTGTGAAAGTTGTGATGTTGTATGAGTGTTGATTTTCCAGCTTAAATGTTAGAGAGGGTTAAGAAGAGTGTCTTTGTTTCTGGAAAGTATACACAGGAGTATTTGGGCAGAAGAGTGGTGACTCATTTTATCTATGGTTTGCTTTCATTTGGTTCGGAAAAATACTACTACTGCTACTACTAATAGTAGAGATAGTGGGGAGAGGGAGAGAAAAATATTAAAGTGAAATATTGACAGTAGGGAAATTTAAGTGAGGTTGATAAGAGAGTGCTTTGTAGTGTTTTTCAACTTTCCTGTAAGTTTAAATTATTTCCTAATAACTTATTTAAAAAATAATGTATGTTTCTTATTTTATAGTATATTGAAAATGGGTAAGTAAAGCTTTAAAATTAATATTGCTGATCTCTTATATCAGGTATTAGGTAATAAATGCCAGTTGATGAAAATCATCTGGTTTTGACGCAAATTTAGTGATCTTAATTCTACAACCAAACCATTTAATCCACTTATAAACAAACTTCCAATGCAAAATCTCTCCTAGATAATAAATATAATGGTTAAATGAGCCTCTGCCTCTGACAAGCTACAGTTTGAGCTATGGTTTGCAACTATTAGCTATCTTTGGGAACATTACATTACCTCTCTAAATATGTTTATTCAGCTGAAGATAAAATAAAAAAATACATGTTTCATATTTTTAGCACTAAAGATAATATACATAAAATTTCTTAGCACAAGGCAATTCACAAATTTCATACAAATTTCACAAATATTGGCTATTAGTTTGTGAACATCTTTGATTAGGCAAAATTTTTTCTTTGATAATGCTTTAATCTTAACAGGAAAATGGAGCTTTCATCTCCCAACTAGAGAAGTAATATGTTGAGTTCATTCACTCCAGGGTATAAATTAATCATTTTGTGTCATGTTAGAGAGTAATTTCTGGTAGAGGACAGGTGACTAAGGGTCTCCTAGTCTGGTCACTTACCATTGCTGATGGAAATCTTTCCAATGTAGCCTATTGTCAATGAACTACAGAATTCTCAAATCTCAAACTTACTTTTCTAGGCTTTATTATTCCACTCTGTTGCCATTTTCAATGTTCAGCTATACTGAAGTTCCATTTCCATTCTACATACATGTTGTCTTCTTTTCTTTACTCACAATCCACTGCCTATGTGAATTTTTCCCTTCCTGCCTATTATCTTCTTTTGAAAGCTCACCCTTGTTCAAGGTGTGACAGGTGCTGCCACTTCTTTAGGCAGCATCCTAATCTAACCAGCCGGGGTTACGCTCTCTCTTCCAAGCTTGCTCCCACAGCACATTCGGTTGCATAGGATTTCTGCACAGGAATCATGAGTAAGATCCTCAGTGGTAGGCAAGTTTCAGTTTATAAATGACTCGTGTTCCATTGTGTGGAATGATAAAAAGATAGTATGAGTGTGCCTAAGCATCATCTGTGTGTCATAGTTCATATAAACAATGCATCCTTTCACTCTTGCAACCAGGGCATGAGTTCAGTCATTTGACTAGTACCATCACAGGGTGAAATAATGAGCCCACATGAGGGCATAATATGTCAAGTGAGTGAAGATTCAATTGTGGAGTTTTTCACTTGTATCATCTTTATGTAAGGCTGATAATGCTTGCTAAAAAAAAAAATTCTATTGTGCATTTTGCTTCAGTATTACTCGTATCTTTTTTATCCTTAAAGTGCTTAAAGACGGCATCAAAATCATATAATAAGCAATAATAACTGAGGGTTTGCTATATGCCAGTCACTGTGCGAGGTACTTTATGTGCATTATGCATATGTAAATAATCCTCATTACAGCCATATTAGTTAAGTACCATTATTAACCCAAGTTTTCCAGTGAGGAAACTGAGTCTGAAAGAGATTTATTGTTTCCCAAGGGTTAATATCCACTAATTATCAGAAACACGCTGGCTAATTCCAAAATTCGAATATTACCTACCACGTTATTCTGCTATAATGTTTATAAAATTTGATTAAATTATTTTAAGGTCATGAAAATCAAATTGTGAGAGAATTTATTGTATCATTTTAGCAGAGACATTTTACAATAAATGTGTTACATTAATGGTTGCTAAGTTTGTTGAATTGCATGGATTCCTTATGCCATGTTTATAGTTAAAATTCCTTAGACCATAATTGATTCATGTCTAAAGTCACGAACTATTCATTGTCCAAATTATATAAAAATTGGTTAAACTCAAATTGTGACTTATTGGCTCCTTCCATAAATGGAATCAGGAAGTTTTGACAAATCTGTATCTGTCAGTCTGTAAGACATTTCCATTTATGTCTCAGGTAAATTGAGTAAGCTGTATTGATTGATGGTATATGGTTTTTAAATATAAGACCACAGAATATAACATCTAAGTGATATGGCAAATATTTCAGAAAAAAATAACTGAACAAAATATATTCTTACTTCACACCATTTTAAAGCCATATTAAAATAATATTAGAGGAATCACAAATAGGGAAATACCCCAAATTTTAGCTTTATCTCATAATAACATACCTTTTTTGAGATTTTCTAGGCCTTTAATATTACCAAACTTTTGCCTGAATAGTTGGTATATGTGTATTTATATTAGTTATTAAAATAATCCAACATCATTTACACAATTGGTTAGTGTCCTTAGAATCTATTTTATAAGACTGTGATTACTCCATTTAAAAGTAGGTATTTGATATTCAGCTCATGGAGCACCATTAAACAATTTTATGCTAATATTGTGTAAATGTATGACTGAAATTTCTGCAGCACTCACTAATTTTTTATTGTCTATTAAAAATTCTAATGGACCGCTTAATTGGGTATACATATTTTAAGTTTAAAAGGAAAATATTATGGCACACTTTGAGGAAATTCTATTCTTCTACATTAAATTATATAAGTATTTTATAATAACTCTCTAGGTAAGCTACTTTAAAGCTATTTAAATTGAACTAACTCAAGTCAATTGCACCATACATTTAAATTACAGAATTTACAAACTTTTTGCTATAACTAGATTAAAAGGAGGTTAATGCTTCCATACAATGACTAACCTAGCAACAATTTTAATAGTAAGATCCACTAGGTCACATAAGTCATTTCACTGTACAAATGTTCCTTTACTTATGATGGGATTAAGTCCTGATAAACCCATTGTAAGTATAAAATATAATTTGAAAATTCATTTAATACCTCAATAACGCATCTTATGGTCAAAAAATCAAAAGTCAATCCATTGTTTGTTAGGGACTGTCTATCCTTGGAAAGACAAGGAGTAACCTGCTTTCAATCTTGAATATTTACACCCCTCTCTATGGCTAGTTATTTTCAGGTTTACCAGAAACATAGTTTGGCTACAATACAGACTGGAAATAATTAACATAAAATAAAATAAATGACTTTTAATGTTAAAAATATTATGAAGTTTAGAAAAATGCTCCAAAATAATTTTTCTTTCTAACTAATCATATTATCTTCCTTTCTCACTAGCTACCACTCATTGCCAACTATGGATAGAATTTATATCTAAAATTAGTTCTCATGGGCAGAAATTGTATCAAAATTAGGAGTAGCAAATAATGAAATTTTACATGAAAAACGGCCTACTACCCCACCATTCTTTTCATTCTCTGAACTCTCAAATCCTATCCTAGGAAAATCAGGATCAATAGGATTTGATGTGCTACTGATGAAAGGTTTCTTGTGCAGGTAATGGGGATCCAGGACAGAAATATGAATATAATTTATAATTAAGGATTATCTAATCATTTACATGATCAGAATAAACTATGTTTTGCTAACTCAAATGCACTTGCACTGAAATGAAAATACTCATTTATTGGTGCAGTATAACCATATTTCTCTGAAATAAGAGTACTGGCGTGTCTTTCATATGCGCATTTTACTCTAAATTATCACCATCAATAAACCAGGCTATTGGGTGCTCAATAAATATTTGGTAAGTTAATATTTAAAATAAGACCTTTTCTCCCAGGAAGATAAACAGGGCATCTTTTTTTTTTTTTTTTTTTTTTTTTTTTTTCTCAAAATTTCATTCAGTCCTATCAGCAAAATAAATTATAAAATTTTAGGTAAAGCAATTTTCTCTCCACAAAGCAATTTTCTATCAGTCTGTTCCAACTCACGCTTGGTCTTACAACTAAAAAAAGGGCCATTGTGGTAGCAGAAATAGTAACTTGACAAAAGAAAGGAGGTCTGCCCATTTTAATTTCATACTGAGAACTGTATTGTTAAACAGAATTACAAAAATATTTTGAAAACGTCTTAAATATTACAAGCTACAGTTGTTGTAATTGCATAAGGCACAAGTCCTGCAAACTCAACTCATATTTTTACATTTAACATCTTAAGAATATTGACTAAAAATAGATTTTTGAAAAAAATCATTGATAATGGAGATTGAGTGTACATCGAGTACACTGCAGTTATTCTTCTCAAAATGCTACTTTCTACAGCACCAAAATAATGAGGTGATATAAAATCCTTGCTGCATCTGATTGGTACAATTTATTTGGCTTAGAAGCATCAGAGTATAGTGCTCTGGAATTTATAACTAGGTAGAAGCAATTTTATCTTTATACTTAAAACCACTAAAAGTCTTACTCCACAAGATTATGTGCTTATGGCAGCTCATGTAGTTGTTTCCCACCAACTTTTCCCCATGCTTTGCTATCCTTTGATAACCCTTGCTTGTGTCCTTGAAACAGTTATTTCATTAGAAATTGCAAAGTGATGCTTTTCTAATTCTATTATTTATACTTAATTTATTCTCTTGAAATATTCTACATCGAAGAAGTTTCTTTCTACTAGAGCTATTCTGCTAGCCTAAAATATTCATTCTAGAAGGCCAAAATAAATGCTTGTAACTATTCATTTTGTTGTGGATTTTCAGAGTATGGGTTGGTGCCTGTAGTAATCTCCAACTGAATTGTTCCCTTCCCTTAACTACTCATCCCCCGAATCCCTCTTTCTTTTTTACTAATGAATTTACAACTTTTATAATATATTTATATGTTTTAATCAATTTCAATCATTATTTTCTTCAATGTTCTAAGTCTCTCGATTTAGATCAGTGTAAGCTCTTTGTGATGACTCTCATTCTTTTGAAATGGCTCCATTAATCTTTGGTATCATTCTTGTTTTCAGAAACAAAAAGATGGCCCAAGCTCACCTTATGTGTGTGTGTGTGTGTATGCATGTAGGTGTTTATAACTAGATTTTTATACTATAAAAGAATTCACTCATTTAATTTTGAGTTATTGTGATGACTGAAGTGTCAAGATTTGTTTTAATTGATTGAATAGATGACAATTCTCAACTTATGGTAAATCACTGGAGTGCAGGGCATAAAAGGGGGTGGTGTCTTGAATTGGAGAAGATAAATTTTAAGACACAATATGAAACTTCCAGTTTCCATTCTAAGAGCTTGAAAGTCATCACTCATCCTCACAACAAGAAAAAAGCTGAACAAGCCAAAATGATTTTAAAAAACTGTCAGAGAATTAAAGTCACAGGACCAACAACATCCTCAAACATTAGAAAAACAAGTGAATTATATACAAATATGATTGCCAGAAGCAGAAGTCATTGGAATAGTTAAACCAAAACTTCAAGGAATTCCGGAGGGTGTGTATAGACTAGCTTGATAGTTACAATCTCCCCCAGATGCCTAATCTAGAGAGATTTCTGTACTTTCCTAGGATTTATCTCTAGGATAAAACCCACCAGATTTTCAGATGAAGAACAGGAAAAAACTCCATCCTGTTTGGTCAGAGGGAAGAAAAAGTAAAATTTTCTGAAAACCTAGAACATTGTTAACAACAAAGGCCAACTTTGCAATGCAAAAACTTCATCAGAACCCAATGATTTCCAGCATGAAGGAAGGTGTTAGTCTTCATGTCTCATCCAAGGGAGAGAAGAGGAATCTGAGATGCATTTCTGAAGCTCACAGCCCAGGGACACACATCCACTGAAAGACTGAGATCTAATCTCTCCATATACCTTACTGCCCCCATCAACAAGGCTTCTGTAAAATAAGAATGGATTACAGTTAAAAAACTAAAAGATTCTGATTCTATTTATAGAAGAAAAACCTAAAGAAAAACCCAAAGATGGCAAAAGAGACAAAAGCAAGGATATTACAGAAACTGAAGCCTCTGACACATACAGATACAGTGAATAGCAAACACAGCCTGTCTTGTAGCCAGATAAATATAACACCACACACTAAAAAGCTTAGGTATTTCAGTTACTATTAGTCAATACAGTATGTCTAACTTTCAAAAACATTATAAGCATGATAAAAGGTAAGAAAAGCACAATCTAAAGGACAAAGCAAGCAACAGAACTAGACCCAGACATGGCAGATATTTTGGAATTATCAGATTGTGAATTTAAGACAACTATGATTAATATGCTAAGGGCTTTAGCAGAAAAAGTGGATGTTGTCCAGGAATTGATGGTTAAAGTAGCCATAGAGATGGGAGCTCTAATAAGGAATAAAAAGGAGAAGCTGAAAATAAAAAGCACTAACAGACATAAAGAATGCCTTTGATGAGCTCATGAGCACACTGAATATAGCCAAGGAAAAAAATAATGAGCTTGAAGTTAGGTCAATAAAAACTTCTCAAACTCAAATGCAAAAAAAATAAAAAATAAGGGGGGGACAAAACCCTAGAATATCCAGGAAGTGTGAGACAATTACAAAAAGTACAACATATGTATAATGAGAATACCAGAAGATGCACACAAGAGAAAGGAGCAGAAAAAAATATTTAAATTATGTGGCTAAGAGTTTTTTTAAATTAATGACAGAAACTAAACCAAAAACAAATTATTGAAAGAGGGCATGGGAGAAAACATTTTACCCATAGAAGAATAAGGATATTTATATCAGACTTTTTGATAGAAACCATAAAAGCAGAAGAGACTAGAGTCAAATATTTAACATATTGAAAGAAGAAATCTCCCAACCTAGAATTTTATATTCATTGAAATTATCCTTCAAAGTGAATAGAAATATAAAGACTTTCTCAGACCTTTCTCTCAAGACAGGTATACTAACAAGAAACGGCATACCTGTTTTGAGAGAAATTTTAAAATAAGTCTGAGAGAAGGGAAATAATATAGATCAGAAACTAGGACCTACATAAAGAAAGAGAGAGTGTCAGAGAAGGAATAAATGAAAGTAAAATAAAATCTTATTTTTATATGATCTAATAGAGAACTATTTTCTTACTCTTATCAGATCTAATAGATGGTTGTTTGTTCATAGTAGTAACACGAACAATGTGTTGGGTAATTATAGCATATGTATAAGTGAAATGAATGACAGCACTGTTATAAGGGATGCAATGGTGGAATTGGAATACTCTGCCATAAAAGCACCTGCACTACCTATGAAATGGTATGTCAAAGCAAATTTATATTAGTTACAAACGTACATTTCAAACTCTAGGGCAACCACTAAAAAGGCTAAGAAAAGATGTATAATTCATATGGTAAGAGGAGAGAAAAAGGAATCATATAAAATGCTCAATTATACTCAGAGAAGGCAGAAAATGAAAGAAGAGATGCCATGTTAGCACTTAATAAAAAGAAAGCTGAAGTACATGTATTAAATTCACACAAAATCAATTACAGAGCAAGAAAAATTATCAGTGATGAAAGGAGGAATTTTTAATAATAAAAGTCTTAATTCTCCAAGAAGACATAACAATTCTTAACATATATGCCCTTAACAACAGAACATCAAAATACATGAGGCTAAAACAAATAGAATGATAAGGAGAAGTAGATTAATCCACTATTATGTTTGGAGATTTCAACACTCCTCTGTCAGTATTGACAGATCCAGTAGACAGGAAATCAATAAAGACATTGTAATACTACACCGCATCCTCAGCTTCTTTAAAGTCATAAGATCTCAGAGACAGAATTAGCTGCATGGAAATGAAAGGGTAGTCCCTGGGTGGTAGTGTAACCCTCCTTTATTTGGATCAATCTCTCAGAAAGTGTCCCAACTGTCCCAGAGAACTGATGTCTACTGGTGTGTGTGTGTGTGGGTGTGTGTGTGGGTTTGGGTGTGTGTGTGTTTTTTGATAAATATAGAAACCAACTCCTCTGGTCTGAAATCTTGAGACTTACATTTGTCTTATCTGTGCTCCTTGCTCAGAAAACCCACCCATAGGCCTCCCAGATGTCAAAGGACTGAAACTTACCAGATCACTGTATCCAGACAATGAGTTGCAAGACCCTTCATCCATCATAATTCCTGTTTACAAACTCCTCTTCCTTACCCTTCCTTAATTCCTGCTTTCCCACACATAGTTACATTTCTTCCCTGCTATATAAACCCCTAAGTTTAGTCAGTCAGAAAGATGGATTTGAGACTGACTTCCCTTTCTCCTTGGGTGCAGTACCTGAATAAATCCTTCTTCCCTAGCAATACTTGCTGTCTCAGTGATTGGCTTTCTGTGTGGCAAGCAGCAGAAGCTAAACTGAACCTCTGGTGTTTTGGTAACAGAACTAGATGAGAGAGGATCCCTGTAGAGGTGGGATTTATAATGCTCCACATTTAATTATCTCTTTTGTTGGACACTGAGAAAACAGTTTAAATAAATACATAGATTACTGAACATTACTTTCCCTTAATTTATCTTACCTATTTACTGTAGATTTAATGGAAAGAAATTGAGTATCTTCCTTTTTACTCTCCTTTTTTAAACTAACCTTGGTTTCTATTTTTTGTTTGTTCTTAATGAAGTTTTATTTGAAACAAATAGGCCCAATATACATCAAATAGAAGCAGACAGTCTCTAAATTTAGAAAATGTAAGTAATGTCTATAAATCCTAAATTTACCATCAACATGTGAGTCTTAGCCAAATGCAGTCTACTGCAGCCTGTGTTTAAGTCCATATTTGAATTATTATTATTTTCAAAAATGTGTTTGCTCTAAATGTTTACCTCACAAGAATTGGTACATCAGTAAAGCCTAAACACTTAAACCACTACTCTAACCTCATTGCTGACTTATCTTTGCTAGGTAACTCTCATTAGCCTCTTATCTCACAGAATTAATGTTAGTAATTTTAATTAAAGCTGAATAAAATTTATTGTTTTATTTGGCTATTTAAGCTTAATCTCTTAAAAGTATATTGTGAAAGCAGGCCTTATATAAATGTTGACTGATAAAAACACAAAAGCAAAAATTAGGTAAGCATTATTCACATTTGAGTCAATCTAATTTTCAATTGCATGATGTAAACTCAACTCAAAATTTCAAAAAATAAAAAAAGTTTAGATGGTACAACTACACATCATTTTTGATTTTGTGAATCCCTATATAAACACACAAACACACAAAATGCATAAAGACTACAGCCATTAGTGTTATCTTTTTAAAAAATTAGATAAATGTAATGGGTGAAGCTTTGGAATCATGGGTAATGATGTCAAAAAGATAGACAAATTGTTTGTAGGCTCCTTGATAAAATATGCTGACACAACTAGCTGTCAATGGATGACACTGTAAGATTTGGAAGTATAGGGTTCATGTCTTCTCTATACTTTTTTCAACCATCTCTCTAAGATTTGCATAACAGTGTTCTATCTGGTGTCCTATACTGTGTGGTCATTCAGACACTAAATATTCTCACCACCTGATCATCATAAATATTTGCTACTGGAGAAAAGGTTTATTATTTTGAACTGTTTGGACCTACAACATTTATGACTGCAATAATAAGTCATAAGCTAGGTTTCAGGCAGAATGACTGAAAAATTTCAGCTGTTTTCACAATCAATTTCAGTAGCTAAGGTCAAAGCCATCATGAGGGACCTTGGACTGCTTGCTAAGGCAGGCAAAATAACTTATTTGACTACACAATAATCTGTGCATTCAGGTGAGCTCTCTAGGTCACAGTTCAAGCCTGGCTCTTCTCTTGACTGCTTAACCTAAAAGTATCTTATAATTTATATAGAATTTTATAATGTAAATATTATGACTTGCAATTGTATAACATGAATTTTTTTAATAAAACACCACTATCACTTAAAAAATATATGCATTCCAAAACAATGCTTAAGACTCACATGTAGAAGTGGATTCCTCAGAACTTGAATCAATATTTTGTATGGGGTGTCCTAATTGTAGACCAAGAGGGGCAGGCAATGGCCTACACCTATAGTTGGGTCCCGGATGCTGCAGTGAGCAATGTGGGCAACAGGATCTCAGAGCGAGCCCAAAGAAACACATGACATGTACTGGGAGGTGAACACCCAACATCACATAGCTGGTGAGTGGCTTTCTGGGTTCAAAGTTCTGCTATGCAGTATCGCACAAATGAATAAATCTGGCTTCCAGTATGATTTATAGGATATCTCTGGCAGTGAAGAAACTGAGAGTATGAACTAACAGCATAGGGATTTTTGTCAAAAAGATGCTGAATAAAGAACTGTTCAGAAGGTAGATGAGAAAAGAAGATACTACACTGTATAGGGAAAACAGACACCTGCTGTATGAAAACGTACAAGTAGTAAAATAAATAACTGTTTATGTGTATTTCCCAGTAATATTATTTAAGGCATTCTTTTAAACACTTCACTGAAGAATCAAAATATAATCTTAGTTTTCCGTGATCCAAGGCTTTACCTTGAAACTCAAAATACACTTTCTTAATTCTTTTTTAGGTTCTCATATTTTATTTAGTATTTTGATTGCTAAATGTTTGCTATTTACATAATGTTATCTTCATTAACTGCCAAATTCTGATTGATAAAATTACAGATAATTTTTCCTGACAGAGGATAGGATTATCCAGATGTGGAATCCATGAAGTAGCAAACAATAAGTTAAAAATATCAAATTGGAATAATTCTGTGCATTTGTATTTTTAATGGGCAGTCTCTCTTGTGTTTAAAATATTGGGCACTGAAGTCGGAGAGACTTTTGATTAAATACAGACAACTCACTGACTGACGTTGAGCCAGTTACTTCCATTCTCTTTGCATCAGTTTTTTCACTAATGCAACAGGGATTTAATAGTTTCTGCCTTATTTCATGTTGGGAGTTAGAAATGAGATAAGTTAGGTACATGGTATGTACTCAATATAACCTTAGCATGAAAACTGATCAGCAATTGTGAGATAGCTCTGTGTTCAAATTATATATATGTAAAATTGTGTGCATTAAAATAATAATAAAGTTTTAGAGTTCTTTTAAAAAATTATTATTATTATTTAAAATGGGGTCTCACTCCGTCACCCAGGCTGGAGTGCAGTAGCGCAATCTGAGCTTACTGCAACCTCTGCCTCCCGGGCTCAAACAATCCACCAGCCTTAGCCTCCCAAATAGTTGAGACGACAGGCATGTGCCACCCCAGCTGGCTAATTTTTGTATTTTTTTTGTAGAGACTGGGTTTCACCATGTTGCCCAGGCTGCTCTCAAACACCTGAACTCAGGTGACCCGCCCACCTCAGCCTCCCAAAGTGCTGGGATTACAAGCGTGAGCCACTGCACCCGATCTTAAAAAGTTATAAAAGTTTAAACTTATATATATAGTTATATAAAGTTATAAAAAGTTATAAATCAATAACTTTTTAAGGTTATAAAAAGTTATAAATCAATAACTTTTTAACGTTATAAAAAGTTATAAATACTTTAATAACTTTTTAAGGTCGGGTGCAGTGGCTCACGCCTGTAATCCCAGCAATTTGGGAGGCCGAGGTGGGAGGATAAACTGAGGTCAGGAGTTCAAGACCAGCCTTGCTGACATGGTGAAACCCCATCTTTACTGAAAACACCAAAATTAGCTGGGCATGATGGAAGGTGCCTGTAATCCCAGTTACTTGGGAGGCTGAGACAGGAGAATCGCTTGAACCCTGGAAGTGGAGGTTGCAGTGAGCCAAGATCACGTCACTGTACTCCAGCTTGGGCACAAGAGCAAGACTCCGTCTCAAAAAAAAAAAAGTTATTTAAATATATCCTGTGTATGAAAAAATATAAACTCTAAAGGCAGAATTTAAGGAATAATAAAATGAACAACCATACATTGATAGACCATTGTAAGACGTAAACCATGTTCAGTGTCAGAGAAGCCTGAATTCACTTACCTGAGGGAATTCTCTTTTATCCTCAAAAGTAACTGCAAACCTGAACATTGTTCTATTCATTTCTTCACTTTTCCTTACAGTTTTATTACCTGTGTACACCTGCCTGACAATAAAACTTTGTCTTTTTTGAACCTACATGAATAAAATTACATTTTTCTCTGATATATACCTATCTGCTCAATATTACTGTTTAGAACTTCATTTGTGTGAATATGCATTGTTCCAGAGCACGTGATGGCAAAGTTTTTCTATGAAGGGTCAGATAGGACATATTTTAGGCTTTCAGGGCAATGTAGTCTCTGTCACAATTACTTATTACTGACTTCAGCACAAAAGAAGAAATAGATAATATATAAATGAATGGCCATGTTCCAATAAATTTTTATTTACAACAAATAGGTGGTGGACTCAATTTGGCCTCAAGCTTGTGTTGGCCCCTGTTCTAATCATTTATTTTTCACTGTCATATAGAATTATTTCATATTAATATATTGCAGTTTATCTTTTTCACTGCATGGAATGATATGCTTACATTTCACTGGAGTCACGGAATGATATGCTTACATTTCACTGTAAGTAAATTACACTTAAATGTTTAAAGAAATAGATAAAAGTTAAAAAAAGGACATTTGCAATTGAAAAACCCCTTAAGAAAATATCATATTTTATTGAAAGATAGTAAAGAAAACCCAAAGAAGTTAAGAAATATTCAGATACTTGGATAGGAACACCCAATTTAGTCAAGTTTGTATTCTTCAAAAAATACTGGATTAATTCAGAGCAATTCCAGTACCAATTGGATTTTTTGTTTTCTGGGATTGTTGTTTTTGAGAAAACTAGACAAGCTGATTTTAGGATTTTTATGAAATAGCAAAAGTAGAGAACAGCCAAGAGACTTGTGGAAAAGAAGTGGGGGAGAGAGTATTCTACCAGATATTTAAACCTTTAACTAAGGTAGAATAGTTAGCAAGAGGTTTTGTTGAGCCTTTCCCAGTGTCTTTGGGTGTGTAGACACTTAAAATTTTTACAAAGTCTAATTTATTTAATAGTTTTTCTTATGGTTAGTGCTTTTGTGTTTCATTTAATTTTTCCTCACTTTCCTATCATTACAGCTGTGAAGATATTCTCCTGTTTTCTTCTAGTAGTTTTATAGTTTTCTCTCTTAAATACAAACCCTTCATTCATTTCAAATAAATATTTGTATATGGTGTTTAGTAGGGGTCAAATAAACATATACAATGATTACTTTTGCATGTTTCCTTCAATAGTTGTTGAAAAGACTCACGTTTCCCCATCGAAATGCTTTGGCAACTTCATCAAAAATTAACTGACTATGTAATTGTGGGGCTATTTCTGGACTCTCATTCTACCCATTGATTACTTTTGTCTATCTGTGTACTACACTGCCTTGTTTATATAAGCTTGACAGTATGTTTCTTCTTATTAAATTTCCTAAACAGTTGTTATTTGTATGTAGAAATGCAAAATTATTTTGTGTATTGATTTAGTACTCAGCATCATTGTTAATCTATCTTAATAATTCTAATTCATTTTCACTGGAATCTTTTGGGTTTCTATGTAGGTAATTTTATTGAATGACTATAATAATAATAATTTTGTTGCTTGCTTTCCAAATTGTGTATGCTGTAATTTTATTTTTCTTTTCTTGTTTTTGAAGCTAATAATTCTAGTAATGTCAGTAGTTTTGATGACAGTGGGCAGTCTTGATTCTGATTCTGAATATGTTGTTTTCAATATTTCACCAGAAGGACAGATATTTGCTACCAATGTCCTTTAGCAGAATAAAAATGTTTTCTTTAGTTCCTACTGTAAGAGATTACATCATGAACAGATGTACAGGATGTCAGCAATATGTGGGGTATGTTTCACTAAAAACTCTCTCTTCCATAAAAGCAATGAGATAACTGGAGACATTGTAAGAACCAACTTTTTCCGGACTTTGGAAATTAACCAAAGGCTTGCAGCAACCAAGTGAGCATTTTTTTTCAAGATAAATGGCGAAACTTGATAAAAATTGAGAGTTTTGTTGCATTTTAACATGCCTTAGTTCCATCTCCCACTTTCCACTACTCTGTGGTAGCCTTGAAAAATAACTGCTGTGTAGTGTTAGGGCCCTTTCAAAGCTTCATTCCCAACCTATCTTTCTTTCTTTCTTTCTTTCTTTCTTTCTTTCTTTCTTTCTTTCTTTCTTTCTTTCTTTCTTTCTTTCTTTCTTTCTTTCTTTCCTTCTTTCTTTCCTTCTTTCTTTCCTTTCTTTCTTTCTTTTTCTTTCTTTCTTTTTTCTTTTTTTTTTAAGACAGAGTCTAGCTTTGTCACTCAGGCTGTAGTGCAGTGGCACGATCTCAGCTTGCTGCAACCTCCATCTCCTGGGTTCAAGCAATTCTTCTACCTCAGCCTCCTAAGTAGCTGGGATTACAGGTGCCAGACACCAAGCCCAGCTAATTTTTGCATTTTTAGTAGAGACGTGGTTTCAACACATTGGCCAGGCTGGTCTCGAACTCCTGACCTCACGTGATCTGCCCACCTCGGCCTCCCAAATTGCTGGGATTACAGGTGTGAGCCACTGCGCCGGCCAGAATTATTCTTTTACCAGTCAGGTGGTTACCTAGAAGACCCCATTTGCAAGGCTATTCATATTTGATCTGACTCAAGCTTTTCCCCAGGAGACATTTGGTGAAAACAATTACAAGAAAGTGTTTAACTTCATGACTGCTTGAGGTGGTGGATAACGGTTGGGCAAAAATAGACAAATCAAAAAACTTGAGCAGAATAGTTGAAAACTGAAATATTCATATGGACTTTGAAAAGCTCCAACATATTTTTGAGTATCTAAAAGACTACACACACACATAAGGTTGTGTGCATGCATAAGGCTGTGCGCATGCTCAGGGCTGTGCATATGTACCCAAATGGCCAGAGAAGTCCCTACATTCTCACCTTCACTGACTTTGAGGCTCTGTGCGAGCAGGAAGAGAAAGGTAATACAGAATTGTCAACTGCCTGGTTGAGTGTTAATTACATGCCCCAACAGATATACAGAACCCCTGGCAAAGACTGGGAGACTTTTTCATTCCAGGCATTAGGACAATCTTTGTTAGCTTGCTATTGAACTAGCTAGGGGAAGATCTAAGTACCACACGTGACAAAACATATAGACATTACAAATTTAGTTCAGAAAAGTCACTGAACAAACAAAAACTATAATAAGCAATGACAACAGCAAACCCCAGAGTTGCCACATATAGGGTTTAAAATGTTCAGTATTCAGCAAAAATGTGAAACATGCAAAAAAAGAAGAAAATATGACCCATAAACAGAAAAATAGTCACTCAGTTGAAGCTGTCCCAAAGAAGCCCAGATATTGTACTTACAGATGTTGTCAGCTATTCTAAGTGTTTTCAAAGAGCTAATAAAACTATGTCTAAAGCAGGGTTCCCCACTCGGCCCGGACTGGTACTGGTCCATGGCCTGTTAGAAACTGGGCTGCACAGCAGGAGGTGAGCAGTGGGTGAGCAAACATTGCCACCTGAGATCTACCTCCTGTCAGATCAGCAGTGACATTAGATTCCTATAGGAGTGCAAACCCTATTGTGAACTACACATGAGAGGAATCTAGCTTGTGCATTATGAGAATCTAACTGATGCCTGATGATCTGAGGTACAACAGTTTCATCCTGAAAACCAGCCACATCCCTGCACCCACCAATAGAAAGATCGTCTACCATGAAACCGTTCCCTGGTGCCAAAAACGCTGGGGACCGCTGACCTAGAAGAGAGAAAGAGAACTCTTTCTCACCAAATAGACATCAATAAGAAAATAGACACCAAGTACATAGGAAACTACATATAAATGCTGCAGTTGAAAAGTAAAATAACTGAGATGAAAAATTCACCTGAGAGGCTCAAAAGTAGATATGAGTAGGTAGAAAAAAGAATCAGCAAATTTCTACAAAAATATGAAAACTGAAATTTAAAATATAATAGCAAATACAACCACCTCAAATAAAATGAAATACTTAAATCTAAATCTAACAAAACGTGCAACATTATGCTTTCAAGCCGTTCATGTTATATTGAATCAGTTTCTTGCAGGTAGAATGTTAGATCATTTTTTAAAAATCTACTTTACCAATTTCTGATTTTTCATTGATGTGTTGAGACCACTGCAATCAAAGTAATTGTTAGTACATTAGGGCTTAAATATTATTATTTATTTAATAATATTAAATAGGGTCTAATAGTAAGGCCCCGTTATTATTGGTTTTCTGTTTTTCCTGTTTCTCTTTTCTTATTTCATGTGCTTGTTTAATTATTTTTAAAATTGGATTTTGATTTAATTAACTGTGATTTGGAGCATAGGATTTTGTATGGTTTTATTAGTGGTTGCTCTAAGTGTTATAATTTACAAACGAAACTTATCACAATTTACTAAACTCAATATTTTACCACTTCATATGAAATATGAAAACCTTACTTCTGTTTAGGTCTCTTTATCTGCTCCACTTTTAAAATATAATTGTTTCAAGTATTCCTCTATATACATTAAATGTTACATCAGATAATTTTTGCTTCAACAATCAAATATTATTTAATAAATTCATGAGAATTGTTTAATATATTTATCCCAATTTTACCAATTTTTTTTTTCTTTTCTGAAGTTTCAGTTCTGTTATCCTTTTCTTGAAGAACTTCCTTTTGCCTTACTTTAATGATAGATTTTATTATGGACAAATTATCTTAGCTTATCTTTATTTGAGAATATATCTAATTTTCCCTTCATTCTGGAAAGATAGTTTCACTAGGTATAGACTCTGCATTTGATAGTTTTAGTTTTTTGTATTCTTTCAGCACTTGAAATATCTTGTGCTGCTTTGGGGTCTCTATTTCAGATGAGCAATCTACTGTCGTTCAAATTGGAGTCCTCCTGTAAGTACTAATATAGTCCCTCTGTATCCGCGGGTTCCATACCTAGGGATTCAACAAACTGCAGATTAAAAATATTTGAAAAAAATACAATAAAAATAATACAATAATACAAATTTTAAAATAACAGTATGACAGCAATTTGCACAGCATTTACATTGTATTAGATATTACAAGCAATCTAGAGAGGATTTAAAATATACGAGAGGATGTGCATAGGTTATACACAATACCATGCCATTTTTATAAGGGACGTGAGCATCCATGGGTCCTGGAACTAATCTCCCATGGAAATTGGTACATTGTTTCTTTCTAACATATTTTAAGATATTTTCTGTCTTTAGTGTTCAAAACTTTAAATATGATGTGTCTTGACACAGAGTCTTTGTATTTATCCTTTTTGGGTTTTACTTAGCATCTGAATCTACAGGTTTATACTTTTCATTAAATCTGGAAAATTTTTAGTCATTATTTATTCAAATATTTTTTTCAGTCTCAAACTCTTTCTCCTTTCCTTCTGTACTTCAATGATATGCATGTTAGATCTTTTGTTATTGTCCCACGGGTAACTGAGAGTTTGTTCATTTTTTACTCTATTTCTCTATTATTAAGTTTGGATAATCTCTGTCATTCTATCTTTAAGTTCACTGATTCTTTTATCTACCATATTTTTGCTGCTATTATGTCCATCTATTAATGTTTTTTAAAAAATTTAGTTATTATAGTTTTCAGTTCTATAAATTTGTCTTAGTCTTTAAAGAAATTCTGTTTTTTGCTGAGCCTTTCTGTTATTTTTCATTTCTTTCAATGTGTTTTAAATTGCTTGTTGGAAAATTTTTATGATGGCTGCTATAAAATCCTTGTCAGATAATTCCAACATCTGAATTATCTCATTGTTGGTATCTATTGATTTTCTTTGATCACGGCAGTTATTTTCCTGGTTCTTGGTGTAATAATTGACCTGCCATTGTATCCTGGGCATTTTGTGCATTGTGCATTGCATTGTAAAAGTTGGATCCCATTTATTTCCAAAATATTTTAGTTGTAAGAATGAAGACCTGAGAGGAATGGGCCTCTTCCATCTTGGCCAGCACCAACAGTCAGATTTATTTATTAAATCAAAACCTTTTTTGTGTGCTTTAAATAATCCTAATATAATCATGCTATATCAATAATTTTTACACTGCTAGATTTTATTTGCTAACTTTATGTAGGATTTTTATAACTGTCTTGATAATTAAGATTGCCTTGTTATTTTTCTATTTATATCCTTACTTGATTTTTACAACAGGGTTATCCCAGCCTCATAAAATTACTAGAAGAATATATGCTGATTCTATAAAATAATGTGAATGAGTTAAACGATATTCTCTTAGGATGTTTGGGAGGTTTAACCTGTAAAAGCAAATAAATGTGTATATAAACACAAACATTGTCAACAAAATACTAGCAAGCCAAATTCAAAATGATATGAAAAGTATTATCAGCATAATCAAGTGGGATTTATCTCAGTAATACAAAGCTGTTTTAATATTCAAAAACAATAGATAGGTCATATTAATAGAATAGAAGAAAAAAATTACATGCCCATAAGAATTGATGCAGAAAAAGCATTTGATAAAATCCAATACTCTTTCACAGTAAATCTCTCAACAAACTATAATAAGAACAAAAGAGAATTTCCTCAGCCTAACAAAGAACAACTAAGAAAAATTGACAGCCAACATCATAGTTAATAGTGAAAGACTAAAAGGTTTTCACCTAAGGGCAGGGACAGAACAAGGATGGCCACTCCCACCACTTCAATCCAACTTTGTTGGAAGATTTAGCCAGGAAAATTAGGTAAGAAAATGAAATAAAATAAATAGGAAGGGAAGAAGCAGATGACAAAAACATGTATATAGAAAAAAATCCACTAAAACTTTCTAAGAACTGATGCACAATTTTAGCAAGTTTTCAAGTTACATGATTAAGATATAAAAATCAACTGTATTTCTATAATTAATATGACTAATATTAACAGTGAGCAATTTGAAAAGGAAATTAAAAAATAAGTATGACAATTCCATTTAAAATAGCATCAAAAATAATAAAATACTTAAGAATAAGCCTACCAAAAGAAATGTATGACACTTACAATGAAAATTACAAAACAGTGCTAAAAGAAATTAAAGAAAATCTAAATAAATTGAAAAGCATCCTTTGTGCATGTATCAGAAGATGGCAATACTTCCTAACTTGAGCTATAGATTCTATAGATTCAATAAATTTCTATCAAAATTCCAGCCAGAGTTTTTTGAGAAATTGATTCTAAATTTCGTGTAAAAATGCAAGAGACCCAGATTAGTCAAAATAATCTTGAAAAAAGAAGAGCACATTTGGAGAACTCACCATTCTCAATTTCAAAACTTATGACAAAGCTACGGTAATCAAGATGTGTGATAGTGGCATAAGTATAGCCATATAGGTCAATGAAATAGAAAAGGTATAGAATTTTCCTCTTATACTTATGGACTAATTGATGATTTAAAAGGTGACAAAAACTTATGAGGAAAGGATAGTCTTCAAAAAATGGTGCTGAGACTAATGGATATCCCTGTGCAAAAGAATGATGTTACAACTCTTCCTCATTATATACTCAAAATATTTATTCAACATGGATCATTGACTAAAAGTCTCCCCCATCAAGAAAAAAGATACAGAAACGACTAACAAACACATGAAAATATCTTCAATGTCATTAGTTCACTTTGTGAATATAATAAACACCCTTACATTATACACTTCATATGGTTGAATTTTATATGTGAATGTAAATATACCTAAATAAAGTGTTAAAAATGGGACCAGTAGACACAGATTATGAAGTATCAATTCAATTCCTTAAGTGGGTTTAGGACAATGAATAATTCTTTGAAATATATTTTTCTAAGTAATTATTCACTTTATATAGGGCTTTAACTTATAGAGATTAAATGTTCATAACATTTTATCAGTTTTAATGTGTCTTTAATTTGTTGTATCTCCATGTCCTCTTCTTTGGCTTTTCTATATGTTTTGCCTACTCTCTTATTTTTGGTCAATCTTCTCAAATTTTCCTATTTTATTCATTTTTTCCCCAAGTGCTGACTTACAGTTCTGTTAGTCTTCTCTTTTATATTTTTTGTTTATATTTAATTTATTTTTTAAACTATTTTCTTTGGTTTTATTATATTATTTTCTTATATCTTAAGTGGGATGCTTGTCTCATTGATTTACAGCCTTTCTTCTTCCATAATATAAGCTCGTATGACTACATGTTTCCTGTAAGGCTATACAATTCCTACTTTTTATAATATTACATATGAAGTGTATTAATACTCAGTTAGTTCTAATTATGTTTATTCAATTATGGATTGTTTTACTATTCCAGGAGTTGTTAAATGAGTTTCTACACTTCTAACTTTATGGTTTTTAAGTGATAGTTTCATTGTTTAGGCTTAAGTCAATTGCATTTTAGTCAGAGAATATGATTGATATGATAACAAACCTTTAGAATTTGGATTTCTTAAAATATGGCCAAGTTTTGTAATACATAATGTTTGCTTGAGAGGAATGTGTATTCTATTATTGTTGAGTGTAGGTTTTATATAAATATCTTCAGACCAACCTTTTAAAATTTTCCACGTTCTTTAGAACCATGGGCTGGTTCAGTGACTTTGAGAGCTACATGTTAATATCTGTGAGACTTAAATTGTCAATTCCTCCATTTGGTTCTGTCAAATTTTTCCTTTATATATATCAAGACTATGTGAATAACCACATGACCGTCTTCATGGGCATACAATTTGTACAGTCACACAGGACCCCATACTTAGCAGGACCCATGATTGCTTTAATATTCTGCAATAGCCATCTTGAAATTCTTAGAAGATTTTTAACGTAGGTGCCCCACATTTTCATTTTGCCCTACACCCTGAAAATTATGCTTTTGGTCCTGTATGTTTATAATTTTCTTGGTTCTGTTACATTTTTGCTTCACATATTTCAAGACTATATATGAGGGGATAAATTTGGCTACTGCTTGCAATCTTCCACGTATCTCAATACTCAATATCCAACGCTGTTTGATCTCATAAGACATTCAGCACTATGATCCCTTCATTTTCTTCAGTCTATTGGCTCCTTATTGGGCATTAACTTTCCCTACATTGTCTGGATTCTGTTTGGTCTCCTGAGCTGTTCTACTTAAAGATCTATGTTCCTTGATAGAACTGTATTTCTGGGTGCATCCTTCCAGAAAAACCTACGAGGAGGCAAGCATGACTTGTTTTTAATTGTATCCTTAATTGCTCTAACAACATCTAACACCTAGTGGCCATTTAACAGATATTTAGTACATTAATGGTGATTGTTATTGATCACATTCTCCTTGAGGTTTCTGCAGATTTCCATAACACTACTTTTGCCATATTCTTTAGGTTTAGGATTATCTTTATCTTTTTTCACTGGCATTATCTTCTCAGTATACACATTAAATTTTAGGACTCCATGAGATTTTATTTTTGGTTCTCTTATTTTAAATTCTTCTTTCTCTCACTGATCATTCCCATGCATTTACTTTTTGCTTATAATTCACTATATCCATTTATATATTCTTTTTTAAATGATACACAAATATTTATTTAAGTTTCAGAGCATTCTAGACCCCTGGTGAAACAATCGTGAAGTGTTTTCCACACCATCTGTCTGAGGGTTCTTGAGGAAAATTGAACCCTAGTTGTTTCAACTGTCACCAAAGATTGCCACAGGCTTTACTGGCTCTCCCTTCTTCTCTTTTACATCTCCTTATTCCTTTGCAATGTGTCCTAAAATCATGTCCTAAATGAACTACTTTCATACATTCTTGTCTCAAAATCTGTTTTTTTTTCTGAAACCAAAACTGAGGATAAGCGTACAATACGTATTTATTGAATGAATGAATCAGTAACTAAATGAAGATGTCTAAACGTTTTTAAAATTGTATTGCTGACACTTGAAAGTGTAACCATAAGTTACCTTCTTGGTTTCCTCACTCATGACTGCACCCTGTATAATTATACTGAATGCGCTGCTTCTTGAACCTAGAATATCCTTTCATGGACCTTGTTTTATCTAAAATGATCTTTCTCATATTTACCTCCTAGAAAATGCATTTGTAGTCTTGAAAACCCAGATCAAATGTTACATTCAATGGTTACATAGTGCTTTATACATAGTAGAATGTATAATAAGTGTTTCAAAAGATGAAAGAGATGTTTTATTGAAGCCTTCTTCAACTTCTTTCTAAGGAGTCATGTCAAATATTCTGAGGCCAGCTTAAGTTAAATATATGGTATTTTTGTAGGAAAAATCTGAATTAAAGCCAGGAAGATATTTTGAAAAGTCTTTAAAAATGTGAAGCATTATTTGTATATTTAATTTAACACAGTCTTTTTAAATATAGTTAATTCAAAGAAGAGATATTGTCCCTGTTCCCTACCAGATAGCTTTGAAACCCAGGGGCTAATCTCATTAGGTCTGCCAAATTTAACCTTCCCTTGCTTTTGGTCATCTGCTTTTTATTTTATTTTTAAAATATTTTTTTACCCATGTAGCTGAAAGCACCACCAATGACTGCTGTAACTTAACCTTCCCTGGATTTCTTATAGATAACATTCATTTGTATAAATATTATACTATGGTGAAGGTAATATATTAATAATATATGGTATTATTACCATCACCATGGAGATTGTCACTTATGTTGTTTCTGAGGAACTTGGGGCCGCTCCTGTTCAGCTTAATCCAGTTGAGACCACTGACCTTTCAATTGGGCCTGCAGAAATGCCCAGGAGTTGACCTTTCAATATCGGAGGGCCAAAAACTTCATCCTCAGATCATGATAAGGCCGCCATTTTCTGAACATATGTCTTGTTAAGAGCTAAAATCCCGATTAGGCTTGCATAGACCACTGATTGCTTTTTCCTACTGCCAAACACCTTTCTCCACACCTTAGACCACCCCACTTCTCTAACCCATAAATATCCTTAAGCCCTATCTTCAGGGAGGCAGGTTTGAGAGCTGTTCTTCCTCCTCCTTGCTTGTGACTAACCCTTTTCTTTTTTGCAAAACCAAGCATCACAGTGATCGCTTTCTTCATATGGGCACAGTGAACCTGGTTAGTATCAGCTTTTATTAATTAAAAAATTAATACAAGTTAAAGTTCAAAATATTGAACCAATATATGCAAGTATAACATGAAAGTGATGCCTTCTCTACTCCACCTAGTCCTACTTCCCAAAGGTAAACACCATTAGAAATTTATTATTCAGTTTCCACTTAGAAAATCAATGTGTGTGCCCAAACAGATGCATCTATTTATATATTCTCTCACATTCCCCCTCCCCACAAAAGATTATACTCTATGTTCCAGGATTTTGCTTTTGCTCCTAAAATTAAGGTCTTGGATATATTTCCACATAGGTACATACAACCCAATCTTATTATTTTTATGACTAATTTTATTCCATTTTAAGTATATACTATAATTTATTTTTAAGGCTCCTTACTGATGGACACCACTTTATGTCTTTTAAAAATATTATTACAAAAAGTGTTGCAATAAATATCTTTATGCAGACATTCTGAAAAGATTTTGCCTGTATACCCTTGGGTTAAATCTTTGAAATAGGATATGTAGGCCAAAATGCATGTACATTTACAAAGTTTTGGTTAGCAGAGCTAAACACAGACACTTTTTTTATTTTAGATACTTTAGATTTATGCTGAACAGTGGTTTCTCCAAACCACGTTTCACAGCCCTGCCAATTTTTCTCACAAGCTCTCTGATAATTTTTTCTAAAGGTAGTAGTGTCCAAATGGATGGGCAGGCTGTTTGTTTTTTCCCTTATGTCTTATCCATGCCATAAAACACTCCACTATGATTACTGTGAGTCTGCTTTCCTTGTTCAGATTCACATCTCCTCTAGCTTAATGACAATTCACTGCTTTGGTAAACTTCACTTACCTCTCCACCAGAACTGTAAGCCAAAAGATTTTAGAATTGGATGTTTCGTGCCCACATGCTGCTAGTCTATGTCAGAAATAACTTACATATGAGACTGACAAATTATTTACTAAAGTAAGTACAATGTACACAGCAAGTCTAAAGGAAATGATTCGTTAGAAGTCTTACCCTGTTTCCTTTCTGTGGACCTCTTATTAGCTTAATATTGATCTCTCAGTCTCATAAAAGTCACACTGAAATTTTAAGTCATTTCATTTTATATTGTCATGCACAGTATATCATGATTAGATGGATGTTTTCAGTTCTAATTAGTTTATGTTGGGCTATTTTATTATTTCCTGGTGTTTTCCAAAATATTCTATATTCTGCATAGCATCACTTCTTTCTCATATTCTTCCAATAATTTAGCAAATTATAAGTAGCTATTGTAATCAGTTATGAAGAAGACATTTTTTGAATGTAAATTTTCTTGCAAAAAGTCAGGTCATTCTAATATTTTAGGGTTTTTCCCCCTTCTCATTATTCCTTGACTAAAGTAAATAAAATAGTTCTGAATTTTGTCATATTACTTTTGATTCATCCTACTAATAAGTGTGCTGATTATATTAGAAAAGACAATAAAAGCCCTAAATGTATTTTGTTACTATATATGTGTAAATATATTATGTACTTTCCTAGGCAACAAAACTACCTTCATAGAAGCCAAATGTTTTAATCTTAACTTTATGGCCTTTTCCTTCTATCTTTTCTTTCACGCTATGTCCTACAATCCTGGCAATGTACAGATAGTCATGGAAAATATTAACTTCTTCATAAAGAATCTCCTATGTTTGACCTCTCAAAAATATCAATATAGTTTTTTTTCTTAACTTATTTGTGAGGGATGAAGCAGAATTTTTAGAATGTTTATTTCAAGCCCCCCTAATAATAAGAAAATTTAAAACCATATATTCTGTCACCCTATACTTTAGCTTTCTACTGTTGTATAATAATTCTAATCATTCAAATGACTTAAAACAACAACCACTTTCTTATTTCTTCCAAGTCTGTGGGTTGACTGAACTCTGCTGGATGGTTCTTCTACTTCAAGTCATCTGGGGAAGCAAATGAGTTACAAGCTTCAAGATGGCTCCTCACTTGGCTTGCAGTTGGCTGGGTGCTCAGTGGAATCTTTCAACAGGAGCACTTCTGTTCTCCTCCTCTTGGCATTACCCTGTGACTTGGGCTACTTGCAGTTGTCAGTTGGGTTCCAAAAAGTGGAAAATGGGAACTTTCAGCTATCTTAAGGCTTAGATTTGAAAGTCCCAAAACATCGTTTCACTGTATTCAACTTGCCAAAGCAAGTTTTAAGGCAGACCGGAGTCAAAGAAAGGAGAAACAAACTGTACTACTTGACGTCAAGAGTGGCGTGCACAAACAGGATGGAGAAGAATTCTTGGAAGCTGTCACTGGAAACTAAGCACTACAGTCTACATTTCTGGAGCTCTTGGAGAAAGGAAGAAGGAATGGGTAGGCAAAAGAAATACACAAGTAATAAGTTGTAAACTCTCTAATAATTTTAGAACCTAGTGGCCTGTGTGATGGAACAAAATCATCTGGATAGAATATTGAAATAAATACAAATATGTGTGGAAGAAAATAGTTCTCTAGAGCAGCTGTCCCCAACCTTTCTGGCATCAAGGACTGGTTTCGTGGAAAACAATTATTCTACAGACATGGGGCAGGGGGCACAGATGGTTTCAGGATGATTCCAGTGCATTACATTTATCATTAGATTCTCATAAGGAGTGCGTAACCTAGATCTCTTGCATTTGCTGTTCACAATAGGGTTTGAGCTCCTATGAGAATCTAATGCCACTGCTGATCTAACAGGAGGCAGAGCTCAGCTTTGCTCTCTGGCTGCCACTTACCTCCTCCTGTGCAGCCTGGCTCCTAACAGGCCAGAGACAGGTGCTGGTCTGTGACCCCGGAGCAGGGACACTGTGCTCTAGAGTACCTGTTCTCCACAGACAGTCTTCTTGGACCATAGAGGAATTCACTTTTTGGTCTTAACCTATTCATTGTTGTATAACTTTTTGAGAAAAAGATATATTTTTTTAGTTTTTATGGTTAAAAGTTCTATGATTTCAGGCTTTTTGGTTCTATAGAATTATGTAATCATTTTTGCTTTGTTGCATGAAATTAAGTGGGTAATTTTGAAATTATTTTCCAAATTTCTAGTTTATTAATATAAGCCTATTAAGAAAACCAAAGATTCAGGTTGGCTGAAGTGAGTATTCAGTTAAGAACTTATAACAAAATGTCAATAGAAGAATAAATTTTTCATTAGTCAGTACTTTTAGAGCAGAAGAGATAGAAAATTACTATTAGAAAAGGTGTAATAACTTGTTTCACCTTCACTTCAATTAGGAAGAAATTTGTCTAAGGTTTAGCTGTACTCATAGAAGGGCAATATTTACTTTCCAAATTGAGAAAACATGGCCTTCACTTGGGAATTGTTTTGCATTCATGTTACTTCTGAGTTGGTTAATAAACTAAAGAACACTAACATGGACATAGAGCTATTGGATCAGACTTACACAAATATAGAATGAGCATTTGACTAAGTGGTGTTCTGTGAAAATAGGACCTGCTTTAAAAGCTTAGAAGAAAAGAGCAAACTAAACCCAGAGTAATCAGACAAATGGAGATCATAAATTTCAGAGTAGAAATCAATGAAACATGAAAAGTAGAGAAAATAAAAGCAAAAGCTTATTCTTTAAGAAAATTTTAAAAATTGATAAATTCTAGTCAGTCTGATTAGGAAGAAAAGAGGTAAGACCAAACTTATCAGTAACAAAAATAAGAGAGGTGACATCACTATAGATAATACAGATAATACAGATATTAAAATTATAATAAAGGCTTCCAGGTTTTGGTTTAGCAAATGAGAAGCTTGGAAGTTGTCATTCCATCCCCAAAACAAGTAAAAAGCTAAACAAACTGAAAAATGAATAACTCTGCTTAGATTTGTCAGAGATGTGAGGTCACATGACAAACCATTGCCTCCCATATTGGAAAGAAAGATACAGACAATCTGAAGTTACGAAAGCAGAAACCCACAAGCACAAGACTCTGAGGGAGTCAGTGCAGGAGTAGGAAGACCCGAACTTTAAGTGACAAATTGCTGGAGTCTCAGTGTGAACAACTCTGTGATTTAAAATGTCCAGGGGGGCCCAGTTATACTGAGAGCTGAAATAAGCGCTCAGTCATCCCAATAATTTTGTGAATTGTGTCCCCAGGAGCTCTACTAGGTCTGAGAGTGAATATCAGAAAATATCCCCTTATACTTCCAGTGGACAGAAAAAAACAAACAAAAAAATTAAAAAAAGAAAGAAACCATTCTGAAATATATTAAAGCATTCTGTTCTTAACAAGGCCTGCCCTAGGAGAAACTGTTTTACCAGAGCCTAACCTACTGGGGCTATATCAGAGCCTAATTTACCTGGGGAAAGGAAAACTCACAACTTCAGCCCCTTCCAGCCATTCTATCCTACCTAATGAGGAGGGGAATGCTGAGAAATACTTGCAAAATTCACAGTCCAGGGGTGCAGGCTTACCAAAAGACTGAGACCTAACCGTAGGGATATAGAATGCTTGCCTACCCACATCTTACCACTACGTCACTAGAGGCCTACTTACTATAGCTCCTTTTATCTAGTACATCCTTTCTGCCTTTCAACAGAATAATTATAAGGCATACTTAAAGGCAAAAAGCACAGTCTGAAGAGACTAAACAATTATCTTTAAGTGGCTCTGTGGGAGCATGGGGACACTTGGGTAATGCTAGGAAGGAAGCTTGTATAGGAACCTTGTCAGTGATGTCCACAGGATCTCAGAAAAATAAAGGTGACCAGTCTGAGTCACCACTTAGCTAATGAATCAGTAATTGATTCTCCAACAGGACTGTTAAAAGAACCCTCAAGAGGGTTAGGTGACTCTAGGAGTATAGTAAGTTCTCGGTAGCATCATGGATAAGTTCTTAGAAACTGCCACTAGATTGCAACTGCAATTGGATTGCAACTGCAACTGCAACTTAGATTCTGCTGGAGAATCAATTACTGATTCATTAGTTGAGCAACAAAAGAAGAAGTTGTGTGGTATGTAGGGGCCATGCTTTATAAAATTGGGTATTTTTTTTTTTTTTTTTTTTGAGATGGAGTCTCGCTGTGTCACCCAGGCTGGAGTGCAGTGGCGCGATCTCGGCTCACTGCAAGCTCCGCCTCCCGGGTTCACGCCATTCTCCTGCCTCAGCCTCCCGAGTTGCTGGGACTACAGGTGCCTGCCACCACGCCCGGCTAATTTTTTGTATTTTTTTTAGTAGAGAAGGGTTTCACCATGTTAGCCAGGATGGTCTCTGTCTCCCCACCTCATGATTCGCTCGCCTCGGCCTCCCAAAGTGCTGGGATTACAGGCGCCCGGCCAAAATTGGGTATTTTTAAATGTTAGATTTATCTTCCACATGGCAAGATATTCCCAATATTGGGACATATGCTTGTGGAGTGGAATTGAGGGGGATGTTGGCTGAGAATAGACCTAGCATTTAATTTCTTATATAACTTTATTCTTTTAATTTCTTATATAACAAGTATTGAATATATAAGAATTACATATTACACGTGCATGCATAAATAACTGTGTTAAGATATAAGAACAGTAAGTCCTTACTTAACATCGTCAACAGGTTCTTGGAAACTGTGACTTCAAGCAAAATGACCTATAGCAGGTCGTCAAATAATGCTGCTTCCTTCAATCTCATTTTGTTGTTGATGAGAACCAAAAAGTGGTTTAATTATACATCGTTTCACTTAGAGTTGCAGTTGCTAGGAACCTATCCATGATGTTAAGTGAGGATTTACTGTACTGCTTTCAAAGAAGGAAACATTTTTAAATCCAATTTCTAAAAATTTTTTTCCTTTAAGCATGCTTGTTGGTCATTTTAACATATAAATAGTAAGTTTCTTATTTCAGCTCTTGAAATGTGGTTTGGTTTTTGTAATAAAACAGTTGGTGAATAAAAAAAGGCAAATTATTAATAATTTTATAACAATAAATCTGAAAACATGAACAAATTTCAAGAATGATAAAATTAACAAATCCCTTTCCAGGAGAAATATATAACTTGAATAACTCTGTTATCTATTAAGGAAATTGAGTTTATAATTGAAACTGTCCTAAATGAATTCTGTAAACTACTTAAGGAAGAAGTAATACCTATTCTACAAAACAACCTCCGTAAAATGGAAAAGAGAATACTTTCTAACTCATTTTATGAGGCCAACATTATCCTGATACAAAATCAGACAGAAACATAAATCTGCAGGTCAATATCCCCATACTTACGCTAAATTATAAACAAACTGCAACTCAAATGCAAAATTGAATAAGAGAGATAAAACATCATAACCAAGTGAGGTTGATCCTAAGAACTCGAAATTAGTTAACATTTTTGTTTGTTTGTTTTGAGACGGAGTCTTGCTCTGTCGCCCAGGCTGGAGTGCAGTGGCGCAATCTCGGCTCACTGCAAGCTCCGCCTCCCGGGTTCACGCCATTCTCCTGCCTCAGCCTCCTGAGTAGCTGGGATTACAGGCGCCCGCCACCGCGCCCGCCGCCACGCCCGGCTATTTTTTTTTTTTTTTTTTGTATTTTTAGTAGAGACGGGGTTTCACCGTGTTAGCCGGGATGGTTTCGATTTCCTGACCTCATGATCCACCCGCCTCGGACTCTCAAAGTGCTGGGATTACAGGCGTAAGCCACCGTGCCCGGCCAAATTGGTTAACATTTTTAACAAGCAATGTAATTCGCCAATAAAGTTTAAAGAAGATGAAAAAATGATTGTTTGAATAGATAAAGAAAAACACCGGATTAAGTCCAATATGATAAAGACTCATTAAAAAAACTGTCAGTAAACTAGGAAACAAAAGAGTTGAGAGCTGGACGTTCCACGCCCATATGCTGCCCATTAATGTCAGATATGACTTATGTATAAGACTGATAGAACTGTCTAAGTAAATACAATATCCTAAACCTGAAAAAAGAGGTTTGTGGAAAACCTGCAGCTAATATCCTATTTAACAGTGAAAGAATGAATATTTTACCCTTGAGATCATGAAGCAAACGAAGTCTACTCTCACCACTTTTACTCGACATTATTTTGGAACAAGTAGAATAAAGTGTGACAGAAATAAAAGGCATCTAGATTTGAAAGGAAGAAGTTAAACTATTTATTCACAGATGAATAATCACTTATGTAGAAAAGCTAATGGAATCTACAGGAAAGCTACCAAATCTAATAAGTAAGTTTAAAATGCACCATGCTAAAATAAGCAATTGTATTTCTCCATTTTATGCATTGCATTTCTAGCAATGAACTACTGAAAGCAGAAATTTTTAAAAAAACAAGACAATTTTTCAAAGCATTGAACAATATAAAATTGGGATAAATCTGACAAAAGACAAGCATGTCCTGTACACTGTACACATCCACGTCCTGTACTATCAAACATCAATGGGGGACATTAAAGAGGACTTAAATAAATGGCGGTATTAGTGATTGTTATGCATTTGAAGGCTCAATGTAGTTAAAGGGTCAGTTCTTCCCAAAAGGATCCACAGACTCAAAGAAGTCCCAATCTAAATCCTGGGAGCTTCTTTGTTTTGTTTTGGTTTGGTTTTTGTACAAACTGACTAGCTGATTCTAAACTTCATATGGGAAGGCAAAGAACCTAGAATAACCACAACTTTGAAACGATAAACGAAGTGGAAGAACATACAATACCTGATTCAATATTTATTATAAGGTAATCATGACAGTATAGTATTTGGCATGAAGGCAGATGTCAGTATAATGGAACAGACAGTTCAGAAATAGAGCCCATATTTGTTAAAAATATATGGACAAAATATTGTATATAAAAATGCAAAGACAGTTCAATGGAAAAGGTCAGTCTTTAATACATGGTGCTAGAACAATTAAATATCCATGTGCAAAAAATAACATTTGATTCATCGTGCACAATATAAAAATTTGTTCAAAATTAATCACAGACCTGAATGTAAAACCTTAGAGTCTAAAAGAAAACAGTAGAAAATTTTTGTGACTTTGGGTTAGACAAAAATTTCTTATATGTGATACTAATTGCATAATGTGTAAAAGATAAAAAAAGAAATTTAACTTTTAAATGAAACACTTTATTTTTGAAATCAATGTTAAGAGAAAGACAAGACAAGCTCCAGATTTGAAGAAAGTATTTGCAAAGCATATATCTAATAAATAACTTGTATCCATAATATGTATAGGAATTTCAAGACCCAATAATAAGAAAAAATCCGAATAAAAAATGGACAAAAGATTTGAATAAACAATTCAAAGAAGACATAACGATAGCAAGTAAGTACATAAAAACTTGCCCCCATCGTTAATAAGTCATTAGGGAAATGCAAATTAAAACCACAATGAGATCCCACTAATACCTATTAAAATATCTATAATCTAAATGATTGACAATGCCATGTTTTATCAAGGATATAGCACAACTGTACCTCTCCTGTACAGCTGGTGGGAATATAAAATGGCATGACCACTTCAGAAAATGTTTTTGAAGTTTCTTAAAAAATTCGATATATACCTACTGTATGATCTAGTCATTCCACCCGTAGGTATTCACCCAAAATAATAAAGGCATAGGTTCATACAATGACTAGTACATAAATGTTTGTATTAGCTTTATTTGTAATAGCCAAAAATTGTAAACAATCCAAATGTCTATCAACAGCTGAATGGAGAAAGAAAATGTGGTATAACCCTGAAATAGAATGCTGCTCCGCAATAATAAGAAACTCATTATTGATACACACAATAGTATGGATGGATCTCAAAAAATTATGCCAAGTGAAAGAAGTCAGATGAAAAAAGAGTACAGAAAGTTTGATTTTAATTTTATGAAATTCTAGAAAATGCAACCTAATTTTATTGACAAAAAGCAGATCGGTGGTCGCCTCGGGACAGGAGCAGGTTAGAGATGGGCAGGAGGGGGAATTATAAAGGTCTATAGGGAAACGTTCAGAGGTTATGGATGTGTTCGTAATCTTGATTGTGATGACATACTTATACAGGGTGTATATGTCAAAACTTATTAAATTGTGCACCTTAAACATACATAGTTTATTATATGTGAACTATATCTTCCATAAAGCTGTTCATAAAAAATACAAAAATTGACGCTATTCAAAATAAATACCCACAATAAAACTTTTCGTATCCATTTATTTAGCCATATGCAATTAATTTTTGTTCTGCTGTATTTTGAATCAACAATATGCATTCATGATTTTGATCTGCTATAGACTAAAAAGAATCCAGAAAACTTTTAATCAATTACTCATTTTTGTCTGAAAGTTATTTAAGGTTGTCAGCTTCTAAGCTTTTACCAAAGAGTCTATTTTTTGAATAATCAATAATTCATAGTACCTAGTTTGATCCTTTTCATAAGCCTTGAGACACAATTCTAGCCAATAGCTTTTAGCAGATCCTTCAGACAAACATCAGATGAAAGCAGATGTATTTTATATATTTTATAATGAAACTGAAATATAGTTAATTTATTACTGTTGTCAGTCACAGGATAATTGAAGAGAGTAAAATTTCTATGTGGGTACAGTATATAACTATTTCATAGTAGTTTGATCAATATATCTCCTGAGGGTAAGGACATTTCTATGGATAACAAGAGTTTAACAAATCACTACAAGTCTCCAAGGCTTTTCTATGGAGTGTAGAAACTTAACCTAGGCAAGTCTGAGTGTGTCTTTTGTTTTAAAATTTTCCTATGCAGTTTATACAATAGTTTGAAGCTAATCAAGAAACATGAGAAAGAATTCTAATATTCCTAGCATCACTCTTTTTATAGCAAATCATTGTGATTCTTTGCTGTGACTGCTGTGGTAAATCTCAAAAATGGTTTGAGGTGTGAAAGCTATCCTAAAGTTTCGTTTTCCTTCGATCCAACCCTGGAAAGGCAAACTATGAAGAGTTGTCAGAGTGGACTTCATCACTTCATTAGGTCAAGTTTACAAATGCCAGAGTAATAATATTACACTTCAGTACATTTTAAAACTAAACACAGAAGAAGAAAACTCAATTGTACAGAATTTTAGCTCTTATGTAAGTAAGGAACTGTTTATTTTCAATTAACCATGAGAAAGTCAACAAAAAAGCAGTGAAGTTTATTCTGGTGAAATATGAAATCTCTGCTCTCCGACCTGATTACAGAGAAAGTTAAAAAATAAAAATAACCTTTTACTATCCCTCATTAAAGCCTGCAAAACCAATTTATTCTTTTAACAAAGAGAAAGTCAAATTCTAGTTTTACATGATTATATTATTTGACATTTCAGGTTTATGAGTTCCCCTGAAAAATTATCTTACAAATAAGCCCTTAATATGGAAAGATTTTGCTGAATTTTTAATATCTTTTATAGCATTTTTTCAGACTCAGCGAATATAAACTAAGGCCCATAGTGTCCCATTTTATCAAACTTTCTAAAGTTTGTAAAGTCTCCTGAAGTTTCTAAATATTTCTAAAGTTTTGTCTTTCAGTATGTTCTTTCATATTGTGAAACAGACTGACAGTTTAGTCCAACATTATTACTACTCTCTTTTTTCCTTGAAAAACAAAACCTCATCGCATCACCTTGTATACAGAGTTGTATTTCTTCTCACTGTGGTTCCTAGTATAGTCATAATCACCTACATTAATTGTAACTTTTAACCAAAATAATACTTTCTGTTTGGTAGAGAAAACTAGGAGATGAGAAAACAGTCTCATAGACAAGCATTTTTGCAGTTAGCAAAACTCATGATACTTATACCACAATTTCCTATGGGTAACCATATTTTATACCCTCTTAAAATAGCAAAAAGAATTTTTTTTTCTTAATGTAAGCCAAAGACACAACTACTCTATAACATGCAAGCAGAATAAACAAAGATGTATTATACAAATTGGAATTATGCTTAGTCAGCATGGTTTCACTGCTCTGTGTTACTTAGAAATTATCCAGTTATCTAAAGCTTATTCATTATTTAACTTGACTTGATATTAATTCAAGTTTTTAAGTTAAGGATTTTAGAAATCATGTCTACATTGACACAAAACATAATTACCCTTATAAAAACATTTTTTTAAAATATGATTCAATTTAGTTGAATCTAAAGTCACATTTCTATAATCTTGAACATTATGTAGAAGTCATATTATTTTCTTTAATACATAAAGGAATTTAGAAAGTTTAGATTAACTAGTTTCTTCATGAGAAAACAAGCTCATAATTGTATAAAAGTAAAATATAATGTTGTATTATACTTAATGCTGATAAATCAGACAAAAAACATATAGGTCTTTTTTTAGTTTCTTAGCCTGTAATTATTAAAGGTGCCTGATTTGTTCAAAGACTTGTCTTAATTGTGTGGACTTGAATGTTTAAATGTTTCTGCGTTAGGATTTTCTATAAGAAATATTTTTTTTTCAAAATCTAGCACACTTGTGTTAATTGTATTTGTCAACTTGACTGGGTTAAGGGATACCCAGATATCTAGTAAAACATTTTTGAGTGTGTCTGTGAGGGTGTTTCTGGAAGAGATTAGCACTTGCATTGGTAAACTGAATAAAGAATATCCACCTTTACCAATGCGAGCCTGCATTATCTAATCAATTGAGGGCCCAAATAGAACAAAAACTGAGAGGGAGGGTGAATCCTGTTTCTTTCTTCTGAAGTTGGACCATTCATCTTCTTCTGCCCTCAAACTCCAGAGCTCCTGGTTTTCAGGACTTGAGACTCCAGGACATACAGCAGTATTTCCCACCTGGTTCTCAGGCCTTTGGTCTTGGACTGGTAATTGCATCATTGGCTCCCCTAGCTTTCAAGACTTCAAAATTAGTCTGAATTACACCACCAGCTTCTTCTATCTTCAGCTTGCAGATGGCAGATGGTAGAGCTTCCTTTTCTCCATAATCATGTGAGTCAATTCCCATAATAAATTTCCTCTTATATATCTCTCTATGTATATCCTATTGGTTCTGTTTTTCTTGAGAACCTAATACAACACTTAAAGTAATAGACAAGTTGCTATATTTTCTATGAATTTTGACTATATTCAATTTATATACAGATATATAAGTACTTATTTAACTGTACAAGGCAATTTCAAAAGATCTCCTTTAATTTAAGAGGTATTATAAATAATCCATTTATTAATACCCTCTAGATATAGAAAAAGATTTTATATTCACACGAGATAGAAAGCCTTTTTTAAATTACAGAAAATACTTTATATCTTAAGTTCTATAATTTTGGCCTTAAATCAGAAGTAAACATAGACTCACAAAAATTCTTCAGTCTATGTCTCAAAGACTGTTGTTCCTAGTGAACATAAATTTTTAATGGATTTGAGATCATAAATTGATGTACAAATAAACAAAATGACTAACTAGATTCGCTGTCATTGCTCCCTCTAAGGAATAGGATTTCAATAATCTATCTAACAGATATCACCAAATGGTCTTCTGTAAAACCAAATCCTTAATTATTGCTACAAATGGGAAATAACGTATAGCCTGTGTGAATCCAGAATGTAAATAAAACACAAAATCACAGTTAAAATAAAAACAAAACTAGAGAGACAAAGTTAAAGTTCTTTTACTGGTTGGGGTGAAATATGGGAAGTAAAAAAATGCCTAGCAGGTCATAGCATATATGCGTTTCTTTGGCAAGAGCGTTTACTTGGCTGTCTCAGGTGAATCTACATGGACGTCTCAGTGAGAGCTCCAAAAATCAGTGAAGAATCGGTTTTGACAGGGCCAAATCATGACTTTTATGCAAATATAAAATAAGTACAATTTGAACGTTTTATTTAACTTATTAAATAATGAGAAAAGCATTTTAAAGTTAAAAGCAATCAAAAGAACATTTAAGAAACTAGCCAAATATTTGTATATATATCTAGATATATATATATGTCTAGGTGTCACACGTGTGCATGCATGTTTGTGTTTATTATATCTACATATCTATCTATATCTGTATCATCTATATGATGGTTTTTTGAAGTGTCAGTTTGAGTAGGCTAAACTCCAGTCCCCAGGATTCCTTTTATAGTATGTGTCTTGTTAATGTGGGTCCCTAGGGATATTCCCTTGAGGGAGTTGAAAGACAGAAGGAGGCAGTGAGTGTTTTATAGCAAACATTTCTCCCAGTTATTCAACCAAACACTAATCTAGGTATTTTTGTAAAGAAATTTTGCAAATGTAATTAAGGCCCTTTATGTCAACTGACATTAAGTTAATTAAGAGAAAAATTATCTTGACTGGGGACAGCAATCAGTTTGAAGAACTTTGGAAGAGGATGGAGACCTTCCCTAAGATCAAAGGGCACCTGGATCTGAAATTACTCTCCCTTTCCCGGGGTTCTTCCATTCTAGCTGCCACCTGTGGACAACGAACTTTCTTCAGCCCAACACTTTGGAGTTAATTCCTACTTACGATTTTTTCCTGTGTGCTGTCTTACAGACTTTAGGCTTCCTTAGCTATTCTCTAGAATTGTATAAGACAATTCCTTATAAACAAATATATATGTGCTTATAAAACTATAAATTTGTAATATATAGTATATTAAAATAGATATTTATAATCTCCTACTGGCTCTTCTTCTCCGATTGAATATTTAGGTACATAACTGGTTAATGTCCAACAGGGCAATAAACTATAACCTTTGTAATTATTACTTTCACCAGGTTGAAATTATTTTTATCTCTGAAAGACCAACATCTACAAATTAACATGAAATTTCTCAAAATCTATGAGTTTTAAATAGTGTGGTAAACAGTGGATTTAACTACGTATATTTTCTGAGATAATCATTGGGTGATCTTCCACTTGAATAGTATTGAAAGGTTATGTTGCCTATATTTTTGTCTATTTTTTTAAATTTTGAATAATTTACCGTAATATATTAAGGATTATCTTTTTTACTTAAAAGATAATTTACAAACTGGGTAATAGATGTGCAATTTATATCACTGACAAAACATTAAGTGAAGAATATATAGTCTTTAAGTCAATTAAAAAAACAGCTCACCAGAAAAATGGGCAAAAGCAACAGATGCTGGAGAGGATGTGGAGAAACAGAAATGCTTTTACACTGTTGGTGGGAGTATAAACTAGTTCAACCATTGTGGAAGACAGTGTGATGATTCCTCAAGGATCTAGAACTAGAAATACCATTTGACCCAACGATCCCATTACTGGGTATATACCCAAAGGATTATAAATCATGCTACTATAAAGACACATGCACACATATGTTTATTGTGGCACTATTCACAGTAGCAAAGACTTGGAACCAATCCAAATGTCCATCAATGATAGACTGGATTAAGAAAATGTGGCACATATACACCATGGAATACTATGCAACCATAAAAAGGAATGACTTCATGTCCTTTGCAGGGACATGGATGAAGCTGGAAACCATCATTCTGAGCAAACTATCACAATGACAGAAAACCAAACACTGCATGTTCTCACTCATAGGTGGGAACTGAACAATGAGAACACTTGGACACAGGGCTGGGAACACCACACACCAGGGCATGTCATGGGGTGGGGGGCAGGGGGAGGGATAGCATTAGGAGATATACCTAATGTAAATGATGAGTTAATGGGTGCAGCAAACCAACATGGCACTTATATACCTATGTAACAAACCTGCAAGTTGTGCACATGTACCCTAGAAGTTAAAGTATAATAAAAAATGAAAAGAAAAGAAAAATAAAAAAAAAAAAGAAAAATGGGCAAAAGACGTGAACATGAGTTTTACAGAAAGTAAATAGCATTTGGCCATGATATTGTTTGGCTCTGCATTCCCACTCGAATCTTATCTGGAATTGTAATCCCCATGTTTTAAAGAGGTACCTGATGAGAGGTGACTGGATCATGGAGTGGCTTTCCCCATGCTGTTCTCATGATAGTGAGGGAGTTCTCAGGAGATCTGATGGTTTTAAAAGTGGCAGTTTTCACTTGTGCTCTCTCTCTCCTGCCATCTTGTGAAGAAGGTGCCTGCTTCCCCTCCACCCTCCACCATGTGGAACTTTGAGTCCATTAAACCTCTTTTGTTTATAAATTACGCAGTCTCAGGTAGTATCTTTATAGCAGTGTGAAAACAAACTAATACAGGCCAGTAATCATGTGGAGAGATGTTCTACCTTATTTGAGATTAGAGAAACATAAATTTGGACTGTGCATAGGCACCATTTCATACCCATTCTATTTGCAAACATTGGTAAGTGTGATGCTATGAAATGTTGGAGAAAATGTGGATTTAAAAAGATTCTTATAAATTGTTGTAGGTAAACACTTTAAAATATTTTAACATTCCTTTGTGTGGGTAAATATTCACACGTCAAATAGTCACAGATTCAAACTCCTTATATACACCCAGGAGAAAATATTGTACCTATACACTGGGAATCACATACAAGGAAGGTTAGTAGAGATTTAGACATATCTTTAAGAGAAAAACAAGAAAAATGCAGTCAATTAAAAAAACAGATATATTCACGTGGAAAAATATTGTTTAGTAGTGAAATAAATGAATCATACCTAGTTACAGGTAACAGCAGAATGATATTGAATGAAACACAGAATAGATGAAACATAGAATAATATTGACCCTAAAATTAATTTCTATAAAATTATGCCAAGGTCACTGTGTCGTAAACATTCACATTGAATTTCATGTACAAGTAACCCTCCAGTGAGCTGTGTTGATGTCACTGCACTCCAGCCTAGGTGACACCACAAGACCCTGACTCAAAAAAAAGAAAAAGAAAAAAAAATTAAACCACCTTAAAACATTGACTATTGCATTTTCAAATATGAAGGTATTAGTGACCTTGAAGAAAGTGTTTTCTGTGGGGTTTTGGAGACAAAAGCCTGATTAGATTAAAATCATGGAAGAATGGGAGATGAGAATTTGGAAACTGTACAAACAGTTCTTGTGAGGAATTTTTTTTTTCTGTGGAGCAATGCAGATCTATTTCAGAGCTACATAGAGATATGGTATCAGAGACTTTTTGTTTAATATCAGAGAAATTGCAGTATGCATTTGCACTGATGTAGGTGATGCAGAGGAAATTGAGGATAATTACTGGGGCAAAGTCCTTGAGAAAGTGAGAGTGGATGGAAGCCCATAGAATGGTGGGTTTTAGAACATGAGCGATTCATCTGTTATAATGAAAAAACCTGTCAATGTTCATCAATACATACATACAGGCTGTTAGATTTGATGGTGAGAAGTGTAAGGAGCTTCATTTTTGCCGTCTGAGAGTGATGAGGAGTCAGATGTTGATGGTTTGAGGAGAGATGAGAAATGTGGAAGAGATATTTAGAGAAAGGGAAAGAAAATTGACTAGAGGACCTCTATAAAGAATGCTGGGAATAGCCATTTGAGGTTTGTGCTCCAGTCAGCATCAGAGTGTTTTTCTTCAGTCATGTTTAACTGTTCAGGTACTGTCAAGGAATAAATTGAAAGCTGGTTTCCCTAGGGTTGAAGTTTACTTGGCTAGTGCCATGAAGAGAGGGGACAAGGGAATTGAACTTCCATATATGGAGTAATTATAATGGGAGATCATGTGATCCAAAGGCATATCCTATGGGATCTCATAGATCACTATAAAAACTGTGGCCTTTACTTAGAGTAAAACAAAAAAACATCAGAAAGTGTTGAGCAGAAGATTGACATGATTCAACTTTCTCTGTGGCTAGGGCAGAAGGAGCATGGGAGATAGGTTCAGAAGGGCCATGTCTCCCTGGGTCCTTTTAGCGCATTAGAACACCAGTATTTTAGTAGGCAGCATACACTTAAAATACAGTAGCTCAAATATTCCCACATCCCCTGTAAAGGTAGGTGTTAACAGATTCATTTTACAGAAAAGAAATCTGAGGTTCTGAGAGGTAAAATGACCCAATTAAAATCTCTCTTAACTCAGAGGTGGCAGAACCAAGATTCAATCATGAATATGAACTAAAAGGAAAAGAGAGAAAGACATCTTTGAATTTAATGGAAAGTAGGAAAATTTATACTAATGTTTTTTGTTTGTTTGGTTGACTTTGCCCAGAGGGACTTTGATGAGGAGCAAAGTTGTAAGGGACTTTTTAAACTAAGCTTTGTAATGCATAAAATAGACATGATCTGTTATGATAAATTTTAGCTGCTATTGATGATGATGATGATGATGATGACTTTATTGGTCAGCTTTCTGAGCTCCCACAGGTGCCCGGTGCTATCCTAAACAACTCATATGTGTCAATTAATTTAATCTTCACAACAATCTTCCATGTATAGAATAAGCATGACCCATGGGGAGAAACCAGAACCCACCTGTATTTTCAACCTCACAGTCCATTTACATCTTCTATGGAGGTGGTGTCACTCCAGTCACTGAATGCAAACTTAGGAAGTCACACAATTTTTCTGATGGATTTTAGGTAATAACATCATATAGTTATTTTTTGCTTCAAGATACTAGTCTCTATTAGAATGGCATTTTGATATATTAATAAACACTTCATTACTCAATGCAAGTTAAGGCCCCTCCTCTCTTAACTAAGGGGAGAGAAATATAATTGGATTTTCCTCTGATTCTCCTTTATCTCCATTTCTCCTTAGTATGTTTTTGGATCCCTCCTTGGTTGGATTGGGTAGAGGGTAAGGAGGAGAGGTAAGGAGTTTATGACAATTCTTACTTCCCCAGTATTGTCTTCATGATCTTTGAGACTGACTGATATTTAAAGCTGACTCTTTCATAGGGTACTTGTGGATTTTCTGTGATCCTCCTGCTGAATCTTTTTGATTGCAACTCCATTTGTCTCTGTGCAACTTTCTAATTTAACGTACTTTCATATATAAAAATTGGTAGTATAATTAGCTCCATTTTACAGACAAGAAAACAGGCACAGAGAATTTAAGAAATTTACCCATGTTCACACAGGCAGTGAGTAGTAGAGTCCATCTAATTTCTGAGCTTGATTTTGGAGCTTATACTCTTAACCACTAAGCTAAATAATGGCAGGATTGCCAAGCTAATACAGCTCTCACTCGTCTCCCAGGCAAAAAGCAAACATTCTGGGACAGCAGGACAGAGCCTAAGCAGCACACACAAGAGATAACTTTCTTGAAACTGCATGCCATAGACATTGACTAAAGCCCCTTTTTAGAGAAGGAGCTCTGATGTGCCACTTTCAGTGTCAAAAACCAACTGGGAACAGAACCAAAGTCTGTGAAAGGTACATATTCTGGTCCTTATAGCAGCCATACTTGTAGTTGGGTCCAGCTAGAGAACAGGGTTGAGAAGAGTATTGTTCTTCTCTAGAATTTTCTAAATGGGTACATTACGTGTCCTAAAAGAATAAGCCAAATACAGGAGTTGGAATTTAACCTTTAGCTGCCCCATCTTGGATGGCACAGGGCTCTGAGATCCTATCTATCGGGATGGAGAGTGAAGGTTAAGCATTAGATTATTGCAACATGTATATCTATAACAGATATCTTGTGCATTTTAGCATTTACACCAGATATCAGAGCTGGTTCTAGATAAGGATCCCAGAAACTTCAGCAATACCCGGAGTGTACCTAAAGCTGGTTCACACAGCCCTAAATGCATGAAATAATCTGCACTCCTACAAGTACAGATTTAACTCCTTTTAGCATTGGCCTGCTTAAAACAATCCCCCAATTTAGATTCTTAACCACCTGGATCTTAACCACTTTAGAAATCATTTGTCATTCTATTTTTTTCCCATCTCCCTCATTAGGAGAGAGACTTATCCACTTATCTTCTATTTATGAGTTTTCACTCTGATGGTTCACCGTCTTTACATCTGGGTGCCTGCTTTACTTTTTTTTCTTAGCTACTGCTTTTGTCTTTGATTATTAATTCTACAGACAGTCTTTTGAATAACATTTTATTTGATGTGTAACTGCCACACAGACCTCTCAAAAATCGCCACATTGCCTTACACCAGAGGGGGCATAGTGAGGAGGGACGTGGAGCTGTTCAGCTTCTCCAGTGCATAGAAACAGGATACATGCCAGAACCAAGTCTGTGGTACATGCTGAGAAGCAGATCAACCTGCTCATCAGAGCACGGGGATTTTTAGGGCACAATCAGCAGTGAAGTGTGGCCAATATGACAAGAGTAGGGTGTGGGCTGGGAGACAGCAATCCAGTGTTAACTTAAAAATCACAAGGTCTTTATAAATTTGGAAAAGGAGACATTTTTCTCATTAAGTATTACAGCCTGCAAGGTGGCCATTCTGACAGGCTGGGAAGTGTGCTTCAGGCTGAAACCATTACCAGGCACTTGGAAAGTGAAGGGATTTAGGTAGGAGCTTTCTGCTGAAAAGGTTGGCTAAACATATATATTCAATGAGTTAAGGAGGAGTTATGAATATTCATGAAGGTGGTCCTGACACATGCGTAGTGAACAAATATGTATGTAACATATGACTTATGTTCACCTTGGGGTGGAAACTTAACATTTAAATTCATTATATTTAGGTTCTGTAAGTCAAAAGGTCTTTTCAGGATACCAAGGCACTCATTGCACAGCCTCTGTAAACTGGCCAGAACTAGCCCATCACTGGTGGTCTTATCAGGAGAAAGTTACAGAAACCAGTCTCTTGTCTAATCAAAGCTGTAGCTATGGTTGGTGGAACAGGAGTGAGGAGTGAGGTGGTTGTCAAGGAGATAGGGGTGGGAGACTCAATTAGTCAGTGTCTGATGGTTGGTGACCTGCAATTGCTTCAATTGGTAATCTAAAGGCCTGTGCTTGTTTAGCTCCTAGAGAAAAAGGAACATTGTGGCAGTTAGAACATAGCATATTTTTTAAGCATAGTTGGGCATGACTTAAATCATTGCTTGGAATGGCTTAGGTCCTGGTTATAATTTAGTACTTTATTGTCACAAACAGTCCATTCTGTCAGTCTTATGATCTCCATTTTAACATTAATACAGTTGTTGTGTCTAAACAGCAAAAGGGAGGGGGATATAATGAGGCATGTCTGATCTTCCATCTTGTTGTGTCTAGAAATTCAGTTTTTAAGATTTTCCTGGGATCCCCTTGGCCAAGAGGAAATCTGTTCAATCAGTGAGGATCTTAAGATTTTATCTTTAATTTACGCCAGGAAAGAATAGGACAAATATACAGTGAAGTGTAAAGGGCAAAATGAGCTTGTCTGAATAAATAAATAAATTGTCATGGACACATTTAAAGCATCTGGCACATTCTAGTCAGATTTAGCCTTATAAGAAAAACCTAGAAACTGATTAAGGGGAAAATGAGGTTAAACCATCTTGAGAAAATGGGATTCAAAGTGCACAGAGAGAGACATGATGTTCTGTCAGACTTACAAAGTTTGCTGTCATGTAGAGGAAGGACATGGTGGTAAAACTGAAAATAAACACCTGGGGTGGGAAAGCTTCGTTAGATAGTCATGGATTCCAGATCTTCTGGAAAACTTCTGCCAATCAGTGTAATGGAAAACTTGGACTGGGATCTCCTCATTGACGTTAATGGGTATTTGTGTTTCCTCTTTTCCTTTGACAGAATTTTTTGGTTACTAGATATTTTACAATTTTCTTCATCTTTTTTTAAAGAAACAGTTATATGATTCAGCCTCATTTTAGAGAACTCAAACAACTAACTAGACTATAAAGAAGAAAATAAACAGCACCTTCAAAATAACCATGTTAACACTAAGATAACAACATTCAGATGTCTTTCTCTGCTGCACAAATGCAGAGAAGGGTGTACAGATAAAAATATTGTTTGATAGGGAGATAAAATGTTATAAAACAGGATTGTACTATGAATGCCAATCCAATAAGATTGTTCAACTTATTTTGACTTGATTATAAAAATAACAAAGCATCTGAATAAATAGTAAATATTTTGATAAATATTTACTATAGTTCCCTCTAAATTTATGGAAAAACTATGAAAGAAAGACCAAAAGATCGGAATCACTGTGCTCTATTTTTTGGAGCACATATTTTAATTTTAGATAGGTTTTGTAAAATATTTAATACACCTCTTACAAATTCTCCCACCTTCACTCCAATAATTTCAATTTTTTAAAGTTGGATTTTATTTTAATTGTCAAATTTTACATTTGTATTCTGTTTCATAAATATAATATCTACATTTTTTTCTCTTTTTACATGTATCTTTTCTTTGGCTAAATTTTATGTTCGAATGGTTTTACTACATTTATGTATTTCAAAAGAAAACTCCCATAGATGGTGAATTGCCCATAGGTTAGAGTATTTAAAAATGCCTGATTGTTTACTTAAATGGATTCATGACTTGGTTGTACACTGGTCTTAAGCCACGATTTTATTCCTTAATCCTTTGCAGACTTTAGCCTTTCTTCTGCCCATCAGTGCGACTTGTTTTTTTTCTAGAGACATGAAAAATCTTTAAATTTTTTTTGTTTACTTAAATAAAATTTTCCACGTATATAATTTTAAAAGTCAAATAGTTGTACTATAAAAGCCTACGATGAAAGCATTGAGCTTCCTATTGCCCCCTTTACTGATTTCTAATCTATTGAGGCCTTACTCTAAACCCATTGAACAGTTTTTTCTGCTAATTGCCTCTATATTTATAAATAGCATTCCTATATCATCTCTTGGTCTTTCTGTTTTAGATATGACTTCATAGCTTTCTATCATGAAATACACTCATATATTTTTTGGGGGGGAGGGTCAGGGCTTATCCTCTTCTGATGTTCCTAATGTTGTTTATGTATCATTCTTTTGGGTTGAGTGCATTTTTAGTAGTCATCACTTCATTACATTGTAAATATTATTTACAGCTAAGAGAGGTATTGAACTACAATTACAAAGCCTTTACTTGTGCAATGTTTCATTTGTCCTGGAATTAATGACTGCCTTGATTTTCTTTTATTTGCTCCATTTCCTGCATAATTCATTAATCACTAAGTTCATTGACATTACTGATGATCTAGAAAGTCCACAGAAATACATCAGTTACTCTATTATAATCATTATCTTCTTGGCAACATGCCCCCTGGAGGCCAACACTCTTCCGCTTCTATTTGGACTGATTGTTCTCTAGGCTTGCTTCACAATTATTATCTTAGGTTTTCCCTCACCATGTTCCTTTCGGTCTGTTTGTGCATCCACTCAGTTGGATTCTGTATTATCTGCATTATGTGTCTCCTTCTTCTTTAGTATAATTATTGTAACTCCAGTAAATAAATTATATTAAATGCACTCATCTTCCAGTTGCTTTTTCCTGGTAGTATATCAAGGGAAATTTTTTGACACCTGACCTATCTGATAATTTCATTATCCATCCTTCACACTTGGTTGACACTCTGTATGGAAAATTCTAGGTGAAGACCATGTTTTCTCACAATTTTAAAGGCACTACTTCGTTGCTATAGACTGCAGTGATTCTGACAAAAAGTCCATTAAATTTCCATATCCTGATTTTTTTTCTTGGTTACTTGTTTTTCTCCTCTTCACTTTCTTAAAGCAATTAAAATCTTCCCTTTATCCCAAGGGTTCTAAAGTTTTGTAAAACTTTCACCTAATTGTGAGTCTTTTTTTTTTTTTTTTTTTTTTTTGTTTGAGGCGGAGTCTCGCTCCGTCGCCCCGGCTGGAGTGCAGTGGCGCGAACTGCAAGCTCCGCCTGGCGGGTTCACGCCATTCTCCTGCCTCAGCCTCCCGAGTAGCTGGGACTACAGGCGCCTAATTGTGAGTCTTTTTCCTCTCAGTTTGTTGTCTACTTTATGGAGATTTTCATTCTGAAATTTCGTATTCTTTGGTTTGATAAGATTTAATGAACTATTTCTCTGACAGTTTGCTCCTTTCTGTTTTCTCTTTCCGTAACTCACGTTTTCTGAAAATCTGAATACTAGGCTGATTTTTTTTTAAATTTTTAACATTTTTAATCTTGTCTTTTTTGTTCTCCCTGGAGATTTCCTCAATTTTATTTTCCCATCCTTTTGTTGAATTATTATTTTTGCCATCAAACATTTGATTTTCAAAATCTCTTTCTTGCTTTCCAAACATTCCTTTTTTCTAGATTTGAGTTCTGGCTCATTGAGGAAATATATTTTCTCGAATCCGTCTTTTTTGTGATAAAATACCAGTAACATAAAATTTACTGTCCTAATCATTTTTAAGTGCGCAGTTCAGTAGTGTTAAGTATATTTACATTGCTGTACAACTAATCTCCAGAACTTTTTATTATTGTAAAACTGAAACTCTATACCCATTAAACAGCAAGCCCCCATTTCTCTCTTCCCCAAGCCTCCAGAAACCACCATTCTACCATCTGGTTCTATGAATTTGACTACCCTATATACTGCAGTAGCATTACACAGTACTTGTCTTTTTGTGATTGGCTTATTTCACTTTGCATAATGTCCTCATGGTCTATCTATCTTGTAGCACGAATTTCTTCCTGTTTATGGCTGAATAATATTCCATTGCCTGCATATGCCACATTTTGTTTATCAGTTCATCCACTCATGGACGTCTAGGCTGTTTTATATTTTGGCTATTGTGAATAATGTTGCTGTGTACATTGCATATACAATTCTCTACTTAAGACTCTGCATTCAGTCCTTTTGGATATATAACCAGAAGTGGAATTGCTGAACCATGGGGTAATTCTATTTTTAATTTTATTTAGGAACCACTGTACTGTTTTCTATAGCACCTGAACCATTCACATTTTTTACCGACAGTGAATGAGTTCCAATTTCTCCACATCTTCACTGACACTTGTTATTTTCAGGAGTTTTGTTTTTTTGTTGTTGTTGTTGTTTTGCTTTGATAATGGCCATCCTAGTGGGGTCAAGGCGATATCTCATTGTGATTTTGACTTTCATTTCCATAATAATTAGTGATGTTGAGCATCTTTTCCTATGCTCATTTGGTATTTGTTTACCATCTTTGGAGAAATGACTATTCAATGCCTTTGTCTTTCTGCATTGTTTCTTTCACTTGACTTTTTAATTCTGTTTTTGTTGGTCTCTACATTTCATGTTGAAAATTTTTCTCAAGTATCTGTAAATCTTCACCTGTCTGTTTATATGTAAGAGTGAACTTATGTATTAACTGGAAGATCTGGAGTGTGAGAGGTGGAACTCACTCTATGTGTGATTAATCAGGAAGTTGCTTATTTTAGGGGGCATCCCAAAACTGTACGTATTAGTATTGTTTTGATTTTAATGTTTTCTTAACTCTGTAATTTAAATTTTCATTTTATTATTCTGGTTTTATTTTTATTGTTCTGGTTTTATTTTTATTGTTCTGTTTTTTTATCTCTTGTTTTATCAAAAGTAAGTTTTCATTAAGTTCTTCTATAGTGCAGTTGTTGTAGAAATGCAATTTCTGTTCCCTGTATTGTATTTTTTTCCAGATTGTATTTTTTTCTTGTTTTTTTCAGATGTGTTCATTTATCCTTCTCATTTTTGCTTCTGTTTATTTCTCTGGTATGCTTATTTTTTAAATTCTTGCTCAGACTTGAAAGTTTTTTCAGACTTTTGAAATAAGAATTCAATTTCATATAAGTGACTTCTGTTTTACTTACCTTTTATCATTATTGAGGCATAGTTGTCATCTCCTCTGACTCAGAGTTCAAGGAGTGTGATTGTGTTTTACTGACTTTGCTGTAGTCCATCCTATGGTAAGAAGGCTGAGCTGGGATAGAACCCACTTGGAACTACTAGTCTGTGGTACTTTGTAAAATGAGCAAAATATTCTGTACCAGGATTTACTCCACCTACTGGGAAGTACTTCTTGTTCCCATGGGGAATACCCTTGCAACTTAATGTCATCCCCTCAACTCGGGAATAATCCCTAAAGCCTATTTTTTTTTTAGTATCAGAGAAAGCATATCCTAATTATTTGCCTCTGCTATTTAACGCCTTTCTGTTGGAAATGATTTTCACTTCCTCCAAGTAAGAAGACAATATCCATGCCACTCGTTCTTGTTCAAGTATTATAGTATTATAAACTTTACTAGGATTTTATAAATGTACCACTTCCAATGCAGAGGTCGGAATGGATTTTGGGTGCCCTGGGGCCTCGCCAAACACTGTGTTTATTGCGGCCCTCAAGTTTTGGAGCTTATGACAAGAGGCTGTGCTTTCTTTTTTATTAAATTTAAAGTGCCTTTGACTATCTGTTTTTATTAAATTGAGTAGAAATTGGATGAAGAAGATTTTTTTAACTGGCAATATTTTACCACTTTTACCAAAAACTCTGTTAATACTTGAATATGATTTAATAGGAAAAATTTATATTGCACTTGATAAACAAAAAGGGAGAAAGAAAGTTGTAGACACATCTAACATTCCATTCTGCATTTTAGTTGTTTCAAATCAGCAGTTTTACTTACCAATTAATAATTATCTTGGGAGAAAACAAGCTTGGATTCCAGTTACTCTGCCACTGGTTGGTTACACGTCTTGAGGTAGAGAGCCAAACTTTCGGATCTTAAATTCTTTAATAATGAATGCTAGTGTTGCATAGTTGATCTATAAGGTATCCTCTAGTTTTTAAATCATATAAATACAATTTTTTCTCATGCTTAAAAATAAAATTAATATTTAGACTATTATTTACACTCTGTTTTAATACTATAAAATACATGTAGTACATAATTCTATAAAATTTAATAAATATGTGTTAATTGCCGACCATTTTACTAAGCATTATGGAGAAAAAAATATGAAGACCTAGAGTTTTTAGAAAGAGAGAAGAGAAAAATGAGACAAACGTTTTAATAACTAAATTATAGAATGGAGTATGATAAGCATCATAAGGTACATATTTAATAAATGCATATAGGGGTTCAGATAGCATAGAGATTATAGTTTCAGACAAAAAAAATCATGCAGAAGTGAGGTTTGAGTTAGGTCTTAAAGGAAGAGATGCAGAAGGGAAGAAACAGCATGACCAGAAAAGGTAAAGCTTGGATTATGGAAGCTTGGAAAGCATTAACTATTTTCTTATATCTGAATTCAGGGAATATTAGAAGGACTAACACAAGATAAAAGTAAATTTCTTTGAGTCTCTTCAATGGTGTAGTTTGACCTAAATTTTAGAAAGATTAATATGACAATATGGAAGTTGAATTGAGAAAGAGAGGGGCAGAAAGGAGGGAAGTCAGCCAAGAGGAATGCTCTTAGTCAAGGAAAGAAATAAAGTAAACCTGAATAAGGATGGGATCAGTGGGACTCAAAAAGGGAAGAGAAGAGAATGAATTGGAAATTACTCTCATGTTTTGAACCCAGATGAGTGACTATAAAGGTGACATCAGTAGAAATGAGAAAGTTTCAGCCGCGTTTTGTAGTTTTCCTTGTCTAGGTCTTTCACCTCCTTGATAAGTATATTCCTGGGGTTTTGTTGTTGTTTTGTTTTGTTTTCTCAGCAGTTATAAAAGGGGTTGAGTTCTTAATTTATCCTCAGCTTGGTCATTGTTGGTGTATGGCAGGGCTACTAATTTGTGTACATTGATTTTGTAACCTGAGACTTTACTGAATTTGTTTATCAAATCTGGCAGTCTTTTGGAGGAGTTTTTAGGGTTTTCGAGGTATATTGTCATACCATCAGCGAACACCAATAGTTTGACTTCCTCTTTTCCAATTTGATGCCTTTCATTTCTTTCTCTTGCATGATTACTCTGGTTAGGACTTCTAGTACTGTGTTGAATAGAAGTGGTAAATATGGGCATCCTTGTCTTGTTCTAGTTCTCAGCAGAAATGCTTTCAACTTTTTCCCATTCAGTATGATGTTGGCTGTGGGTCTGTCATATGTGGCATTTATTATTTTGAGGTAAGTCTCTTCTATGCCTAGTTTGTTGACTGTTTTTATCCTGAAGGAATGCTAGATTTTATTAAATGCTATTTCTGCATCTATCAAAATGATCACGTCTTTTTAAAAATTCTGTTAATGTGATGTTTCACATTTATTGACTTGCATGTGTTAAACCATTCCTGAATTTCTGGGATGAAGCCCACTTGATCATAATGTATTATCTTTTTGATATGCTATTGGATTCAGTTAGATAGTATTTTGTTGAGAATTTTTACATCCGTGTTCATTGGGGATATTGGTCTGTAGTTGTCCTTTTTTGTTATGCCTTATACTGATTTTGGTATCAGGGTGATACTGGCTTCATGAATTAGGGAGGATTTCCTTCTTCTCAATCTTTCGGAATAGTTTCATTAAAATTGGCACCCATTCTTCTTTGAATCGTTGCCCATCTGGCCCTGGACTTTTTTTTGTTGTTGGCAATTTTAAAATTACTGGTTTAATCTCATGGCCTGTTATTGTTCTGTTCAGTGTTTCTATTTCTTCCTAATTTAATCTAGGAGGGTTATATGTTTCCTGGAACTTATACATTTCCTCTGTATTTTCTTGTTTATGTGCTAGAGGTGTTCATAGCAGTCTCAAATGTTCTTTTATATTTCTGTGGTGTTGCTTGTAATGACTCCAGTTTCATTTCTAATTCAGTTGATTCGAATCACCTCTTCTTTTCTTGATTAATCAAGCTAATGGTCTACCAATTATGTTTATTTTTTCCAAGACCAGCTTTGTGTTTCATTTATCTTTTGTATTGTTAATTGGATAAGTTATTTTTGGTGGACAGTTACAATTTCAGTCTTCAACATATGGAATTTAGGGTACAATAATCTGTGTCAATAAGCTGTGTCAAGAAGGCAGGGGAAATGCTAGACCACGCATCAGGAAAGACTTAAAGACCAGAAAAACAGATATGGAATTTATTCACATAAAGGAAATGAAAGAAATCTTCAAGGAAATATGCCTAGAAAACAGCAGACCAAGGGCAGAATAACATTAAGAAACAGAAAAGTTAATATTGAAATATCTGCTTTACTTACTAACACCTGGGAAAAAGAAGAAAAAAGGAAAGAAATGAGAAAGGAAGAAAAGAAGGAAGGAGGGGAGGGAGGAAGGGAGGAAAGAAAAAAGGAGGGAAGGTAAGAAGAGAGGAAAGGCGGGAAGAAAGATGGAAGAAAAGAAAGGAAGAAAGAAGAAGGAAGGAAAGAAGGGAGGGAGAAAGGAAAAGGGTGAGAGAGAAGGACAGAGAACAAGAGGAAACTGAGCAGTTGTTAATTTTATTGGTAAGTTTCAATACATTGTGCTTTAATGTTCCTCATTTGAGTCCAGGTTGTGTGTTATATCTAGATTTATTACAGAGCTGTAAAGTGAGCATTTTGTGCACTTGACTGTTGATAACTTTGTGCTTATGTTTCCCAAATGATCACTGCTCCTTGCTTGTGCCACTCTCTCAAGAATTCAAATGAGGGAATATGCAGATGGGAGGGTAGTTTTGGCCATGACTAGGTTCCTTAGCAAATATCAGCAGAACTTACCAAATACCAACAAACATCAAAGAGTTCACACTGAGACAATATGAGGAAAGGAAGGTAGCAATGCTGCTTTTAACATACCAGGAACCCAATTCTTGTCTTTTAGAGCTCTCAGCTGCTTGATATGTTAACAAGTCAACCCCCTAACAGTATAGTTTCTGCAAGATATATCTGTCAAAAGAAGCCACGTTGTGATGAGAACAATTCGAATAATTAACAGAATATTTATATTTCTTAGTTTGTGTAATATGTTTTCTAAGTGCTTCATATTTTGTGAAAGCATTGAGTATGTCTTAACCATGTAGAATGTAATCAGTTCCAGAGAAACAGGTTCATATTTACTTCTATTTTACCTATACCTTACATGTCTCTAATGGTCAGAGATATTAAATATAAAATTAAAAATAAAACAAAAAATTTGTTACAAATCAGAATATGCAAATACATTTAAATGATTGATTTTTACTGTTTGTGTTTGTCAAAAATATTTGCAAATCAGTGGAGAATAATAGTCAAGAGAACAGCATTTAAAATCATAGATTTGGTCTTGAATCACAGTTCTGCCACTAATTATCTGTAGTAAAAGCTTAAGCCAATTTAATAACATTCCAAGGTTTTGTTTCAAAAGAGCAGTGGCTTTCTTATACTGGTGTTATGATGATAAGGTGAAATAATATGAACAAAGTGGGTAATACAGAAAGTGAAATCTAGTATGTGCTCAATACATCATGGCAATTGTTATTTTCTCTGTTTAGAATTTCAATGAAAGAATAATGATGCCTATAGGAATAAAGGACTTATTTTACATAAGTTAAAATTGTTTTGGCTAATTTGGCACTGACAAATAAAAATTGCTTTAGAATGTTCCAAATTTGTTTCCCAATATTAATCACACTTTTTGTTGTGGGTTGAAGGGGATTAGGGAATGGGAGATACATTAAGAGCTGTTATTGAAGTCTTGAGAGATGACGAGCTTCTAATTAAGAAAGTGTATTTATGTTCATTGTAAATATTTCAATTAGTGAATTTAGATTCTGAAACATAATTCACTTTTAATGAAATCAAAAAGAGCTGTGTTAAAGATGGTTACCATTAAAAACTTCAAGAACTCCCATCTGAAATTGTTTATAAACTGTTATGTTAGCTTAATAGCAAATGAATTTATTTTAAAAATTGGTGATATGTTTTGAACACTACATTATAATGAAGTTCTCACTGTATTATTACATTAAAGTCAAAGAATAGAAGCTTTGAGTGCTAGAATTCTCCAACATTTTTAAGCAAATGACAATATAGGTAATTTTAGAACTTCATCATTTTCTAATGATTGAATTCAATGCAGATTTAACATCCAGTTATATTATGTTAAGCATGTTTCTAAAGCTTCTTTTAAAATATACTTTTATTCTTAGATATTTTCATATCTCAGGTAATGGATATGTTTCCAGTGCCTTTTTATACTATGAAAATTTCTATTTCAAATAAATTGAAATAAATGTGTAATAAAGGAGAGAACTGGACAGATAATTAAAAAATTATTTATGCATCAATGTTGATGGTTACCTCATTAGTTTACCTTGGTAGTTTGAATGAGGTTAAAAATGTTTATAATTTTAAATAAAATTTTTTTATATTATAAATATTTCTTGAAATGTATTAGGAGAAATAATAGTATATCATAAATCTGTTTGTAAAATTAATTCATGAAGTATTACATAAAGAAAAAATCAATACTTGCCAGCTTCATAATTAATAAATTTTAGGTGAGTGATATCTTCTATACTTATTAATTATTTTAAAAAATCTCTTTAACTGAATTATTTGAAATTTTTAAAACAAAGTAAAATATTTTCTTTTGTTTCATAACCGTTACTTTTTGAGTATACAGCCAAAACTTAATTTTTTATTTATAAGCATAAATATGGCTTCATTGTAACTTAAACACTTAATAAAAGAGTCACAGTAAGAAGAAACGTCACCCGTATATATAGGATAGCTATCTTGATCCCTGTGAAATGATCCTGTATCTTGGATCATCTTTCTTGTTACAAACACTTCTATTGGAATTATTTTGAAGTGAATTATCCTCTAACCAAATATGTAAGAATAAATACCTTCTGTAGGGTGATAGCATTATTTTCTTTAAAGTAGGGAATGAACTACATAAAAATATTTTATCTTATTTATTTAATACTGCTATAAAAAACCTTACTATTCTAAAACTAGGAAAATTAAAATTAATACTTAGTTTCTAAGTTTCCAAATGATGTGTAACTAATAATTCCACAAGTTAATAAATTTTGTTTTCAAGGTTAGAGTGTGATATTTAAAGTTAGTTAATCTTAGTGGGTATGGTGGGAAATCATATTTCTGAGTATCAGATAAACTGAGAAAATGTCTTTTGACATTTTCTAGCATGTTCTTGGATTGGTGGTCACTTTTTTAAAAATGTTTTTCAGGGGAAAATAATTTTGGCTATACTCATATGAATCTCTGGGAATTAAAGCCTACATTTGTTCAGGTATAAAATTACTTCCTAAAGAAAATTCTATATTTGAGTACATCCACCTGTGGCAGAGGTGCCAATCCAATATTCTTTGGCCATTCGTTCCAATAAGAACTTCAATTTTTCAGTGGACATTTTGCCATCCAGCTGAAAATCTTTATTTCCCAGCATCACTTGCACAGAGACCTAATCAATGACTATGTTTTGGCCAATAAGATGTCATTGAAAGCATTTTGCGTCTACACTGCAGCCATGTGCTGCATAAGGATGTTTCAGTCAACTAGGGAACACATATATGCTGGTGGGCTAGTAAGATTATAATGCGCATATACAGAAACCTGATTTATGGCATTGATATTGGCATTGCAGATCAAGTAGGGAAAATAATGGTGCTGGGGCATCTTATTTCTATGTATAGATCTAAATATAGATATAGATACAGATATAGATATGGATACCATCTAGGTTTGTGTAAGTACACTCTCTGATGTTCACACAACATCCAAATCACTTAAAGATGCATTTCTCAAAACTCGTCTCTACTGTTAAGGAATGGATGATTGAATCTGCTTCTTGGATTCCCTCCTTTTCCTTCCCAGTGACCAAAATGCATAAAATTATGACTGGAAAATGAACACTTATTTTGCAGCATGGGGCAGGACAATAAAGATGGTTAGAACAGCAAGAGGGGAGGAAGCTGGGACCCTGAAGAATATGGAGCTGCCACACCAGAACTGGACTATCTTCTCAGAGTTTCTTCTTATCTAAGAGAGAAATAAACTACTACCTTATTTAACTAATTTATTTTATTGTTGTTCCTGTATGCAGGTGAACTTAATGTTTATTGATATTATACTCCTTCTGCTCCAGATTTCTATTGTGGTGAGGAAAGACTGGTGTCTTTCGGTGTATATATAACTATAAAGCTTCATGAAAGACATAAAGGATTTTCATAAAATAAGGCATATATGGATTTCTCTATATCCCAGTGTTTTAATAGGTATTTTTAAACCTGACGGCTTTATTCTTTGAGCTATTTTTTAACTGTGGTGCTTTTCATAAACCCAGTTGAATCTTTCATATTCACGTTCAACTAGCCTGTGTTAAATGCCCATTTAGTGTTAGTCATTTTCTGATTTGCCAAACATTTATATTCTTCACAATGCCCCTGCAGGATATGTAATATTATTTCAGCTTTACAATGAATAAGAAGCTCCAAAGGGATGTAACATATGTCAGGTGTTTCCTGGTGAGTGATGGAGCCCCTTGGAACAAGTTGGAGTGTGTTACCTCTACAAAACCCAGAAAAGCGATCATTCAACTTTTTTCGAGCTTTCAGAAATATAGACATGAATATCACATGATGAAAATCATTTCATTCATATTTGTTCAAAGTTCTTACACATATTTTACTGAAACCAATCTATAACTCTCAAGCACAAACTTGTTTTATTCTTCGGGGTCATATAAAGCATTTAATTCCAATTTCTGATGAAGTCATTTTAAATATGTGAGTACAACTATCATGTCCCCTTATAAATCTTTTCTGCCTGGGTGCAGTATCTCTAGTTGCTTCACCATAGATCATATTATATTTGAACTTCTCATTCTTCCACTTTTCATAATGTAGGCTAAAGTCATATTGGTTTTATTGTTGCTGATTGACTTGCATGTTTACTTCATCAATTAACATTTACCTTCTTTTTTTTTTTTGAGACAGAGTCTTGCTCTGTCACTCAGGCTGGAGTTTAATGTCGCTATCTCTGCTCGCTGCAACCTCCGCCTCCCAGGTTCAAGCTATTCTCCTGCCTCAGCCTCCCAAGTAGCTGGGATTACAGGCATCTTCCACCATTCCTGGCTAATTTCTGTAATTTTAATAGAGACAGAGTTTCATCATGTTGGTCAGGCTGGTCTTGAACCCCTGACCTCAGGTAATCCACCCACCTTGGCCTCCCAAAGTGCTGGGATTACAGGCATGAGCCACCACTCCCAGCCAACATTTAAGTATTATATTCCATGTAGGATGTCTATTAGTAAAAATATAATAAGATTTAACCCGAAAGACTAGCAAAAACAGTAAAAAGGACTCTCCTTGTAAAAAGTGATTCAATGACCACTGTCATGCTGCAGAAAACACTTCAGAAAATCATGTGTCTATAGATGATTCTGTTTGAAATAATAGATCTACCATTCTAATTTAAATATGATAGAACTCATTAACGAAGTAAAATTATTATTCTAAGACCTATCTGTTTAAAGGCCTGCTTTGTTACCTCCCGGGTGCCAAGTGTCTTTGCTCGAAATGACTTGCAGAAAACAAGTAATTTTCCAACTTTTGGTAAATTTTATACTGCTGTGTTGTATTATTTGAAATTGTATTTTAATGCATCCTTTCCTCAAAATAATTTATGTTAACCTTCACTCTTTCCAACATTGATCGGGTATATAGAAGCCACTAGCTGTCTTCAGTTCTCTATGGCAGTCGTCCCCAACTCATTTGGCACCGGGGACCGGCTTCATGGAAGACAATTTTTCCATGGACTGAGGCGGGGGGATGGTTTCAGGATGAAACTGTTCCACTTCAGGTCATCAGGCGTTAATTAGTTAGATTCTAGTAAGGAGCACACAACCCAGATCCCTTGCATGTGCAGTTCACAATAGGGTTTGCGATCCTATGCCAATCTAATGCCACCACTGATCTGATAGGAGGTGGAGCTCAGGTGGTAATGCTGGCTCACCCGCCACTCACCTCTGGCTCTGCGGCCAGGTTCTTAACAGGCCATGGTACCCGTTCCCGCCTGAGGGCTGGGGACCCTTGCTCTATGGAATCTGATGCAACGTAAGTAAATATATAAACAAATACATAAAGCACCCGATGACATATGGTACTACAAAGTTTTGTCGATCCAGCTTAGTGCGTTCATATTGTAAATTCATCTAATAACTGTGTTTGTCTATTTCCAGTGTGCACCTTATTTATATGTAAAGCTCAACTCAGGACCACCTTCTCCTGTGAGGTCATCCCTCTGCTTCTAGTTTTCACAAACCACTTTCAGCTCGCGTTCCTATAGCCCTGGTAGTTAGAACAACAAAACAGTCTGCAGTTTACTGTATTTTTTTTCTTGTAATATTATCTGTTCTTATTTCACCGAGTTTTTAGAGCCCGACTTTTGGAAGTTCTTCTAGACTAACTCCCTCTGACTTCTTCCTGCCCCTCTTTTCTCTTTCCCGGGGCAATCATTCGTTAAGTTCCTCGAAGATTCTACCGCACTCTACTCTGATGTGTACCTCCTTTATTAGTTTTCCTCATTATTTCAATAGTGTCCTTGCCCTTACTTACCAGCCTCATTTATTCTTTTTTCACACTGCCAGCAATGTTAGATAGCTAGAACAAAAATCTGATCACATCTCTTCCCTGCTTGAAGTCTTTCACAGGTATTCCTATCCATTACCACAAACATCCAAACGAATGTTACCATTCTTGCACTCATTTCTCACACGACCCATGCTATACTCAACTACCCTGTAGTTTTTCCACTTACATTACATGGTCCAGTGCCTCCATGAGAAATGAAAGGAGTATTTTCACACTAGAATTATAAGAGAGAATGTATCAAATATTTTACATTTTTATCTCATTTATTTTTTGCTCAACTTTAAGAGGGAGGTATAATCATTATCCTCATTTTAAAAAGAAAAAATAGGGCATTTGAGAGGCTACATAAGCTGCCCAATGTGGCAAGAAGAATAAACAGACAACGCTAGAATAAAATTCACATCTTTCTCCTCCACAGCTATGTCTTTATCCTCTATGCCTTTTTGCTGTTCCATAGGCTATCCTTCTGCCCAGAATTTCTTCTTTCTCACCTCTTTGCTGTCAAATAAACTACAGTTACTCTTTTTAACTCAGCTAAAATGTCTTCTTTTTCTGTAAAGCTTTCCCAAGAATCTCTCCTTCCACTTCAGCAGGTTAAAAGCTTCAAACTTTGAACTTTAAAATACCTGGTATCTACCTTTTCTGTAAGATGTATTATGTTATACTATAATTATCTATTTAGGCGTATTTTCCTCACCAGATTTAGTGCATGACTCACTTCCCTGTATTGTTTTGTTTTCTACATAGACTTATCACAATGTATGCATCCAGAAACAGTTTGTGGTTAATTGATTGACGAGTGCTATATAATTTGACTTTAAAAATGCCCAAGAATCTAGAAGTGATATGCATAAATGATCTTAGTTAAATGGAGCTTTCACATTGTACATAGCTTCAAGCAGTGAATTTCAACTGTGAAGTTAAAACTTCTTAGTGGAGAAAACAGAATCTCAGAGTATTAGTGATATGTGCAGCTTATGCAATTTATTAGTATAATATATGTTTGGGAACATTTTCCCTTCCAAATACTAATTAGGGAATATAAAAGGTAAACACATGTTTTGACACGTTTATGTGTAACATAGTTCTCAATATGTGTGCACTATCTTCTAAACGTATTGAAAGTGGCCATGGCTGGACCAGCGTCGGCCCGTCGCCTCCACCTCTGCTGCAGCTGGGCCCCAGTCAGATCCCTCTGGCCCGGCCTGACTTGGTCTGGCTAACCCGGGCTCAGCGGCCATGAAGCCACAGCTCCCGATGGAAATCATATTACATAGAATATTTGGGTGACATCTGCCTGAGAGATCTCCAAGAATTACAGAAAACAAAAATACTAATGCACTTGAGAAAGCGGTAGTTTTGTGGGGAGGCGGAAAAAGCAACTGCTTTTCTGCAACTTGGCTGGATGCTAAGATGTCCGTGGACATGAATAGCCAGGGGTCTGACAGCAATGAAAAGCACTATGACTCAAATTGTGAGGAAGAGGAACAAGAAGAGGATGAAGACCCTGGGGACATAGAGGACTATTACCTGGGAGTAGCCAGCAATGTGGAGCAGCAGGGGGCTGATGCCTTTGATCCTGAGGAGTACTAGTTCACTTACTTGACCTACAAGAAATCTGAGGGTGCCCTGAACGAGCACATGACCAGCTTAGCCTCTGTCCTAAAGGTATCTCATTCAGTTGCTAAACTTATATTAGTTAATTTCCATTGGCAAGTTTCAGAGAGATTGGACAGATACAAGTCCAATTCTGCTCAACTGCTCGTTGAGGCTCGAGTTCAGCCTAATCCATCAAAACATGTTCCCGCATCTCATCCCCCTCACCTCTGTGCAGTGTGTATGCAGTTTGCGCGAAAGAAAAACCTACTCTCCCTGGTCTGTCAGCACCAGTTTTGCCGTAGCTGCTTGGAGCAGCACTGCTCAGTTCTCGTTAAGGATGGTGTGGGTGTGGGAGTCGCTTGCATGGCTCAGGACTGTCCCACTCCATACACCAGAGGACTTTGTGTTTCCATTGCTTCCCAATGAAGAATTGAGAGAGAAATACAGGTGCTACCTCTTCAGGGACTATGTGAAGAGTCATTACTAGCTCCAGCTGTGCCCTGGTGCAGACTGCCTCATGGTTGTTCGGGTACAGGAGCCTAGAGCTCACCGAGTATAGTGCAATCGGTGCAACGAGGTCTTCTGTTTCAAGTGTCATCAAATATATCACGCACCCACAGACCGCATCACCATCCGAAAATGGCTCAAGAAGTGTGCAGACAACTCTGAAACAGCCGACTACAGTAGTGCTCACACTAAAGACTGTCCCGAATACAACATCTGCATTGAGAAGAATGGAGGCTGCAATCACATGCAATGCTCCAAATGTAAACACGACTTCTGCTGGACATATCTAGGAGATTGGAAGGCACATGGCAGTGAATAATATGAGTGCAGTACTTACAAGGAGAATCCTGACATTGTGAACCAGCGCCAACAAGCCCAGGCGAGGGAAGCCCTCAAAAAGTACTTATTCTACTTTGAGAGGTGGGAAAACCACAACAAAAGCTTGCAGCTAGAGGCACAGACATACCAGCAGATTCATGAGAAGATTCAGGAGAGGGTCATGAACAATCTGGGGACATGGATTGACTGGCAGTACCTACAGAGTGCAGCCAAGCTCTTGGCCAGGTGTTGATACACCCTGCAGTACATCAACCCATATACATATTACATGGAGTCTGGACCCAGGAATGAGCTGTTTGAATACCAGCAGGCTGAGCAGGAGGCTGAAATTGAAAACCTCTCATGGAAAGTGGAACATGCAGACAGCTATGACAGAGGGGACTTGGAGAACCAGATGCATGTAGCCGAGCAGTGGAGGAGAACCCTGCTGAAGGATTTCCATGACACCTAAGTTGGGATGTGGATGTGCGGGGGTGAGGAAGATAAGGCTGCAAGGTCTCCTGGCTGCCCTACTACATGCTGCAGGCTCTGCCTTTCATGACCCCTGGCGACAGCCAGGGCCCCACTCCTGAGAGACACTGGCAACACCTCTTAGTTAATTTCTGTTTTCTTCTCTTCTCACTTTTTGTTTCTGCCAGGGTAGAGGCCATGTTGAACTGGTCTCTTTTCAGGACTTTTACTTCCCCCTGGATGGTTGTTGAGTGGGAGGGAAAGTGTTTTTTGGATAGCTATTAATAATATTAGATCATTACAACTTATGTAACTTTCAAAGTTTGTACAATTATACAAAAAAAGGCAAACTATAGGATAACACAGAGCCCTTTTTGAAAATAAATTGGCATTGGAGTGTAAAAAAAAAAAAGAAAAGAAAAAGAAAGTAGCCATGGCTATAAAAGAGTAAGAAATAGCAATATAAAGCTCAAGTACACTTGGCAGGATATTAAGGTCCCATAAAACAGGACTAATTAAAAAATTACCAACCATTTCACAGTATAATGCCACCAAAAATATAAGGAATCTGGTCCTAATGAATCAAATTAATTGATTCCCCATTTAATAAATGGTGTTGGGAAAACTGGCTAGCCATATGCAGAAAACTGAAACTGGACCCCTTCCTTACCCCTTATACAAAAATCGACTCAAGATGGATCAAAGACTTAAATAAACATAAACCTAGGACCATGAAGATCTGAGAAGAAAGGCTGGCCAATACCATTCAGGACATAGGCATGAGCAAAGACTTGATGTCTAAAACACCAAAAGCAATGGCAACAAAAGTCAAAATTGACAAATGGGATCTAATTAAGCTAAAGAGCTTCCGTGCAGCAAAAGAAACTATCATTAAAGTGAGTAGGCAACCTACAGAATGGGACAAACTTTTTGCAATCTATTCATCTGACAAAGGGCTAATATCTAGAACTACAAAGAACTTAAACAAATTTACAAGAAAAAAGCAAACAACTCCATCAAAAAATGGGCAAAGGATATGAATGGACACTTCTCAAAAGAAGACATTTATGCAGCCAACAGACATATGAAAAAATGCTCATCATCACTGGTCATTAGATAAATGCAAATCCAAACCACAATGAGATACCATCTCATGCCAGTTAGAATAGTGATCATTAAAAAGTAAGGAAACAGATGTTGGAAAAGTTGTGAAAAAATAGGAACGCTTTTACACTGTTGGTGGGAGTGTAAATTAGTTCAACCATTGTGGAAGACAGTGTGGCGATTCCTCAAGGATGTAGAACCAGAAATACCATTTGACCCAACAATCTCATTACTGGGCATATACCCAAAGGATTATCAATCATTCTACGATAAAGACGCATGCACATGTATGTTTATTGTGGCACTACTCACAATAGCAAAGACTTGGAACCAACCCAAATGTCCATCAGTGATAGACTGGTTTAAGAAAATGTGTCACCTATACACCATGGAATACTATGCAGCCATAAAAAGATGAGTTCATGTCCTTTGCAGGGACATGGATGAAGCTGGAAACCATCATTCTCAGCTAACTATCACAAGATCAGAAAACCAAACACGGCATGTTCTCACTCATAAGTGGGAGTTGAACAATGAGAACACATGGACACAGGAAAGGGAACATCACACACCAGGGCTTGTGGGGACTGGGGAGGTAGGGGAGGGGTAACATTAGGAGAAATACCTAATGTAGGTGAAGGGTTGATGGGTGCAGCAAATCACCGTGGTACGTGTATACCTATGTAACAAAACTGCACAATCTGCACATGTAACCCAGAACTTGAAGTATAATTAAAAAAAAAAAAAGGAAAAAGAAAGTGGCCATGGCTATAAAACAGTAAGAAATAGCAATATAAAGCTCAAATACACTTGGTAAGATATTAAGGTCACATAAAAGAGGACTAATTAAAAAATTACCAGCCATTTCACAGAATCATGCCACCAAAAATATAAGGAATCTGGTCCTAACAAATCAAATTAATTTGATAATATTCCCATTTTTTTCCTGGCCTATATACTTAGATAAATAAATGTCATAGATTTGGAGTTTATTTCAGGAAATGTCCACAGACATAAATCTTAACAGCTTAAAAAATAATATATTTTCCAGCAGTTTGGAGAAAACATATAGTGACTTTTTCCCCTTAAATAGGAACTGGTATATGTAAATAAAATAAATGTTAATTTATCAATAATACTCTTGTGTTAATTTATCAATAATACTCTTTTACTTGGTCTTTAAGATGCTGTCAGACATCTTTTAGTATTGCCTTATTGTTTTATCAGAAAGCCAGCATCAAGACTGGTATGACTTTTTTCTTCCTATGATGACTGGAACATAAGCTCAATGTATACTCTTTGGAGGTGGCATCTTTTGATTTTATTCTCAGAAAACTAGTACATTTAAGAAAAACTTTCTAAAACTGAGAATGTTTTCACTATGCAAAGGCCATCCTTATTCTGGATTGAGATTTACTTTTATAACATTGGTTATTAGATTTCTTAGCATACTGCATTTTCTCTCTGGTTTTAAAAGACACACTATGAATATGATGAACCATGGGCTATGGACATATTAAAACTCTTTTAGATAAAATACCACTCCAATTTCTTTTCTGAATTGGCTTTTCACAACATTCTTTGTTTTATTATTTTTGTTCTTATATATCTTGCCTTCCTAGAGCATATTTCAAAACGTTTATGTACTCTCTCCAAATACCTAGAGGGGTCACATTTATATTTTCCTTAATATTCCTTGTGGCCTCATATTTATAGATAAGTCCTTTATAATGCAGTTTATATTATGATGAAAAGGACATAAGGGACCCTGGCTTTCTTTTTTGTCCAGTCTCTAAACCCGAGGAGGTACTGTGTAGGGAAGTATTCATTTCGCATACAACTACATCAAACCAATGACAGTGACTAGCTGAAAAGAATTTTCAACCTTGTAAATTATAGCTTTACGTAATTAGTGACATCATATAACAAGATAAATTATGAATTTAGAAAATCATTATTCGGTAAATGAATGCTTGTCAGTTGCTCTGAAGGCAAATTAATCTTCCAGCATCAGAAGAAGGCCTAAAGGAACAGGCAGAATCACAGATTACACTGTTATACAAAGTCTTTTCCCTCATAAATTGGTGATTCTGCCCATCAGTGTGCTCTTTTTGGTAGAGTAGTGGATAATAGCCTGATTCTGGAGAAAATGTTCATCTTTGGAAGCTGTTGAAAATCTTGAGGGAGCAACAATTGTTTTGCATTCAAATCATAATTTATAAGATCTAAGATTTATACATGGCATATGCTCTTTATGATTAATTGGAGTAAGACATTAATTTTCCAGTTTTCTCCAGGATATTCAGTATTTAGAAAAAAGGAATGTACCAAAAGCTAGAGGACTCTACTTAGACCTGAACTCACTTAGGTTCACGGAAATAAATATCTCCTATTCCTCATCAGGATGATCTGTTCTTTAGTACAGCTGAAACTGGCCACACTAAATACAGTGATCAATATCTGTGATGTCTAGTAGGCCTTCCTGGTTGCATTGGCCATAGCGTCCTGTTCAGACAGGTGGACTAGGATTGCCATTAATTGGACTTGATTTGGCTCAGTGGAATTCCATTTGTAAAACACCTTAGTACAATAATTCTTACCTGTAAAACAGCAGCAATTTGCTAAACCAAATAGAATATATCCCTTCTTAATTTAGACTACAGAATCCAAAATGGACTGGCAAGTTTGAAACAAGCAACAAAACTTCGGACAGAAGTAGATACACAATTAGAGAGAAAGAGTTGGTGAGAACAATGGATACAAGAACTGCCTTATGTGCTTTTGCTTTCTGCCACTTATGTATCTTCGCATTAATGTCATTCTTCTTATCGTACCCTGTGTGATTCTCATTTCTCTAAAACCAAATATCATCTAGAGAATATTATGAGTAATGTTTGCATGATGAACATTGAAGTTATTTAAATAAATATTCTCACTTGTCATCCTTGATTAAACGATAAGTGTCAGATTACAGATGCTTGTCATATTATCCACTGTGTTTTTCTTTCCTCCTTTTCATATACTACTTAGATTTCCCTTTTCAGCTTCTTAACATACCTTTCCGTTGGGATCTGAATTAGTTGAGGCAGCCATTCTGTGTTGGGTTACCTGTGTGGACAAGGGCAATTCATTTAACTTTTCCAAGACAGTTTCTTCCTCTATAAAATGGAATTCGTGCCATCCCACGAGGCGGGTGGATCACGAGGTCAGGAGTTCGAAACCAGCCTGGCCAGCATTGTGAAACCTCATCTCTACCTAAAATACAAAAATTAGCCAGGCATGGTGGCACACCCCTGTAGTCCCAGCTACTCGGGAGGCTGAGGCAGGAGAATCGCTTGAACCCGGGAGGCAGAGGCTGCCGTGAGCCGAGATCACGCCACTGCACTCTAGCCTGGGTAACAGAGCGAGACTCTGTCGCAAAAACAAAAACAAAAACAAAAACAAAAACAAAAACAAAACAGAAAAAGAGAAAAGAAAGAATGAAAAAGAAAACATTCATAAGAGTAACTTGAAAGAAAATTTCTGATCCTAGAAAATCAGTGATAATAAGGTTTGTCTGTTTTCTTCTCCTTCGAAATGTATGATTCAGTCACCTTTTCTCAAATGTTCTGGTTTTAAATAGCTATCCCTGAATAATAAATAACCACAAAAACTCAGTGGTGTAAAAATAAAGCATTTATTTCTCAGTCATTTGTCTGCAAATTGGCTGTGGTTTTGTAGAACTAAGCTGAGCTGGACTGGGTTTGGCTTGGGGCTATAGAATGAATTCAGGTCTGTTCCAAATGTCTTTCAATATTCTGGGACCAGCCAGCTATCAGGAATATATTCTTTCCATAGCAATTATGGAAGTGTAAGAGAGTAAGATGAATCATGCAAGCTCATTTCAATCTTGTTAATATCCTGTCAGCAAAAACAAGTCATATGACCCAGCCTGAAGTCAAGAAGCCTGATAGTATGGAGAGATAAGGGTGTGTGGGTGGAGTAAGCATTTATTCGTAGTGATCTAGGCTGCTACAGTCATCATCCAGAATTTCCCTTGTCCATACAGGTGACCAAATGCAAAAATTGCTGCTTCAGCTGATTCAGATCCCAACAGAAATGTATGTCCAGAAGTTGAAAAGAGAGATCTAAATAATATATGAGTGTAAGGAAAGAACACACTGGATAATAATGTTCAGTGTAGACCAGACAAGCATCTGTAACCTGGCATTTATCTTTTAATGTAGATATTGAAAGAGTTAAAAAGGCTTCCAATACTTTATTTCAAAATATGCATTTTATTTATATGTCACAAATACTGGGCAGTTAATGAAATGTTTTTGAACTCCATCAGTAAGAATCATAGTTCAGTGAATGGAGAAAACAAAACAAAACAAAACAAGTAGTATGTGTGATAATCCCCAGTTCAAACTTGGCTTTGGTTCTAAAATTATAGAGATTATATATAATAAGACAGTGCTCCCTTCTTTTTGAAGGGCTTTATATATAATGACTCGCAATTTCCTCTTAGGAAAAGCTTACAGGTGTTTTATCTGATTGAGGAATTTCAAACTGTTCGTAACTACTTAGTTTTTGATACGTTTCTGCTCTCAGTATAATATGTATTATGCAAATTCTATATATTATACATATATAATACATATTTTTCAGTCTGATTAATAAGAATTTAAATGAAGTAATTCAGTTTAAGGTACTAAGAGTAAAAATATGATATTTAATTGAAATTTATGACTCCCTTCCATCTTCCACCATTAATGATTCTTTTTGTCCTAATTAAGAACATATCTAAAACAGTGATATTTGGGGGTAGAAAAGGCAAAATGTCCTGAGAATTAAAGCTGTTTTTTTTGCCTAAGACTTGGTAAAATGTTTCATCCAATTTTTTATCTGTCATTTTGTGAAATATACAATTCATACTGGAGGGTATTGAAACATTAAACAAAATAGCAAAGTGCAATTAATTATTTTAAGAACTCATTAAGATAAAAACAACAAAGATAGTAAAAGCAAAGAAATCTGACATAATGTTTTGATTACAGTCATATGTCACATAATGACAGGAATACACTCTGAGAAATGCATCTTTAGGTGATTTTTGTCATTGTGTGAGCATCATAGAGTGTAACTACACAGACCTGGATGGTATAGCCTACTACACACCTAGGCTATATGGTATAGCCTATTGCTCCTAGGCTACAAACCTGTACAGCATGTCACTGTACTGAAAACTCTAGGCAATATTAATACTATGATATTTGTGTATCTAAACATATCCAAACATAGAAAAGGCACAATAAAATATGATTTAAAAGATAAATGTGACATACCTGTATAGAGAATTTACCATGAACGGAGATTGCAGGACTGGAAGTTGCTCTGGGTGGGTCAGTGAATGAGTACTGAGTGAATATGAAGGTCCAAGACAAAGCAGTACATTCATGTAGACTTTATAAACACTGTACACTTAGGCTTCATTAAATTTACCAGAAATATTTTTTATTCTGCAATAATAAATTAACTTTAGCTTACCGTAACTTTTTACCCTATAAACTTTTCATATTTAAAAGTGTGGTCTGAGAGACTGTTTGTTATGATTTCTGTTCTTTTGCGTTTGTTGAGGAGTGTTTTACTTTCAATTATGTGGTCAATTTTAGAATAAGTGCGATGTGGTGCGGAGAAGAATGTATATTCTGTTGATTTGGGGTGGAGAGTTGTGTTAATGCTATTAGGTCCGCTTGGTCCAGAGCTGAGTTCAAGTCCTGAATATCCTTGTTAATTTTTTTGTCTCGTTGATCTGTCTAATATTGACGGAGGGGCGTTAAAGTCTCCCATTATTATTGTGTGGGAGTCTAAGTCTCTTTGTAGATCTCTAAGAACTTGCTTTATGAACCTGGGTGCTCCTGTATTGGGTGCAAATATATTTAGGTTAGTTAGCTCTTCTTGTTGTGTTTATCCCTTTACCATTATGTAATGCCCTTCTTTGTCTTTTTTGATCTTTGTTGGTTTAAAGTCTGTTTCATCAGAGACTAAGATTACATCCACTGCTTTTGATAAAATTCAACACCCTTTCCTGCTAAAAACTCTCAAACTAGGTATTGATGGAATGTGTCTCCAAATAATAAGAGCTATTTAGGATAAACCCACAGCCAATATTATACTGAATGGGCAAAAACTGGAAGCATTCCCTTTGAAAACTGGCACAAGACAAGGATGCCCTCTCTCACCACTCCTATTCAACATAGTGTTGGAAGTTCTGGCCAGGGCAATCAGGCAAGAGAAAGAAATAAAGGGTATTCAAATCAGACGAGAGGAAGTCAAATTGTCCCTCTTTGCAGATGACATGATTGTATGTTTAGAAAACACCATCATCTCAGCCCAAAATCTCCTTAAGCTGATAAGCAACTTCAGCAAAGTCTCAGGATACAAAATCAATGTTAAAAGTCACAAGCATTGCTATACACCAATAGTAGACAAACAGAGAGCCAAATCATAAATGAACTCCCATTCACAAGTGCTACAAAGAGAATAAAATACCTAGGAATACAACTTACAAGGGATGTGAAGGACCTCTTCAAGGAGAACTACAAACCACTTCTCCAGGAAAGATGAGAGGACGCAAACAAATGGAAAAACATTCCATGCTTGTGGATAAGAGGAATCAATATTGTGAAAATGGCCATACTGCCCAAAATAATTTATAGATTCAATGCTATCCCCATCAAGCTACCATTGACTTTCTTCACAGAATTAGAAAAAAAAAAACTTTAAATTTCATATGGAACCAAAAAAGAGCCCAATATAGCCAAGACAATCCTAACCCAAAGAACAAAGCTGGAGACATCATGCTTCCTGACTTCAAACTAGGCTACAAGGCTGCAGTAACCAAAACAGCATGGTACTGGTACCAAAACAGATATATAGACCAATGGAACAGAACAGAGACCTCAGAAATAACAACACATATCACCATCTGATCTTTGACAAACCTGACAAAAACAAGCAATGGGGAAAGGATTCCCTATTTAATACAATGGTGTTGGGAAAACTGGCTAGCCGTATGCAGAAAACTGAAATTGGACTCGTATATAAAAATTAACTCAAGATGTATTAAAGACTTAAATGTAAGGCCTAAAACCATAAAAATCCAAGAAGAAAGCCTAGGCAATACCATTCAGGACATAGGCATGGGCAAAGACTTCATGATTAAAACACCAAAGGCAATGGCAACAAAAGCCAAAATTGACAAATGGGATCTAATTAAACTAAAGAGCTTCTGCACAGCAAAAGAAACTATCATCAGAGTGAACAGGCAACCTACAAAATGGGAGAAAATTTTTGCAATCTGTCCATCTGACAAAGGGCTAATATCCGGAATCTACAAGGAACTTAACAATTTTACAAGAAAAAAAAAATCCCATCAAAAAGTGGGTAAAGGATATGAACAGACACTTCTCAAAAGAAGACATTTATGTGGCCAACAAACATATGAAAAAAAGCTCATCATCACTGGTCATTAGAGAAATGCAAATCAAAACCACAATGAGACACCATTCTCACACCAGTTAGAATGGCGATCATTAAAAAGTCAGGAAACAACAGATGCTGGAGAGGATGTGAAGAAATAGGAATACTTTTACACTGTTCGTGGGAGTGTAAATTAGTTCAACCATTGTGGAAGACAGTGTGGTAATTCCTAAAGGATCTAGAACCAGAAATACCATTTGACCTAGCAATCCCATTACTCTGCATGTACACAAAGGATTATAAATCATTCTAGTATAAAAACACATGCACACGTATGTTTATTGCAGCACTATTCACAATAACAAAGACTTGGAACCAACCGAAATACTCATCAATGATAGACTGGATAAAGAAAATGTGGCACATATACAACACGAAATACTATGCAGCCATAAAAGAGGATGAGTTCATGTCCTTTGCAGGGACATGGATGAAGCTGGAAACTATCATTCTCAGCAAACTAACACAGGAACGGAAAACCAAACACTGAATGTTCTCACTCATAAGTGGGAGCTGAACAATGAGAACACATGGACACAGGGAGAGGAACATCACACACTGGGGCCTGTCAGGGGATGGTGGGCTATGAGAGGAATGGTATTAGGAGAAACACCTAATGTAGATGACAGGTTGATGGGTGCAACAAACCACCATGGCACATGTGTACCTATGTAACAAACCTGTATGTTCTGCACACGTACCTCAGAACTTAAAGTATAATTTTAAAAAATAAGTTTTTAAATATCCACTTTTATAAGCTTTCTTCTATTTTAAAAATGTTTTATTTTTGTTAATTTTTTAAATCTTTTTGTTAAAAAAACTAAGACACAAACACACACATAAGCCTAGGGCCAATACAGGGCCTATACAGGGTCAGGATCATCAATATCGCTATCTTTCACCACTACAACTTGTCCCACTGGAAAGGCTTCAGGGGCAAGAACATGCATGGAGCTGTCATATTCTATGATAGTGATGCCTTCTTCTGGAATGCCTCCTGATGGACTTGCCTGAGGATCTTGTTGAGGAGATGTCACTCTTTTCAGAAATATACACTATGATGTTATGATGGCTACAGCGTCAGTAGGTGATAAGAATTTTTCAGTCACATTATCTTCTGATGAGGCCACCACTGTATATGCAGTCTGTTGTGGACTGAAACGATGTTATGCAGTGCATGACTGCACAGAATTTTTAAACAGGGAAGAGATTCTTGTAGGAAAAAGAAAAGAGCATGTGAAGTTGTTTGCATATTCAATTCTCTACATATTATTTTGGAAGTCTGGGTAAGAAGTTAAAGTTTATGATATTAAAATTGGACATATCCTGAAAATAAGTCATTATTTTATTCCATTGAAAATCAGAGTGCTACTTTGAAATATATTCTATCTTTTATGGAAATAAATACAATCTGTGTGAATTGTATTTGTGTTTGGAAAAGAAATTTTTTTTCAAACTCTCTGAGGTTCCAGTGTAAAAAAGAAAGCAGCATCTAAGCATTCTCACAAGTTTTCTCTATTCATTAAAATGAAAAACTGTGACAAGGATCTAGCCTGAATCAGATAGGTCAGGAAACTGTAATTCCAATCCAAAAAACCATAAACATTTTATATTACTGGCCATTTGACTAAAGCTTCACAGCAGATAAAGAAAAAATAATGCCTCTAGAGATAAAAAGTAAATCAATCACACATAGAATATTATTTATTTCACATTGTACTGTCTTTGCTGTGATTTATCTCTTATAATTTATTTCAGCAAATGTGTAAAAATACATTGTGAATCTGGTTCTCTAAAGAATTTTCTCAGGAACTCACATGCATTGAGAGCAGGTTACTTGAAAATGAATTATCACACACCCTTGAAAGAAGTTTTTCACAAGGATGAACAAAGGATGCTAAACAGCAGTCCAAGAAATGTTGTTGTTACATAATGTTGTTTTAAATTCACTATTAAATTTTAATATATATTTATGTTTAAATTATATATGCATATATGAGTGTATGCATATGATTTTAATACATCTTATCAAAACAAAACTTTTAAAATAAAGCTATCAACTTGTATGAAGGGAAGAGTATCTTAATATGGTACTGTTAAGATACCTTATTGAGGGACATACAACAAAACTATATTTTTAAAGCATTTACAAATTTTCTGAAATTATACAGGTTCAAACATGGTCTAACTGAAATTAAATTGGCTCTAAAAATGATGCCAGAAATTAGGATGAATGGCCAAAATGGTATAACTTTCGACAAATCACTGAATCGATTATAGCTTCACTTACCATTTTTCCTAATCCTCCAGTTTATAAGTAGAACACGTTTAGTATAGGATGGCGAGTAAACTGAAAGGTTATTCTCTCCTGTACAGCCTCTCTTAGTCTCTCTTTGAATGATAATATCCTTCATAGCACTTATAATTTAAAATTATTTGTTTACTTATTTGTTGTTTCTTTCTTGACTGTGCTAGTCATAGTATGTGGTAGACATTCAAAAAATATTTGTGGAATAACTAAGAGTTCTCAAGATGAAACTTGTGATATAAACAGATGTTAATAGACTTCACAAATACTTCTTTTTGTAGTCATTATTCATATAGAAGAACTGCTTCTGCTTTATCAAGTAAGTTTATGTAATATTCTAATGTCTTTGTTGTGATTTCAAGAATGTTCACAGCATCTTCACCAACAATAGAATCAATTGCAAAAAATTATTATCTTTGCTCACCCACGAGAAGCAACTCCTCAGCTGTTCACATTTTATCATGAGACAGCAATTCAGTCACATCTTCAAGCCCCACTTCCAATTCTAGTTCTTTTGCTATTTTCACCATGTCTGCAGTTACATAATTCTCTGAAGTCTTGAGCCCCTCAAAGTCATCCATGAGTGTTGGAACCAACTTTATCCAAACTCCTGTTAACGTTGATATTTTTACCTTCTCTCATGAATTATTAATGATTTTCTGTGTTAGTCTGCTTTTGCATTACGATAAAATAATACCTGAGACTAGGTAATTTATTTAAAAAGAGGTTTAATTGGCTCATACTTCTGCAGGCGATACAAGCATGACACCAACATCTGCTCAGCTTCTGGTGAGGGCCTCAGGAAGCTTACAATCATGGCAGAAGATGAAGTGGAAGCAAGCATGTTACATGGTGAGAGCCAGAGCAAGAGAGAAAGAAGGGGGAGGTCCTAGACACTTTTAAACAACCAGATTTCATTTGACCTAACTGAATGTGAACTCACTTATTACCAAAGGGATGGTACTAAACCACTCATGAGAGATCTGCCCCCATGATCTGACCACCTTCCACCAGTTCCCTCCTTTAACATTGGGAATCATATTTCAACATGAGATTTGCAAGGGACAAACATCCAAACCATAAAATCTTAATGGCATCTAGAATGATAAATCCTTTCCGGTAGGTTTTCAATGTACTAATTTCAACAGGGAAATCACTATCTTTGGTAGCTATAGCCTTACAAACTATATTTCTTAAATAATAAGACTTGAAAATCAAAATTACCCTTTGAGCCACTGCCTGCAGACTGGATGTTGTATTAGCAGGCATGAAAACATTAGCCTTCTTGTATATCTCTATAGGGCTCTTGGGTGACTAGGTGCATTGTCAATGAATTTGGCATTAGCCTTCTTGTACATGTCTACAGGGCTCTTGGGTGACTAGGTACATTGTCAATATAATATTTCAAAAGGAATCTTTTTTCCTGAGCAGTAGGTCTCAAATCCTTAGCTTAAAATATTCAGTAAACCATGCTGTAAACACATGTGCTGTCATCTAGGCTTTGTTCTTTAACTTACAGAGCACAGGAAGAATAGGCTTAGCATAATTCTTAAATGCTTTAGGATTTTTTGAATGGTAAATGAGTGCCAGCTTCAACTTAAAGCCACGAGCTGCCTTAGCCCCTAATAAGAGAGTCAGCCAGTCTTTGAAGCTTTGAAGCCAGGCATTGACTTCTCTCTAGCTATGGAAGTCCTGCATAGCATCTTCATCCAGTGGAAGGCTGTTTCATCCACATGGAAAATCTGTTGTTTAGTGTAGCCGCTTAGCTAAATCTCGATAACTTGCTGCAGCTTCTAAATCAGCATCTGCTGCCTCATTTTGCATTATTATGTTATGGAGATGGCTTCTTTCTTTAAAACTCATGAACCAACCTTGCTGGCTTCAGACTTTTCCTCTGCAGCTTTTTCACCTCTCTCAGCCTTCACAAAATTGAGGACACTTAGGTCTTTTCTTTGGATTAGGTTTTGGTTTAAAAGATGTTGTGGCTGGTTTGATCTCCTATCCAGACCACTAACATTTTCTCCATATCAGCAATGAGGCTGTTTTGCTTTCTTATCATCTGTGTGTTCACTGGTGTAGCACTTTTAATTTCCTTCAAGAACTTTTACTTTGCATTCACAATTTGGCTAAATGTTTGACCCAAGAGACCTAGCTTTCCACCTGTCTTGGCTTTTGACATGCCTTCCTCACTAAGCTTAATCATTTCTAGTTTATCTAAAGTGAGTGATTTATGACTCTTCTTTTCACTTGAACATTTAGAGGCCATTATATGCTTATAGTTGGCCTCATTTCAACATTGTTCTGTGTGAGGAAATAAGGAGGCTCAAGGAGAGGGACAGAGAGTGGAACAGTTGGTTAGTGAAGCAGTCAGAATACATACAACATTTATAAACTGAGTTTTCTATCTTATATAAATGTTGTTGTGGCACCCCAAAACAATTGCAATAATAACATCAAGCAAAGATCACTGATCACATATCACCACAACAGATATAATAATGCAAAGTTTGAAATATTGCAAAAATTACCAAAATTAGATAGGAAATGAGCACATGTTGTTATGGCTAGATGCAAGGTTGCCACAAACCTTCATTTTGTAAAAAATGAAATAGCTGTGAAATACAATAATGTGAAAGACAATAAAATGAGTTGCATTTATGTTACAAATCCAAGACAAAAACGTAACAATAACCTCAATTAATGTCAATTTATACGTGATCATGATATCAATATTCCTGGGAAATAGATACTTCCTGAGCCTTTAACTGCTCTTCACCTTCGGACAGAGAGCTATTCTTCGGTATTACATATCATTGTCTCCAAAACCAGATATCATCATTTTCATGCCTTTGTCATAGTTTCCTGCTTATATAATTTCTATTTCAAAATTATTCATAGGACATTGATTTCCAGATGGTCTCCCTTATTAAATGCATCTCTTGGTGAAAATTATTAAATACTTTTTGTTTGTATTCACATAAACAAAACAGATATAAAAGAATAATATGATTCAAAGCCATCATGCTGCAGCTTAACTAGGATTTTTAGTCTGATAAAAATAATTATGTTTATTTAAGACCAATTGGTCTATAGATTTCAAATCCATGCAAATATAAATTATTCATGAATCCGTTGTCTGGATTCCTATAATTTGAGTAAATTAATTTTCTTATTGATTCAATTAGTAAGGCCTTTATTTTGATATGGTATTCTTATTTGTCTTCTAATTATTTTAGTCCTTATGGTTTTTTAAAAATTACATTAAAAAGTAATTTAAAATGATATTTAGAATGGTATTTGTGGTGGTGATGTGAAGAACAGGAGATGAGCATCTATTGTTCTGGAATAATTGTCTGCATGGTGAAGAGAAGACAGTGGGAGAAAAATGCCTTATCTCAGTATCTACAGATATCTCAGTAACAGAATCACTTCTAGTTGGTTCATTAGCTTGCATGCCATGTCAGGGGCAGCGTCTTTAATACTGTCTATTGTTATTAGCTTCCAGGGATGTTTTTGGATATGGGAAGACAGGGAGATTGTTTTCAGTCCTGAAAACCTAAGGCAAGATAAACACAAGCCTGATTTATGTCATGCTTGTCTTTCAAGGGTCTTTTCTACTGCTTTCTCTTCCCTTGTTTCATAGGTGACTGTCCTGACTTCTACCACTGAGCTGCTCTCCACTCTGTCCATGACCCTGATAAATCCAGTAATTATTACAGTTGCTATGAGCCAGGTACTCTGCTAAGCCCTTGATGGGCATCATTCTATCAAATCCTCACAACAATCCAGAGGGTTAGATGTATTAGCCCTGAGGAAACTGGAGTTCAGGAACGCTGAGTAGCTTGTTCAAAATCGTACAGTCTTTAAGTGACGAAGCTGGTATTCAAATCCATTTATTCTGACCCAAATCCTGGGCTACATTTAAAACTCAACGGGGATTTAAGAATCATGGATAAACTTGCCTGGAAATTAAGACAGAACATGATTGTAAGAAAGAAAAATAGGCTGAGACAGGTTACAGTTTGTGATCTTTCCTCAGAGACATATTCCACCGAATAGGAGCATCTTGAAAAAAATTGTGAAGCTAGTGAAGTTTATCTTCAGCTTTGTACCTCCTTTCATTGTTTAATCTACTTATGCGCCTGTGACAGCTAGTGACCTTACACTGCCTCCTGTTTCTCATGTTATGGTGAGGAGTGTTAAATTGATTTTTCCCAAAGTGTAAATGATATAAGATTTTCTCTTTCAGAAAAATTTGCATTTTTAAAAGAGGATATTTTAAAAAAAAAAATAGGGATTTACTTAAATGAATTAATCTAAAAGAATGAACTCTTCAGAGTGTGATTGATGGGTAAAACGTCCATTTTAGGTTAGGGCCACCTCCTCATGGCTTTTATGTCACACCCTCTATGTGATCACACATCGTATTCGTAAGACAGCCAGCACTGCAGCTGAGGCGGCATGCATCCTGTCTCATGGCTCACTGATGGAAAAGCTACTGTCTCGTCAATTTTGTTTTGCCACTGACCATCATTGCTGTGATCTAACACATGTACTGTTTTCAAGTTTCCTATGAGCCACAGAAATATTCACCAAGTGTCACCTAAATTATTGGAAAATTACTTAATTCCTTAATCTAATGAAGATTTGCGTTAAAAAAAACAAAAGCCCAAAGAATCCAAATACACATCTGGCAGCAATTTAATTCATTTAGAATTTATTGCCTACAGTATCTTGAGATTTGTAGATGGAATGATTCTTATAAAATCAAAATGTAATTTTATAAATATGTTTGTGTCTAACTGCATTTTATTCAGAGTGTATATTTACATTTACTTAAAAAATCATTGAGGGCAAGAATTTACTCATGTAAAAGCTTTATATGTTAGAAGCAGGTAACAGCGAAGTGAGTGATACAAGTCAGATTTCCCCAGTAAAGGGAAAATGCCTTGCTAGGTGAGGAGATTAATGTAATTTCAATTTTGTCATGGTGATAATCTGGTTGTATCCATATTTACAAGAGCAGGAGGAAATGAAAGAAAATCGTCAATTTGTATTTTAAAGATATGTCAATTGTGTTTTGTGCCAGTGAGGGAAAAAATGAATCTTCATCTGATTAAAATAACTTTTGATCCCTCAGAATAAGTCTTGAAAAGAGGCAATGCTATTTGAAAGCATCAATACAAACCACAAACTGCCTCTACAGCTGTTTATGATTAGGTAAAGTGCATAACATATCACATCTCAGCCAATGGAAATGCAGAGGTCTAAAAAGGATAACTTACCACCTCACTCAACTAGCACCTATAAGGGAAAGTGATTAGTTCCACATCAGCCATTGTATATAAAAGCATCACCAGTAGTAGATGAGGCCACATAATCAATTAATCTGAGTCTGCAAAGAAAAATCAAGGTTTTCGTTTAAGATGTATGTGGAGCAACAACTACAAAAAACTTTATGATAGCAAATGTTAGGCCTACTGGCAATGAATCTGATTTCTGCACTGGTTCAGGAAAAATGTGATTAGGTTTTTCCCCTCTAGAAATCACATAGGATTGAACTTTTCCAATTCTGTCTTTAGAGTAGACAGGTACAAATTTGAGAGAACCTCTGGCCATAGGCATGCAGTTCTTCTATTCACAGGCATGGCTAGAACAGAACACTTAGGCTCTTGTGGCCAGAGCCTAAGTGTGTCCAACCATGCTGCCATGTGAGTGGCTTCTGTAATTAGCCAGTAGCAGGTTGGTCAGGAGAAGTTTGAGAAATACAGGCTGGATGACATTGGTGGGCCAGGCAGAAATAAAGATCAACAAGAAGTTGAGCAGAAAAGGAAGACTGGATATGGGACTTCAGCCTCAGCAGGCTAGTCCATGGTTGGCAGGTTGAATTAAAAATATATATATATATATGACCAGAAGCCCGCTGACTTCTGAAGATTGGCCTATCTGGTTTGCAGCAGACATAATGGACTCATACTCATAAGTTTAGTTGTCAGAAATATTTTCCCAGAGCTAAAACTTTCTTAATTTTACCACTTGAGAGAAGAGAAATAATTCCCTGGGCTGTTTCTGTTCTTCAAGAAGCACTGCCCAGGGATGCATAGGAACTGGGTTTTATGTCAAACTACCTGTTTATTACATATACTCTACTATGATCTATTGCAAATATTGTCTGACATTAAACTGTCCATTTGTCATTTCTAGCCAGGTAACTGTCTGTAATAGGTAACAGTGGTTTGGTCATGTCCTCATTCATTCAAATAGTATGATGTGATGAGATATTTAAACTAGACTTCTGTTAGAATGTGGATTCTCTCTGTGATATCCCTAGAATGAATATTTTCATCTCCTCTCCCTCTGTCTCTCTTAGCTTATGTGGAAGAGGACATCTCTTTTTTCGTATAATATTACTCAGCCCCAACAAGTTGATGCACAGGGCCACTGCCTATGCCGTCTCTTCTCTCTGGAAACTGAGCCATGTAAACCCTTTTCCCTTAGAGAGCTCTCATGTGTAGTCCACCCTTAAGAGTGTCCATATTAGCCAGTAGCAATGAGGCAAAGAATGGCAATGAATAATTGGCATCAAAGCCTAAGACAGAACTAGTTATGACTTTTATGTTGAAAAATTGAACTCTTAGCATGGAAAAGAGAGCAAGCTTACTCTTTTCAACAACTACTTAATATCCCTATTTGGGGGCTTGTTTAATCCCTTGGATTATATCTAGGACAGGCCCAGAGGTCACTTTTAAATATTAACTTGTCTTCAAGTCATTTTAGCCCTGGTTCAATAATTATTATTTCCAGCACAATGTAATCCATATGCTGAACTTCAATCAAAATTCTACCCCTCCACCAACTTGGTCCAGCAACCAGCAGCAGGAATTCTGTGGTGGGAAAAGGATATGCTTGCTTTCCTACCATTTCCTACCGATTTTTGTCTTGCAAACCTGGATTTCTGGAGCCTAAAGGAGGGAACACAAGGAAGGAGGTAAAGGTTAAGATCTAAAAAGTTTCAGCATGAATGCCATAGGTTTTCCTTTGTAACCACAGTGGATGTTTTAATGCTGACTCTTTCACTCATGAGCACTTCTGTGGAGGTTTCAGAGACACTAGTCAGTGGGGTTTTCTCACTTGCCATTTTTAAAGAAGAAATTAGGCCAGGTGCAGTGGCTTATGCCTGTAATACCAACACTTTGGAAGGCCGAGGCAGGTGAATCACCTAAGGTCATGAGTTCGAGACCATCCTGGCCAACATGGTGAAACCCTGTCTCTACTAAAAATATGAAAATTAGCCAAGCATGATGGTGGGCACCTGTAATCCCAGCTACTCGGGAGGCTGAGGCAGGAGAATTGCTTGAACCTGGGAGGTGGAGGTTGCAGTGAGCCAAGATCGCACCATTGCACTCCAGCCTGGGTGATGAGAGTGAAACTCCATCTCCAAAAAAAAAAAAAAAAAAAGAACAAATTCTGCCTTCTCTCTCTGCTCGTGGTTTCTTGGCAGCCCACCATCACTCAGACTTTCTCAGAAGAAGTGCCATTACCATCTTAGGTAAAGTCCCCTTTATCAAAGCTCAGCGTGGGTTCATTTGTTTTATCTTTCTCTCTTCATCTCTTCCTCAGAATATGTGTAAATTTGTCCTGTTGGTGGGAATGCAATATATTCTCAAATTTCAACTCTCTACTCTGATGCATTTCAGCAAAGCTTCTACTCTTCATTTCTCAAGTTGGAGTAGCCAGTTCTAATATCATATCACTTAAAGAATGGCATCAGGTTCTCAGAATGATATCCTTGACTTTCTTTTCATTGGGCAAAAAATAGGATGGAACATCACTCTCCCTCACAGTGGACAATGAAAATGACTCTGCTCCCACACATTCCAAAGGAAGTCTGCCTTGGATCTCCAACTCATCTCCCAGCCTCACAAACCTCTTTTATTGGTGGGAGGTGAGTGGTCAGATAAAATGTGTGTCTTAGCCTGTTCTTTACGCTATAAGAAAATTCCTCAAGCTGGTTAATTTATATAGAAGAGAAATCTATTTATTATAGTTCTGGAGGCTCTGTAGTTCAAGATTAAGGTGTCAGCAGAATCAGTTTTTGTTGAAGGTTACTTTCTGCTTCCAAAATGGCACTCTCTTTCTGCATCCTCATATGGCAGAAGGAAACAAAAAGAGACTGAAGCTGTGTCTTCACATGGCAGAGGAAATGGAAGGGATGAAAAAGATGAGGCAGCTCTCTGAAGCCACTTTTATAAGGACATTAATCCCATTCATGATGAATCCCAATTGTCTGTCAAAGACCTCACCTCTTAATACCATCTTAACTTAAACTTTGGGTTTGAGTTCCGACACATGAATTTTGGAGGAACACATATATTGGAACCAAAGCAATGTGTGTAAAATTGATTTTTCTTTTTGGTCCACTCCTTTGCATTGGTTATTTGGTATCTCACTTTGGAAGTAGCTGAAACCTATACAGGAGTCAAGGCAATAAAGTATTTGAGGAAAAAAATAGCAGAAGTTGGCTAAAGACAAGACATATATGCTAGAAAATGCATGAGATCCATTCATGGAAATTTACTGGATAGCGGTTCCTTGTGGCAGGGCCTCTTTTTAAGAAAGGGGGCCCAATGAAAACAGGTCTGTCTTTGTTAGTGGTAAAGGTGGTTGTGTAAAGCTAGTTTATCTCTACCTGAAGCAGACACACACACACTAATACCTCCTACTTAGCTATTGCCTCAGTTGATCCAGTGTTTGAAAATTCCAATTTTCCAAGTTGCTATGAGTCTAGCTGCTACAGAGAAGGTTGTTCTACAGGATTTGTCAATTGTGTATTATTTAGGAGAAGATTGTTCTACAGTACTTGTCAATCAGTGTTGACATTACACTTTATATCAGATCAGATCCAAAGATTGCAAATATCTGTAGATAGAAAAAATACATGAAATTTCTTTAAGATGTCATCTCTTTCTTTTTTGCAGATAAACAATATTAAAACACTATTAACACCTCCCTACTTCTAGATGTTGTTATTCCTATTGTGTGATTTACTACCTGTGGCTAGATACCTACATCCAAACCAATTAAATAAACAAAAATTGCATATTAGCTATATGCTCACCTCTGTAATTGATGCTGAGTTTATTTCATTGATTAAGGGCAATTGTTTCTCTTCTATTTTTATTTCTCTTCTGCAGATAAAATAACAACCTTCCCATTTTTTCTTCTTTGCATATTTAGAATGTATACATTTTTCTTCTAGCCTCTTTCATAATTATGGAACAATATCAGTGTCGAAGACCCACATTGCTCAGGCATTATACCATTCATGAGTGCCAGAAGGGCTGTTCACTTCTCTGTCCTATTTTATAAAACCCTACATAACCTTGTTCCACATTTTATCTCATTCATCAGGCCCCAATGATTCTGTCACTATAAGCTTCAAGCCAGGAGAGAAGAGAAAGCACGTGAACAATGGTCAGGCAGACTCTGAAATTACAGACAGAAGTCAAACTAAGCATGCTGTACCCCCTCAGCTTAGATCACCAAACAGACAAGCCGGTCCTTCATTCCCGAAGGGAGTGAGTGAGGAGGTGGAAAAAGCTTAGCAATGCTTGCCTATACGTTTCCTTCTTGGGCACTGGAAAGGAAACTCATTCATCTCTGTGGAAATATGATGAGTATGAATGAGTTTCCCTCACAATGGAAAACCCAGTCAATTAATGTGTTCACTCAATGGACATAAACCCAAATCTGCTACTTAGTAGTTTTGTCTTGTGCAGATTATTTATATTTTAGGCCTTGGTATTCTTATAAGAAAAATGAGATTGCTAATTCACACTTCATAGAGCTTTTCTAAGAATTATAATGAGAATTGGTACAATTAAGGCACCCAATAAATGGTAGAAAATATAATTACTAATAGTAAAAAATAATCCCTTTGAGTCTCATTTCAAATAAACCCAGCATACATATTTCCTAAAATTGTTGGGAAATTATATAAGATAGCATGTATCATATGAAATGCCTGATACTTAACACAATTTTTATTTTAAAATATCCTTGTCTTTAGTCCAAGAATAGAAAAAGACCAAATCTGTCTTCCATGATCCTACCTCCCCTCTTTGTTCTCCCCCTTTTTTTTCTTAGCTGCCAGTGTGGGATCTGTTGTCCTCTCCACATTTTCCCCAGCCCAGAGATATGGGACCCTTGTGATTCCCCTGTTCTCCAGAATACACATTATTAGAGAAAGACTCTGTTTTATGGTGTGTATTGGTGTGTACTGTACATATTTACACACACTTAAATACACATATAGTATATGCGATGCTGTATGATGGGTAAAATATATTCTATCTAAAGATCAAAATGTAAATTTGAGTGCATGCATATTTCCCATTATAATTCTTTTCTCCGTCTTTTTTTTTTTTTTTTTGAGATGGGATCCTGCTCTCTCACCCAGGCTGGAGTGCAGTGGCATGATCTCGGCTTACCGCAACCTCCGCCTTCTGGGTTCAAGGGGTTCTCGTCCCTCAGCCTCCCAAGGAGCTGAGATTACAGGCACCTGCCACCACGCCTGGCTAACTTTTGTATTTTTTCCAGAGATGCGTTTTCACCATGTTGGCCATACTGGTCTGAAACTCCTGGCCTCAAGTGATCTGTCCCCCTCAGCCTCCTAGAGTCCTGGGATTACAGGTGTGAGCCACCATGCCCAGCCTTCCCATCGTAATTCTTTAGTAGTGAACTCTAAGTTTCTGTTTGTTTTTATTAAAAAAAATCAGTGATCATAAAACATGAAGAAGAAATTATTTAAGGGTTATTTATATAACACAATATTACATTTTAAAAGACATGTGCAATTTTAAAACAATGAAGTTTTGAACCTGTAAAAAAATACATAGAAAAGATTTGAGGAGTTCCCAAAAGGCCATTTTTAGTTCCTTTGAAATCATATAATATGGGCCAACATCTGTGTCACTTACATGCAAAGCAAGCCTTATTGGCACCTGGGATATTGAAGATGATATCTCTAGGGTTAATATTTGGCTCACTTACAGGTTACTTGTAGAGGGCCCTAAAGTCATTATCAGTTTTGGCCAGAGCAGAGAAATTCCTGGGGTGAGGCCTGAGGAACAATGAATTATGGCAGCTGGACTTCCTTTTTAGAAAAGGAAGAGTGAAGTTGGCAGACAGGTAAAATGGCACATGTAGATAGATGGAAATAGAACCAGCATCATTTGATTTGAAATCTTTTGTGCAGGGCTATTTGTATTGTGTCTTCCTAAACTCATTTAGCTATGTTTCAGCAAATGCAAAGTCTAAAATCCAAGCAAGCAAACTGGCATCTCTGTTCATCATCAAAATTTGGAGCTATATCTTGAAGCAGAAAAAGAGTATTTTTGAAAATGCTTGAAATGTTGACACAGTGCATTCAGGGTAAAGCATCCAAATGTATTATTTCAGCACTTGTTGTGTCCACTTTTAGTGAGATGAGGAAAAGCTGAATTCAAACATGTATAAACTGTCTTTTATTGTGCAAATTCTTGTCTTCAAGCATTTCTTTTCAAATGTGAGGGTTTGTTTACCAGATCTAAAATGACTTCCTAGTGGAAGGGAGAGGCTAAATCCTCACAAGCCAGAGCATGAGATTTTACTTTGTAAAAACCTACTTCATTGTCAAAAAGTAACCTTAGCAGAATGTATAATATAAGCCAATTACAGAGAATATCAGCAGTTCTAAAATAGAAATAATATTGTTGACCAATAGTTATTGCATATTTACTGTGTGCCTGGGAATGTCCCAAGCACTTGGCCATGCATTCATGTATTTGAATGAAGATTAGATAATTCATTATTTAATGAATTATTATTTAACTCAGATATATAATCATTTGATATATAATATTTTATGTGGATTTTATGCCATAGCTGGGTGTGTCTTATTCCATGAGGATTATCTCTAGACTCTGTATGGTTCTACTAATTCAGGTGAAAGGACACTCTTAACAGAGGATTTCAGAGACTGTTAGACTTGAACTTACATGCCCATCTCCACTTGCCATTCTGCAATATCTGTTCCTACTTTCTTCCCGAATAAAGAGGGGTAAACGCAGGGGAACCCAAGGATTTTTCCAAGTATTATCAATACCTAGTAGATAGAGGAACCACAACAAGGGCTGCAAAGGATCTTTTCTTATCTCCCCTGCTTACCTTTTAGTGCCCCCAAGATTTTCATCCCTTGTTGGTCTTGCCTTTTGTTACACTAGAAATTACTGAGGGAGATAAGTAGCTCTCTGTGTTTTTTTCTCATTCTGCCTTCCCACCCAAGCTTGAAAAAAAGTTAAGGTGAGGCCAGTCGTGGTGGCTCATGCCTGTAATCCAGCACTTTGGGAGGCCAAGGCGGGCAGATCACTTGAGGCCAGGAGTTGGAGACCAGCCTGGCCAACATGGCAAAACTCCACCTCTACTGAAAATACAAAAATTGGCCAAGTGTGGTGGTGCACACCTGTAGTCCCAGCTACTCAGGAGGCTGAGGCACAAAAATTGCTTGAACCCAGAAGGCAGATGTTACATTGAGCTGAGATCACGCCACTGCACTCAAGCCTGGGCAACAGAGCAAGACCCTATCTCAAAAAAAAGAAAAAAAAATTGAGGTGACAGAAAGTGGCATCTGCTTTTGAGGAGTATTCTGCATATGTTTTCCTTAGGGTGAGTCCCACACTTTTAGTCAGCTTGTCATCAATTGGGTGGAAAGTTAGTAAAAACTTTCTGGATATTGTTTATTGCTTTAACCCAGCTTCTGGGGAAGAATGGAGTTACAAAATATTCCCAATATCTCAAATTTTTTATTTTTAATTTTTTCCCAAGGCCCACTTTTCAAAACTCATGGTAGAAATTATGACTTTCTCTCTATCAGATGGGAGCTCCCAGAGAACAGAGGCCATTAGAGACTCAGGTTCAGAAGTGAGCTCCGCCGCCTGAATTTACCTGTCTGTTCCAACAACTCTCATTCCCCTTACAGTCAATGGAAAATATTTGATGACTGGTGGTATATTTGCAAGGGTATTAAAATTATCTTTGGTCCTTCTTTAGTCTTCTTGAGAGCTTCAGTGATTCCATATAGTTCTCCATTTTTCATCAGCAACTTTAATACATGATCGCTAATTCAGGTTTGGCATGGCCAAAATGGAGTTCTTAATTTTCACTGCACTTCCTCTCTCCGTAGACACACACCAAACCTGTTCTTTTTCTTCCCCCATTTTAGTAAATTGCAACATTTGGTCCAAAACAAAACCCAAGGAGTCACCTTGAGTGCTCCCTTTGCATCATTTTCTGTGGTGAGGTTAGTATCATGTGGTATGACCTAAAGCATGCAGTGTGTTAGTGACTTTTAAATACAAAGGCCAACAAAATTTCCTGTTTTCTCATCATCTCACTAAGAAACATACAGTGCTATGACTCTGCTGGCACACCCTTTGGGACACTGGTCTGGGGAAGAGACCTTGAGTCCTTCTATTTTACCTTGAGGCAAGCATGAGAACAGGTTTATTTGCAAGAAATTAGAGTCAGAGTTCAGAGGGCAAGTAGTCTGGTTTCAGATGCCAGTTGACCAAGGAGTTTTCAAAGAAAGCCTAGCTACTGTCAACTTCAGCTTTGTTGAATTGGGACTGCTAAAGAAAGGAAGTTCCTTTTAGTGAGAAGTTACATTTGGGTGAAGTGCTTCTAACTACTAAATGAGTAGCCTGCAGTCCCAGATTAGGTCAGAGTTAAGTCAACCTGAGTTTCAGGGGTAATTCACCATACAACCTTTCTTTATTCTCCGCTCCTCCTACAGTCAATCTTGCTGGCTCTATTGTTAAAATTCTTATTATTCCATTTATTTTCATCTTGTCTCCTGGCACGCAAGCTAAAGTCACCATTATCTCTTGCCTTGAGTATAGCAATTGTTTTTCAATTAGTTTGTCTGCGTTTACCTGATTATCATATTCACTGTCTCAATTAATTGCCCTCCTCACCTGCCCTACTCGGCCATAATCCTTTCTTCCTAGCAGCCAGAGTAAGTTTTGAAAATAAAGTTAGAGCCTGCCACTCACTTATAGCACTGCAATGATTTCCTGTTAAGCTTAGAAGAAAATCCCACATTATTTGTAAGAGCCCCATGGCCTGACTTGCCTCTGCCTCTCTAACTGTGTCTCTTTTTGATTCCTTACCAATTATGCTCTAGTCACACTTGTCTTCCCTCGCCTGTTTGAATATCACAAGCTCACTTTTGTTTTAATGGTGTTTGAGTTTATTATCTTTATGCCTGCTGTGCTTGGCAATCATATCTTTCCAGGACTGATAATGTCATCAGTGGAGCAAGGGCCTCCCTGACCAAAAGTAGTAAAACTCCCAACTCTTCCAGTTACTCTTTGTTGTAATATTTATTATTATCTAAAGTTATCATGTTTATATTTTTTATTTACATGGCTATTACTCACATTTTTCTCATGCTCAAATATATGCTCCTTCAAGCAAAGATGATATCTACTTTACGTATAGATACCTCTACATTATAAGGGCTCAGTAAATAGTTGAAGAATATTTAAGTAATTTCTATGACATAAGTATTTTGAAATATATTATTGAAATGTGGTCATGAGTGAATGGTGGTTTTAAAACATAACATAAATTTATTGATACTCCTTCTTTCAAGAGGTGAGACTATGTATGCCCCTTCTCTTCAATAACGTAGTCTGGACTATGTTATTGCCTATGTCTTAAGAAACTAGCTGTTGCCATTTATTGTTTCTTGCATTGCTCACTTTTGGAACGTAGCCACCATGTCATGAGAAAATCAAACTGCTACGTGGTGAGGTTGGTATAGAATTTTTTATGACAGCCAAAGCTGAGGTGTTAGTCAATAACCAAAATCTACCTCCAAACATGTGATTGAGTGAGTCTTTATAGAGAAGACAGCATTTTTTTAATAAAGGGGGCTAGAGAGCAAATGTTTACATTGTGGTGCCATGCAGTCACTGTCAGCTACTTAATTCTTCTCTGTGAAAATAGCCATAAATATAAACAAATATTAATGGACAATACATAATCCAATGAGAAATGCTGTGTCCCAATCAAACTTTATTTTCAAAAACAGATGGTGGTCCAGATTTGGCCTATGGTCTATAGGTTGCCTACATGAACATTAAGCAATTCTAGCTTCAGTTGGTAAATTGATTCTAGCCTTTGAACTACACCAACTGATATGGCATCAAGCAGAGATTAAATTTTCCCCAATATGCCTCGCCCAAATTGAAGATTTGTGAGCAAAATGAATGCCTTTAGTATTATTATTACTAAATGGAGGTGGTTTGTTATGCATCAATAGATGACTAGAATATGGCACATTAGATAAGAGTTAACTTCTCTGTAATTGAAATAATATGTGGTAGATTTAAAATTGGCATCTAAGCATCTACTAAATCACAATATTTCCATTTTAATAATGCTTTATAATATTTTTAACATGTATGATATATATAGAATATGACTACATGTATACAAAGTGTGGATGACAATGTACAGCCTCAAATATTGGGTTCGGAATAAAACATTGAAAGGCATTCAAAGTAGAGTAATTACAGAGTAATATTTAGTCAATTTTCACTATTAGAAAGTTGTATTTATTTTTATTCCAGAAAAAATATCTACATAAATACCCTGTCCTATAAAAGAGAAACAATATGTTCATTTATAGTTGAATGTAGAAAAATTGAAATAATTCTCTAGAAGTTTCAGAGTTCAGACACAGCCTTTACATGGAATGCACATCAATATTAAGAATACTGGCCAGGTGTGGTGGCTCACGCCTGTAATCCTAATACCTTGGGAGGCGGATGCAGGCAGATCACTTGAGGCCAGGAGTTCGAGATCAGCCTGGCCAATATGGCAAAACCTCGTCTCTACTAAAAATACAAAAAATTAGCCTGGCATGGTGGTGGGTGCCTGTAGTCTCAGCTGCTCAAGAGGCTGAGGCAGGAGAATTGCTTGAACCCTGGAGGCGGAGGTTGAAGTGAGCTGAGATTGTGCCACTGCACTCCAGCCTGGGCAACAGGGTGAGACTCTATCTCAAAAAAAAAAAAAAAAAAAAAAGCAAAAGCAAATATTAGGAATACATGCCTTTGTTAAGCTTATTAGCAAACTAATAAATTTTACCTAGTGCATGGGTAAAGAAAAATACAATCTTGAAAGACAGTTTTTGTAAGAATAATTTTTCAAACTTTTTTTTTTATTTTTTATACTTTAGGAGAATATTAATATGGACATGTTCATTTCTTCATTAAATTAGTGACCCTAGATTAAGAAAGTCCATACCCTTAAAGTGCATTTTTGCATACGGCACAGATTTTTTTGTTTTTAGAGTCATAGTATTGCTCTGTTGCCCAGGTTGGAGTTCAGAAGCATAATCATACCTCACTGCAGCCTCAAACTCCTGGGCTCAAGTGACCCGTCCAACCCAGTCTCTCAAGTAGCAAGGACAGTAAGTGTGCACCACCATTCCTGGCTATTTAAAAAAACATTTTTTTTTTTTTTTGTAGAGATTAAGTCTCTGTATGTTGCCAGGCTGGGGCACAGAATTTTTGAGCATTCACTGTAATGTGCACTTCACATGCGCTTCAACTGAACATAATATGGATTTCACAGATTATTGGTTAGTTTTCAATCTTTGTTTGAATATAGTTAAAATGATTTACTTTATAATCCTGTTCCATAATGTAGAAGCATTTTTTGTACCATTTATGTTATTCATGTGACAAATGGATTGCCGTAAATGTTCTAACATACACTTTGCTTCTTTTAAATAGTGACTGATATTAGTAGATGTAATGGCCAACCTTCAGGTCTTCTGTCTAGAGAGATTAATGGCAAGTGCTTTGGTTTGTAAACTGAGAAAACAAAGAATCAGAAACAATGCTCAAACAGAAATGCGATTATAAATGACAAGAATATTGAGCTTTCTCAACTAATGTAGGAAGATTGAAAACAGGCATAAAAATAGAAGTGGTGTTAGTTGCAACCATGTAGATTTTTTTTTTCTGGGCATTAGTAGGAAATAATATATTTATTGCCAAATATTAAACATTTAATACTATAGATGCCTTTTAAATGCCTAAGCCCTGCACAAAATAATTTACTGTGCCATCTTCAGAGAATGTGTGTTTCTTAAAGTCCTTTAGAGGAAAATTCAAGCAACCTGGGAAATTGTGTCAGGGTAATCTGATATTGTCCTTTTAGTATGGGTCAAATATGCATTTAACGGACAATTCAAGTAAAACCGTTTGAGATCTCACTTCCTTTAGTTTTCTCGAAGTGTCACCTTCATGGTTGTCTGTTCTGATGCTTGAGGTTTCTGTGTTTAAGGGGAAAGGTGCTAACAGAATATAGAATTTTCTGAAGTGTTTTTCCCTCATTCTGTTGCTGCTGCTTGTGTTTCAGGGGAGTTGGCAGCTGCCTTTTAGTTCCCTGATAGCTTAGGAAAACCTGCTCTGTAAGCATGTTAATTTTCTTCCCTCTAGAAAAAGCTTGCTAATCTCATGAGGTATTGCAAAGTTTAAATTGAAGTAAATAGAAAAATTGCTAAGTTGAAGAAAAAAAGTTCCACAGAGCTTTTTATGAGTGGGAACACATCTGCCACACAATAGAATATGACATCCTTCAGCTTACTGCTTTCCTAGGACATGTGAAGGAATTGTTTAGTATGCATTGGTTTGGAGCACTAGCAGGTAAAAGTTTAATTACTGATCTTTGTGTTACTTATCTGTGGATTATGTAGGAGTGGTCGAGTCTCATTTTCTGCTTTTCCTCGTGGAAACGACTCTTCCAAAAGACATCTTCAAAATAACAAACCCTGACCTCTTATTGTTTATTTGTTCATTTTTTATTTTGGTTTGAATTTTCATCCTTATTTAAGTGGTATATTGAGAGTAGTTTGTGAACCATTCAAGAAGATACCTGAGTTTTCAATGCTGTTTTTTAAAAAAAAAATTTTTTTTTTGAGACAGGGTTTGCTTTGTCACCCAGGCTGAAATGTGATGGTGTGATCTTGGCTCACTGCAACCTCTGCCTCCTGGGCTCAAGCAATCCTCTCACCCTAGGCTCCCAAGTACCTGGAACTACAGATGTGCACCACCATACCTGGCTAATTTTTGTATTTTGGTAGATGGGGTTTTGCCATGCTTCCCATGCTGGTCTCGAAGTCCTGAGCTCAAGCAATCTACCCACCTCGGCGTCCCACAGTGTTGAGATTACAGGTGTGAGCCACTGCCTCCAGCCTTTAAAAGCTATTCTTTTCACAATGATCATGCCAATGAGATCGACATGTGTATACATGTGTGCATGTTATATATGAGAGTCAACAATGAAGAATGCATCAACCGGGGGCGATTTGGAGGATGGAGAGCAGACTAAATCCATCCTGACAAATGTTTTGAAAGGTGTGACAAAATAGTCTATCTGGAAGTTATTGTTTCAAGTCATTAAATTTGGGGTAATCTGTCATACTGTAATAGATAGCTACTACATAGCTCATCTCTCAGGTGCAGTAAATCATATTGTAACATATCTGTCCTACTAAGTGAAGTGCAGAGCATACATGTGTTTCATGACTCATGCTGTGCCCACGCCCTTTTGTCTTTCCTTACAACTTGAAAAAACACTCCGCACATTGGATCTTCCATGTGCTGCACTTAGATTTTTCTTTATCGTTCCCCATTCCTAAGACCCTGGAACTGACCTGATTATATCACAACATAATTTTGATATATTAATCCAGATAGATACAAATACAGATATGAGGGTGTATTATTTGCTACATAATGGGAATAATCTTCAATTTTTCTCAAGATTTGAGAATTAAGGTCATTTCCCTAAAGGGTAGAATGGAATAATGCCATCCTTGTTAATGCCTAGACTTGAACATGACACACACATTTTATTGGCCTAAAGTCAAAGAGACAGTGAAACTCCTCAACAATAGAGTGAGACTGAATTGTGGATGAATTATAATATAGTCAGCCACAATAACTGAATTAGCATTCCAAAATTTTGATTGAAAGAGGGTGAAAATTCTAAACATGATTCTATTTTCCTCTTTTCTCATCACTTTTCTTGTCATTTCTCCTTTCTGCATTCTTTTTTATCCTTAGATCAATGCCTTTAATAACTGCCTTAAGCTATGCTCATTTCTCCTGCATAATCTATTTGATATTAAACTATATTTCTTTTTTGATTTAAGTAGCTTATTGTAACTAGTTATTCCAAATCATAAAACATATGAAATATTTTGTGTTCCTATGTGGTATTAATTTTTACAGCTATATATTAACATTTATCTTTTTTAGTTTTCCTGTAGTTATTCCCTTTTACCATAACTAAAAATGAAAAACATGTCACTGTTTTTCAATTTAATTATCTCCAAATTCTGATGAATATTACAAGTAATTATTGGTATCATTTTCCAAATCACATACTAATGCAGATGTAAGATTCTTTCTATTTTTGGAACATAATTGGAATAATCTACAAATAAGCTCTAGTCCCGATTTGAAAATTAAATTTAACTCTCTAAATAAAATGTACTTCTGGCTGAGAATTTTATGAATGAATATGACAGAGCTTTTCAAGTGGATTTGAAAGAAGTGTTTAACTTTATATGTACGGGAACATGAACTGAGGTCTTAGAGATTAAATAACTTGCCCACAGTTAAGAAACAAAGCACAATTCAAAGCCAGCATTTCAAATCCAGACTCTACCCGTGCCTGGATTCTACCACAGTGTATGGTCTATCTCTCTTCCTTTTCTTTTTCTCATCTCTTTCTTATTTTCTTTCTCTTTTTCTCCTTCCTTCTCTTATTTAAAAAACACACAAACATTTATCGGCTACTGTAGAGCCTTTTTGAGTACCAGCAAATAAATAAAAAAAAAAATTGTAAAAGAAGAGTTTCATAATATATTGCAATACATTAAGTCATTAATATTTGAGTGTCAGTTGATTCCTCTCATTATTTCCTTCTGTGAGATCAGGGACACAGGGATGATAGCAGAAAGTTCTATAACAGGGATGAGATGGACACAAGAAAAAGGAGCTAAGAGTGGGACAAATAAAATTTTCCTTCACTTTGCATTTTGCCTAGACTCCCCAGGGGCTCATTTTATTGCTTCATAAAGATTATTTTATCATAATACTGTGTTTTAGAAATACTTTTGAAAGGGTTAAATGCAGTCTGTTGCCAGTAAGTGATTCCTGGGAATTTTAATAAGCCTGAGCTCCTGCAATTCAGCAGATAACAGCTACCAGGATTACAGTGCATACAGAACTGCACGGTGTCATGTTTTCATGGCTGCACAATTCTTATAGAAATTGCTCTTGGAATGACCCAGCTTTATAGATGACAAATCCACAAGGTGTTGGGGAAACTATCACAATGTTAAAACTCTCACTGGAGCCATAACCTTGGGTTTTGAAGCCAACTGAACTAGAAGAATGGCAGTAACTAACTGAAGACTGTTGTCAGTCCCCATCAAATGGCTACCTGAGAAAAGAAATGTCTCTTTGAGATGGCAGTTGAACTGTCCTCCAGCATGCCAGAGCCAATGCTTTATTCAGTGTCCTTGAGTGTGTAGGTAGGGAAAGAATTTGCTTCAGCATAGCACATGGTACAAAGAGTCATAAATAGGGTCATTGTGGTGCTCAGTGTCTCAATGCCCAGAGTAATTAACTCCACATGCCATGGCTGAGGGCTGTGGCTGCGTTCAAGTGAGGTGATGAGGTGTCCAGCCCTGAAGGGCATGGTTTGTTTGACTTCTTTATTATAAACACGATGAAAAAGTAATAGTTTGTGCTACATGGCATTGCAGTGCTTCCAGTCAGGAAATGAATTTTCATGTGTTGGATCTCTTATGAATTCTGTGTGATTTTTGTCCCAGGAGTGTAAGAAAAACTGCTCTTTTTATACTACTAAGTGAGGCAATGTGTAGCCTAAACAGATGGAAACAGCTTGACTTTAGCATAAGTGTTTGAATATGCAGTTTAAGTGTAGAAATCCACAAGGTACAAGTAACAGAGAATCTTTATCATTTAAAAGGCCTATCAAGTTTACATCGACAAAGGGATTGAAACTTTGCTGCATGAGGATTCTTTAAAAAATAATATTTGTATGAAATTATTAGAAAATTTCAAATATATGTTCCTTAAGGAAGGTAAAACATAAGGATAACATAAAATGGTAATTAGCACAAAGTAAGTACTTATTAAACATTAGCTACTATTGTTTTTATTGTTAATTACATTTTCCTTCAGACAAAAAAAAAAAAAAAAAAAAACCTTACTGTACTTTAAGTATTCTGTTAATAGACCCTGGAAACTTTTCTATATGATATATCCTGATAAGCCATTTTTTCACAAGATCCAAATCTTAAAATAGTTGCTAACTAATCATTTATAATGTGTGGAATTATGTCTTGCATAATATTATTGTTTTCATATTTATCTCTCATACTTTTCTTATTAAAAAACATCTAGAAAAGGCAAAACTGGCATGAATTCTTAAATGTTTGATGAAGAAGTAAGACAAGGGTATCATAATGATCATGATGCTATTGTTAAACAGTATATGTTTAAAAATGAATATCAGCAGTTTCCAAGAGAACTGACTAATGGCAAAACTGTGAGACTATGAGGTTAAGTTTTGGCCCCATGGCCTGGCTATTCTGTGCCCCTTTCCATCCTCTATCCACCCTATTTGTATTGTTGGCTCACTCCCTTATTTATTTCCTCACCCGCCTACAGGGGTTAAGGTTGCTGGGTTATCCTCATTAGTTCCTGTCCACCAGAAAGACAGCTAATGAAACGAACAGATTGTGGAGTATTAGTAATTTAATATACTATTCTCCCCATGCTTATTTACATTTTAAAAGTGGATGTGGAGAAAAAGAAAATTTTTCATCTAAAGCAGTGATTCATTAATCACTATCATCAGTGACAGGTCAATGGATGTCCTTCCCACAATTTTCAAATCACACCAATCAAATAGGCAGCTGTTTTACCTGCAGGTAAGGATGGCCCTTGTATCAATGCTGTTACTGTGATGTAAGTCAGGAACGTTTCATTCTTTAAGTCTATTCATTTGTCTAGAGTATTATTTAAATGCTACTATTAGTTTGAGAGTCAGTATTTCTTTGCAGGGCCTTATTTTACAACTGGAGAAGACTTTAAGCCAATGAAACTCCATCTTTGTGCAGAAGCTAATTGAATTTGATTTATGTTATTAGTTATATATTTGACATAGTATAAGTATTCTGATTCATAATTTAATGTCCAAGAATCATAATTATTATTTACATTTATTTGGGCAATTTATTTCAAATGAATAATTGCTCATTCAATTTTAAGAATTGTAAAATTTCTGTATAATAAATTAAGCAACAAAACAATAGTCCTTACAGAATTCGTCTCTTATGATTATGAATGATCACTTCAGAGATGAAAGTTAAGTGATAAGATGGGATAGTAGTGGGGAGGATAGTTCTGGGTATGAGAATGTCCTTTAAACCTATGAATTTGGATCTAAACTATAAATAAAATGTTTCATTTTTACTGCTTTGGACTCTGAGCTAATCATTTAGCACAGTCATATTAAAAGTATCACAATAATATTCAGAGGTCCCCATGGATTGGTACTGTTCCATGGCCTGTTAGGAACTGGGCTCCACAGGGAGGTAGCAGCAGGTGAGGCAGCATTACCGCCTGAGCTCCACCTTCTGTCTGATCAGGGATGGCAACAGATTGTCCTAGAGCTCGAACCATATTGTGAATTGCGCATGCAGGGATATAGGTTGTGTGCTCCTTAAGAGAAGCTAACTAAGGCCTGATGATCTGAGGTGGAACAGTTTCATCCCAAAATCATCCCCCCACTCCCACCTATGTCTTCCAAGAAGCCTGTCCCTGAAGCCAAAAAGGTTAGGATCGCTGATATATCTCATGATGTTTACCTACCAATAAGGGATTTTCATGTTGGAACCATGAGGTTACAGTAGAATCCACATTAGGTCTATTGCAATACTAAGCACCTCCTCTCCCCCTCCAGGCCTGTACTCAATGTACTATTTTGACCCAGGCTTTGTGTGCCTTCTCTTATACCAATAGCTCTTATTGAGAACAAGATAATAACCAATCACATGGCAAAGAATGTAGGACTATGAGTTCTAAGATTCAGAGTTTTTGATGGGGTTGTTTTTTTCTTGTAAATTTGTTTGAGTTCCTTGTAGATTCTGGATATTAGACCTTTGTCAGATGGATAGATTGCAAAAATTTTCTCCCATTCTGTAGGTTGCCTGTTCACTCTTATGATAGTTTCTTTTGCTGAGCAGAAGCTCTTTAGTTTAATTAGTTTCCATTTGTCAATTTTGGCTTTTGTTGCAATTGCTTTTTGTGTTTTAGTTATGAAGTCTTTGCCCATGCCTGTGTCCTGAATGGTATTGCCTAGGTTTTCTTCTAGGGTTTTTATGGTTTTGGGTTTGTGGCTGAAGCTGGAAAATATCATCCGCAGCAAATTAACACAGAGAGAGAAAACCAAATACCACATGTTCTCACTCACAAGTGGGAGTTGAACAATGAGAACACACGGACAACAGGGAGGGGAACATAACACGCCAGGGCCTGTTGGGAGCTGGGGCGAAAGGGGAGAGAGAGCATTAGGACAAATACCTAATGCATGCAGGGCTTAAAACCTAGATGAAGGGTTGGTAGGTGCAGCAAACCACCATAGCACATGTATACCTATGTAACAAACCTGCTTGTTCAGCCCATGTATCCCAGAACTTAAAGTAAAAAAAAAAAAGAAAAAAGATTCAGAGTTACGGATGCATGGGTGATGAAGAAGCAACACAAGAGCAATGTAATGGTCATCTGAGCTTTGGATTCTACCCAACTCAAGTCCTGTAATGTAAAAGGGGAACTCAGCTAGGCACAGTAATAGGCAATGGACTGTTTTTACAACTTTTTAATTTTTTTGCCTAAAAAATGCAAGAAATTTTTGTATTTTTAGATGAGTATACCTTTTTTTACTATAATGATAAATAGAATAGTAAATGAACTCTTAACAATTGTATGTTGTTTTAAATAAATATGCTTTTATTCATTCCAGTTCGTTCCATCTTTGAGAATTTTTAACCATGATTTTTGATTATTTGGAACTTCTTCTCTTTTCACTGTACATCCTCATTAATTGCAGATGTCTGTATCAGAAATGCCAACTAAATCTTTAGCATCAGACATGTTGAGAAAAATTTACAAAATTATTTTCATGAGAATTTTGTGATTTTTCAAGTATCAACGCACCCATATACAGAATGGCCTTCACAAAAACAAAAAAAAAAAACAAAGAAAAACAAAGTCAAAACAATGAATAAAATTTTCATTTCCTTTGAAAGTGCTAATCACCTTCAAACCACAGGATTAAGATTGATACTTGAGCTATCTTGGATTTCTAGGATGGAAATATTGGGGTTTTAAAATCAGACATCTCTTCAGGTGTAGGTATATGTGTATGGATAATATTGCTTTTAACTTCCACTAACCTATTTCAGACAGTTCACAAAACAGTTTTTTAAATATATTCATATATTTTTGGTTACAAATTATATCAATTTCTTCTTTAATGACTGCCACCAGCAAAAGGCTCAGAGTGGGCTACTATATTCATACATTTCAGGGCAATTTCTTCTAGGGTGTTCAAGTAAATGTGTTACCTAGACTTACATATTACTTCTCATTGGCCAATATATTATATGTTATGGATCTATATTTCATTTTACCACTTTCCCTACAGAGTGAATCTAATCTTAGAAGGTTGTATAGTACAAAACTAACAGTATGACAATTTTTGCCAGATTCAGGGAAAGAAAATTGGGTAATACCATTTTACTACCCAAAAAATATCACATATGTCTTCTGAGTAAATTTCATATTTGGAACATGTTCTCAATTAATTATAATTATCAAGTTTTTATTAAATATTTCCTATATAGATATGTTTTCTCATAAGATGCAGTTCAAGTAACATAAATTAATTTTTGCTTGAGAGGTTGCAGTGTCTGACATATTAAAATCTTTTACCTTTTACTATAGAATAAGCTGGCCAATGTTGTTTCTAGATGTCTGAATATTATTTATTCAACTTTTTCTAGTCTATAAAAACACATACATACATTTCAAATATGCCTAATATAGTCTAAGATAATCTGGATAAGTGTTAAAAATCATATGTAGGAAAGTGTTTCATTTTTGAGAAATTAATCTCATTTAAAATGTGCTTAACTGCACTAGAACTCAAGTTTCTAAACCAATCAGAACATTGAATTTAAAAATGAATGACTTGACTATCGTAGTCTGCCTTGAACATCTATTATCTGCATTCATGAAATCTACATTTAGCATAAGCTATAGTAATGGTAGCTACCATAGATTCAGTTTCTTTTGCATTGAAATAAAAAGCTTAGTGTGAACTTTTTCCCCATAAATACCTTTGGCTTGCCTTGGCATTTATGCAGCAGCAGGAGACCATTATCCAGTGACACATTCTATCCCACTGACATTATCACTCAAAGATGGTCGATTTCATTTTCAGGAAGGTCCCAGAGAGCCACAGACAAGTTACAATCAATCACACAACCACAATTGCTAGCTGAGTCACATTACTCTCAAAAATAAAAAACAAGGATAACTCAAATATACTAATGCATATTTAAATTTCACATTTAACACCTAAAGAACTGATGAATTATTGCCTGTCTTCACATTAACAATATCTTTATGTTTAATCCACGCTTACTTTTCCCCGTGACATAAATAAATGCCAGAATGAGTTTAAATACTTTGCTATGTGGATATAGAATACAGTCTGGCCAGGGGCTCTGGGAAAGGTGCAGCGATTCTATATATCAGGTAATCTATGAGTGAAAATGAACAGGAAGCTTTAAAATTAGTCAAGCAAAGCTAGATATGGATCAGGCTCGGCCGAGGGGATAAAGGTAAACAGAACATAGGTTGGGCAAGTGGTAAGTATAATGGTAAATGAAATCACTGCTAGGATGAAATTAGGCTGAGCACAACACAAGGTGAAGGACAGAGTCAGGAATTCAGGCCCCGGGGTCTGAAAGAGCTTCAGACAGAGGCAGTCTGGTTCTATAAAGAGTTTTTCAGGAAGGAATTTTCCTGGGTTTTGAGCGAATTCTACAAAATGGGCTTTGGACTGTCAACTGAAGAATTAGGAGGTTCATAAATTTAAAAAGGAGAGCTTTATTTCTCATAAAGGATTGCAGCCTGCAGGGTGGCCATTCTGACAGGCTGGGAAGCATAGCTTCCCCCCAGAAGCTTGAAACAGATACTTGGAGGGAAGGGCAAAGGGAACAGGAATTTTTGCTGAGCAAGGTAGCCCAATATACATATTTAGTAAGCTATAGGAGAAGTCATGAAGATTTATGAAAGGAGAAACATTCACATGTGCAGTTCAGCTTCATGCCCCTTCATGGGCCCCTTGAGCAAAAATGGTAGCATTTGCATTATCAGAGGATGGAGTTCCCAGCCCTCTAACATCTGAAGGTGAAGCGGAGGACATGAAAACCTTCACTGTGCATCCTCCATAGACTGTCCAGAATCACTCCGTGGTTGGTGGTCTCTCATCAGGAAGGAAGGCTCTTTGGTTGCTGTGCCAAAACTGAAAAGGGAGGGAGCAGTATCAGGCCATTGATTGATATCAGCTGTGGAGTTTTTATAACTCCCTGGTTTCTGTTCAGCCCTTAGGGAAGAAGAAAGCTTAATTGTGGTTAGCAAGGGAGCGGGTATAATGAGGCATGTCCTACTTCTTATCCCGTCATGGATGAGAACTCAGTTTTAAAGATTATTCTGGTGTCCCCTTGGGCAAGAGATGGTCCAGTCAGTCAATTAGGGCTCTTAAGATTTTACTTTTATTTCTCAGGACTGTCTCTCTCAAATCCTGGCTCTCTCTCTTTCTCTCTCTCTCGTTATAAGAAAAGCCATATTCCTATGTGTTAGTTCAAGACTTTGTGAAGCCTTAAACTTATTTCCCTCTACGCTTTTTTTTTTAGTTTCTGTGTTGAAAGCTGGAATTATGTGTTGTGACCTGATATGGAATTCCACTGGTCTATGTAATGTGGGAATACAAGCCTATGAGCAAGTTTGTTGCTGTTCTCATCTTAAACTCTCATTAAGGAGGAGAAGTGTCAGATGTTTATTAAACCTTCTGATACTATTTTGCGTGCCTCACAGGTTTTGAAACCACCTTCCTCAAAGTTAAAAAGGGCACAGCATTAACATTATAGTGAATTTGGGTAAGATATTTTCCTTTCTCTCTTGACTTTTTCCTGTTCTATGCATTAATGCTTGCACATAGTCATTTAAATAAATGGTAGTCACTAATAATTGAGTATCTTCCTGTCCTAGCCTCTGGGCAGGCTGCCCGCAGGATTAATGAACTTGTTTTTCTCCTAAAGAATAATGTTCATTAGATCATGCAGCCCCTCTTGATGCCTTCCAGAAGTTGGACTGGCCAAGAGGGTGGGGGTGGGTGGGCAGCTTTGATCACTGGGGATCTTGCCTCCTGCAATCTTTTCTGCTAAGCTAAAGGCATAGTTAAATGATAACTGCCATTGTTTTCAGCTTTCTTTCCATAGTACCAGGAGCCACAAACACTATTGTAAAACCTAAGACTGGTCCTTGAGATATTTTTCAGACTTTGCCTACAAATGGACCAACGAATACCACCAAGCAGGTAGCCCATGACCTCAACCGAGGAACTGACTTGACTGGTCTTGTAACTCCCCAACTCCCCAGGAACTGATTCAATGCATGAAGACAGCTTCAACACTCCTGTGATTTCGTCCCAGACCAGTCAGCACCACTCATACTCTAGCCTTTCTGCCCACCAAATCATCTTCAAAAGCCATAGCCTCTGAAGTCTCAGGAAGGAGGCTTTGAGAACGACCACCCAACCTCCTTGCTCGGTTTACTTGCAATAATTAAACTCTTTCTTTAGTGCAATATCTGCTGTCTCAGTGTTCAGCTCTATCTGGGCAGTGGGCAAAAACCTGGTGAGGTGGTAACAGTTTCACCAGCAAGGAAACCAAGAATCAGCAAAATAAAAAAGCTTAAGCCATGTTTAAGTTCATTAATGAGTAAGCTGATACTACTGGCTTGGCCTCTTGATACACCAGTGGCCTTTCCACTTTATCAAATGACTTCTCCATGTAGCCTATTTTACTCAATCCAGGAGAGAGGACTAGCTAGTAAGCAATAGAGCACTAGAGGTAGATTTTATGGAATTCAATTGTGAAACATTTTCTGTGAAATGTTTCCCTTTGTAATGTAAATGGAAGGCTATCAGGCTTGGTTAGCGGAATAAAGAAATTGAATTACCAAAAAGTTTTCCCATTGCTATCCATAATTGAGAAAAGAGCTCAAAATATCAGACCATACTGTTATTTTCCATATTACAATTTACTGTTAAATGAGTTCTATTAAGTTTACTAAGATGCACATAATTTTAGTCATCCTCTAAGGAGCCCCCAAAGAAACTAACAACTCCTTTTAGAGTTAGCAATATTTATCAATAAAATAAACACAATGATATACATATATGAAATATATATACACAGAGGTATTAAAGTTTTGGGTCAATTTGTTTAAATTTCCTTGAATTCAGTTATAAAATAGAGGAGAATATGAGGAAAATAAAATATTGGTTAAAACACAGATGCTAGTAGCAGATTTTCTGGTTCAAATAGTGGTTCTGCCACTTATTAGGTTGTATTCTTAGCTAAGTTTTTTTCACTCGAGTCCGTGTGAAGAGACCACCAAACAGGCTTTGTGTGAGCAACATGGCTGTTTATTTCACCTCGGTGCAGGTGGACTGAGTCCGAAAAGAGTCAAGTGAAGGGAGATAGGGGTGGGGCCGTTTTATAGGATTTGGGAAGGTAATGGAAAATTACAGTCAAAGGGGGTTGTTCTCTGGTGGGCAGGGGCAGGGGTCACAAGGTGCTCAGTGGGGGAGCTTCTGAGCCAGGAGAAGGAAATTCACAGGGTTAATCACTCAGTTAAGGTGGGGCAGGAACAAATCACAATGGTGGAATATCATCAGTTAAGGCGGGGCAGGGCCTTTTCACTTCTTTTATGATTCTTCAGTTACTTCAGGCCATCTGGGTGTATATGTGCAAGTCACAGGGGATGCGATGGCTTGGCTTGGGCTCAGAGGCCTGACATTCCTGCCTTCTTATATTAATAAGAAAAATAAAATAGTGTTGAAGTCTTGGGGTGGCGAAAATTTTTGGGGGTTGGTATGGAGAGAGAATGGACGATGTTTCTCAGGGCTGCTTCAAGTGGGATTGGGGCAGCGTGGGAACCTAGAGTGGGAGAGATTAAGCTGAAGGAAGATTTTGTAGAAAGGGGTGATATTGTGGGGTTGTTAGAAGAAACATTTGTCATTTCGAATTATTGGTGATGGCCTGGATACAGTTTTGTATGAATTGAAAAACTAAATGGAATAAGAGAAGGAGAAAAACAGGTATAAAAGGTCCAAGAATTGGGAGGACCTAGGACATCTGATTAGAGAGTGCCTAAGGAGATTCAGCATAGTCCTGCCAGCAAAGATTATTTATTTACTTCAAGAGTTAAGAGTGGCGGTTTGGGGATAGCACGAGGAGATATCAGCTGTGATGGCTTGGAGAAACAGTGTAAACTGGCAGTGTAAACAAGAGCAGGGCATGTATGAGTAGTTGAGAATGGAGAATAGGAGTATGACTAGACAGAAAATAGTAGGGATGACAAGTTTTTTTGGGGGCACAGTCTAAGTTGATCCAGTGTCTGGAATGAGACTGGGGCCTAATAAAAAGGAGCATCTATACAGGAACTTAAATGGGCTGTACCTTGTAGCATTCTGAGGACAGGTCTGACTTCTGAGAAGGGAAAGTGGTAAAAGTATTGTCCAGTTCTTTTTAAGTTGGTGGCTGAGCTTGGTGAGGTGTGTTTTTAAAAGACCTTTAGTCTGTTCTACTTTTCTTAAAGACAGAGGACTATAAGGGATATAAAGGTTTCACTGAATATTAAGAGCCTGAAAAACTGCTTGGCTGATTTGACTAATAAAGACTGGTCTGTTATCAGACTGTATAGAGGTGGGAAGGCTAAACTGAGGAATTATGTCTGACAGAAGGGAAGAAATGACTGCGGTGGCCTCAGACCCTGTAGGAAAGGTCTCTACCTATCTAGTGAAAGCGTCTACTTAGACTAAGAGGTATTTTAGGTTTTGTGACTCGGGGCATGTTGAGTAAAGCTAATATGACAGTCCTGGGCAGGGGCAAATCCTTGAACTTGATGTGTAGGGAAGGGAGGGGGCCTGAATAATCCTTGAGGAGTAGTAGAATAGCAAATTTGCTAGTCCTGGGCAGGGGCAAATCCCCGGGCTTGATGTGTAGGGAAGGGAGGGGGCCTGAATAATCCTTGAGGAGTAGTAGAATAGCAGATGGAACACTGAGAAGTTATTTCCTTGAGGATAGATTTCTACAATGGAAAGGAAATGAGAGGTTCTAAGAGGTGGGCTAGTGGCTTGTACTATAGCATAGCCTGCCTTTGCTGGTGTGTGGCAATTAGGCCTGGTGGAACTGCCATCAATAAATCAAGCGTGATCAGGGTGAGGAACAGGAAAGAAGGAAATACGGGGAAATGCGGTGAATGTCAGGTGGATCAGAGAGATACAGTCATGGGGGTCAGGTGTGGTATCAGGAATAATGTGGGAGGCCAGATTGAAGTCCGGGCCAGGAACAATGGTAATTGTGGGACTTAACAAAGAGTGAGTACAGCTGAAGGAGCCGGGGAGCAGAAAGTATATGCATCAGGTATGAGGAAGAAAATAGATTTTGGAAGTTATGAGAAATGTAGAGAGTGAGTTGAGCATAGTTTGTGATTTTTAGGGCCTCTAAAAGTATTAAAGCAGCGGCAGCCGCTGCACGCAGACATGAGGGCTAGGCTAAAACAGTAAGGTCAAGTTGTTTGGACAGAAAGGCTATAGGGTGCGGTCCTGGCTCTTGTGTAAGAATTCTGACCACATTAACCATGCCTAGGAAGGAAAGGAGTTGTTGTTTTGTAAGGAATTGAGGTTTGGGAGATTAATCGGACACAATCAACAGGGAGAACACCTGTGTTTTTATGAATAATTATGCTGAGATAGGTAACAGATGAGGATGAAATTTGGGCTTGACTGAAGTAATGGGGGCTGTCTGTGAGGCCTTGGGGCAGTACAGCCCAGGTAATTTGCTGAGCCTAATGGGTGTTAGGGTCAGTCCAAGTGAAAGCAAAGAGAGGCTGGGATGATGGGTGCAAAGGAATAGTAAAGAAAGCATTTTTGAGATCCAGAACAGAATAATGGATTGTGGAGGGAGGTATCGAGGATAGGAGAGTATATGGGTTTGGCACCATAGGGTGGATAGGCAAAACAATTTGGTTGATAAGGCATAGATCCTGAACTAACTTGTAAGGCTTGTCTGGTTTTAGGACAGGTAAAATGGGGGAATTGTAAGGAGAGTTTATAGGCTTTAAAAGGCCATGCTGTAGCAGGCGAGTGATAACAGGCTTTAATCCTTTCAAAGCATGCTGTGGGATGGGATATTGGCATTGAGTGGGGTAAGGGTGATTAGGTTTTAAGGAGATGGTAAGGGGTGCATGATCAGTCGCCAAGGAGGGAGTAGAGGTATCTTATACTTGTGGGTTAAGGTGGGGGAATACAAGAGGAGGATGCAAAGGAGGCTTTGGATTGGGAAGAAGGGCGGCAATGAGATGCAGCTGTAATCCAGGAATAGTCAGGGAAGCAGATAATTTAAAGTGTCTCGGCCTAATAAGGGAACTGGGCAGGTGGGGATAACTAAAAGGAGTGCTTAAAAGAGTATTGTCTAAGTTGGCACCAGAGTTGGGGAGTTTTAAGAGGTTTAGAAGCCTGGCCGTCAATACCTACAACAGTTACGGAGGCAAGGGAAACAGGACCTTGAAAAGAAGGTAATGTGGAGTGGGTAGCCTCCATATTGATTAAGGGGACGGACTTACCTTGCACTGTGAGAGTTACTTGAAGCTCGGCGTCTGTGATGGTCTACGGGGCTTTCGAGGTGGTCGGGCAGTGTCAGTCTTCAGCTGCTAAGCCGAGAAGGAGTCAGTCAGAGAGCCTTGGGCCAGAGTTCCAGGGGCTCTGGGAGTGGCTGCCAGGTGAGTTGAACAGTCCGATTTCCAGTGGGGTCCCGCACAGATGGGACACGGCTTAGGAGGAATCCTGGGCTGCAGGCATTCCTTGGCCTGGTGGTCAGATTTCTGGCACTTGTAGCAAGCTCCTGGGGGAGGAGGTTCTGGAGGAACGCCTGGCTGCTGCGGTTCAGGCGTTTGGAAGTTCTTGTGTGCTGGAGATGTGGCTGGGGTTTGTCTCACAGTAGAGGCAAGGAATTGCAACTTTTTTTTTATTATTGTACACCTTGAAGGTGAGGTTAATTAAGTCCTGTTGTGGGGTTTGAGGGCCAGATTCCAACTTTGGGAGTTTTATTTAATGTCGGGAGCGGATTGGGTAATAAAATATATATTGAGAATAAGATGGCCTTTTGACCTTTTAGGGTCTAGGGCTGTAAAGCGTCTCAGGGTTGCTGCCGAATGAGCCATGAACTGGGCTGGGTTTTTATATTTGATGAAAAAGAGCCTAAACGCTTCTGATTTGGAATAAAGAAAAAGGAGCATTAACCTTGACTATGCCTTTGGCTCCAGCCACGTTTTTAAGAGTAAATTGCTGGGCAGGTGGGGGAGGGATACTCATGGAACGAAATTGTAAGCTGGACCAGGTGTGAGGAGGGGAGGCGATAAAAAGATTATAGGGTGGAGGAGCGGAGGCTGAGGAAGAATCGGGACCTAGCTTGGCCTGGTGAGGAGGGGAGAGGTCAGATGGGTCTGTAGAAAAGGAAGATTAGAAAGACTCAGCGACGCTTGGGGTTGGGACTGAGGGGACAGGCGGGAGGGAAAGAAGGAAGATTTGGGATGAGTTGCACTGGGCACAGAGACTAGGAAGGGACTGATGTGTGAAAGAATGCCTGGATGTCAGCCACCTCAGACCATTTGCCCATTTTACAACAAGAATTATTTAGATCTTGTAGGATGGAAAAATTGAAAGTGCTGTTTTCCGGCTATTTGGAACTACTGTCGAGTTTGTATTGGGGTCAAGCGGCATTGCAGAAGAAAATAAGACACTTAGATTTTAGGTGAGGTGACAGTTGAAGACGTTTTAAGTTCTTAAGAACACAGGCTAAGGGAGAAGGAGGAATGGAAGGTGGAAGCTTGCCCATAGTGAAGGAGGCAAGCCCAGAGAAAAGAGTAGAGACACAGAGAAGGGGTGGGGGTTTCTTGTCCTCCAGAAAAGCAGAGAAGGGGTCAGGGCGCAGAGATACGAGGTCAGGGTGTGGAAATAAGGGATCGGGGTGCAGAGATATGAGGTTGGGGTACTTGCCTCTCCTCCAGAAAAGCAGAGAAGGGGTAGAGACACGGAGAGAAGGGGTTGGGGTACTTGCCCCTCCCCTAGAAAAGCGGGACTTGCCACTGAGGGGAAGGAGAAGGGGTTGAGGGGTTCTTGCCCTTGCCCCAGAAAATCAGAGAAGGGGTAGAGACACGGAGAGAAGGGGTTGGGGTACTTGCCCCTCCTCCAGAAAAGCGGGACTTGCCGCTAAGGGTGAAGGAGAAGGGGTTGAGGGGTACTTGCCCCTCCCCCAGAAAAGCAGGACTTGCCGCGAAGGGTGAAGGACCAAGGCAGGCATCCCTGTGTGGTCTGACACCTTTGAAATGTGGGTGAATAATCAGAGAGGTGTCCCTGCAATGATTAAACACCAAGGGAAGTCTGCCTTCCCAGTCCGTGACCGGCGCCGGAGTTTTGGGTCCATGGATAAAACGTGTCTCCTTTGTCTCTACCAGAAAATGAAAGGAATTGAAATTAAGAGAAGGGAGAGATTGAAGTGTGACCCCAAGATTGAAGGGAGAAAGAGGTTGAGGGATAGTGAGGGAAGATGGAGAAGAGAGTAAAAAGAGGCCACTTACTGGATTTGAAATTGGTGAGATGTTTCTTGGGCTGGTTGGTCTGAGGACCTGAGGTCATAGGTGGATCTTTCTCATGGAGTAAAGAGCAGGAGGACGGGGGATTGATCTCCCAACGGAGGTCCCCCAGTCCGAGTCACAGCACCAAATTCACTCAAGTCCGTGTGAAGAGACCACCAAACAGGCTTTGTGTGAGCAACATGGCTGTTTATTTCACCTCGGTGCAGGCGGGCTGAGTCCGAAAAGAGAGTCAGTGAAGGGAGATAGGAATGGGGCCGTTTCATAGGATTTGGGAAGGTAATGGAAAATTACAGTCAAAGGGGGTTGTTCTCTGGTGGGCAGGGGCAGGGGTCACAAGGTGCTCAGTGGGGGAGCTTCTGAGCCAGGAGAAGGAAATTCACAGGGTTAATCACTCAGTTAAGGTGGGGCAGGAACAAATCATAATGGTGGAATGTCATCAGTTAAGGCGGGACAGGGCCTTTTCACTTCTTTTGTGCTTCTTCAGTTACTTCAGGCCATCTGGGCGTATATGTGCAAGTCACAGGGGATGCGATGGCTTGGCTTGGGCTCAGAGGCCTGACAGTTTTCTGTGCACTAATCTTTCGGTATGTAAAATGGGGCTAAGTAGAACAACTCTGAAAATGAGTTAATATAAAAAAAAACAAAACAAAAAAAACAGAACAGTGATTGGCCCATAGTAAGCACTTTATTAGCTTTAGTTGTTATTGTAGTGTAGCAGGAGGAGTAGCAGACAAAACTCCTCAGACACCAGATTAAAGAAGGAAGAGGTTTTTTTATTCAGCTGGGAGCATCGGCAGACTCGTGTCTTAAGAGCCGAGCTCCCTGAAAAAGAAATTCCTAGCCCTTTTAAGGGCTTACAACTCTAAGGGGTCTACCTGAAAAAGTCATAATAGATCAAGTAAGCATGAGAAACGTGACTGGGGGCTACATACATCAGCTAACAGAACAAAAAGTTTTACAGTGCTTTCTCATTCAATGTCTGGAACTTACAGATAACACCAGTAGTTTTGGTCAGGGGTTAATAATATTATTATTATTTTAGCCACCAGGGTCAGGTGGTGGCGCCAAAGTCGTCTAGCTATTTATCTTACTTCTGTTTCTTTCCAACTTTTTGCTTTCTCCCTTTTCTCCTGTCTTATAAACTAGGGAAAAGGGGAGGTTGGGGAGAAACTGAGAAGGACAACAGGAGAAGTGGTGACCTCATAACACAGTAGTTAACTCTAATATTCATTCTAGATCTATAATTTGATAATTCTATGAATGTATCATATATGATAATTTTCTTTGAAAATATGAATTTTATAATAATTAGAAGCTATTACTTTGACTTTTTAGAAGCAGTGCAGCTAATTTATTCTTGATTTCTAGAACTGAAATTAATTACATACTACATGACCATAAATAAATGTAACTTTAAATCAGTGGTTGTCATCCACCCTGCACAGTTGGATATCTATATTGGCTATCTGGTACTCTTCCTCTAACATCAGCTGTCTATGGCAGCTATTTTCAGTGATAATGGATGGGATCTAAGTCTCCTTATGAAGGCAGTGTTTGAAGGTGATTCTGATGCATCTCTCTACCAATCAAAATTGGTGCCATACCAACAACTCTAAATGAGAATTACCATTTGCACTATTGCATGTATTTTTAATACCTAATATAAGCAGAATATGTCCAAGCTATCTGTTCAATTAGCTAGTTTAATAAAAATTAAAAAATATATGTACGTGGTATTTCTTTCCTGCTTTAAAAACTGTTGGAAGGGGGTGGTGAAGGGCCATTGAAGTTGTCCATTTGACATGGAATAGTGGCTTTTGGATCAACATGATGATGAGTTATGGCACTGTTAAAAATCCCCAGTCAGCTAGATGATTGCAGCATAAAATGGGCAGTATATCTCTGATAATAACACTTTTTCATTTATTTTTAATTTTATTATGCAAGTCCTCTGACCTGCCTAATAAGCTACCCTGGTATCTCCAGTTTTTTTCTGTTAACTCACAACTTTCTGGGCAGCTGACTAACATCAATCATCCAACAGTTTTTGATAGCACATCTACATGCATCTGCATGAGCCAGGCACTACATACAGTAAGCTCTAAAAACACAATTATAAAGAGATTTTATATCTCTCTTAAAGACACTCTTATTTGGGTGACAGAAAAATTAACAGGCAATTAAAATTCATTGTATTAAGCATTATAATGGCATCTATAGGCACCTAATTCTGTAAACAGAGGGTGGTAAATTATTCAGAAATGACTTATGGTGGTGTTGACATCAAACCTGGAACCTAAAAGCTTGGGTAGTGGAAGCATATTTTAGACATAGAAAACAGTAGAATTAGAATCTCTAAAGCAAAATTAAGCATGTAATTTAGAGAATAGCCAGTAATTTAGTATGCCTGGAGCAGGAGTGAGGTTTAGTGAGGAAGACTAGACAGCTAAGATCATGGAGGGCTTTCAAAGCCACAAGAAGAAACTGGGAAATACTCTAAACACTGAGAGGTTTAATAGAATAAGTGACATAATCAGATTTGAATTTTTGAAGTATAACTCTGATTGCAATAGAGATATTAAAGGAGGACAAGACTATAGACAGGTGCATCTGTTAGAAAAGTATTCATTCATGGGCAGGAATCAGTAATTGATGGCCTAATCTGAAGTTATGCTGATGGAGATGAATAAATGATACTAAGAAACATTAAGAAAGTAGGGTTGATAGGATTTTAGGAAGGGAGAAATCAAATGGGACACCCACATCTCTCGCTTATACAACTGAATGAAAGCTGGGGCCATTTCTGAAACAGAGGACTTAAGAAACAGGACAGATTTGTGGTAAAAGATGAAAAATCAACTTTGGGAATGTTGTGAGTAAGGTGCTTCTATGCTATAGAAGAGAAGATATTCAGTAGAATTAAATATACAAGAAAGGAACAAATGAGAAACATCTGAGGTAGAAATATAGACTAGAGAGTTATTAGGAGACAGGTGGTAGTTGAAGAGTTGGAGTGGATGAGATCAATCCTGAAGACAAAAATGATATTTTAAGAAATAAGCAGCAGCAGCAGAAGAGGATCTGATGAAAAAGGTGAGAGGAAGAGTAGGCAGGAGGATCACCTGAAGTCAGGAGTTCGAGACCAGCATGGCCAACATGCTGAAACTCCATCTCTACTAAAAAAAAAAAAAAATACAAAAGTTAGCTGGGCGTGGTGGTGGGTGCCTGTAATCCCAGCTATTTAGGAGGCTGAGGAGGAGAATCACTTGAACCCAGGAGGCAGAAGTTGCAGTGAGCCGAGATCACACCACTGCACTCCAGCCTGGGCAACAGAGCAAGACTCCATCTCAAAATAAAAATAAAAATAAAATCTGGGGAGTATTGTTTCATAGCCCCAAAGGGGGCCAGGTTTTAACCTAAGATAAATATTGAACCTTGTCCATTAGGCTTAGGATCAAGATCATTGGTGCTGCTATGGCAGCTTCAGTGAAATGTTGATAGGAAACTAGATGACAGAGTTTGAGGGGTGATTGGGAGATAAAAAAGTGAAAATGTTGAGTGTAGGAAAACTTTTCACAACTTCGGTTTAGAAGAGGTGAAAGAGCCAGAACACACTGGGTTGAGGAAGGGAGTAAACAAAATAAGGAGACTTAAGCATGTTTAAATGTTAAATGGAGAAAAGTAGAGACAGGAGAAAGAAGTGGTATTGATTGTAATAAGATCCTTGTAAAGGAAAAAAGCAGAATAAAGAGGGAAATAGAAGCTTTGACACAGAGAAATTCACTTTAGATGGGAAAACAATTTTGGCAAAAGGGATGGAAACATGATGAATATGTATGCAGGTAAGTGGGTAGGTGGAGGGAGAGGGAATAGGTGGAGTCTTTTTCTGTGGTTCTAGTTTCTTTGTTGGGCAGGAGACTGCCTATTGGCTGTGAGGCGGCAGGAGGTGGCAGAGTAGGAAACAATGAAAATGGAGATGGTTCACATAGCCACTGTGGAGTATGAAAGAACAAGGATAACTGATGTTTGAAGAGACGTTGTAGGACGTTAGAGTCCCAGAATGATGTTAAGATGCACAAAAGGTCCAGTTTGAACTAGAAGCTATAAATTTGTAATGACTCCAATTTTCAAAGTTGTGCCTTTTTTTTTTCTAGGCTTATTCAGCATCCCTCATATAGCAGTTTAGAAATCAGAACATTTGAATTTTCCAGGATCGTGATTTTTGCCAATGAATACAGTAGAAGGACAAATAATTAACAGACAATTACATCATTAATGGAGTGATTGAAGTGATGGGCCGCAAAATCTAGTCTCCTAAGGGGAGGAAACAAGTAGTGGAGACCACTTTTTTTAAAGAACAGATACAGAAAAAAATCAACCAATGGAAATGAAAGAGTGGTTGCTATTTCTTTTCAAATGGTTGTTCTATCATACTAAATGAAATCTCATTCTGCAAAGTTTTTAACAATCTACTGATATAGACTAATAAATCAGTGATGGCTAGAAGCAAAACAAGAGATCACTATTTAACAATGATTTGATGTTGAAGGTTGAGAAACTTCACGAGGCAAAGCCAGCTCTTCTAGTAGTCTTTTCTTATCAATTCAGATGTCCATTGACATTTTTACTTTTAATAGAGTTTTCTTAACACAAAAAATAAAAATGTCAAATTCCAATTCTATCCTTCAGAGATTTCTAAAAATTTCTTTTCAGATAGATTGATGGATACATGGAAGAGAGAAAGAAAAAGAGAGAGAGTAACCACTTTTGAATTCCTGAGGCTCACGTTGACTCAGTTCTTCTGTTTGGCTACACATAGATGTGTAGAGATGTCTGAGGCTTCTCCCATCACTATACAGCCAAATGGTTAGGGTCCTACTTTCATTTGAACGTGTTCTTAATATGTTAGTTTGGAAGCGGACATATCCATAGGGACAAATCATGTGAAGACTCAGGAAAGGAAGGCATTTATTAACAAAAAAGTAAAAATTAAAATAAATGCAGAAAAGTATAGAGGGAAATAAAAGGTCGGGTGAAAATCCATTTTGGTATCAATTTAAGCAGAAACACAAAAATATTTTATAATATTTGATTCATATTATATATTGTCCTGAAAATTTTTATTTGTTTTTACTTGATAAACTAAGGAGATATTGGACACTGGTAGATATTTATCTAAATGATCATTTTAGGCATGGAAAAAAATCCTATAATAACATCATGAGTTTTGTTTATTTTAATATTTACTATTATTATTAGCCAATTTCTTAATAAGAAATATTCAATTCTATTGGTTATTATATATTTATGAGGGTTTATACAAGATGACAATGTTTTAAATCAGTGAGTAAACAAATAATTATACATTAGTGGGATTACTGGATATTTATTTTTAAGAAATAATGATATTTGCTTTTCACCTTATAGGCAATAATAAATTTTACATGGAGCAAATATTAAAAATTTAAATAAAAATATAGAAATAAAATAACAAACACGGTTAATTAAAAGAAAATCTTGAGATGGGGAAGTTCTTCTGAAGCAGGGTTTAAAGTCCAAAACCAGAAAGAGTGTGGCTACATAAGCTTTAGACCTCCATCGTACTTAAGTTACTACGTCTTCATAATGTGTATTCATACGTTCAAGGCACATTCTTCTACATTAGCCTTTATTTAAAAAATCTATCTTGGCTATTCTCAGACATCATTCTTCTCAACAAACTTTAGAATCTTTCAGATAATCTTTGTTTTTCACTACCCCTAAAACAAACTCTATCGGGATTTAGGTTGGCAATGCATCATGTTTATGTATTAGTTGGAGTAAAATTATTACCTTTGCAGGATTGAAACTTCGAGCCTATAAATTGTCTTTGGCTTTGCAAATGAATCTGTTTTATTAATAATAGTTAAAATGTATTAGTATGCAAACATGTAAACCACTGGTAAACCAATTAAAATACAGTTTATATAGGTGAAACTCAAAACAGTTTCAAGCCCATTGCAATAACCACGGAATCCTTAGTGGTTTATATCCCACAGGTTGGAAATCATTGCCTCAGATAATGATTTATTTTTTGCTTGGTAGGTTGCACTTTGTCTAGGAATGTGAGAGAGGTGAAGTCTAGAGTTCCTGTGTACCTTCATTTTGAGACCTAACCTTGAGAAATTTCTTTTCTTTAGGAGACATTTAAATTCCAGCTCATGTCAGGTTTGAAAATTTATGCAACTAATAGATTAAAAGATGCTTTCTGAATCTAAAAGTTAATGATTTTATATCCATTTTATGTTTTATTTAGCTAGCTAGCTATCTCAAAGAATTTAGAAAAAAGAAAATTCAACTACCACTTTTATGACATTCAATTTTATTAGTTTAAATAGCTTTCAGTAAAAAAGAATTCACACTAGTACCATTTTCCATAGCTGAAATAGTGCAGAATGAACACAACACTATATTTCTTTTGCAATCTACCTTCTTATGCAGAAAGGAAGATTATCATTGTTAACTAATTTAAAATTATGATTTTGGTTAGTAATGTACTAACTAATTTGCTTTCGGAACAAAATAATTTTCTAATCATTGTTATGATGTTTTATGTATGCCATAATTGTATTTTTTTTCATGATCAGGAAGAAAGATTAATTCAAAACTTATTTTAACTGCTTTTCATTAAACCATAACTGAGTTTCATTGGGTTAAATTTGGTAATTTTCCAATCTAAGTGTGTTTTAGGCTGGTGCCAAGACTAATTCAATTGCTTCTCTTCTAGATTCATAGGTTTCATAAAAAGTTCATTTTATGTTAGCTTAGGGCTTTTCTGCCTAGTGAGGATTATAGTATTTGTCACAAGGGTGCCAAGATTTATTATAAGAAAAAAGAAAATAATTCGTAAATTTTACAATTGAAATGACTATATTTAAAATGCTTAATAATGGCACTTAAGAGACAACAGTGTTTGTACATTCTTATGCTAATTAGCCAATTTGCTGTTGCTTTTCTTGATTGTGAAATGTGGTTGTAGTGCAGAGTTCTGTGCTTTGAGTTATAGAATATTAAGACCTTAACTTTCATGAGGACATTCAGTAGAATTGGGACATTTTCTTCTGCACAAATGCTGTCACGTAACAGAAGGTACAAAACTGATCATGTTATTTGTTTAGTGGAGGGTAGCTTTCATGGAATAGATACAGGAGATTGTGGGACTACAGTTTTCCTTATGTGTTTCACTGTTTGCAAGGAAGGCTGACTGTACTGCCATTGTCATTCTGGTCACAGCATAGAGAGAACTTGGAATTTTAATAACTGCCCTATTCAGTGAATTATAGTCGTTTGATATAGCAATTTGACAGTATTGTGATTAGCCAGGAAGGGATGCCCCTTCCCCTTGGTGTTCTAATAAGCCTGCTCTATCTAGGCCTGTAGGCCTCTTGGATGCTATACAAAGAAGTAACTGAAATGATGAAGTGTTGTATATTATTTATAGCTTCAATTTACTGAACTAGCTTGTTTTGTGTTGGTTTTGAGTGAAGGGAAGGATCAAAAACTCTAAATGATTTCCATTTGTGTCCTCTGGGTATGGTGCTCAGTTCACTGCACCCTCTAATTTAAAAGATGGTTTTACTTCTCAGATGCAAGTGATTGTGCCAGAACCTGGCTTCAGCCAGCTGCAGAACTAAATGAGGATTTGAAAAGCCAGTGCCTGTCCCTAAATGCTTTAATGTACTACCAGGGAGTTAACTTTAGCAAGAGGAGGGGCTGCTATCTCATTAATCCTTTCAACTTCAAGATAAACAACTATTTTTATTACTGTAAGACAATTAGTAAAACTTGTCTTAAGTCATGTTGCAAGTGACCTTTACATCAGGTTCTAGTCTGATGGTAACATGATAGTTCTTTTTTTTTTTTAATTTCTCGTTGGAAGAAAAACAAAACGTATTTTTCCTCTCTCTCCATCTTTCCATCCTTTCACCCATCCTTTTGTCCATCTTTTCCTCTCTGCATTTATCTAACCAGCCAATATGAATTGAATGTCTACCAGGTTCCACTTACCTCTCTGTGCAATATTTAGTGTTTGTTATGTGATAGTCAATATAATCAGTGCTGGCTCTACAGAGTGAATAAAACCCAATTTCACTTCTGAAATTATTAGTTGAACCACATGCTAACAGACCATTACAAGACAATGTGCTAAGCAGTGGTGACAGCGGTATGGATATTATGCCATTGATGCATAGATGAAGGACACTTAGTTCACCCGGGAAGCTGTGACACAGTCAGGAAAGATCTGCAATTTGAGTTGAGATTGAGGAGCAAGCAGATACTGCCAAGTGGAAATAGAGAAAAGTGCTCCTGTCAGAGGGAAAGCTGTGTGAGCAGAAAAATGTACGTGCTAGGGACCTGCTCTCTGATAGGCCACTGTAGCGGAGGAAGCAGACAAAAATCCAACCAACAAATGAAGTGCTACCTAGAGCTATGTACAGTTCCATGGAAATGCTCCACTGTCTCTATGAAGTTTGTTTGATCTTATATGTATAAAAAGCAAACAAAAAGTTATTTCTTAGGTTATATTTTTTATTTCCAGGGATGACTGATTCTCTATATAAGGTTAAATAAATGTACTCTGACCTCAATTGCAAAAAGACAGTAGGCACTGTGGAGTTAATGCAGCCATTCAGTAAATATGCAGTTATGAAGACATGATTATCTTTGAAATGATAATGCCATGTCTCAATGGCAGCCTATGTGGGAAGTTCTCGCAGCACTGCATGAGGTTGAAACTAACTGATTGTAATTTCATGGACTAGGCCCCTGAGCCTTGGGTATGTTTAGTAACTTGCTGAGTTACAGTGTGGGCTCCAACCCAGCTCTGCCTCCCTCCAGAGCTTCGTGTTTACTCCTCATGTTATGCTGTCTATATTGGGCCAGTTACTGTGCTAGGCAATACAGTCCTGAGTGATAAAATGCTGGGCGACTACAGGCAAGAATCTGTGAGCAGTCTTCCAATTACAAGGAGTGTTTAAAAGATTTGGTGAACAGAGACGATCCATATTTGAGAATGTTATAGCACCCCACAGTTGTGTGGTACATTTGGAGGATATGTTTGCCTTTGGGAGTTGGGCTTAATACTTCCTTCCCTGCCCTCTGAGCATTCTTCACTCTAAGACAGCATGCAGCTCTGGAATCTTTTGAACTACAAATCCCAGGAAAGAAAACATTGAGTTTGGGAAGAGAATTAGTAGCCACAGTTAGCAGTGTTCTCTGGACTTGCTATGATTAATGGTTTCATGCTGAAATCTAGAGAAGTGGAATACATTTTTATTAGGCTACTTTCTGACCCATTGGAATAAATCCAATAAAATCACATTAAATATTGTTATTATCTTACATTTTGGGGGTGTATTCTGGCCCAATATGGTTTACAAGTCAGACTTTATAATGGCAAATCTGCGACCACCACATTCTTACTATACTGATAATTTTTAGCAAGTAGATGCTATTTTATATAAAATGCAGTGCTTTTCTGCTGAATATAATAGAGGATTTCATGCTTTTCTAAGTTCTACAGCTATTTCAGCTTTTAGAAGAACATCAACATAACTACTGTACAGATGTGCTGCTTTTATTAAAGCAAGTTTACTAAGGTTTAAATGGTGCCATAAATTTTGTAGCTGCTTACCTAAGGAAATTCTGGCATGATCTTAGATATTACAAAAAGAAGGCTTCTTGGACCAGATTTGACCTTTCCCACTACACTTCTTGTCTTTGTCTGCAATTTCAAATAGATACATGCCAAATCTTTTTAATCAATCTTCCACATCTCTTAGCTTGTGTCATATTGTCCATTTCGTTGTTTCCTTGTGTTATGTAGATCATACCCTTACTTTAGATCATTCTTCTCATGTGTTACTTTTCTTATCTGTCTCTTATTTGCTTTCTACTCTTCTGCTAAATTTTTAATTATCCTTTTCTCCTATGAAATATGATCTTTAATTTTTATTCAGATCAATTTGATTATCCTAATTTTTATTAAAGATGTCTTTAATATTTGTATTAATTTTATTAATCTTATTAACATAATAATTATAAAATTATTTTTTATTAATATAATATTTTTATTAATTTTAATTTTATTAATAGTATTTATTAATTAAATAAAAATTAATCTTTAATTTTTATTCAGATCAATTTGATTAGTTTTACAATATCTTGTTCTTCATCTATGTTGTATTCCTTTTGTTTTTCTTTAAACATCACAAATGCATTTGTTTTATATTTTGCCTGCCAGTTATAATTTATAAAACCTTGGGTCTCATTCTTTTGTTTCTAGCTGATGGCACTTGCTTCCCCTGTGTGCTTTTATTCTGATTTTTGGCTGTGCAAGCTTATTCCTTGGATCTTTACATTTTGCTGGTAGGGAAGTATGTGCAATAAGGGCTTTCACAGGAATTTTTAGTGGATGCACAATTTTAGTTCTTTAGACACATTATGGGCACATGGCCATTCATTTTATTAAAATCTCTTAATATAATGTATGGCTTTGAATATTTTTAGAAAATTAAAGTAGGTGCCTTTTTCTGTCCCTCTGATTACTTGTAGAATCCTTAACAGCTGGAAATGGACACATAAGTCCACTAGATGTTTTGTAATTTGGTGATTAAACAGCTTCTTCTGAAAATGTTTGTTCACTTAACTAACATTTATAGAAAGCTTCCTGAGACAGAGTGGTGACTGCCTTGCTTCATTTTCATTTGATAACCACATTGAGTGATTATATATCAGACTTTTTAATATTCTGAGTTCATTCAGGCAGCAATGAAATTTAAGCAGAGACTTATTGAGGGCAGGTCTCTGAAGTGAGCCAAAGTAATTGGTCTGCATGAAGGGCTCAAGTCTGAAATGAAGTTTAAGTTTTCTAAGGTGATGGAGCGGGAACATATCTGTGACAATGGAGGGGCTTGGGGTAGTTTGAATGCATTGCATAGAAATACATTTTTGAGGCTTTTATTGGTTCTGCTGTTAATGAAACACATATTTCTTATAAAGCAGGTTTTAAGGTACCATCTTAGTGATTTCTTTAAAAAGCGTTTACACTATTGGCTGGACTTACATGAAGGAGTTACTTTACAAAAATGAGTTGTGTGATATATACTGTGTGTGTCAAGGGACCCAGAGTCTAGTGATAATAAAATGTTAAATCAGGAAGCATTAATTAAGACAGATTTAGGTAATATTCGTTGTACTTTAATGTGTAAGACATGCATCCACACACACCCTTTTGTGGACTATGTATTTAATTATTTGTTAAGTAGGAGTCAATTTTTAAGATTTTCTCATTAAAATCCCTTATAAAAATAATAAAACAAAGAAATTAAATTATTTTATCTCAGCCAGAAACAAGGCCATGACCCAAATTTTTAGAATCCTGGCCTCATAGCTACTCTATCGTTTCATTTTACCTTATTTATTAAGTTGAAGTCTGTATTTTCGTTAAATAAAAGGGGAATGGGCCACAAACATGGCCTTAAAAGTAGATAATATATGATACTTATGTGAACATGTCATTTATAAAGCATAATTTACATCCTTAATTCTTAATTTTCTCCCAAATACGGTAGTTAATAGACTCCAAAATACATTTTATAGTATCTCCAAAGTTATTTTCAAAGCCATCCTTACTGCTGTCATATCACAGCTCCAGATTTAACTATGTAAATCCAGACACCAAAGTTGAAAATGAACAGAACTTACAAAGAGATCACAAGTGAAAAGAGATTATAAAAATTGATTGATAGACAGCTTGGTCATTGGCCACCACTATGAGAGCCCATCTGTTGGGATGGCATGGCGCCTGCTAGAGAGTTCAGGCTGTGCACATGAGAGGGTTCATATATGGGTAGCCAGCTAAACTTTGTCTAATTTTGTGTCCATTGTGAATAAGTATAGTTGGCCCTCTATATCAGTGGGCTCCACATCCAGGGATTCAAACAACAGTGATAGAAAATATTTTTAATTGCATCTGTACTGAACATGTACAGACTTTTTTTTTCTTGTTATTAGTCCCTAAGCCATACAGTGTAACTCCTATTTACATAGCACTTACATTGTTTCAGGTATCATGAGTAATCCAGGGATGCTTTAAAGTATACAGGGGGATGTGCATAGATTATATGCAAATACTACACCATTTTATGTCAGGGACTTGAGCATCCATGGATTTCAGTATCTGCAGGAGTTCCTGGAACTAATCTCCCGTGGATACCAAAGGATGATTGTATTCACTTGGTGTTAGATGCCTCTTCACAAATACTAGTACAATTTATAACATGTCAGTAGGTTGATGTTCATATTTAAACTTTCTATTTTAATTTATTATTTTTTTCCAGAAGAAGTACAAGGATTTAGGAGTGGGTAGGAAATGAAAAAATTAATAACATCCTATTGAATAGAGTCAAAGGGGCAAGAAAAAGATAAGAAATCATAGTACAATCAGAAGTGTTATTCAATTATAGATGCTAGTGCTATAGGAATGCAGATTTTGGAATGATTGACTGTAAAAGTTAGACGGGGCTTCACAGATGAAACGACATTAAAAGGATCTTGAAAGATCAGTAGTGGTTCACAAGATCTGAGGGCTGTAAAAAGTACTTCGGGCAAAGGCAGACCATGCAGGAAAAAATTACATAAGAAAAGGCATGGAATATTCAGGTATTGTGGGGGGCAAATACCATTGCAAAACTTGAGGTCTACTGAGGGGATTCTATCCCCCATTCTCCAGGAAACAAATAAAAAAAAAAAAAGGTTAACTGTTTTTACACAGTGAGAATTGAGGTTAGATTTGTGTTTCAGAAAAATAACCTGGTGTCATTAGAGAAAACAAATTGGAAAAAGGAGACAGTGAAGCTGTGGTTGCATATTTAGCCCCTCTCCAGCAGTAATCACTAGCCTCTCCCTCCAGCAAACAAAAGTCCCAAGCAAACTATGCATACTCCATTGTGCTGCTTATAGAGCTTCAGGACATTTGCTTAGTTCCACTCTTCCCAAGGGATTTCCACCCTAACCTTCTATGTAGACATTATGAAGACACCAAAAACAAAACCAAACCAGAATACCACTTAGAATACTAGTGAAGTCATCGAAAAAAGTGATGGGCATTAACATTAACTGGTGGCTGCTTATATGGTAGATTAAATGGAAGACACTTTGGGTAATTGAATGGAAGGTGATAACTTGTCCACTATAAGAAATGCAGGTGGTGCAGCATGCTTAAAGGTTGAAGAAATAAGTTTGGTTCTCAGCATATTATCTGTGTTGGTCTTTAGCAGAAAACTTTGAATGGTGATTTGCAGACCATATTTTCTTCAGAAACCAATGTACCTTGCAAGTATCCTATGATTGCTTTTCAAAGAATAGGTTGATTTCTTCTTTATCCAGCCTTATTACTAATGAGTATGAGGTTATACTTAAAATAATCCATGGTAAATTTGTTGCTATGGAACAATATAGCATCCTTAGTATAGTCAGATATGTATGTCTTCTATCAATGTCCTAAAGTAAGTCTACAGTTCCGTGGATTACTAGAAAAACAATCAATTTTCTGTAACTTTATACTCCTTGATAAATGGTTGCAAAGATGACCAAAACACAAAAAGGTCCTATTTCAGGACAACAATTCTTAATGCTTTTTAAATTATTTGATTATATCTTATCTTACTCAAGATATATTGAATAATTATCAAAATAAATGTAAAGTAAAATAAATTTTATTCACAGGAATTAATAATAGCAACATTATTTTATTGGATTAATAATTACAGGAGAGGTATACAAATAATTCTATATTTTGATTCATCTAAATGCATATTTAATCTGTATCAACTTGTGCTCAATGGTCTAGAAAAAATAAGATGAATTTTTTTAAAGAAATATTTTGTCACTATGCAGAGAGGGCCAAAATTGCCTAGAATGCTCTCACCCATATATTCCTTTGGTTGGCTCTTTCTTATCCTTTAGTTTTCAGCTCAAAATCACCACCTCAGAGAGGTCTTCACTGCCTCTTTGTCAAATATGGCCACTTCTCTCTTGCATATTACCCCTCTGCCATGTATTTCCTTCCTAGCATGTCACTATCTGACATCACCATGTTTATTTATCTGTTTAATTGTTAAGTTTTTGTCCAGAATGTCAGCTCCCAGGGGTCTTGGCCCTCACTTGACCACAGTGTTCCTCGTGCCTAGGTCTCTGTCTGGGAGTGTGAGCAATAAGTTAATATAAGTGGAAAGGATAAAGGAATAAATGAATAACTTAGAGTACATATGAAGAGAGGAGACATCTGCAATGGGACTATTTTTTAAGATGGCAATTTAAGTCAGGGAAAAACATTCCGCCTGTCATCTGCTACCATTTAAATGTCTGTAGAAAGGAGAAAGAAACCTACCCGTAGTTACCTAGAGAAGAAGAAAATATGGATTTTCCTTGTTAGCATTAAATTAAAACTTTCTGACAGAGAGCTGTAGGAAATGCTATATCAGAAAAGAGATATCAGACCTATTATATAAGTAAAATTACTCTGTCACGTGGAGAGTACTGACAGTTGCTAGTATAAATCATCCTTATAGCATTCTTAACTGGGAAATTTAATATAAACCTTTCTTGCAAATCAGTAATATTGCAGACACAAGGCTGAAATCTCCAGGGAACAATTAACAGTTGCAATGAAATCACAGAAACTCTAGCATACCAAACCAATAATACTCATTCTTAAAGTCTACATTGGGGAGGGAAGCGTAACTGACAATATATTCCATCAAAGGCTTTTATCTTAGACTGTAAGCAGGAATGGCTGCATTTTTGAGAGTCAATCAGACACTTTGGTTTCTGGCCAGCCCACCGTCTCTCACTACGCATTGCCTTCTGAGCAGTTTTACACCTCAACAGAGACTGGCCAGCTGCATCTTCACATCCATATCCTTTGAAGCAACCACATTGTCATTACTCATTTTCCTTTTTATTTCCTATCTTTATAGCTTCTTTAAGCTCTATACACATTTTAATACTTCATTTTGTTGTTGTTGATGATGATTGCTTCCTTGCTTTTCTAACTTTATTTTTTATTGATACATAATAAATGTATATAATTTTTGGTACATGTGATGATTTAATACGTTCGTATAATTTGTAAAAATCAAATCAGTATAATGGGGATATCCATTGCCTTAAATAATTGTCTTTCCTTTATGCTAGAAACATTGCTTGTTTTCATTTCACTTCCTTGAATCTGAAATATTGTTCTGGTACTTCTTTCCTGAACCAGTGACCCCGCCCCCCACCACCTCATTCCTCTGCTCTTTCTCCAACCTACCACACAAATTCACACACTGTGCTATTTCTCTAGAGCTCAGAGCTATTTCGTCTCTATTTTGAGCTGTATCCTAAATCACTTCATATTCTTTCTTTCAGAATCTTAAAAAAAAAAAAAATCTGCCACTTCCAGGTCTCCTTTTTTCAGTTCTGATATTGTTATTCCCTCACCCTCAATGATAATTTCCTTTCAATAGCAGTCAGCTATCTAAATCTTGCCTGTGTCTGTGGTTGTAGATGTGCTTGCTCACATGTTTTCAAGACATTAAGCCTCCTTGCTGAATTTTTGACTTTGTATCTTTCTTTTCACAAGTCAATATAAAGATCCTAAGTAATCAGTTAAACAGCAAATGACTCTGATCTTGGTTGTTCCACAGGCACAGTTTTGAGCAATTAATGCTCATTTGAAGTCACTGAATCACAGGATTTTCCCAACTGTTTAGCCTTTTTAAACCATGAGATAAGTGACAGCTTAGAGTAAGAAGAAATAATGTTTTGACCAATTATGAAAACATGTTTGTGATCAGCCTGAAATCACAAACATAATCACAATCATAGCCGTGGCAAGTTCTTTAAATTAGTTATTATAAAAACATATATGTCTTACATGTAAAATGAGATTTCATAAAATTACAGGGTTTTGGAAATTTAGAGATCTATTTCTCCTAATTTTGTAGATAAAGAAACTGAGACACAGAGAGATTGAACCTCTTAGCAAAGTCCATATATTTTCTCTGTAAATCCTATGTTTATTTCACTTCACATTTTGGGATTGCGTATGTCCTACACTCATGACTGACATTGTCCTAAGAATAGGAGCATAACCCAAGTGATGCTAAAATCTGCAAGTGTGCCTTATCTATCCATCATCAGTTGCCTCTACTTTTGTTACAGAAGTGGACAGGTACTAGAATGTGTCTCTTTCCTATGTGTGGGTGTGATGGTCTCTGTGAGCTGCATTGTGTACTGTCTGCTGATCCCCCTGCAGTCCTGCACACCCTCATACTGAGACAATGATGTAAGAGGTAGAAACAGGAAGATAATGGATCAGCTTCTCTTTTCCTGCATGGGGTGATGTGAACTGTATTGTTATAAGAACTCAAAGCACAGTTGGAAAAAGGGAATCACCCCCTATGGGTCTGCTTGGAAAAGCATCTTTGTCTTTGATATTTTGGGTAAGCAGATTTTTCTCTCTTCTTTTATTCCTTCCACAAAGGCTTATTAAACCTTATGAGACCTGCATTGTGCTAGGCATTTAGAAAACAAAAAGGAATAAATCTACATTACCTATCTTCAAGGAGCTTGAAGTCTAGGAGAGGGAGGGCAAATAAATAGACAATAGTAATAGCATAAAGTAAGTGATGTAATGATGGAAAACACATACTGCAGGAGAGACACATAAGAGAGGCATCTAATCCAGAAAAGAAGGTCAAGGAAAGTTTTCCTGAGCCACAACACCTGTACCAAATCTCCCAGGATTCTTAGGAATTATCTCAGTAAAGAGAGGCAAAGAAGTATCCTAGATCAGAGAATTAGGTCATCAGAGACCAGATGAGCACTTGCAATGGTTTTGGATTTTATAGGCTCTGTGTTACGGCTGCTTCATAGTTAAACTCAAGGCTGCTCTAGAGGCCAACACCAAGGATGAAGGTATGAGTATTATTCATCAGTTAATCTGATTAGGCTAGGCTATTCTGCAATATTAAGTCCAAAATACCATTGGCTTAACACAATAAAAGTTTATTTCTCAATTGTACTAAGTTCAACATAGGACAAGTGAAATTCCTCAGTGTTGCAACCACACCAGTTGGGTCTGCATCCTCCAAAGTTGCAGTGGCAGGAGGATAATGGTAGAGATTTGCTTGGGATGCATTTAAAGAGCAGTCCTGGAAGAGGTTTATGTCACCTTCTGTCATTGACCAGAACACAGTAACCTATCTCCAGATGAACCACAAGGGAGACTGGGAAGTGTTGTCTTTCTGTGTGCTGCTAACAGAAAAATTATGTTGAACTCAGAATAGTATCTCTGCCATAGCCAGAGTAGTAGAGTTCATCCCTTTAATTAGGTGGACTCCTGAGGCCCTATTTAGGACAAGGCTGTTGTTTTGTTTGTTTGTTTGTTTAAGACAGAGTCTTGCTCTGTCACCCCAGACTGGAGTACAGTGGTGTGATCTTGGCTCACTGCAACCTCCACCTCCCGGGCTCAAGTGATTCTCCTGCCTCAGCCTCCTGATAGCTGGGATTACAGGCATGTGCCCCCACACCTGGCTAATTTTTGTATACTTAGTACAGATGGGGTTTCACCGTGTTGGCCAGTGTGGTCTTGAACTCCTGACCTCAAGTGATCCACCGCCAAAGTGCTGGGATTACAGGCATGAGCCACTGCGCCCAGCCAACAAGGCTATTTAAAAACTGCCTATAGCTATGCCCTCTCAAAAGGTCATTCCAATTAAGTACTCCTTAATTTTCATTTTATCTACTAAAGTTTATGAAAGGGAATTTTGAATGAAGGAAAGTGAACAGAAATAAATAAGAATTGATGTTTTTCAGAACTGATCAACAGTCAGTGACATACTTTGGCAGAAAGCATTTTTCTTTGTTCAATTAACAGGCCCAGCCCTGAACTTGGAGTTTCTAGAAAATCACTTGCAATTGCAGTTTACTTGAAGCAATTCAGGTGATTGAGCCAAATATTTTATTTTTAAACAGCCTAAAGGGTAGAATTTCTGGAGGTCAAGAAGTGAAGATTGGGAAGACCACGACTTTGCTTCAGGCTAACCCTGTCTGTTTTATGGCTTGCTTTATGAATCAGATGCTTCCAAGCTGTAATTATGTACAAATTATGAGTTTGGTAATATGTGGGAAACAGAACTGAGTAAAGCATTGTCCTTATCTACAGGGTGCCTATAATCTCTTTGGAGAGATTCAGATAAATATTAACAAATAGCAAATTGCACAATGAATATTGCTAGAATGAAATAATAGCATTGTAGATAATTGCACATAAAAGAATAAGTTAGCACTGTAGGGATTTGGGAAAGGTTTGGAAGGAAATATGATAGCATAGAAGCTGAATTTTGAGGAGTGAGGTAAACTTTTAATAGAAGTTGTGATACAAAACATTCCAGGATGGTGAAATAGTATGAACAGTTACAGCTTTGTAAATTGTAAATGTGTATTGTGAAATGTTCAATAGCTTTGTGTGGCTGAAACAATGCATTGAAGGATACAGGTGAATAGAAGGAAGAGGATATTGGAAATTTTTATTTTACATATGAAGGGGCCAAGTCCAGGTGCTCTGATTTCTAGACCAGGGCCTTCTCTGTTTCATCTGTGTGCATTGAGAAATTAAGGCTGTCCAGGTAGGGTAGAGTTGGATTATGCAAGTCCAATTATCTTTCCTTTGCAGGGACTGTGGCTGGAAACTTGTTAAGGGTAGTGAGTAAAATTTAGTGGTTACAGTGGGATGAGACATGACTATTTTCATTGACTGTCATCAGGTTTCCTCCTAAGAATAGACTACTTTAGAACTAAGAGGCTTATTTGACACCTCCCCACCAGACCCCACCTCCAAAATTGCAGGTCACATTTCAATATGTGATTTGAAGGAGATATATATCCAAATTATGTCAACTGGTAGAAGGTATAAACTCTAAATGAGACATGAATAGGAATGTTTGAGTAGAGGGAAAGCAGAGGACGTGAGATAAAAGACTAGAGCAGAGAAATTGCTAGGAAACTTGGCAAAGTTACCTTCTGGGTCTGTTGCCTCCTTTATCAAATGGAGTTAATAATATTATGTACTTCTTAGGCCACTAGGACAATAACTGAGAGTATTCCTTCATTTAAATCAGTTAGCATAGTGCCAGTAAGTTAGCATTATGCACTTACATGATAAATGTAGGATGAGTAATAGATATTCTTATTGTTTTCTATTGTTGTTGATGTTTTTAGAGGCTGGAATACGAGGAGTGAGAAGAAAACAATACCACCCATGTCTTAGTCAATTTTGTATTGCTATAAAGGAACACCAGAGACTGGGTAATTTATGAAGAAAAGAAGTATTTTTGGCTCACAGTTCTTCAGGCTGTATAAGAAGCATGGTGCCAGCATCTGCTCGGCTTCTAATGAGGCCTCAAGGAGCTTTTAGTCATGGCAGAAGAAGAAGTGGGTCACATGGCGAAAGAGGGAGCAAGAAACAGAGGAGGAAGTGTCAAGCCTTTAAACAACCAGTTCTTATGTGAAATTTAGAGTAAGAACTCATTCATTACCACGTAGGGGCATCAAGCCAGTCATGAGGGAACTGCCTCCTAACCCAACACCTCCCACTAAACCCCACCTCTAACACTGGGGCATCACATTTCAACAGGTGATTTGAAGGGAACAAACATCCAAACTACATCAACCAATATAAGGTATAAACTCTGAATGAGATATGAATAGGAATTTATGAGTATAGGGAAGCAGAGGAGGTGAGATACAAGAGAAGACCTGGTAGAGAAGAGAAAATTGTTAGGAGTGGCTGAGAAACGTTTAATATGATTTTTAAAAACTCTATTCAATTTTAGTTTATTGGTTTCTCATGCTTGCTTTCCAGGTGGAAACCACCAACCAATTGGAAGGTGACTAGGGTGAATATAGCCCAAGGAACTTGCAAAACTCTTTGGAGGGCCAAGGAGTAAAGGACTTCATTCAGGGTGTGACATGGTGGGCCACACCCATCAACAGAATCTCAGCCAGGGCTTCAGAACTAATGTAAAAAGTTACCAGGTTTATAATACTTAAAGAGTTTTGGTTTCCTATGGCTTTTATATTCATACTTTCCATTGTTATTTTGTGGTTCAATAAAAATGAACAAACTGTGTTAGGATCTGTTTCAGTTAAAGTTTTATGGTATTGTGTTGACTTGAAACATTGACTCTTAGGTTAAAAATGGATGATGGATTCACAAGAATTGGAGAAAAGTGCTTTGGGATTTTGAGATAAAGATTATATGTCAGCTTTTCTTATGAGGAGTGGTACTTAGTGGGAAGGACACTGGACTGGAAGTCAAGAGATTTTAGACAAGATCCTTCTGAATTGTAATTTCCATTCCTCTAAAATAAAGCTAATCCCTATTTCACAAAGTCATTAAAAAAACAAATTATCTCAGTCAGCCTAGTATAGTACTAGGAACATAGCTGTATTCAAAAAAGCTTGTATGTGTTATTTCAACAAATATTTCTTAAATAGCTATCATGTATCAAGTGCTATTCTCAATGCCAGTGGAAAAACAAAAATGTGTTCTCTGCCTTAAATAAGTTCATTTTTAGTGGCTAAGTAAGAGAGAAAAAGACAAAAGAAAATAAATAAAATAGTTATAAGCTGTAATAATTGTATGCAGAAAATCAAGAGACTGTGATAGAGAATACCAGTGGCATATTTTAGATTGGCTCGTTCATAATTTCTGAATTATGTAGATTTAAGAAACTATTGCTCTAAGTTTAAAGCAGATAATAATATACATTTGTTTTTACCTTTCCTTTCCATTCTGACATGCTTGCTGTTTGACCTTGGATGATCTCTTTCAGGTGAAAAAATCTTATAACTCAGTTACAAAGACTTAGTTTTACTGCTAATAATGAACGTGGAACTTATAGTCCTTTGCCTTCTACTCTGTCCAAATCTGATGAGTTATTTTAGCCTAGAAAGGTAAATAATTAAAAAGTTAGGGAAACAACAATTGGATCACAGATTGCCATGATGCATAAAAACACTTTGTTATGAATCATGTGTCAAAGGAAATGTATGCTTTGTAGGTTGCAGCCTTTCAAACCCTGAAACTGGGCAAATGTCTGAATCTCTGGACTTATTTGTTTTTTTAGTAGAAGAATAAACCATTGGTGACTCGAGTCATCTAAATAATCATTTTACTACTCAAACTCTTCTTCCTTTTTTATAATGAAGCTGCAGGATTTTTAGAGCTATTTTTATCCAGATAATAATTTACATAGAGCTCATTAAGTAGAACACATAGTTTTATCTGTAAAAGGTTTTCTGAAAAAAAAATTAAAAAGAATGCCTAAGAGACTTTTAGAGTTAACTACCCCTCCTTGATCTAACAACATATTACAGTAAGAAGTTATAAAAAGAGAAGACAATATAGATTTCCAATTATCATATTAATCAGTTGGGCCTGCTTCTAAAAACCAACCAGTTATTCAGTTTCTAAAACCTTAACATATATTTTGAGTGAGATTCAGCTAAGCCTAGCACCATACAATGTCAGAGTTGGAAGAGAGCTTAGGAGAATGGCTCCTGAACCTGACAGGTGGTCAATCTCCCAGGGAGCTTATAAAATATATGCACCCAGAAGTTCTATGCTAGTCTTACTAAATCAAATCCTTGCTGAGTGGGGCCACGAAATCTGTACATTTATCAAGTTCTCAAGATAATGAGAAGCTCAGTTTGGAAATTTCTTTAAAGTACCATCGAAGGCACTGAGATCCAATATTGCAATGGGCATTTAAGATATTAAAAGTAAATGGGGAAGTCATGTACTCATGTATTCATTTTATTTTTTAATTAATATTTATTTTTTTATGTACATAGTGCTTACTTACAGGCAAAGGATGCAAAGGTGAAAAAATATGATCTCTGACTTCAAGTATTTATTATTTTTTAGAGTCAAAAGGGTGTAATAATGTAAATAGGTGTGTGTGTTTTTCCTAGAGCCTCAAAGAGTGTGTATATTTTATTTTCTTTTTCCCAAAACCATGAGGTTCAGATACTAATATTCCCAAAGTAATATTTTTCCTTTTCTACTCTATGTTAAGTAGAGGTACAACACATATGATTAACAGATTTTTTCATGGGAACAAAAAATAAATATTAAAGAATAAAAGTGAACATCATTAGTGTTTATTCTAGGTATTGAACTAAGCATTTTATTTGTTCACATATAATCCTCACAATGACATTATCAAATGGGACTATCACTATTCCTATTTTATAACTGATGAAACTGAGACATAGAAAGGTTAAATAACGTGCCCAGAGTCACAGAGCCTGTAGGTAGTAGTGCCAGAAGTTGAGCTCCAGAGTTGGTGGGCTTACTCACCATATGATAGTGACTCTGGAATAAAGGAGAAACAAAAATAATTTTTGCCATAAACTATCCAGTGGCACACTGTTGTTAGTAACAGATAAGACAATGGTATTCTGACGTTCAGCAAGAAGGAAATCACTGGGATAACTACGTATTATAAATTCTTTGTTTCCAGTTCCATAAAATGTATACCACCAAAAAGAAAAATTCTGACTGCAGGGAAGCAGTACACTCTGTAGACCCCGGAGAAAAATAAATCACCATGAGATTTGACAACAATCAATTTTTCACTGCACGCTAATCAAGCAGATAGAAAGAAGGCCATGGTAAGTGATTTACTTAGTTAAATCTTTGAGGGAGGAGAGTTAGTTAATTCATAGAGCTGTATGCTTTATACATTGACAAAACCCAGCAATGTCAACAGTATAAAATGTGTATCATTCTAACAATGATGAATGCAAATGCGTAGGATGCTCTGTCTGCCTGCTTAATTTCAGAAAAATCAAGACACTTCTATTTGGCAACTGGTGCCTGAGTCCTGTTGTTCCCATTAACTTACCCATGGATGTGTGGCAATTTATTTCTCAGGGAATTGTTTTGAGGCTGCTCTGGCAACAACAACAAAAAAACACCAGATAGCTCTCCTTGAGATAAATGCATGAATGTGGCTAGATGAGTATCCTTATTAAGGAAATAGACAAATTGTTTCCTTATACCTTGAAGTTCCTTGGCCATCTGGGACTTACTTTAGGATATCCTGGAACCTGCTGTCAGCCTTCTCCTGTTCTACAGTGTCCCTTCCATCTTCTCATTAATCAAGGTTTGACTGCATCAGTCAGGTTAGTCTGGGTTATGCTGCAGTAACAAGCAACCTTCAAGTCTAAACAGCTAAACCAAGCAAAAGTGTATTACTTGCTAATGTTACATGTGCAGCAAAGAGGGGTATGGAAGTCTTGAGCTTAATATAATCATCTAGAGTCAGGCTAAAAGAAGGCCTACCTCAATTCCAGTGTTTTCAATGACCAGAGGAGGAAAAGGAAATGTGGTAATTACACATTGGCTCATAAGGCTTCTGTCTGGTAAAAATTAGATGTCACTTCAGATTCAGACTACTTTTCTTATGCCAAAGCAAGTTACATGACTTTGAATAATTTTAAAGGAAATGGGTAAAAGATGTGAAATAGAATACATAACCAATAGTCTTAATGTAAAAACAGGAGATATAGGAATCTTAGACATGCTGGTGAGTGCTGAGAATTTAGGAGCACCCACAACCTGATCTCTTGGGTTTCTAGCTGCATGACTTCATGAATATCTTTTCTTGTCTTAAGCATCTTCCTGTACCTCAGCCCAGGGCCAAGGTTCAATATTTAGGATAGTCTCTTCTCTACAGGATAAGGAGAAGACAGGGTTAGGAGCAACGAATACAGATCATAAACTGAGAGGCCCATGTGCTGTTTTTAAAACAAAAACTTTATAGCTTTTGCGTAAAAACCAAAATTGATGGCAGGTGAGTTTGGATGCTTCCTGCTCAAATCTAATTAAGCCCTCCAAAAATGTCTAATAAAAGTCTTGCCCAGCCAACTTGCATGTTCACCCCCCCTTATCACTTCTCCCTCTGTCCTAGATGGTTTGCTTTTGATTATTTAAAAAAAAATTACATATGGTTGCAGTCGTTAAAAGCCATGGAATGTAGCAATAACCATGGTATTATTCTTCAGTGTCCACCTGCAGAGCTGACTCTACCAGAGAAGAGTTCACCCCTCCTTAGCAAAGTGCCCCACGCAGCTGCCACACCACACTAATTGGAGTGTGTATCAATGTCAAAAGCCATCCCATTGCTAATATCATAGTTTCTCACTTTGAAGGAGGAGCAAGCTAATTCCACAGTCTTCTCCTGTAGGACAAATGCTAGGTAAATATTTTATGTCATTAACAGTCTTCACTTTTAATTTCACATTTTACAAGAGTGTGACTTGGAGTGAAAGCTTTCATTTATCTCACCAGAAGACATAACATTCTTCAAAAGAAGAGAAAATAAAAATGAAATGAGCATTTGCTCTTATTTGTCCTTATATTTTAATTCTCTTCCTAGTAAGCCCAAGGAAAAGCAAGTGTCTACACATTCCAACCAAGGGTTCTAAATCTGGGCGTTCCAAAATACTTTCTCCCAGTGGAATCACGGACCTCGAAATTACTGGTAGGCAAAGAATCCACATAATACATCTTCATCCACTTTATCAGCAAGTCCTAATTTCTGTACCTTCAAATTCTGACTCTGTTTTTCCCACCACTTCCACCAGAACTACCCTAGTCCACGCCACTATCATATCCCACCTAGGTTAGTTATTGAAATAGCTTCCTAAGTGAACTGAACTGCATGATTCTACCCTTGCTCTGCTATGGTCTATTCTTGACTCAAAACCTATAGTGTTCTTTTTCACAGTAAATCATAGTCACTCCCATTTCATAACCGTTTAGCAGATTCATATTACAGACAGAGGGAGATCCAGATTCTTCTATAGTACACAGTGAAGCCTTGGTTTCTGACTTCAGCCTCTACCATTCTTCTCTTTGTCTGTATTCCAGCCAAATAGGCCAACTTACAGTTTCTTGAACATAACAAATGTGCTCAAAGTTTTTGTACTGTACAAGTTTTTTTTTTCTCAATGCTTAAAATCTTTTCCTTAAATCATACTGATTGTTTGCTTCTTAACTTGATGAAATGTCTGGTCTAATGTTGCCTCACAAAAGAACCTTTTCTTGACTGCCCTATTAGTTTTCTATAGCTATTTAAAATAGAAAACTGATTCCTATTGCTTTTTAAAAACCCCAAAACTCAGTGGCTTAACATAATAAATACTTATTATCTTACATAGTTTATGTGGGTAAGGAATCTGAAAGCAACTTAGCTTGATGGTTCTGACTCAGAGGTTTCAGTTAAGTTGTCAGCCAGGAAGGTAGTCACCTGAAGGCTTGACTGGAGCTGAAGTACCAAATTCTAAGGAGGCTCCCTCAAAGTCCTAGCAAATCAATGCTGGATGTCTTCAGAAGACCTCTGATCATCAAATCGACAATCCAGGGATGATTCCATATTTTCAAAACACGGTAGCTGGCTTTTCCCAGGATGAGTGGGTGAAGACAGAATAAAAAGGAAGCCTCAATGCTCTTTATAACTTAATCTTGGAAGTCAGCACACCTTCTCTTTCATTTTATTCTACTTGGTGGAATACTAAATCCAACTGTTACTCAAGGAGAGAGAAATTAACCACCTCCTCTTGGAAGGAGGAGTATCAAATAATTTGCAGACCTTTTTTTCCCCTTTCTTTCTTTTGAGACAACGTCTTGCTCTGTCATCCAGGTGGGAGTGCAGTGGCGTGATCATGGCTCACTGCACCCTCGACCTCCAGGGCTCAAGTTATCCTCCCAGCTCTGCCTCCTGAGTAACTGGGACTATAGGCACATACACTAGGCTAACTTTTGTGTTTTTTTGTAGATATGGGGTTTTGCCATGTTACTCAGGCTGGTCTTGAACTTCTGGGCTCAAGCAACTCACCTGTCTCAGCCTCCCAAAGTGCTGGGATTACAAATGTGAGCCACCACACCTGGCCAGAAGGTTCTGGAAACCACTAAAACAAGTAAAACTGTATTCCTCATGCCATTCCTCCTACAACTGTCTCTCTCTGTGTCCTGCTTCATTCATCTTTATGCCATTTATGACTCATTATATCTCTCTAAATAGACAATAAGGTAAAGTTAAGAATAGAGACAATAAGGTAAAGTTAAGAATCCTTAGACCAGGTTTTGTGAATTCAAGTCCCAAGTCTATGACTTATGGAGAGTAAAACCTCAGACAAATTATATAACTTCTCTGTGACTCAGTTTTTAGATCTTTAAAATTGGCCACTGAGCACCTACCTTAAAGAGTTGTGGGTGCCGGACGTTGTGGCTCATGCCTGTAATCCTAGCACTTTGGGAGGCCAAGGCAGGTTGATCATGAGGTCAGGAGTTTGTGACCAGCCTGGCCAACATGGTGAAACTCCGTCTTTACTAAAAATACAAAAATTAGCTGGGTGTGGTGGTAGGCGCCTGTAATCTCAGCTACTTGGGAGGCTGAGGCAGGAGAATTGCTTGAAACCGGAAGGTGGAGGTTGCAGTGAGTGGAGATCCTGCCACTGTACTCCAGCCTGGGTGAAAGAGTGAGATTCCATCTCAAAAAAAAAAAAAAAGAGTTGTGGGGAGGAATAAAAGAAGGGAGGGGGAGAGAGAGAAAGACAACACTTAAGACAATATTCAACACAAAATAAATGTTATAGAAATGTCACGTATTATAATTATTACTATATTATTTTTAGCAAACTAGTGTTTATTTATTCTTTCCTTATTGGAATATGATTTGCATCAGTGCAAAATATTTGTCTGTCTGTTCACTATTGTGTTCTTGGTGTTTAGAATAGGTTTTAAAAATACATGTTGACTAAACTTATGCTCTAGAAGGCAAATATATTTATTTATATAATTCACATTTAAAAGATAAAAAGTACTTAAATATGTTCAATAATTTATCTATTCATTCCTTCATTCAAAATGTTTCTGCTGAGTGCTTCCTAAAAGTTTCACAGGGACATCTATTTAAAACACATCATCTTTTCACCCAGATACAAATTAGTGTTACATTAGAGGAAATTAGAATAGAAGAACCAAAGAAAGAGTCAGACAAAAAAGAACAATAACTAATTAAAATAAGCTGTGATTATAGCTAGAGTTATTATATTAATAATTTGATAATTTGTAATTGCTTGTAAATTGTCTCAGTAAGAAATATGTAGGTTAAACTGCTCTAACTTTCTACATAAAAAGTCATTAATTAACTGAGCAAGCATAAGAGAAGTACCTGAATGAGGAAAGAGAACCATGGAACATGTAAGATATAATTTGGGAAACACTGCTATGGTCATCTTGCTTCTCTGAGGGCGGTATAAGGTGCTTGTTAAGTTTAATTTCAATGATGATCCTAAGATTTCTTAACAAACATGATTCAGAGACAATAGAGGTCTATTACATACTTTCTTTCAAAATTCAGAAGTTAAAAGCTTAAATAAATTTGAAATAAAAAAATTGTATTTTAATTACACAGTATATGCGGACTTCACAGAATTTTCCATTTTGCCTGAACCAGTGCAAGCCAAGCACAATGTGACTCACACAGCTGTCTACATTGGACATCAACCACAAACAGACTCATAGCCCAAGGCCCATTTGGAAGAGGTCTGGAAACATGTCATGCCTATATGTTATCACCACACTTACTCCTGCACCTGCAGTTTGCTTTCTAGAGTTATTAATGGGAAACCTCAAGTCCCTTTACATCAAATGTATTTGATGAAAGGATGGCAGTGCTGCACCAGAAGGATGTGCATGTTAACAAGTTTGCCCAACCACTGGCATGGCCAGATACTCTTGAGTGAATATTATTTGGGCCAGAAAAACAAAGAGTGGCAGACTTCGTTTTAAATGACTGCTTTTAGCAAAAAACCTGGTGATGAGTCAATAGACCTAGACAAAGGCTGTAGTGCACGGACCTTCCTGATTTATAGGTGGCCACTTCTTCTTTTCCTGATTATGCTATGCTCATTTTATGTTTGCTTCTTGTGTGAACTCACACAACAAGGTGTTATATATATTTTATTTGTTTAGCATAGTGGTTTTGAATGATGGCTGCAAAATTACACTCTGCTTCTAAGGAATGAACACAGGAATTAAATCTATTTCTGCCTATTGTGAAGAAAAACAAATACTGATCTTTTAAATAAGGTTCTTATGCAAAACAGAAAACAAAAGTAACTGTTAAATAAGATACTTATGCAAGACAGCTTAAAATTTGGATTGCTTCATGGAAATATTATGGAAAGATCAGATAATGAGTAATTACTTATTACAAAAATACTGTAATTTTTGAATAATATAAACACATTAGAAAATAAAGAGGAAGATTTAGTACTATTCTCCTTTTATTAATTCCTTAAATAAATAAATAAATATATATCATGCATATCATACATATGGCATGTGCTGGGCATTGAGGATGCAAGGTAGACAAAACATAAATGGTCTCTGAACTCCTGGTGCTTATGTCAGCACTGAGCATAGGGAATGCAAACATTAAACAAATAATTGCACAAAATGTGAGATTTAAGGTGTGTCTGTGCAATGCCTTGAGAAAGAAGTATCGTGAATTACTCACACAAGAATACTTATTGAGTAGCTACTATATGTGCCCTTTCCCTTTTGAGGATATAATAGTGAACAAAAATCAGCAAAGTGTTCTTTTTTAATTGAAAAAAATCAGCAAAAATCTCTGCTTTTGGAGAAGCAATAAACAAAATAAATACAGAAATTCTTGAAAATCTTATATCAATCACAGATATGGTATAATAGGAGATATGGAATAATAGAAGATGTGATCAGAGAGGAACTGAATTGAGGTAGGAGATAGAAAAAGTAGGGCCTTCTAGCTCATTTCAGGGCCATAGGCTTGTATCCTAGTAACATGGAAAGTTGTGGAGAGTTGGAGGAGTGGCATGGTCTGACATGTCTTAAGAAGGTCACCCTCGGCTGGGCACGGTGGCTCATGCCTGTAATCCCAACACTTTGGGAAGCCGAGGCAGGTGGATCACCTGAGGTCAGGAGTTCAAGACTAGCCTGGATAAGATGGTGAAACCCCATCTCTACTAAAACCACAAAAATTAGCTGGGTGTGGTGGTGGGCACCTGTAATCCCAGCTACTCAGAAGGTTGAGGCAGGAGAATTGCTTGAACTCGGGAGTTGGAGGTTACAGTGAGCAGAGATTTTGCCATTGGACTCCAGCCTGGGCAACAAGAGCTAAACTCTGTCAAAAAATAATAATAAAAAATAAAAAAATCACTCTGGCTGTTAAGTAGCAAAGAGAGAGGCATGGAGACCCATGAGAAGTCTACTCCACATTTCCACATTCTAGGCACAAATAAGGGTAGTTCAGGTATTGGTGGCAAAATTACAGATAGTGAAAAGTGGTTGTGTTCCAGATATAATTTCAAGGTACAGCCTCAGAGCTGGCTGCTGGATTTAATAGCAAAGGGAAAAAGAGAGGAGTCAGGGGTAAACCTAGGAACTCTTGAGATAGTGAGGTATTTTAAGAAATTCTTCCTTGAGGGAGTGACAGTTGAGTTATTTGAAGGAATAATAAGAATTAATTAGAAAAACAGTAAGGAGGGACAGAACACATAGATTGAGAATTGATTATATTTGTAGGACACCTCCTAGGAAGATGAAAGGAAAAGGCTTTTTTGTTTATCGAGCTATTAACTAAGAAAAGATAAATTAGATGCATTATACTTGTAAAACTTTTAGGGAAGATATCATTTGCAACAATTTGTAGCATAAAAGCAGCACATATGGCATAGTATTAATCAGAAATTTTTATATTAGGCTTTATATTCATTAGTTTCTTGTACATGAATTTAATAAATTTTATATCAAAATGACTATTAATAGAATTTTTTTTACACTATTCATCTGTACCCAACCAATAAGAAAAAAAGGTCAAATTGTGTATTTCCATAATTACATTAACATTCTCCTTTTTAACAACAGCGAGGAGTGGAAAGTAGTATGTGTATTAGGAAAACATAATGCCCTGGCAGTTCTGGAGCCTTCTACTGTAAACAAATTAGAAAACTTCCAGCCTGCTTATAAAGATTCAAAGTACACATTTAACCTGGATATGAACTATATTAAATCTGGTCACATATTAAATAAATCTAAGCAAACATGTACAGCATCAGCAAACGTGTAATATTTCCAAACATTTTCTCTTTCTGTCAAATATTTACATCTTTTAATAGTTTTGTGTTTATTTTACTTATTAAATAATTGCTTGCCTCTTTTCGGTTTCTTAAACAGTATTTATATAAAAGAAGTCATAACAAGATGGCATTGCCACCTCTGTTGTGTTGAATGTATTTTAAAGCATTGCGTTTGCACTTTAGTTTTTACTGTTTGCATTTTTATTTTTTTAGAGCCGCTTCTAGAAGTACTTAATCTCAGATGAGTTATTAACCAAATTTTAAAAATCAGGTTACTCAAACTGCCCAAAGAAATAATAATAAAAGACATCAAAGCCTTTGTATTTTGCTATTTTTAAAACTAGGACCAGTCAAGTTTGGTTTGATTTTTCTAAGGGAAGACATCAGAAGTATTAGGGCAGGATGTACAGAATTATGACAATGAAGCTCTCCCAGCATGGAGTTGACAGAATAAAGGAAACCCCGTCAGGGACACATCTGGCTACAGGCTTAGCATTTTAACATGATGTATCATGTCTTCTGGTTTGAAAATAGTAAACTACCCAGATCACATTCTTCAAGAGTTTGGAAACTCAAATATACTTTTGGGAGAAAATAATAGGTTTCATTTTTCCTTTTATGATGGAGTTAGGTTGAGGTGACTTGTATGATGATCCAATACAGTCGGTTCAGGAAAATCAGTCATTTAATCAGTTATTTTAGTTATTAACAAAAACAAAACAATTCTCACAATAGTGGTATTACATAAAGAGAAATACATATATGCAATTATTTTCTACTTGATTTTTCTAGCATTGGCTAAATATATATAAATTTTCCTCAATAAAAACTTGTTTTCTTTATGATAAAGGCAGAATATTATTCAGGTGACTCTTACAATTCTTAGGCTTTGGTGGATTTTCCTAAGATAATTTTTCTGAAGTGAGTCACATGCCAGGAGAAGAGATGAGAAACCATTGTTGCAGCTGTCTTCTGTATAGGCCACCAGGTTTAATTTTATACAACTACCTAGATCATAACTCTGTCCTAATGCTACCAGGACATCTCTAAGAACCGAGATGTCAACCCATTTTATCTTAAGGTTTTATTACTGCCTAAAAATAAGAGTGATGCCCAAATTATACAAACCATATCAAATAAAATGAACACAAGTCATGTCCAATTCCTGCTTCATGCTTTTAAAATTCTGGCTATGGGGCATTATTGATACCTCCAGTTCACTGCATTCACTTACAGTATCTATCAAGTGTGATTATTCCAAAGACAAGCTCTTTTATGAGTAAATGTATTATTAATAATCACCTAATGTTCACATAATGTTCACATAATCCTCCAGTTTTATAATTGTTTTTTAATAATGCTAATACAAGTGTTCTTTGGAGAAGAAATGAAATGAATTATCACCATAGACTGAAAGTTTGTGTGCCCCAGCATTCATATGTTGAAACCTAATTGTCAATGTAATGGCATTACAGGATGGGACCTTTGTGAAATGATTAGGTCATGAAGGTGGGGCCTTCATGAATGAGATTAGTGTCCTTATAAAAGAGTCTCCAGAAAGCTGGTTAACCCCTTCTCCCATGTGAGAATGCAGCAAGAAGACAGCCATCTATAAATCAGGAAGCAGGCATTCACCAGATACTGAGTCTACTGGTGCCTTGATCTTGGACTTCCCAGCCTCCAGAACTGTGAAAAATAAATTTCTGCTGTTTATAAGCCACATAGTCTGTGGTATTCTCCTATAGCAGCCTAAATGGAAAAATTAATTATTATCCCTATTTTACTGATGAGAAAAATGAAGGTTTTAAAGATATTGAATCTATATTCTGGTGGTACTTTGAACTTATCTTTTTGTATATGTTGAGGTGACATTGTGACATTGATTATTATTATTAGTAGTATTACTACTACTACCTACTACTACTGAAACCACTTTTGCAAAATTATAACTGAGGAAATTATGACAGTGAAAGAATCAGACCTAACAGACTCTATCTTGCTTCTAACTTTTAAGCCGTCCTTGTTCATTCCTGGGCATAGGCCAAACTAATTTTGGGAAGGAATTCAGTTCATGGTTTGACTCTGAAACAAAATTGATAACAGCCCTTTCCTTAAAATACCCCCTTCTTGCCTGGGCACCAGTCGGCCTTTGCAAGACTAACCAATTAGCTACAAGTTTAGAAATTACAGTTTAGGGGTCATGTAGCCTCTGGCTCCAAAAGACTGAACCTCCCCAAATTGCTTCTTGGAATAATATCAGTATTATAAAACTTAAGATCAGTGCTTGAGATATTTTGCAGACCCTGCACTGGTTGGATCAGCTGACAACACTCAGACCAGTAATCTGGCTCAACCACTTCTGCCATCCTACCCAGGAGCAGAAGACTCAAGAAAACCTTATTTTAACCCTCTATGATTCCAACCTGACTAATCAGCACTCCCCACTTCCCAAGCCCCTACCTGCCAAGTTATCTTTAAAAACATTGATCCCTGGCTAATTTTGTATTTTTAGTAGAGACGGGGTTTCTCCATGTTGGTCAGGCTGGTCTCGAACTCCCAGCCTCAGGTGATCCACCCGCCTCAGCTGGGCATGGTGGCACATGCCTGTAATCCTAGCTACTAGGAAGGCTGAGGCAGGAGAATTGCTTGAACCTGGGAGGTGGAGGTTGCAGTGAGCCAGGGTCCCGCCATTGCACTCCAGCCTGGGCAACGAGCAAAAACTCCATCTCAAACAAACAAACAAACAAGAAGCAAAACTCTGATCTCCAAATGCTGATTTGAGTAATAATAAAACTCTGGCCTCCTGCACAGATGGCTCTGCATGAATTACTCTTTCTCCATTGCAATTCCCCTGTCTTGAAAAATTGGCTCTGTCTAGCGGGCAAGGTGATCCTATTGGGTGGTTACACTGCCTCATTGCTATTGGGGCTCTTCACTGCAGCTCCCTTATACTGCATACTTTTGCCCAAGTGAAAGCATTTCTCTGTTGAAGTTTTCTGTGCAAAGTCTGTTCACATCTGTGCAAAGTCTGTTCACAGTGTTTTTTTTTTTTTTTTTCTTTACCTGAACCATGCTTGAGGAGTTCTCCAAGCCAGGATTGGTGATGGTTTTTAAAAGGAGTATCTGTCAGCCTTTGCATTCTTTACACATCGTTGAGTTTTAAAGTGCCAGACTGTGGCAGCCTACTACATAACATGACCTCCATAAACCTATCGATTGGAGACTTAACTCAAGACATTTCAAAAGCCTCATACTGGCCCCGGGTGCATTTGAGGAAAATGTCCCCTCTCAGTGGGAACAGGTGGAAATCTAAATGCAGTGTTGGCCCTGGTTAGAAAACAGCCCCAAAACAAGGATTACTGAATGTGTGAATCCAAAATTTGCCTTTAAACCCATTTTAACAACTCATTCAACTCTGCAAGAAGTTGGAAATACTGCTTCAAGGGTCAGTCTTTGTTGCTTGAGTTTTACATTCTTAAATAATGCTGGTGACCTTCATTCAAGAGTGAGGTCTGCTAAGGGCAACTCTTTAGATGGAAGAGAACTCCCTTATAATAGCAAATTTAGAACTAAAGAGTTAGAGCTTATTGGCAAATAGCCTCAGTTTAGTATGGACTGTTGTGCTAAAGAAAAGTACCACTTTGGCAGGCTGGGATCAAAGTTCACTTTGTATTCACATTTCAGGGTCGCCAGCCTTGTCCTGAAGTTTCATCACTAGACGGGTAGACTGTTGCTCTGTTTTTGTAATATTTTAGCTCTTAGAACATACTGTCTGTTTAATGGCAATTAATATCTCCCAGTTCTCCTCTAGGTTTATACTCATTCTTTTTGCACTGTATGCAAGAGCAGGACATTTCGCATGGAGGCAGAATAGAGAGTTGAATATCATCTGATATACTGAGACTGAAAGTCCCTACCTTTGTAGTAATCTCTTCCAATATCTGATGTCTTCTCCCAGAGTTTCCACTTCTAAGAGGTCATTGTACCCCAATGTACTTTTACTCAAGTATTAGCATTCACTACCAAAACATTATAATTCAGTTTATCTGATTATCTGGTTCACTGTATATCAAAGAAAGAGACACCAACATGATCAAGTTTTGATTCAGAGATGAAAGGACATGGGAATAAAATTCAGGTGAAGACATTTGAATACACAGAATTTTTTTTTCATTCCTTCTATTTGAAACTAACTTATGTAACTGTGATTTTTTTTTTTTTGACAGAGTTTCATGCCCAGGCTGGAGTGAAGTAGGGCCATCTTAGCTCACAGCACCCTCTGCCTCCTGGGTTAAAGCAATTCTCTTACCTCAGCCTCTTGAGTAGCTGAGCTGAGTAGAGGCGCCAGCCATTAATGCCCAGCTGATTTTTGTATTTTTATTGAGATGGGGTTTCACCATGTTGGCCAGTCTGGTCTTGAACTCCTGGCCTCAAGTGACCCACCTGTCTCTGCCTCCCAAAGTGCTGGGATTACAGGTGTGAGCCACCATGCTCTGCCAGCTGTGATCTTTCAATGCATATTTACCTATCACCTATTTTATTCAAGAGACTGTGGTGCTGGGAAATTAAATAGGTAATTTAATTAGGGTATATATACATATAAATATGTATATGTGTGTGTGTGTGTATAATATGAGAAAATACTGGCAATGAAATCAGAGATGTAAGCAAAGTTTTGTGTATAAGCAGAGGAATTGGAAATTAACCATCTCTCAGATGGACTGGCTTAGAGAGGAACTGGCATTTGTGCTCTGCTCTGAACTGTGACTAGGATCAGGAAAGGTAGGAGAAAGGGAGGGAGAACTCCTGGGAGAGGGGGTAAAACAGGGGTGGATATGGATATGTGAATGTGAGAAAGGGTGTGGGTGGGGAATGGCAAGGGATTACAATTTCCTAGGAAAGTCGGTTTCTTACAAAGATAAAGACAGGCCAGAAGTAAGATACAGAGGGTTAGAAACTTGTTATAAAAGTTTTGAATTAATCATGTAGGTAATAGAAATTAATATGAGGATTATACACAGAGGAGTGGTGTGATCAGTTCTATGCTTTATGGAGAAAACAACTGGCAAATAGGAGAATGATTTGGAGAAGAGCACAGAGGCCTTTACAATAGTTTACTTAAGAAAGAAAGTGAAAACAGAAACTGTGAGGAGCTGACTAGGGTAATGGGATCAAAATAAAGTGTGAAAAAATTAGAATAGAGCACCAAAAGGATTTTATGACTTACTAAATGTAGGTATTGGAGCAATGGATGCCCCTGAAAGAAGAATATGTAGAAGAGAGGACTCATGTCAGGAAAAAGATGAAGACGCCTTTGCCAAAATTATATCAGTGAGAAAAATTATGAGAGTAAAGTAAGCTAACCTACCCTCATCTTGCCTTTCCCTTAATTATTCCTGGGCTATTGGGCAAAGCTAACTTTGTAAAACATTTAGGCTGTAGTTTAAAAGATAATAGGCCTTGCCAGGAAACTCAACAGTTTTGTAAAGCTAATGGGGAGCCATCAGGCTGATGGGACGAGAGAATCCTGAGTCCTGCTAAAGTGCAGACTTATATAAACGATTATCAGCCATTATTCGGGAAGTTATAAGATATGCGACTTCCCCAATTATTCCTGCAAATAACATCACTGTTGTAGATTGGTCTTTTGAGATATCTTTTCAGGTTTTTTGCGTGTCTGACAAACATGGCTCCACCTAGACCCGTCAACTCTGCTCCTGTGGCCCCACTTAGAGGCAAGTCAGCCTGCAGGAGGACAGCTTTGACCCCTTATGATGTCATCTCAGCCCCAACCAATCAGCAGCAATTACCTGGCCTTCCTCACCAATTACCAATCAGACCATTACCTGGCCTTCCCCACCCCTTCCTTCAAACTGCTTTTGAAAAACCCCTAACCTATGAGCTTTGGACAAGATGATTGGAGTATGAACTCTGTCTCCCCTGTGACATGGTTGGGCTCGTGTCTATTAAACTCTTTCTCTACTGTGATGCTGTAGTCCTTCATGCAGCAGACAGGAAGAACCCCTTGGACAGTTATAAAGATATTAAATGAAAAAAAGTTCCCTTATCATCCCCGATACCACACCTGACTGACATAGTAATAACAGTATTGACAGTAGTGTTAGATAGATAATAAGTGTTTATACTAATCCTCACAACAACTCTCCTGATACATGGATATTATTGACACTTTATAGATGAAAATGAAAATTCAGAAAGGTTAAGTGTATTACAAAAATTTAGATGGCTGACAAGTTACAAAAAAGGGTGAAATTCAAATGTATTTACTCCAAATTTAAGCTTCTGAACATTCCATCAGAGTTGCCTTGCGTGTACACCACTGGATTCAAAATACCCAATTAGATTCATGATGAGTATGAAGTGCTCTTATTATTTTGTTTATTTTTTATTTTGTAAATATCATGCAGTGATTTTCTTTCTCTGCCAGGAGGAGGAAAAACAGGCAAATAAATAGGCAAAACAAAAGTATAAAGGTTGAAATATTAAAGGTAAAATTCACAAAATTAAAGACAATTAGAAATAAGGTTATTTTTGGGCCGGGCGCAGTGGCTCACGCCTGTAATCCCAGCACTTTGGGAGGCCGAGACGGGCGGATCACGAGGTCAGGAGATCGAGACCATCCTGGCTAACACGGTGAAACCCCGTCTCTACTAAAAATACAAAAAAAATTAGCCGGGCATGGTGGCGCGCGCCTGTAGTCCCAGCTACGCACGGGAGGCTGAGGCAGGAGAATGGCGTGAACCCGGGAGGCGGAGCTTGCAGTGAGTCGAGATCGCGCCACTGCACTCCAGCCTGGGCGACAGAGCGAAACTCCGTCTCAAAAAAAAAAAATAAAAAATAAGGTTATTTTTGTTGTGTTGATTAGCACTACAAGTAATTCTTGAGCCTGGCAAGAAGGGATATAGTCTTTGTCATCCCTTTGAAATTGACACCTTTATTGAAGCCTTTTATTTCTCTAGTTATTATAGTGTACATTTTCTTGCCACATCTCATTGTAAATTGAGTTAGTTAATTTTGTATTTTATTTTCTCTTCAAAACAACTTTTTTTTAGTAGATGTGACTGTTTCTTTTTATGTTCATTTTATAGGTAAGGAAATCAAGAATGTTCCTTGTAGCAATTAAATGACAAAACTGGAACTTGAACCTTAATCTTCTGACTCAATGTCTGGGATTCTTTCCATGATCCTACATTACGTAAGACAAAAATGGTCTAGTATCTAAAGGCAAACAGTTTCTATTATGAGGAAAGAATTAGGGAGTTAATTTTTTAAACTGCCCTTCCGCCTCTGAAAGATTTGAAAGAGGAAGCCACAAGCAAGCTGGGAATGTTTCATTTATCTTATCTCTGACAAGGAATAAGAAGTATTTTGGAATTCCCTAGAGCCCAGCATGTCTATTATGCACTGACAGAGCTTCCTGTAATTAAAGGCTATATTACATTTGGATGGAAGTGACACACTCCCTTCTGGAAGCCTATAGCCATATGCAGCCTTTATTTAATAAAAAAGAAATCAGAAATCAATTGAAAGTGAAATTTGTTAGGATTAGGATGTTAAATAAAACCATGTTCGGGGCAGAGTTGACAAAATCTTTCCCTCTGAGTTGGTACGAAGTTAAGAAGCTTCTACAATCATACAAAAAAAAATTTATTTTAGGAGTAAGTGAAAAAGAGAGATTATTTGTTGGTTTGAGTGGAAGACTACAGAACTTTTCAAAAGATTTGGTGAGCAGATGCTTTTAAAAGCTCTTACCAGCTCAGTCTTTACTACTAGTAATTTCAAACAAAGCAGGAGGTCAGAGCATTGATGTTATTTTCCTCCCTTTTTCTATAGTCCTCTTGGCTAACCACTGATAGAGAACAGCCTGGAGCAGCCTTGAGAAGCCCCTGTGGTGAAAACACATCAATGTCAGCTTTAAACTGGGGGCTTGTTTTAAGCGTAAACTAATTTTTCCAGTTTCTCCCTTACTTTACCTTTTCATAACCACATTAAAAACAAGAAAATATCCATGATTTGTCTCCAAAGATATGCTATTTTGTTTGGGTTGATATCATGAATTTGTCATTTCTTACCCCTTCTGAATTTTACATAAGATTTCATGAATAGTAAGATAAGAGAGTATATGAGGAATTAGCAGTGGCTCTTGTTACAGGCATTATTTTCCACTATAGAAGTTGCTTTCTTAGGTCAATATCCCTAGAAACAAATCTTGAGATGAGCTTTTATGCCCAAGAGACACATTAAGAAGGTACTTCCTGGAGACACTAATATGGAAAGGCAGAAGCAGAACAAGAAAGAGGAAGAAGCCAGCACTATAGTATGAATGTGTGTACCCCAAAAAATTCATATGTTGAAAGCTAATCACCAATGTGATAATTTTAGGAGGTGGAGAATTTAGCAGATGATTAGATGATAAGAGCAGAGTCCTTATGAATAGGGTTAGTGCCATTATAGAAAAGGCCCCAAAGAGCTCCTGTGCCCCTTCTGCCATGTGTGTACACAGTGAGAAGGAGTCATCTATGAATCAGAGAGCAGGACCTTACCAGACACTGAATCTGCTGATGCCTAGATCTTAGACTTCTCAGCCTCTAAAACCATCAGAAATAAATTTCTGTTGTATACAAGCCACTCAGTTTATATTATTTTGTTATGGTAGCTTGAACTGATTAAAACACCAACAAAGGTAAAATTTCTGGCAAAATCCTCTTGATGATTGCCTGATCCCACCTTTCAGGGAAGTGATTTCACCTTGAGGTCATAGAGTTAGGCTTTCTACTCTCTTACCTCCTGGTCATTTACTAAGGTCACCCTTTGGGGATGCCAGCTCATGGAATTGCCAGTTTCAATGGCCCCTAGAAATGGAGTCTCATAGGAAAGTTGAACAAATGCCTTTTAAAGCTGAGAGAGGTAATCACAGAAATAATAAAATAGGTCCAAGGAGATCTAGGCAGACATCAGCCTGTGGACACACCAATTGGTTTAAAAGAAATTGGGTTGAGCTGCATCAAAGATGTTTTACTTTCCTAGACCCCGTAAAAATTCTTAAAGTTGATTATGACACAGATGTTAATGAACAGTCTGGAGTCTTTCAAGAACTGTGACTAGAGAGGGTTGAGGTGCTAGGAAAGACAGTGAGAGGGAGCCAGGGTCCAATACAGGAGTTAGTGGCAAGGTTTACTTCTACAGTATACTAAATATCAACCTTTACAAACCTTACACAAAGCAGTGGCAAGGTTTGCTTCTACAGTATACTAAATATCAACCTTTGGGATGAGGTAATTATAATTCTAAGTAGGCTATTTTAAAGTAACTATTACTATTTTTACCTAAACTCCCACTATAGGCAAAAAAAAAAAAAAAAAAAAAAAAAATCCAGAACACTGATGGTAATTTCAGCTCTTTTAGGAGCAAGCAAGAGTTTATTAATTTCCTTCCCACTGACTTTTTAAGGATGTATAAGCTGCCTTGATCTGCTCTCTGTATTTACCTCTGTGATCTGCTTTGCCAACTCCAAATTGGAGAATGTATTACTAAGGCAGCAGAATTTGATGACAGCTTTGTATCACCAATGAACATCTCTCCTTGCTACAGCTCTGCTCTGCTCCACTGCACCAGTTGGATTCAGAGCATGGTTGCAGCCAGGATAGTAAAGCAGTTGTTAAAGAGTGGGCAGAGTAGAGAGTTTGCAAATAGAGAGTTTAGAAAAAAAATCATAGGATCTGGTCAAACAATGAGACTTGACTTTTGGCAATCAACTGTTCAAATAGATCAACCCCATTTCATTGTGAGAAAGAATGTTGCATAGCTCCTACATCTACAGATTATGATAACCATGTGAATTGTAGACAGAGCCAATAAGAACGTAGTTTGAATATAGAATAACTTCTCAGAAATAATAATCATTGGCGTTTACAACTGCATAATAATAACACTGCCAGAATTGCCAATTTCCTAAATAAAGGTCAAAAACATGCATTTTGAAATCTGGGAACAGACTATTAAATCTGGAAAACAGATTATTAAAGGTGGGAAGATATCCAGGCTGAAAGTGCTTTAGCTGCTTCTTTCTGTCCGCAAAACTAGAGAATACTTTGTGTGCATGTAGAGTGTGGAATATTCCCCATCAACTCCCCTTCTCAAGACCCAGATCCACTCTCCACTCTGTCCACTTGGAGTGCCCTTTGCCCTCTGGCTTTGGTTGACTTGGCCAATGAGGGGCACTGAGTGGAGACTGCTGGGTGCAGGAGAGTGAGATTGGAGTATTCATTCCCTGACTCCCTCCATCCTGGGCTGTGGAGGACACTACAGCTCTCTCTTAGGGATTTGGTAACTCTTCCCTGCCCTTGAAGTTTAGATTAGGGGCTGGTCATGTGTTCTCCTGTGACTAGTCCCAATTTTTTTCACTGTTTCTCACTGTTTTTCAATGAGGCCAGCTCTAGTAGTGTTTCAGCATCCCTTGTTGGTTTCTCTGAACCCTGCTTATACTTTTGTAAGTAGTTCCTTTACTATATACTCCTAGGCTTCCCCATTTGAGCATGGTCTATGAGACTTGACTAACATAGAAAGGTAGAATTGCTTTACCCTAGGAGTCATGTCTATTACTAAACCTATCCCTCCCACATCATTCCTTATTCTATTAGCAGCACAGCTGCCTTCAGACACAGACAAGAGGAGGCCCCGTGCTTTATAAAGCTTCACTTACCACAAACATGAAATAATGAGAATATATTCATTAAAAAACATCTGGATGCCTCTGTCACTTGAAATCTAGTAGTTAGCACAGGTGTGGCACTACCTGAAAAGCTAAACATCTGCTCTCATGACTAGCAGTGTTAGGCCACAAGAAAATATTTCTCCACATTTTTTCTGTTGTCTTGAAACCAAAAGCTTTGTGTCCAAACCTTTAAAGGTTAGAGGTCGTGCTTTTGATAATGTGGGAGAGAGATACTATTTTAGGATCAGGAAAAATTTTCATGGTGGATGCTCATAGGTAAGAAAAAAATAATATCAACTTTTTTCAGATATGGATGCAATAGTTTCTTGCCTAATGAAATATCTTCTCCTAGTAGTGTAGTGTACCCATTTTTCTTTTTGCTCTTCCTGTTCCAATTCATAGTTCTAGAGTTAGTGTTGAATTAGAAGGAGGTAATGCCAATGACTGCACCAACGAGTGAAAGAAACAGTTTTGAAACTCCACAATTCACATTTCTTTTAAATTTATATTATATATATATGTAGGTCAAGATCTAACTTGCTTAAAGCTATTGGTAAATAAATAGACATCAAAAAGCGAAATTGCAAATAATTTTGTTTTTATAAAAATGTGTAATAAAATAAATGCATTTTCATTAAATATTTTCTTTAAATTTTGATATTTATTAGTCATAATTGATGTTTCTTTTTGCTTTTAACAACTTTCAGTATTTTAGAAGAAAAAATATTTTGAGAATAATGTCAGTCTTAAACGTTCACTTTATGTTTTAATGATGAATACATTTAAATTTGTAGACTTTCATAAAGTTACATTTTAATTTTGAATTCTTAGGACCAGGGATTGGCAAACTTTTTCTGTAAAGGGTAAGAAAAGGTTACTACTACTTAACTCTGAAATTGTAGTGCAAAAGCTGCCAAAGACAATATGTAAATAATGGACAAGGCTGTGTTCTAATAAAATTTTATTTACAAACCCAGGCAGCTAACTCAACAGCTTTAGTTCTACAACAATTGCTTTTAATTTGTACTGTAATTGAATAAAAATTATGTGAAAATCTCACTTTAGTACTACAATTAGTAATTTTCCTTACATTTAAGTTAGTATAAATGATTTATCAATTATGTCTTTATTTCATTACTCAGTAAAACAGCAAAATCCACTAACAGAACACATGAACATGATAACAGTAATTAAATTTAGTCTTCTGATACTTTGCCTACTCTTAGCCATAAAAGAAACCATAGCTTTATAGAAATATTTAAAATTTTGTTGTTTGAAGAATATTTATCAATACAACCCTAAAATGTATTTAATATAAATGTTTGTTAGCTTTATTTGTAGCTTACAAATATTTAGAGATATGGTGTGTGGGACTTCAATGCTACTCTTGCCCCAGGCTCAAACCAGTTTTGAGGTGGGCCTGGTTAGCTATTTTCCTCTCTGGGAGCAAGTGATCTTATCAAAAGACAAAGCTTTATTTCAGAAGTTGCAAACTGAGAACCTTAGGGTTGTTTTTAACTGACTCATTTTGGATCTGTACAGCGTTCATAAAAATATGGATCAGTTGCACACTAATTCCAAGTAAAAATCTAGATGTCTGTCTGCTATTTGAAAATCTTGTAAAACTAAATCTCTCTCTAGGGGTCTCAGCAGTCCCCTTTAGAAGAAGCGTGGGGCATCACCCAAGTCTTCAGCACCATCAAGGACGCCAACCCAGACAGCCAACTTCACCATCCATACTACTTGTCTTGCCTTCTATAGCCTTTGGCTTTTAAAGCTTTTCCAGACCATTAGAAACTGGCCCTTTTCTAATTTGTATCCTCCTTGCAGTAAATGACACTTCCCAAAACAAAATATGCAAACAAAACCAACCAGCAAAACAACCACCAAAATGGCAGCTCCTTTCAATCCTAAGCATCTCTGGTCTTTTTTGTCCCTGCCTAGGACATGGAGTTTGTGACACTGCTCTGATTGCTCTCTGCTCCTTCCCTCCAATTAACAGAAGGAAAGAGAGTGAGCAACAGTTTGCACCAATCTTTTCACATTTTCCAAAGCAATGTTTCAACTCAGTCATTGTAGAACTATGATCAGGAACAACAACATAGAAAGTGGCCTAGTTTGTGACACTATAACTATGATAAAATTATACTACCTGATAATCATATCTATTATTAATATAAGAAAAAATTAATTGCTCTATTAAAAAATACAAAGGAGGATAATGGGGCTTCGAGAATTTAATTGAGTCCTTGCTAATAGTGATAACTTAATGGGAGGAAAGGCATAGCTACTAAGAAGATCTTGGCTCAGCAATGGACCCCTTTCTGTTTCCTGACAAGATCCACAGAGGAGCAATTTGGAATTGAGGAGGAAAAGGACAGGAATTAGTTGTTGCCCTGCATAGCACTAGAGGTTCATCCTATAGTAACTTAACCAAGAACACTGTTTTGAAAATTAAGTTAGGAAAATGATCTTCCTACTTACTGGTTTAGTCTTGTGTGTGTGCACATATGTGTATGTGTTTGTGCTGTATGTTCTTGTACCAGCAGTTACCTTTTAGACAGTGATTTTCATCATTTGGTTGTATCCTAAAGTAAGAAGGGCATTTTATATTGTGAGTGTATATAAATACACATGCAATAAATTATATAATTTTGGAAAACATTTTTATAAAATAATACCTACTGTTATACTGCTTGTGATACACACTGACATTTACTACCTTCCTTTTTCTTTAGTGTCATCTAAAAAAATTTGATAGCAATCCTCTAAATCACGCATTCTCAATGGGGGTGATATTGTCCCCAAAGGGGAAAAATGGTTTCTTAGGGACAAAGAAAACTTAGACAGTAAAATGGTTTGTGGCCTTCCAAAAGGTCACAATACATAAATAGGTATTAACATTTCAGGAGGGTAAAATATTAGGGGAAAAATGTCTAAAAAGTCTCCCTAGAAGGCAATTTTTCAAAAAGATTGAGAAACGCTACAAAAATGACCTGCAGTTGGAAAAACACTATGTTGAAAAATTCAGAGACTAAAGCAAGTATGTCTGCAAATTCACATTGTTAGGGAAAAGGCAAATGAGACCAAAAATTAGAGCCCATGGCAGATTGAGCATTTATTTGATGACCCAGAATCCCAATACCCTAGCCCCACTTTTTTTTTTCTATGGGACTTAGATGTCAGCTGCCTTTCTAAAACTATCACCCTCCCTATTCTGTTATTGCAGATTAAACAAATTATCTTCCCTCTGCACTGAGAAGTCAGGATCCCAGCTCTAGCTCTGCTGTGAGAAGGGAAGGAAGGAGATTATTATAATCAAATTTGAGGTTAAAATTTTAAATTGGGCTGATTTTAGGAACCAAAAGTGATCATCCAACTATGGAATTTTCTCAAGGTATTATTTAAGGAAAATGAAAGGAGGTTGATGATATAAGGCAGCAATTGGGGGATATCAATTTTTTTTAGTATTTATAGCACAAAGAGTTAAGACTGCTTAATGAACAAATTACATTTGTCAACGTGTTTTTTCTGCTTTGCTGTTTATATTTCTCATTTTTTCCCCTGCATTTCCATTACTGAATCACCCACTGGTAAACTCCATAGTATTGAAAAACAATGAATATTATTAATACCTTATATGAGAAAAGGAGATGCTTTAAACAAGGTTTCTTTCTATACCAAGTCTAATACCCAAGAACATGCAGAAATAGATTTTCATGTTCATCAAGTAAATTTGAATATATTTATAATTCACTGCAAGAAATGACACCAAAATTTGCAGCAATATCTGCAAATAATTGCACTTTACAGTGCCAATAGGTATTTCTCTCAGCTCTGAGAAATCTGTAATTGCAGTAACAGAAAAATAGAATCTGAGCAATGGAGGATAAGGTAATGTGCACACCACTTTATCCCTATCCATATGTTGATTAAGCTATTCAAAGCTTTAGTCACAAAATGCAGATGTTTGTTAGCATTTTAGTCAACACAATCTCCGGCAGAGGTTCATACGCCCATTCTGAACAGGAAAGCAAGGAAACTGCAGGCAAATCGTATCATGCACCTGCTGTATTCAGAGGATGGCAAAAAGGCTGAGTAACAGAGATGACCAAAGAGCCAGATGTCACTATTGCAGGTGGGGTGAGAGCAGAGAGACAGATCATACGGCCACCTTGATCGAGAAAGTGTTTATTATAAAATGATGTATTTTAATGGAAATATTATATTTCCTTTATCTAGGAGGATATAAGGATAAGTTGGGATGAAAACCAGCCACATATAGAACTTTTCCTGTGAAATGTATTTCTCTCAATAATTTTCTAGGTTTTCATAGTTTTTGGTCCCAGATGGACATTTTGAAGTATTCACATTAATTCACCCTTCTCAAAAACTGTAATTTATAGTCATTTTAAAGAATGGCATCTAATATCCAGATTCAAAATGATGAAGTGTTGTTTGTCATAATATCATTACAGATGTTTTCACTCGTAATCCATTTATTTGGTAATGATCCAGTATGATTTATAATGAGGTCCTGTGGAAGGATTTTTTTTCAGAAAGTTCATGAACTTAATCCCATTCTGGAAGCATCATTTAAAATGGCAGGGGGTATTTGTCTTTAAGCAAATGAGGGCACACACACACACATACATAGCCTCACTGAATATTCAGTGAAGCATTTACAAAGTATTATTGTCACAAGGTCATTGTTATTTATCAGATAACTACTCAAAGTTTTCTTTAAACCATCAGTATATATTTTCTCTGTATGTTTTCCTCTATGTCTCTTACTGTCTGAAATATGTGACTTCTCACATTTAGGGCAAAGAACAAGTTTAAAGAGAAGGTAATCTTGATAATTGAATTTTCTTTAGGCTGGAAACCTCTTCTAATATAAGGTTACCTATAATGGGAAGTCTCTACCTGTATCATGGTACTGCCTTTAGGTATCCTTGGAACAAATTATAAAAATGTGACTTTTTTATTTTTGGAATGAGTTAACTTTTTTAGCTGGCAGAATTCTCCTTTTCCATTTATAATTCTTTTTTTTTTAAATTTAGACACTAAAATATGCTCAATATGGCTGCATTGATACTTCCCAGATGCTTTTGAAAATAGACCATCGCTAATAAGTTTGGTTAGCGAGGTTATCTAATAGTGATGGGTAGCAGTGTATGCATCTGTATTCTTGCAGTAACTTATACTCTAGGGAGAATTGTCACTTGCTGACTATTAATAATCCCACTGGAGCATTTATCACTCTAGACTTATTGGAGTAGATGGCAACAGCCTCCTTATTATGCAATAGTTTAAAAAATATCCACTCAATTCTTTCCTTTTTCCTTTGAAAGTTCAAGTTACTCCAGGCTGAGAAATTACAAAGTATAGATACACTTTCAGTTTGATATTCTTAAAACATCCTAATTTTCCTGCCTAATTAAGGCTCTTCCTTTCTTAGCTTATTATGTAATATATCATATGGTATCCTATTATTATATTCTGGCTTGTCTGGACAATACTGCAATAAATTGTAATGGCTGACAGAGCATTAAGTGAATTTCAATAAATTATGAGAGACTTCATTCTGCCAGCTATGCAAAAAACACTTGACACCTCAAAAAAAAAAAACAGCAAAATAGGGGCTTTAAAATGAATCTCTAAAATCTGCATATTATCCTACGTTGTTTGCATTCTGTGCCAGTTGTTATATATGGAAAGAAAATAAACATTTTCCAATACTCTGTTACGATAGGGTCTATCTTTATATAAAGTCCTTGAAAACTAAGTTCATTCAAAATTTTAAGGTACTTTTTCCTTTTAAAATTGTTAACATCTTGAAGCTTTTACTAAACAAGTGTTACATTTGTCATTATTAATAATTTATCATCACCCATATCAGGTCATTGGTCTCTGGCCAATTAAAGATTACAGTTTTATTGAGGATATATTGGAGGCTTATCTCTTATTATCATGTGTATTTAACATGGCAATTGGAAGAAAAGTTAGGGTGGGTGCAATGACTCACGCCTGTAATCTCAGCACTTTTGGAGGCCCAGGAGGGAGGACCACTTGGGCCCAGGAGGGCAAGACCAGCCTGAACAACATCGCGAGACCCTTTCTCCACAAAATTCTTTTTTAAAAAATTATCTTGATGAGGTGGCAGGTGCCTGTGGTTCAAACCACTTGGTAGGCTGAGGTGTGAGGATCTCTTGAGTCCAGGAGGTTGAGGCTACCATGATTGATGATTGCGCCACTGCGCTCAGGCCTGGGTAACAGAGAGAGACACTGTCTCAAGAAAAAAAAAAAGGAGGGGTTTATACATCGTGTGGCAACCATGAAATATGAAGTTTATCATCTGAACTGGATGTTTTGATAGTGAAAGAGGGTGTTTTGTTCAGATGTGACCTCTGGACTACCAGTGAAAACCAGCACAACCAAGAGCAAAGCAGTATGCGTGGTTTCCCTATGCATTGCAGATGCATAATACAAGTTTTTCAAAATTTTTAAAATTATCTGTTTCTCATTCTGTCAAAGTTTTCAATGAGAGCTTTAAATTATTTTTGTCCAAATGTTTGCAATAAACCAACTACTTAATGTGCTAGGGGGAGGAAATACATGTTGTACACATTTGCTCTCATTTTAATAATTTTAATGCTAATCTTTCACTTCTCTTTTTTATAAGTTGCTTTGAATTAACCTCCTTTACCCTTTTGTCATTCCATTTCTCTGTCTTTCCTTTCCTCCTTCCCTTGAATTTCGTGCCTGGGTGATTGTGGGTGGGTTGAGGTGGAACAAATGTCTGGCAGCTGAAATTATGAGAGAAGGTGGAAGGCATGGTCTGAGAGTATTGAGAGGGAGACGAGCTTCTCCCTGGGCAGCAGCGTCCTTGCTGCTGGGGGCAGGAATGGGAATCAAGGTACCCACCTTCTCTGTATTCAAACTTCCAAGCTGTCTTCCTCTCTGCACCCACCACCACCTACCCAGCTCCAGCTTCACCATTGCTCTGTGTGAAGCAATTATATTCTGGCAGGTTTGTCATTGTACCCTGTGAATCCAAGACTTGAGCCTCTCAGAAATTCTGAAGTTTAAAATATTTATTTCTACTGAAGGTCTTTACCTTAAAGCTCTGATCCTTTTACTGAATCAGTTATCTGTAAATCTTTCTATCCTTCAAAAAGGCTTGAAATACCTCACCTGCTCCTGTCCAAATCAGTTAACATTTGTGTGTGTATACTTTTTCAATTCTTTTATTTTTGTGATTTTGGAGTTTTGGAGGAGAAAGTAAGTAAACAATTGTGTATTTATTTCATTTACTGCAAACATAAGTCTTTTAGAATGATAGTGTCAAAGTCTAAATCTGATGATGTAAATTTTTGTAGGTTGATTACCAAATCTTTTGATGTTGCTACTGGATCTCAATATATCTCTACTATCATCTTGAATTTTGTATTCCTCATTCCCTTTGTTACACACACACATACACACACACACGCACACATCTATTTTGGTTATCTGAATATGTCATGCTTCTTCTGTCACAGGCCTCATTCTCTCTGAAGATAGCTTTTGTTTTTAGCTCTGTTTATTTTTTTTTGAGGGGAGAGGCTAGGGGACAGGATTTATTACTGAAATGTAAAGTTGTTTCTTAATTAAAATTTTTATTGGGATACTTGCAAATTTATAGTAGTTGTAATTAGAAATAATACAGAGAGATCCCTTGTGACCTTTATCCTCTTTTCCCAATTGTAACATTTTGCAAACTGTAGTATAACACCACAACCAAGACATTGATATCAAGTCCACTTATCTTAGTACTTCCCCAATTTAACTTCTATTTATTTGTGTCTCTGTGTGTGTGTGTGTATTTGTTTCTGTGCAGTTTTAATGCATGTGTAGGTTTATGTATCCACTACCACAGTCAAGACACTGAGTATTTATATTAACACAAGGATCCTTGTGTTGCTCTTTTATAACACAGTCATCTCCCTCCCATCCCCCGGCAATCACAAAACTCTCCCATTTTCTAAACTTTTATCATTTCAAAAATATTCTATAAATGGAACCATGTAATATGTAACCTTTTGGGATTGACTTTTTCACTCAGCATAATTCCTTGGAGATTCATTCAAGTTGCTTCTTTTTATTGCCCAAGAGCATTTATTCTGAATAGTATATATGTACTACAGTTTTTTATAGTATAAACCCACTGCAGGACACCTGGCCTGTTGCAGTTTCTGGGTCTTACAAATAAAGCTGCTGTCAACATTTGTGTGTAAGTGTTTGCATGATCGCTTTTAACTCTTCTCCTAGTGAAGACTTATCTAAGGGAGGGCATGCTTTCATTGAATTGCATCTTTTCTTTTAAGGCACTTATCAGAAATATAATTTTTCATTTATGTGGTTGTGATAATTCAATTACAGTTAAGATGTTCTCTTGGACCTTGAGCTCCACAGGGCCAGGATTTATGTCTGTTTTTTTCATCATTGTTTTTCTAGTTGATAATATAATGGCTTGCTAGTGAGTGAATATTTGTGTACCCTCCAAATCCATATGTTGAAACCTAATTGCCAATGTGATGGTATATGGGGCTTAAAGGAGGTAATTAGGTCATGAGAGTCAGGCTCCCGTGAATGGGATTAGTGCCCTTTAGGAAAGAGACAGGAGAGAACTTGAGTCCCTTCCCTCTGTTTTTCAACATGTGGGGAGACAGCAAGAAAATGGCCACCAGCAAACCAGAAAAAGGGGCCCCACTGGAACCTGATCACCCTAGCATCCTGCTTCATATGTCCCAGCCTTCATAACATGAGAGATAAATTCTGTAGTTTAAGCCTCCTAGTCTCTCTATGGTTTTCTGATATAGCAGCACTAACTGAGACATGCCTGGCACATAGATATTTGTGAAATGTACTGTTGGCTGAATGAAACCATCATAATGATAGATAATGTACACAAATTGCCTATCTAGTCTACAAAATCTCTCAAATTTATAAATTTAATTATTATTTTACAGATGAGGAAAATTAAGTAATTTATTCAAAATGCTCTGCCCAAAAGTAGACAAGGTGGAATTTAAATTCACATCTGTTTGACTTTAAAGCTCCACCTCTTTCCACTGAGCTATCCTTTTCCTTGCAGCTATGAAATTAATTCTACTTTTCTATGATGGAGAAATTCAATTGCAAGCACAGAGAAGCAGCTGTGACAAAATACTATATTCAATTGATAACCTAATACAATGATATAATGAAACAGAAACCAACCCCCATTGCCTTTTGTTTTATGATAGGCCACATGAAGAAAGCATATGTAGCTGCTATGTAATTTGCAGTATGCAGGTGTGAAAATCTCTATTTCATAAGACACAAATAAGCCTGGACATATTTGGTAATTACTGTGTTAATACAGAGTAATTGCACAGCTATTTCTTTCTTACAAATTATATGCTAGTTATACTTGGAATTACCATAAAAATGAAAAACTTCTACTTGCCAGTAAATGATTGCCTTATAATTACAAAATAATTACATAGTTATTTAGGCCTGGAAATATAAAGCATGGTACAAAATCCATATACTTAGCTGCCAGAGCTGCCAAGGTTCAAGGCTATCAGTCCATTTAGGAATTGCCCTTAAGACTACCTAAAATTCTCAAAAACGCTAGCTTCTCTGGGAAGGAAAAAAATATGTCACAAGAGAAATAGCCACTCTCATTAAACTAGAATTTTCAGTGACCCCAAAGCTATTACGCTGTAAAAATTAAGTCAACAATGGTAGTAACAGAACTCTTTTGCCTACTCCTGATGAGACCTGGCTGGCTGTGATTACTCAAAAAGAAGTCAGTTAATCTAGAAAAATCCTTATGAATTGCCACATGTCACAGAGCCAACTCGCTATGTGGAAATTGTGGCAGTTATTAACTTATTCAACTTTTCTGTCACATAAAATATTAACTTTGTTGTCCAGGACCAGATGGATTCACAGCCGAATTCTAGCAGAGGTACAAGGAGGAGCTGATACCATTCCTTATGAAACTATTCCAATCAATAGAAAAAGAGGCAATCCTCCCTAACTCATTTTATGAGGCCAGCATCATCCTGATACCAAAGCCCGGCAGAGACACAACAAAAAAAGATAATTTTAGACCAATATCCCTGATGAACATCAGTGTAAAAATCCTCAATAAAATACTGGCAAACTGAATCCAGCAGCACATCAAAAAGCTTATCCACCATGATCAAGTGGGCTTCATCCCTGGGATGCAAGGCTGGTTCAACATACGCAAATCAATAAATGTAATCCAGCATATAACAGAACCAAAGACAAAAAACACATGATTATCTCAATAGATGCAGAAAAGGCCTTTGACAAAATTCAACAGCCCTTCATGCTAAAAACTCTCAATAAATTAGGTATTGATGGGACATATCTTAAAATAATAAGATCTATTTATGACAAACCCACAGCAAATATCATACTGAATGGGCAATAACTGGAAGCATTCCCTTTGAAAACTGGCACAAGACAGGGATGCCCTCTCTCACCACTCCTATTCAACATAGTGTTGGAAGTTCTGGCCAGGACAATCAGGCAGGAGAAGGAAATAAAGGGTATTCAATTAGGAAAAGAGGAAGTCAAATTGTCTCTCTTTGCAGATGACATGATTGTATATCTAGAAAACCCCATCGTCTCAGCCCAAAATCTCCTTAAGCTGATAGGCAAATTCAGCAAAATCTCAGGATACAAAATCAATATGCAAAAATAACAAGCATTCTTATACACCAATAACAGACAAACAGAGAGCCAAATCATGAGTGAACTCCCATTCACAATTGCTTCAAAGAGAATAAAATGCCTAGGAATCCAACTTACAAGGGATGTGAAGGACCTCTTCAAGGAGAACTGCAAACCACTGCTCAATGAAATAAAAGAGGATACAAACAAATGGAAGAACATTCCATGCTCATGGGTAGGAAGAATCAATATCGTGAAAATGGCCATACTGCCCAAGGTAATTTATAGATTCAATGCCATCCCCATCAAGCTACCAATGACTTTCTTCACAGAATTGGAAAAAACTACTTTCAAGTTCATATGGAGCCAAAAAAGAGACCGCATGGCCAAGTCAATCCTAAGCCAAAAGAACAAAGCTGGAGGCATCATGCTACCTGACTTCAAACTATACTACAAGGCTACAGTAACCAAAACAGCATGGTACTGGTACCAAAGCAGATGTATAGACCAATGGAACAGAACAGAGCCCTCAGAAATAATGCCGCATATCTACAACCATCTGATCTTTGACAAACCTGACAAAAATGAGAAATAGGGAAAGGATTCCCTATTGAATAAATGGTGCTGGGAAAACTGGCTAGCCATATGTAGAAAGCTGAAACTGGATCCCTTCCTTACACCTTATACAAAAATTAATTCAAGATGGATTAAAGACTTAAATGTTAGACCTAAAACCATAAAAACCCTAGAAGAAAACCTAGGCATTACCATTCAGGACATAGGCATGGACAAGGACTCCAAAACATTGGCATTTTCTAAGCCCAGGGTTCCTCATTTGTGACACAATCTACTTCATGATCAGAATCCACAGATACCATTTTTCATCCCGTGGGTAGCAGGGTAGAAGGCAAGTGGCACCTTTGCAAACACGAAGCTTGTTGAGCCTGCTGTGCCATAAGTGATAAAGTCCTTTGTTTCTGAACTAGGAATCTCCTTTCTCTTGCCATCAGCCATAACATGATAGCAAGCTAACTTGTTTGCTTACAAATTAGGTAAACTCTATGACCCTTCACTTTTCTTGATGTTCAATACCCTGGAAAAGCCAGAGTTACATTTGAAGTTAACATTCAAGTTTCCTAAAATATTTCCAATTTTATTGCTTTTATTTTCAATTTTAATTGTGGTTTATTTTTTCTGTTCTGATAAATTATCTATAGGGTCAATATAAACTCAGTAAAAATACCAGAAGGCCCTTTTTAAAATAAAAATTGACAAGCTGATTCTAAAACATAAATGGAAATTCAAGGATTTAGAAGTCGTAAAACATTTTTGACCAAAAAACAACAACAACATTGGAGGACTTACACTATAGATTTCAATACTTTCTATAAAGCTATAATAATTAAGATGGTGTGAAAGAAATCATGGTGTGGCTCCACACTGTAATAAATCAGCTTAAATGATAATTATGACTTATTTAGTGAATTATTATTATTTACTTTTTGAGATTCATTTAATATATTAATTTAAGAGATATTAAATGTAGATTGGCCTAACCACATAAAACACAAAAAACAGGGCACACTTATTTTGAATAATGTGATTTATAGACACCATTTTTAAAAAGGAATGTGTTCATGGAATATGGTCTCTTTATTTTCTAATTCATATTCCTCTCTCCCTCTTGAATACTGCAATTTATTTTTGAAACTCATTTTATGATGATGAACAAAGACACTCAGAGGCATTACAAATATTTAAAAAGAAAATGTATTGCTCAAAGAGGCCCATTTGCTAGTTGTCAGAGCAAAATCATTGTTTTCAGTAAGGCAAAGAAATTTATGTTTTAGTTTCCTCAGAAGTAGATATATTTTTTTAATGCTACAAAACCATGGCATAAATTTAAATGGTAATAACAGATTCAACTACCTAATGTAAAAGATGCAGTATGCTCTAAGTAAATATTAAAAAAGCCAATATAAAAAATTCTGTTACCTGTTCTTTCACATAACACATTTAATTTTTATTCTAAGAGACTAAAGTACATAACTTTTTTTAAATTTCTACATCTGAAGTACTAAAACAATGCCTACCATTAATTTTCTTCTTCACTAATTCAATCAATAATGATTTATCAAATACCTACAGTATGCCTGGCAGTTTCAGGTCCTGGCACTGCTAAATGCATATAATATAGTCAACAGATGTTGGTTATGCACATGATTGAATAAAGGGATTCATGTGCATGGTTGACCTAGGCTGAAAAGCTAAGCACAGAACTTCAAAGTGTACAGCCGTAGTAAACACTTTTATTGATGGCTACAGTACCCTCTAACCTCATACTGTAGCTCAATGTAAACTGAAGAGTTTTTTAAAAAAATATTTTTATACTTAACTCAGTTTTATGGAACTTTGTAACAGCTGGCTTTAAAGTTATGGGTTTGTATTTCTTCTATGACTTTTTTCTTTTTAACAGACTCATTAACATTTTTAAAAAAATAGACTGTACACATTTGAAGTGTAAAATGTTATGTTTTAATAATTGTCTACATATGTGAAACCAAGATACAATCAAGATAATACACGTATATATCACATGCAAAAAAGTTTCTCATCACCCTTTGCCAACCTTTCTTCCTGCAGTTTCTTTCTTTTCATCCCATCTTCTACTTCACTCCATTTACAAAAATTAACTTAAAAAGGATGAATGAACTAAATATAAGAACTAAAACTATAACAATCTTAAACAAAAATATAGGGGTAAATCTTTATGAACTCAGATTTGTCAAGGGATTTTTATATTTGACATCAAAAGCACAAGAAACAATACAAAAATAGATAAATTGAGCCTCCTCCAAGTGAAAAATTTTATGCATCAAAGAACATTATCAAGAAAGTAAGGTAAAAAGCTGAATATGTGTCCTCTAAGATCAAGAATGAGATAAGCATGGCTACTCTTGCCATTTTTATTAAATATGCTACTGAAGTCCTAGCCAGAGTACTTACACAAGAAAAAGAAAAGCTATCCAAATTGGTAAGAAAGAAGTAAAACTGTCTCTGTTTGTAGAAGATATAATCTCATATATAAAAAATTCTATAAGTTCCATCAAAAAAAATCTCTTAGAGTTAATAACAAATTCAGTTACTTTGCAGGATACAAAACTGACATACAAAAATCAGTTTTGTTTCAATGCACTAACAACAAACTATCCAAGAAAAGGAATTAAGAAAACATTTTTATTTACAAAATAAATTTACAAATAAATAAATTTATAAAACATAAATAAAAGAGGAAAAAAAATTTAACCAAGGAAGTGGAAAAATCTGTATACTGAAAATTATAAAATATCGATGAAATTGAAGAATATGTAAATAAGTGGGCAAATATCTTGTATTCATGTGTTGGAAGAATTAATATCGAAATGTCCATACTACTCAAAGTGATCTACACAATCCCTCTCAAAGTTCCAATGGCATTTTTCACAGAAACAGAAAAACAATTCTAAAACTGCTATGAAACCAAAAAGACCCCCAATAACTGAAGCAATCTTAAGCAAGAAGCATAATGCTGGAGACACCATAATTCCTGGTTTCAAATTATATTATGAAGCTTCCACAGTTAAAACAGTATGGTGCTAGTATATAAAAAGACACATAGACAAATGGAACACAATAGAAAACTCAGAAATAAATCACACCCATACAACCAACTAATTTTGGACAAAGGGACCAAGAATACACAGTGAGGAAAGGATAGTCTCTTCAATAAATAATGTTGGGAAAACTGAATATCCAGATGCAAACAAATAAAATTGGATCTTTATTTTACACTATGCACAAAAATCAATGCAAAATGGATTAAGACTTAAAGCATAAGTCTTGACTGTGAAACTCTCAGAAGAAAACATAGAGGAAAAGCTCCATAATTTCATCCTGGCAATGATTTTTTGGATATGACAATAAAAGCACAGACAACAAAAGCAAAAATAAAAATTGGGACTACATATAAGGTTTCTACACAGAAAAATAAAACAATCAACAAATGCAAAGGCAACCTACAGAATAGGAGAAAATATTTGTAATCCATATATCTAATAAGAGGATAATATGCAAAATATACAAGGAGCAAATCTTAGTTGTTTTCTGTCACTATAACAGAAACCTGAGCCTGGGTAATTTATAAAGGAAACAGTTTATGTAGCTCACAATTCTGGAGGTTGGGAGGTCCAAGACTTGGGTAACCACATCAGCTCAGCTTCTGGTGAAGGCCTTTGCTGCATTATAATGGTGGAGAAGCAAAAGGGAAAATGAGTGCATACAGAGAACAAAAGTGAGAGGCAGCCTCGGTTTATAACCACTCACTCTCAGGGTAACAAGTCAAGTCCTCTGAGAGTGAGAACTCACTCCTGAAAGAAAGGCATTAAACACTCTTAACAGTCTAATCACCTCTTACAGGCACCACTTCCCAACACTGCCTCATTGGAGTCCAAATTTAAACATGAATTTTGGTGGGGAAAAAATTATCTTTAAATCATAGCAGAACACATACAACTCAACAGCCAAAAAAAAAAAAAAAAAACCTGATTTAAAAGTGGACAAAGGACTTAAATAGACATTTTTTCCAAAGAAAACATAAAAATGGCCAAAAAACATATGAAAGGGTGCTTAACATCACTCATCCCCAAATGCAAATCAAAACCACAATAAGATATCCGTCTCACACTTGTTGGGATGGCTACTACCAAAAAGTCAAAAGATAACAAGTGTGTGTGAGGATATGGAGAAGAGAACCCTTGTGTACTGTTGGTGGGAATGTAAATCAATATGGCCATTATAAAGAAAACTATGAAGTTTCCTCAAAAATTTAAAAACAGAATTGCCATATGATCCAGCAACCCCTCTTATGAGGGTAAAATTCAGTAACATACCCTCTTATGAGGGTAAATGCAAAGGAAATAAAATCACTATCTCAAATAGATATCTGCACCGCCATGTTCATTGCAGCATTATTCACAATAGCTAAGAAATGGAAATGGCCTGTTTATGAATGGATGAATGTCGTGTGTGTGTGTGTGTGTGTGTGTGTGTGTGTGTGTGTGTGTGTGTAAGATGGAGTGTTATTTAGTTTTAAAAAAGAATGAAACCCTGTCATATGCAACAACATGTATGGCTGGCCCTGGAGGACATTCCACTAAGTGAAATAAGCCAGATTCAGGAAGATAAATACTACATGATTTCACTTATATGTGGAATCAAAGAAAGTCAAACTCATAGAAAGAGAAAGTAAAGTGGTAGTTACCTGAGATTAGGTGTGGGAGAAGTAGGAAAATATTGGTTAGAGGGTACATATTTTCAGTTATAAGATGAATAAATTCTGGAGACCTAATATACATGGTCACTGTGATGTATATAGTTGAAATATACATGGTTGCTGTAATGTATAGTTGAAATATACATGGTTGCTGTAATGTATAATTGAAATATACATGGTTGCTGTAATGTATAGTTGAAATATACATGGTCCTTATAATGTGCAGTTGAAATATACATGGTAGCTATAATGCATAGTTGAAATTTGCTAAATGACTAGATCTTAAGTATTTTCATCACACACATATCTGTATGAGGTAATAGATATGTTAACCAGCTTGGCTATGGTCATCATTTCATAATGTATGCATATATCAAGACATTACGTTGTACACCTTAAATATATACAATTTTTATTTATCAATTATATCTCCATAAAGCTAGAAACACTGTTTGTAATAGCTCCAGAATAAGATGACCATTGTTAAAGATCTTTCTAAGCTTTGCAAGAATTTGGACCTACTGAAAATTTTATGATAAAAGATGTATGTTTGTATTTGATATATTACTGTTTCTAATTTATATGTATTTATGCTATAACTAATTTTTCTGTCCTTCTACTAGAACTTTTTTTTTTAGTGTATTGATTCAGTTTCCATGTTCTAGGCCTAAATGGTGTAATTTTGTTTTCTGATCTTAGTTATCTTTTGCTTTCACTTTTCTCTTCCTTTGCATACCATATTCTGGAGATACAACACTATCCAGTGACATGTATTAACTAATTAAAAATGTGTTTTTCTTAATTTAAATGTCCAACAATAGGGTGATTAAGTTATGATAATCCTTTCAATAGTATATTTTAAGTTTCATTTCATTTTCTAAAAATATTTGATGACATGAAAAAATTTTGATATATTGCTAAGAAATAAATATAATAGAAACTTATGACTTGAAATTACGTTATTAATAGTCTTTATTTTCCCTTTGTAAAAGACTTTAATTTTGTGAACAAAATATATGAATTCATAAAATGATTTTCAGATATTGGTAGAACAAAACGCTATTTTCAATTATTTGCAACCCCCACCCTCAATTATTGTGAAAATATTAGTTTAAGTCTCATGTGAGGGAAAGTGTAAGTTTTAAAAATCCATTTGCATTAGTATCAACTTGAAAGATTTTCTAGGAACAGTTCAATGAATTTGAAAAAATAATAAATGCTTTCTAAATCTTAATCTTCATTTAGTAATAGCATGACAGTTTCTGAGGAATTAACTATTGGGGACTAATGGAGAGAATACTAAGGTAAATGTCTAAGATTGAAATTTATTAGCTAATGATATTTTTACCATGGATTTTATTTAGTCCAATATCATGTGTAACATTCCTTTGAAAAGAAGTTTTAAAAATAAATTTTCATCCTCTGAAAAACACACCATTAACTTGTTCTCCCACCAGGTTTACTTCTTGATAATTATAACTAGCACATAACCAATCTACTGTATTACATTTTCATATTAGCTTTTTGAACCTCTTTTCTGCCTTAGTTTCTATAGTATTGCTCATCCTTGGTACAACAATGCATAATTTCACCTATGAATTTTTAGATCAACACATTATGCCTGTTGCTTAATGTTGCTTCAACCACAATTTTTGCCAAATAATATAATTCCTTTGAATTTCTTAAAAAGACACAACCTTTTCCTTACCCTCAGTTCTATAAACTAACACATAATATTTTGTACCAGAGATCTTTCCACAAAATTAGGAGAAGAAATGACAGGGATTCCAAAAATAAAATTAGAGCTATATATTCAAATGTTGGTTCCTCTCAGTTGAGATCATAAACAGTTACTCAAGAAGTAACAGTTATTATAGGAAAACCCTTATACCTTAAAACTATTTGACTGCTTTTATTTTGTGATACTGGAACAGTAGGTATTATTTCATAGTCATGCTGGATAGCACTTTCATTGAATGATACCATCATGTTAGCCAAATAGTTCCATAGCTGTAGATTTTCACTTGTTTAATAGGTAATATGGCAGTGCAAGAGACTGCATTTTACCTCCACCTCTGGCTTTTCAGTTATATAAACCAGCTTATTGTGACCTGTGGCAGGTGCAGTCTTAGTTACATTCCAGTATTTCCCAAGTTGGGAAGCAGAGTCGGGTGACTTTAGACGCAGGTGTTATTCTGAAATAATTTGGAAACATTACGAGCATGTGTATAGGGGCATTTGCAGTGAGTAGCTTGATATGAATATGTGAATTATATTATCTCATAAAACTTTGATTGATGGTTAATTCTAGGAATAGTAAGAAATTCTTTGCAACTTTATGTAAACATCCTAGGGCAAATTCTTCATGGAATTTCCTCTATCCTAAATTTTAAAGTAAATTTTGTTTCATTCAAAACATTTGCTCATTGTGGTTTCCCTTGGTCAATAATACCCACAGAAATACTTCTTTACTCCAGGGATCTGATTAGAAGCTGTAAACAAGCACAGATATAGTAAATGCCAGTCCTGTAAAGGACTTAAATCAGACAATTGGAAGAAAGCAACAGAGGTGTGGTGGGAGAAGGTTAATAAAATTTTATGCCCATTTTATGTATGAGCTTAACTAAATGCATTCTACCACCCCCGTGCAAGTGTATGTTGAAATTAAAGATGAAAATAAAGGCAAATTGGGCCAATCAACCACTTTATTTGTATGGAAGTAAAAATGTAGAGACCAGCTTTTAGTGCTTAGTGGGTCTGATTTGAAAGACTGTTTTTTTAATGCACTTTCCTTTCCTTAGGGTTTCAGTCTATTTTCTTACTCTATACTGAAAAATTAGTTAGGATGACCTATTTAAATCTGAAAGAATTGTGCATATATATTTCTCTTGATTATTACTAATGGCTATTTTGAAGCATTAATTTTGGTTCTCCACTGGAGTAAACAATATGGTAAAAATATCAAGTACTCAGAAAATAAAGCATACTGATATTTTTCTTTGAATTTAGTCTTACAAGAAACAGTTTTTTATGTTTTTCAAAGCATATTCTTTTTTCTCATTAAATTCTTACAAAATAAATTCTGAAAATATGAATGCTTATAGTCCAGGAAACTATGCTATAGAGTGAGATATTTGAATATTTTTAAATATCTGATGTAAGCTTTTGATTCTTTAGATTTTCTTCAATGAGAAAAGCACAACATTTTCTATCTACCATCCATAACATTTATTGACTATGTCGCTAATTTGGCCCGTGGCATAAGCAGACGTGGATTACTAGCTACAGAAATACTCATGTTTTATATGACCCCTCCTTGATTTTAGGAAGAAAGCCTTTTTTTCCTCTGAAACTCTCATAACACAGAAAATATGTAGTGTGCTATAGTTGATTCCGTAACTTGCTCTTTTCACCTTCAATATCTCTTGGAATCAAAATCATACATCATAAAAATGGAGTCATATATAAGGCCAAAATTCCAAGGAACACTTTTTTTTATGGTTTAATTTTAAAACCCAGAGGAGAAAAAGTTATCTCTTATATGAAGGAGTTGGATGGGATATCTATCCTTTGCATAACAACTGCTTTCTTTAATCTGTGGATCAGAATCCCACTAGCTTACTATATAAGTAAAGTGCATATCATTCATAAAAATTACACTCTCAGTCAAGAATGATCAAATGCTTCCAACAAAAAGAGGGTTATAATAGTGTATTATCCTGGCATGAAGATGGTCAGCTGACAGTATCATTTGTTTTATTTTAATGGGTGACAATAATGCATTAAAAGCTATTTTATTAAAAGTTAATATTTATTTTTGAAGAAGTGGATTTAGGTAGGCATAAGAAAAATCTTCACTTAGCTATTAAATCAGTTTTGTATTATCCAAAGCAAAAGCTTCACACCAAATGTATGTAAATCACTGACTTTCAGAGCACCAAAGGGAATGTACTTTATACTATAACTTAAATACTAATGAAATCAACTGAAAATGATAGTCATTAGTCAGCTGTGCCTTGATAGGGCTCCCTGTGGACTGAAATAAATTCACCATTAGAAATGGATTCTCTCACAGTCCACAGTGAGCATTTAATTTTTTCTTCAAAGCAGATTTAAATTTGATATTTAATGCATAGTGGTTGGCATTTTTCAAAAAGTTTTAGATAGCATGCTTTGTATTTGCAACTTATATTTAGTTTTCAAATGCTATGGGCCTGTGTGAAATGTATAGGATAGATAGTTATAATCACCAATAGAAACATACTAATTATTAAAAAGCTCAAAGCGAATCCTAATAGGAGCAAAACATATATTCATCTGTACAACTTGAGTCTTGATTTCGGAGCAGCTCTGCAGAAATTGGAGAGCAAATGTGTATAATATTATTACATCCTTCTAGGTTAAGATACAGTTAGAATTATGTTAGGTTTGGATATTTAAAATAGTGCTAATATTTATAAATTTATCATGTGATAATCCTATAACAATGCAAGTGTATGCATGTATACTGATGCATAAACTTTGGGAGTGATATGAAACACAAATTTCAAATACGTCTGTACAAATATATTGAGAATCAAGGAGGGAAAGTAAAGTCATAAAAACTACTTTAAAAAAATTGTGCATATACTTGTTATCACAGAAAATAGATGAATTTCTAAAATTAATATAGTATGTCTTGCTATATAGATAAAGTATTCAGTGAAAATACCCTATCTTTGAAATTGTTCAGGAAATCTGGGTATTGGAATTTTGGAAGAAAACTTGCACCATGAGTTTTAAGCAAAAACTACCCAAATGTCTTTATATAAAATAGCTTACATTTATTTTATTTACTACCAAAGATCCTATTGCACATAAATATAGAATTACTTTAATTATCTCAGTATCCAAATTAATTGTTGGGTATGTCTAGAAGGGAATTTACCTCTTCCAAGCCAGTATAGTATTAAAAAGTATGGTGACAGATGTTATTAATTAGCTTTGTGTTAGTATATGGTTTTGAAAGCTAACAATATTATATACTAGGGGTCTCTAACCTTTAGGCTGCCTACCGGTACTGTTTGTGGCCTGCTAGGAACCGGGTCACACAGCATGAGGTGAGTGGCCTGCAGTGAGCATTACCACCTAAGCTCCTCCTCCTGTGAGATCAGCTGGGGCATTAGATGCTCATAGGAGGGTGAACTCTTATTTGTGAACTGTGCATGTGGCGGATCTAGGTTGCGTGATCCTTATGAGAATTTGACTAATGCCTGATGATCTGATGTGGAACGGTTTCATCACAAAACCATCAGACTCCCTTGCCCCATCCAACCTGTCCGTGGAAAAATTGTCTTCCTTGAAACTGGTCCCTGGTGCCAAAAAGTTTGGGGACAGCTGTTATATACTTTTCATATGCTAATAGCAATTGAACTTCAGGGAAACGTGTGACAATATTTTCTCTAATTTTTGCAATAATTTTCTGGGTCTGCAAGTTGTTAATATATTTTGTTTAGTTTTACCATTAAAGAGCAAAATATAGTGAGGAATTTTCTCACACAAAAAAAGATGGAAATAAATACAAATGGCCAAGTAGATCAAAGGCAGGAGCAGATAACTCACAGACAAAGAGGTGTAAACATGTCAAGATTATTCTTAAAGTTTAGATGTATTTAATAAAATTAAGTCAAATGAGATGCCAAGTATAACTGTTAATTTATATTTACTTTTTAATTAATGATATCTAATTTCTATATATTTATAATTCTATAATACTGATATCAAGTATATATAAACACATATACACATATATTTATATACATAAAAGATATAAATGCATAAACATATGTACTTATATATAGGGTTGATGATAAGTTTAATTGAGTAGACTTCTTAGGGAAAATTATTTTTATTCTTTAACTCCTACCCTTGGAAAGTTTTCTTAAAGAAATAACAAAGTTATCCGTGTTATTAGGTTCCTAATGACATCTAAAAATAATTATTTGTTTATACTTAAAGGCATTTAATTGTGTTTTTATATTGGGTTATAATTTTTAATATAAAATAAGGAGGAAAAACAGGCAAAATGACAGTAAAGAATGTTATGTCTGTAGAACTTGTGAACATTCTATCCAGGCATTCTATCCAGATGTGGGAGCTACTTGTTTTGGTCAAACTGTCAACTTCTACAAGCTTTGTCTCCACAAACCACCCTGATCCCTTTGAGATTACCATGGTAGAAAGAACAACAACCGATGAAAGGGTGTTTTATCCCTGTGTGTTCTGTGACAGACATTTGAAAATAATTAACTCAGATGACAGATCAGAACAAAATCTTTGGCCATATCTATGCCTTTATCACCTAAGGCAAGGCTGCCAGTTGGAGTTGAAAATAAGAAGAGGGGCCTTTGCTATACATCTGTGCTCTTATTCATCCTGATCACCTCTGTTTCTTTCTTTTACCACCTTTCTGAGAAACCTGTTAAGACCTTCAAGTGATGTATTTGAGGCTGGGAAAAGGATGAAGAAGGAACCATAAAAAATGATGGCATATTGTCAGAGGATATAAGTAGAGAAGAGACATCTAGCTATCAAACTCTGGATAAGACTATAGCATTTCTCAAAGAACATATTTCATATTTTACTGATACTTGCTCTGCAGAATTTACATCGCCTAATCCTAGAGAATGAATGGGGCCCACGTATGCAGTTGTTTGCTTAAATGTAGGAATGGAAGTGGAAAAAATGCACACAAAAATCCTCAGTGTTAAGGCAATTTTTGGATTAGTAAAGCAAACAACAAAAATATATTCTAGAAAATCAGAAACTTCTCTATCTGCTAGAGCACATTTCCTGTGGTTCCTTTATAATAAGTGATCGTTTCTCCCAGGGCTTGAAAAAGACTGTATTTCATGTATAGTAGGCCTCCTTTGAATCAACTGGCCTCTGCTCCAGGGAAGCTGCCAGCAAAGGGAAGAATTGGGAAAAAAAAAGTCTGCATTCTTGTCACTTGAAAAGATGATGAAATTTCAGGAGCAATATTGAATATTTCATAATGTCTTATTTTTCTCTCTCCCTCTAATTTATATTTCATTCTAGGTTTTCCAAAAGGAAAGGGCAAAAATAAACAAAAATTCTACTTGTTAAGTGTCAGGACAAAAATGTGTAGGTATGGTTTGTGTGATGTTGAATTTGAAACCATGTATCACTAATAACAAAGTTTATCACAAATGAATGTAAACAAATAATACGTTTGTTTTACAAAATAGAAGTCTGCTAGGTATCAAAAAAGTTCAAGTGCCGGATATTTATTGACTCTTTTTGTCTTCCACAAAACATAAGCATAATTTGGACCTATCTTAGTGAACCAGAATATTTTATTGTCAGCAATTGCCATTTTGAGTTGGCTTATATTCTGATTTTGTGATAACTCAGTTTCTGCCTTAAGCCTGATACCTGAAAAGCTAGCTGGGTTTTTGGGCTCCAAGGAGGGGTAAGAAGGAGTTTAAAACTCATTGTGAACCATCATTGATAGAAGGATACCGAGTAGCGATGACCTTCCCTCTTTATGTAGCAATTTGGTAATGACTGTTCCGTCCACAAATCCTGTTGGCAGAGCTGATCACAAAAACTCTTTTGCTCCTGTCAGTGAGCTAACAGCATGTGACATTGAATGACCCAGCAAAGCAGATGTGCTAGTACCAAAGCAACAGCCACATTTTCTCTATCACAAAAGTGAAATGTACCTTCCTAAATCTCATATGCTTGTGGCTGTGAACATTCCAATTTCTCCCTCAGTTCGATATCTCTATAGTGTACGTCCATGTGAAGGTGTGCTTTATTGTTGTCTGCCTTTCCAACAATCAATTCATTTGCACCTTTTTCTAATATTATGACATTTCCTAAGTCTGGCTGTTTTGAAATGCCATTCTTCCCCCTTTAAAATATTTTCATTCACTTTTATCAGTAGAGCCAAGTTATGTGAATCTTAGGAGAAGCAAAAACTCAAAAGAACTTTGCCAGATTTGCTACTTGGGAAAGCTCTGTGCATTTGGCAGACAACTGTGATATGTGTAGTATAATTGCACATAGAAGCCGTGCTGATAACAAGAACAAGAAAACCACTCTGTGAAGGTATGTATGATAAGAGAAAGAGAGAGAAAGAGAGAAAATGAAAAGAGGGAGAGAGAGCAGGCACCAGATCCTGTAAAGTTGTATCCTGCACTTGCACAAGCTTGTATTAGTTGTCAACTACTTCACTTCACCAGCACTGTAAGCCACTTACATCACACTCTGTTAGTCTCATGTAACAAAATTGAAAATGGGGGTTCTGAATTAAAATAGGCAGGGTTAGTGAACTTCATGCATTTTCTGAATGGGTCAAAATCTTACACTAAGCAGGACTTTGCATTTTCTTTTGCAGTAAATTGCACTGCACTAGAGTGAGAAATCATGTCATATTTTGTTACTAAACCTGGAATCTCAAATCAGGGATCAATGAGACTTCAAAAAGTATACTTCTTAAGAGTTGCCAGTGGCAAACACGACCAGACGGTTTCCAAAGCTTTACCTTCTTTCTTTCATTTTTCTTAACTTTTTCATTTCGGGCTGTCTTTTCACAAGTTTTCACAAATACTAGAAAAGGCAATTACTAAATCCAGATGCTAGGGTCAAGTCAACCTAAAATTCTCTTAAATACACATTTTGAAAAAAGGAATTTTTGGAGAACTCCACTTAAGACATGATATCCTCATTTTATGCAGAAAAAGTAACAATAATTATTTCCAAGTATTTGCCAAGTGTACTTAGCACACTTAAAACTATTTCCACAAACATTTATTAAATACTTTAAAAATTTTCCACAGGATGCTCAGTTTTGTAATCTTTTTGTCCTATTTTGAATTTTTAATAAAAGTTAGGCATTTACATTGTGAAACTGTATTACAATTCTTTCTGCTGAGATTTCAAAGTTGCTTTGTTCAGTAATCTACTGGAGTTCAAAATACAAAAGGATACAGTGGAGCATTGTTCATACTATATACCAATAAGCTATGCAAAGCAATAACCTTCCTTTCCTTTTGTCTAATCTGAGTGACTGCATCAATACATGCACACACAAGTTTACATATTGGAGCATACATATCTGCCTGTGTGCATTAATTTATACCCTTAGTCAAAATAAAGTCTTGATTCTTATACTTACAGCTTCCACTGCACAAGAGGAATGTCAAATACTATCAGTTAAATTAGCAAGCACATTTTCAGGGAAATTGATTTTTGGAGTCTGAAATCCCTGAAATCACTCAAAGTCCTTGTTGCTTTTCAGGTGCCCCATTAATCTTTATAGGACTCTATTGACACTGGTGTCGGCTGCATTCCCTTGCAGGGCTTAGGGCAGATGTGAGCAGAACATCACAGCCCAGGGATTCAGTTCTAATTCAACAGAACTCACATTACTCCTTTAAACTAAACAGAAAATGATATAGAAGGGATTTGTAAAGACAAGGGTGTAAATTACAACAATGGTGCTGAACTATTCCTTGATAAAGATGGTTTCAGGGAAGAGCTTGTTTCTTGAATTATCTCCATTGCCACTTTATGTGGCTTGAAATTTAATAAGAGTGGGTCTCAAAGCCAAGGGAGTGCTTCTCATCCAAATGCTGCCTCCTCTGGTGCATATTTAGGAGTATAGGAAGCAGCTAGGACTGGAAGTTTTGATAGGAAAAAAAGAATAGAGTGAATTCAAATATGTAAACCCCATCTATAGAGACATAAAGAGCTATCAATAAAACTGAAGCTTAAAATAATAAATAAGACAAAATCATTAAGAAAACACTATAATGTGACCATGTTTTATTCCACATCCAACTGGAGCTAAACTGGGTAGTCTGAGCCCTAATTTAACGAGGAGTCTATGAAAGTGTCCTTCTTCCCTGAAAGAAAAACAAAGATAAAAAGGTGCTGTGGATTTTTCAGAATTTTCAACAATAGCTATAGTTCTCTTACAGGTAAAAAGAATAAAATTGAAAAACACTGAGGAAGAAGTAGTTTTCCAAATTGTTAGCATTATTTCTAGGAAGACAAAAACTGTTGTTGGTTTCCTCTCTGGCATATCACTTGCAAACTCTGTCGCCACTGTGGCCTTTCTTAGATTCAGTTCTCAGGGTAGAGCAATTAGCAATCCATTTGTGAAAGCAGAACATAAAAAACGGACTCTTTCTGTCCATATACTCTAAATTGTGCATGTAATGTAGATGGTGTGGTTAAGAAATATTGGTTATTTGCTGAAAATATGACCAATTCTACAGCAAATATTTAAAAATAACTGAGACAGGAGTAATGACTCTGTGGTGAACAATAAAAGACCATAATGATTTCAGTGATGACATTGTCCCATTGCTTAGGAAGTCAGAATAAGTCTGTTAAACCATGAGATACAACCCTTTTTTTCAGAGCAGCATTCTCTTTCATCTGAAAATGAGAGAAATTAAATATAGACAGACAGATAAAAAGGATTTACACCATTTTCAAGGTAATTTATTTTCAGTGCTTACTTTCTCAGCTTTATTTTCTGTATTAAACTCTATAAAAGCTCTCTTAAGTTCCCCCAAGCATCTCTGAGTGAAGCAGTCCAAAACATACATGAATTTGGTCATAAAGTGCATTTTATTCCTCTTGTCAAAACAACAAAAAAAGTCAGTAGGATATCTGGAATCACATAAAACAGACAGACGCCAGAAGGAGAGATGCATTAAAATCCTCTAATATCTGACACTCAGAGAGAATAACTGCATGAGGATGATTCAGACACTTGTGCTTGATATTAACCGGAAGAAAACATTCACTTTCTGTTGTAAGAACTACATATGGACAGGCTTTACTTATCATTTTTCCTCTGGGTATACTGATAAATTTGAAAGCACAGAAGAGTGGAATATTAAAGTTGACTCACCATTTCACCAAAAAAACATGTGGCTGTTTATGTGAATTATACATCACTGCCACTTTAAATAAATGTTGGAAAAAGAAAAATTGGATGTATACTCCTGGTGAACATTTTAAATATGGGGATTCTTTGTACAGATAGACAAGAGGTTTTTAAACAACTTAAACATTGATCCTCATAAACCTCCACTGGGCTGACCTATGATTCTAATGGACAATGTGATCACCCAAGACATAGCAGAGTGTAGCCAGGATAGCAGATAGCTTCACTGTCAGCTACAAGAACCATCTTTAAGTGAGAACCATAGCCAAAGTTTACAACTGCTATGGACTGAATGTTTCTGTCCACCCCAAATTCATATGTTGAAGGTAAACCTCTAATGTGATGGTATTTGGAGGTGGGGCCTTTGGGAGCTAATTAGGCCATTAAGGGGAAACCCTCAAGAAAGGGATTCATGTCCCTGTAAGTGGAGAAGAGACCAGAACTATCTCTCAGCCATATAAAAATACTATGAGAAATTGGCCATCTGTAAACCAAGAGGAGGGCCCTTGCCAAGAACTCAACCATATTGGCACCATGATCTGGGTCTTCCAGACTCCAAAACTGTGAGAAATAAATGTTTGATATTTAAGTCATGAAGTCAGTGGTGTCTTGTTACTGCAGTCAAAACTGACTAAGACAACAATCTTACACAGATCATAAAATTTTTCTTGTGTTTTCCAGTATACAAAATAAATTCACTTGAGTTCCTTTAATCCTTATAATAACTCAGTGGACCAGGTACAAACTCAATGGGTCAGCATAGATGGGTAGATCTTCATGCTATCCATGAGGAAGACACAAAATGAGGTTTGGAGACATTGTGTGACTTACATAAAGTCACAAATCTGATAAATGACTTAGTGGGATAAGACTCCCATTCTTCATACTACTAGGATAATGTTCTTTCCATTATACAAGTCTTTTTACAACTTCTTTTTTTTTTTTTTTTTTTTTTTACCACTTCTATGTTTTTCCCTTTTGTTTTATGGACTTTGTGTTTTGAAAGATTTTGTTAACTAAATGACTCAACACTTATCACATGGTAGTCACTGTAGCTTTACCATATACAAGTAAATGTGGAACTTTTCTTTTGGTCTCAAATGGGAAACAGATCATGTAAGCTTCTTACTCTCTTAGAGAATTCTGAGACTTACTGTACCATACCCACCTCACCTCCCACTGAGAAAATAAACCCAGGATCTACCTATCATACACCGGTGTCAATTTCACAGCTTTTCTTCTGCTGCTCGTGAAGCCTGGGGATAGTATTTGGATGAATGTAGAGAAAAATGGAATATTTTGGAATAGCTCAAAGTCTTTTTAGAGACTACTGGAAGCAGGGAGGAGAATGAGGATATTACATACTTCATGATTTTCCCAGTGTTGACCTTGCTTCATATATAAAATGAAAGACAGCAATGAGACAATGGCCATAATTTAATGACTAAAGTAAATGGTTTACTGAAGGTCAGATGGATTATTTTTAGCCTTCATAATAAGCAAATCAAATCACTGCCTGATTCATATGGTCAAATGATGCACAGTTGAATATAAAAATAACTAAACATGACAGATAATTTGAACTGTGCCTAGTTAGCAACTACATGATTTGTGTTAACTTCGTAAAAGCAACTTGCTAAAGACCTACAATAGCTAATGTCTACACAGATGTTAAAGAAGTAAAAGGCTCAACCCCCAGCCAGAACATTCTGAAAATGCAGCCTATTCAATGCTGAATAAGAATGTGAGGAGCCCTATGACTAATACAATTCCGGTCACACTGTAGAGTTAAGAAATATGAATGTACTTTATCCATCAATTACACTTCAGGAAGTGCTGGTAAGCCTTAAGTTAGCAATTAAATTCAAACAGACAATCTAATATTCACAAAAGACATATTGCAAGTGTGTTAGCTTTATCATTTGTGCATTTTCCTTTGTACCTTTAATAATTTATATTCTGTACAATCCAAACTCTTTAGCAGACCATGACTGTTACAACAGATTTTCAGATAACCATTACTGTCTTCTCTACACACACTTATTTAGTCTCACCCAGCTCCTTAAGATTCCCCTCATCTTACCTTGCTCTTTTGTGTCACTCCACTGTTTCACAGGACTGCCCCTCTTTCCTTTAAATCTTTCTTACACTAATCAACTTGATGAACTCCTATTTTATCACTTGCAGTCTTCTTTGTGGAGTCTTTCATGATGTCTCACCTTTCTCCTCACTCTATGCAGAGCTAGGTGTTCTCTTCTCTTTGATCCTGTGACATGTTTCTGATAGAGTCTGTTGGTTATGGTCTTTTTTCACATTTTATTAGCTGTCCATGTACTGGCCCCCCACCCCCCATCCCCTCCAAGAACTCAAACTCCAGAAAGAACGAACTGTGGTATATTGATATCTGAATCCCTGGAGTTTAGCTCAAAACTTGGCACAAAGCAAGTGTTCAATAAACATTTGTTGAATAAATGTCTTAGGTCGGATTCCCTAGAAACAGAACCTGAGACTGAAATTCTTATCCAGTGATTTATTGAAGAAGCTCTCTTAGGAGAAGTTGTAAGGAAGCGGGGGAAGCAGGATACAAAGCTGGGAAAGGAACCAAGCAAGTAAGTGATTTCAGATGAGTTCTAGGCTCAGCCTGATCCCAGGATGTCTCTGGAGTGTGAGGGGCACCACAGAGTTGTTCCCTCTTGAGGCAACAGGGCTTGCCTTCAGTATCCTTATGCCATTCAGTTTTTAACTGTGGGCCGCCTGGGGAGAGAACGTGAAAAATCCCAGACATTTCCAAGCTGGACAGCTTTAGTCTGCCCAGGAAGTCTCCCGAGAAGGGATACAGTTGAATGCTCATCATTCATAGCAACCCCAGCGTGGGTGCACTGTTCCAGGAAAGGGACCTGGTTAGGGTAACACCAGTGTTTACTGCCCCCTCCCAAAAAAGATTTAAGATTCTTCTTTTATACACATAAAACATATTCCCAGAGAAAATTCAACTAATAGGAATTCCTGAAATTCTGGAAGTACAAATTTCTGTATCAACCCTTTAATTGTTCTTTTTACCAAAATAAACTGAGGGACTGAAAAGGAATAGGAAATGACAATGAGGATGTTTATGTGTCAAGTACACACACATTCTCCAAACTATTGTGTATAATAATGCACATTAAATAGAATTATGAATGTGGAATACCAGAAAGAGTTCATACTAGCAATCAGACATCCGGTTCAAATACTAGTTTTGCCTGTGTAGCCCAAGGCAGATCACTGCCCCTCTCGTCTGTTTTCTCCTTTGGGAAATGATGATGATAAGATCTACTTCATATGTTTCTGGCAAAGATTAGACAAAAAATATATAAACAACCTTACAAGGTACTTAGTACAGAGTTAGGATGGTGTTATATATTATTTCACTTTATTTATTTACTATGTCCAAAAACAAATATAGTTCTTAGCAGAACATTCTACTAATATTCTTTCATATTGAGAGTCCTCTTTCAATATTTTAGAATATTTTTGAAGTACAGGATCCATAGTAGGGAAGAAGCTAAGCTCATTCTCATGTTCAGCTTAAAAACTGAATCTAACCACATTAGAAAACATTTCTACTTCCTCTAATCACTCTTTTTCATTACCCTAAGTTACTACCTTCAGAGCACTAATCACTGTGTAAAATTGTTTAAATTTATTACCTCTTTTGGTTTTATTGTCTACTACTCTCTCCAAGTAAAATCTAATCTTTTTAAGGGTAGCTACCTATTCTCTTGTTCAATGTAACATCGTTGTCATCAAACTCTGCCTGGCACATTGTTGGTAGTAAATAAATAATTGACCAACTGTCTTACAGCTATTTTAAATTATCTTATCAAAATCTCAAGCTTGTTTTGACTTACAGGCAGGGTTAAATGTGTTTTCACTTAGAAGAAATTAAAGGCCACACCTACTATACCTATTCTGTGACCTATGTGAGCACACTTCATTTCAGAGCAACAGGTATGTCAGTAGTATTAATATTCACTTAACCATTAATTATGACAACTCCTAGCAAACTCTTATTTTCAGATTCTCAATTCAAGCAAAGTTGCAATTCTGTGCTTTTCAAGGTACTACTACTACTCCAAGAATATAGTAAATAGACAAGTCACAGAATTGTCATATAGTTCTTGAATTATCATGATAACCAAAAATGATACTTTATAATTTTGTGGGATAAGAAAAAATAATACTTCATAATTGTATAGTATTTTGTGTGCATCATCATATTTCATCCTGTGAATATCTCTATACATAGTGATATTTTGTTTATTCATTTGTTTTTCAAAATTTTCTACTGGCATCTAGCCTACTTTCTTGATGGGGTCTTTAGACATATGTAAATATAAATTTATATTTTTCTAAATTATGACTTTTTAAAGATGTTTTGGATTCTTAATTTACTTGATTGTACTTGCAGTTAGATGTGAATAGCTGTCTCACCTTTTTCCTTTATATGGCTTAATACAATACAACCCATTTTAGAACCTTGAAGTTAGTGGTAATATTGATATCAGTCAAAAGAACAAAGAAAAAAAGAGGTTTGAGGTTTAATGTGATTACATAAATGTATAAATGGGTATCTGAGGGTTTCTAGTGTTGACTTACATTTACAACTGTCCTGGTTGCTGATGAGTGTAAATATATGAATGGTGGCGATTCTCATTGCTTTAACTACTCTGTTCTCCTCCTCTTGATATACCTGTAAGACGTGATTCATCTCTGCAACAGAAGACTAATGCAGTCAAAAAATACAGAACAATTATGTGAGAAAGATTATTTTTTCTTTCACTTTAGAGGTTAATATAAGTACTTGTAGTTACATAATCCAAATAGTTAATACTCTGTATGTATTTCAATAATCTTTCTCAGATACATATAGAAAAATCTGGCAAAATTCAAACATGCTGAAGATCAGATCAAATGTGATATTGTGTTTCACCAGGTGGTTACTAAATATTTGTTGAGAAAATAAAATATATTCAATGATTTAAGGATTGCATATTGAGTAACTCTATTTTCAGTTTCACATTGAAATTTGAAATATACACACTAAATAACTAGACTTTATTTCATTTGAAGTCTGAATGCTCATTACAAGGTGATGGATGAATTATATAAAGAGAATATAACTCAGTCCATAACTTTTTAGTTAGAAAATTGTTTCTCCTCATTTACTAAATTACTCAGTAACAATTTAATGGGTAAAGAGGGAAAAGGAACACTAAAAATGAAAGTGAAAATCTAGGCTCTCAGAATGAATAATATGATAATTTTTCAGACGAATGCTTTAGATTGTATCAATGAAAAAGTACCTGATTTAAAAAATGAATGTTTAATATTCGAAAGAAATTAAATTCCCCTAGATCCCTGCTAAAAGTTTCATTGCATTTCCAAATTAAACAACTCTTTCAGGAACTGCTCAATGTGTCAGTCGTCTTTAATAATTGAATTTGCTCCAAGAAATAAGCAAATAAAGAGCTTCTGAGTTTTATTCTATGTCTTCATCACATTGGAAAACTTCAAAATTTGAAATTTAATGTAATCATTTGTTTTCTAGACTTCTTGATTTTGTAGGCCAGAAGTTGATGCTGAAGTTATCTTGACATTAACTTTTTTCATTATGATGTCACAAGCCAAACAGAAAGATTGTGAAACTGTGTAACTTAGGGCTGCAGTGATCGTTTGCAGGATCCACAGGGATCTCTGTTTCCGAATACACAAAGATCTCTTTTTTCACCCTAGCTTTAAAGTTTCCTTTGGCCTGTTGGCTTTCTAAGTGTACTTGTACCTAAAATAAAATTAGTAAGTCACGTGAAATGTGACATGGTATAAATGTTTTGGGATGATATTTGCAAAGGCCTTTAAATATAAATTTCTACCATTCAAATAAATATCAGGTAAAGATATTTCATTGCAAAATGTCAAGGCAAGTAATTGATGTGCCTCATAAGCAGTGTTTAAGTTTGTTGTTCTCTGTGAAATAATGTTTAGTTGGGTCCACACTATATTTATGTACATTTAGTCTATATTTATGTACATATTAAGCAGATTATTTTACAGGCTAAGTACTTTTTGCAATAAATTAAGGTTTTAGTAAATTAAATTGTTATATTTAATTCAAGTTTTCTTTATTTAACTAATAATACTCTGTTCCTTTATTTTATTGGATGAGATATAGACCATAACAACAACAAACTGAAGAGAAGAAAAAAATAACAGACATGAGTTCAAGGGACATCAGCGCCAGCCAATGGTTTTCCTCTCCATAATAGCTACAAAGCTATATTTCTAACCCAACCACATTTCTAAATCATTTCACTTCCCTACAGCCTTTATCAGTTCTCACTCAGCTTGAAATAGTTTTTCCCTATATGAGGTAATTTTGCACAATAGACAGACTCACTATTTAATATATTATTTTTTCTTTTATTTAGAAACACTATATATATATATATAGAGAGAGAGAGAGAGAGCGCTATATACTTAGTAAATGTAGACACGAAAAAATAAGGAAAATGTACTCTCATTACACATCACAATAGATAGTTGCTATTAACTTTCTCTTGTATGCATACATAAGTTGTAAAAATGACATGATATGGTACAATCTGTTTTGCTATTTACCGTGGTCACTTGACAAACTATTATGAAGATGTTTTCATTTCAGTTAATGTATTTCACCCTATAGTTGTTATTCATTATCACAATTCTGCTATGATCCTACTTGTGACTAAACCTTCCTTGAAGGAAGCCTGATAGTTCTTTTATCAGCATTTATATCTTATATTGTTGTCTTTTACCTAATTTTGTCAAGAATATATATTATGCTTCCTTGACCTGTATTCTCAGATATCTTTTCTGCCCAGGAAATTTTTATTCTTTTCTCTTTTCACTGTTAGTTTGTTTCCATTCATTCTGTATTTTATTCAGGAGTATAGATCATCTGGATGTTAGGTCTCTTTCTCTGCATCCCAGAAAATCTTCTTAAATATCTTTCCTACATTACAGATTTGTGTTTTTTAAATTATGGTCAATGTTTTCATTCCTATTTCAAATATCATTCAAAATTCTGTTATGACATTTTTCCACTTCTCTTAAACTTTTCCAACCCCTATTTTATTTTCATTTTCAAGCATTTCACTTCCTTTTCATAGAAAACATATCTGCCTTTACTTCCTTAAAGCAAACAGATTCTATCTCATTTTGCTTTTGTTTCCTGTTAAATATATTATTAAAAAAACATTGTCTTTATCCACTTTTAAATTACTTTATATTTTTATACTGCAGAATAGCTTTAATAAGTCCCCTGTTAATTTTTTGCCTCAAATGAAGTGACAACACCTCTGGCCTTTTATTTTGCTCCTAAATGTTGTAAATGCTCCATCTTCAAATCCGCTCACTCTCTTGGTACCTTATGCCCATATAAGAAGTCTAAGGCCACACCAAAGTCAGGGGAAAGGAAGATGTATCAGAGATTGAATATCGTCCCAGGAGGTAAAATATTCTTTGTGTTAAAAAGACTTCTCTGTGCTCATTAAAAATACTTTAAGATGCCAGCTTTCATCGTTTAAATTTTTGTGCATCCTGGTCTCTGTTCTAGGTACACAATATAGTTGTGGTCAGCTTCCTTCAAGTTGCTGTTGTCAGTGTTATGGAAGGACACATTGCTATGCCAGAGAAGAGCTCTAAAGCATCATGTTAGGTCTTACCTTTCAGAAGAGTGCTCATCATGATAAAAAGCCCTTTTAGAGAAAGTAAGCTCTTAAAGGCTGTCCTAATGGTTCTTCTAACAGCGAAGTTTCTGAGTGCTGTGGAATCACCATGGTAAACCAAGGTTCAAGTGGATTGACTTCCACCTGGCACAGGACACCAGAAACAGGTCTTCTACATTTTATGTTTAAAATCTTATAGGTGAATTTGAATAAATAAAAATGAATCAATGAAAGGAGAATGTTCAGTAAGATTCATTCCATATTAAAATTATTCTATAATCTTTACTTTTTTCCCTTTGTGTATATATGTATAACTAGATATAAGTATATTAGTACATGTGTAGATATATTAGTATATAAATATATATACGCACATATATATGTTTTACATATAAAACATATCAACATATTATATATGTTTTACATGTAAAACATATCAACATATTATATATGTTTTACATATAAAACATATCAACATATTATATATGTTTTACATATAAAACATATATAATAGAGCCCTTCTATATACTTTATTTACTAAATGTTTACAAGAAATATAAAGTTCCTTATTTGTTTAAAAGATTATTTAATGACTGATTATAAAATATAATTGAAGTCCCTTCTTTTACATTTCAATGCATGTTAAATTTAATTTTGAATTTCCTGGGAACCACAACAAATAACAATATATTATAGATTATTCACATATGGTCAATGAAAACAGACCAATGATTCAGATTAGAAAACATTACTGAACTAAATTCTAAAATTATATATTATAAGGCAAGTTGTATTCACTGGCCATTATACAACATAACAGACCAATTATATTTAGTTTTCTAAAAAGTGTAAAGCTAAGCATATTAGGCCCCTTTAATTGTAACTAACCCTGATGGCCCTGGTAATATAAAGGATCCATGATGAAGTTTATGAATGATATCTAGAGGCCTGGTACTTGGAGTATCATTTCTGATTATTTACTGCCTCAAGATGGCACGACATAAAGTCAGATAAATAATCACCAGGATGGCATGTAAGATAAACACACTTACTTTCTGTCAACCAGCTCAGTGGTTCTCAAACTGGAGTGTGCATTGGAATGCCCATGGGAGCACGTTAAAATTCAAATGTCCTGGCTCCGTCCTGAGTATCTGATTCGGCAGGTCTGAGGTAGGGCCTTCAAGATTACATTTCTAACATGGTCCCAGATGATGCTGCCAGTCCAGCACCACACTTTGATAATCCCATTTCTAGGGTATTCTGCTTCAGAGGAGCATTATTCAGCGGGTGGTTTGGGAATTATTGTGGACATAGAGGTTGAAAAAATAAAAACAATATTTGAAGAAGGATGCCAATAATGTATTCATTGTAATGATCCTATATTAATAGTTATTTAGTTCTCTATATTTTACTTATGATGTTATTTCATTTAACCCTCAAAATAATCTTGTGAATATCGACTCATTATCACCATTTTCAACCAAATGAACTGAAACTCAGAGAACCTAAGTGAGAGAACCCAGAGAAGAATCTATGTATCTTAATTTTCAACCAATATTGTTTTTGAACAATATGGTACACACAGCTACATTTTTTTCATGAAGGAATATGTGACAGCTTGCTGGTGATTTACTAGAATGTTGTGTCCTTCAGTTTGTATATTTTCATCTAATACTTTTGAAACAACAGCAATTACAGAGAATGCAGGTCAACATCAGGCCACTGGTAATTTGTGATTAAATGTTCTTCTCTTGCATATAGTGTGTTATTTAAACTTAGTATAGACAAGATGCAATTTTGGTTTTGTTTTTGTTTTTCTTCTTTGTCTTTGGTTACTACGGAGAACCTGTAGCTGGAATGCCGTCATTAAGAATTGAGGTAGGAAATTCCAGGTCATCACATTTGTTGGCTTAGTCTGTAGAGATTCTGTAGGTATGAGATGTTTTCAGTGACTTGATACGACCATTTTTATCTTTTCCCTCTGTATTTTAGTATCATTTTCCTGTACTCCAAGTGTTTATAGGGGAATTTTTAAAAACAGCTAGCTAATGTTAAAATTCTAGCATTTTGTGTTTATCGTAAAGACTGTGTGTCTACAGAATTCTGTGACAACTTCACAGGGGCAACCCAAATTTACTTCTAGTATCATACATACTCCCAAAATATGTACAACTATGATATATCAATTAAAAATATTTAAAAATCATATATTTCTTTTCTCCCTTTTCTCTCTCCAGCCAAAGGCAAACAAAATAGTGATTTTTCTAATACGTAGCATTAGGACAGAGCCTATGGGGGAGCACTATGTAGCAACCACTTTTTTACTCTATAGGAACTGTATTTTTTTTCCCTGCTTCCTAAGCCAGAGAGAAAATTGAAGCTCTGGGGATCAAGAGGCTTTGATAAAAGTAAAGTACAAATGATGCCAAGGAAATAGTAAAACTCATGTAATTGTGTCTCAAGCATAGAACTGGCATGAAACAAGAGTGCTGTGTGTGACTCTGCAAATATTCAAGATTATGATGGATGTGGTAAAAATTGTTCAAACCTCCTTGTTTCTCTGCTTTACAGTGCACTGGTAAATGGATTCTATTACATTAGAAGATAGGACCATTAGAGAAAAAAAGAGAAAGAAAGGGAGAAAACAAAGACTTTTCAACCAGTGCATAGTGCCAATGGCCATAGGTAAAATCAGTGTGATCATTGAGAAGTTTGGTGCATTTCTGATCACTATGCTTGATAAGAGTATATGCACTATAATTTCATTATGTCTATGTCTTCTGAAAGTGAAAAAATATATTAATCAAATCAGGGTTACAAACTTCAGGCATTTCAACCAGGTCTCTCTCTTTTTTCCTCATTAACTCTATGAGTGGTTTGATTTTATGTTCAAGGTAGCTTTAAAATAATAAAATATGAGGTTGGTGCATCTCATCATTGGTGCATTTCATCTTCTAATGAAAATGATGAAAAGTGATCATAAAAATTCTTTAATTTTGCTAAAGAATAGGAGAAAATTCAGCACTAGTAAGTGTTCTAAACATGCATTTTAGATTTATCACATTTTACAGTGTTTCGCCCATTTATGTGACTATGTCCCCAACTATATAGTAAACTCCTAGAAAGCAGGGATCTTTGATATCCCCAGCTCATAGTTGTGAGTTCTCAATATCTGTTGGTTGAATAAATGGAAGAAAAGCACAAATATTGGAATAATTGTAAATATTCGTGTTTTTTACTGAAGACAAAACTATGCAAGAGAGACAATAGAAAAATATCAGATCTTATTGTAAAAGAGAGCCTAAGTCTTCTGAATTTGAATTCAGGGTTCTAGAAACTAAAAAAAAAATAATACTAGGTCTACTCAGGAGTGATATTGAAAGTTCTATATAAAAGCATTGTTTGGATTAGGCTTGACTGATAAGTGGAAATATTTGTAATTCGTTTAATATCTGAACCCAAATTTCTGATTACTTTTGTAAAATTGACATTATTTTGACAAAGTGCTTTCTGTGAATACCATTGAGTGTTCACTTTTGAATCTCTAGGCCTTTGAGATTTCTCTCTGTCGCCTTTCACCACTCACATACACATGTGCTCACTCCTCTCTCTTCCTTTAGCTCTTGGCCTATACTCCTTCCTGATGGCCCTGTTCACAAAAACATCTTTGCCACTTTATTATCTACCCCTTATTCTGCTCTCCTTTTATATAATGTTACCCCTCTGTAAATATTAACCTGGGAGTAAAAGTCAAAATATGTAACAATCAGCATGGGGATGCCAGGACCGCTAGTCAGGGCAGGTGCCTGCCAAGTTCCTATTGAGCCAGACACTAATCTTCTAGATCTTAGATCTAGAGGAAGTCTAGGGAATCCCTAGGGAGTGTCTGTGGAGGCCACAGCAAAAGAGGTATACTTAAGGGACTACTTATCATGTGAAACAGAAATATTTTAGTAGTTCAGACTCTGTACAGCTATTCTAGCCCATCCCAGTGGAATATCAGCCCTGTATTTATTTGACATTTGTGTTCCTACCTTTGGGTCTGGATCTCCTGCTTCTAAAATATAAGCTTTATAAGAGCAGAAGCTCTGTTTTGTTCATTGTGATATCCTTAGGTTCCAGAACAGTGTCTTCCACATGTAGATGCACCATAAATATCTGTTGAATGAGTTAATAAATAAATGGTACATAACAGACTTACCTGATGTGAGAAGAACTGTTCTCTCAAAATTTATTATTTTTCCCTAAATATTACAAAAACTACCCGATAGAAATTTATTTATAGTAGCTCAATATTATTTTCCAGTGTTTCAGAATGGCATTTTTTATTTTAGCTATATAATGTATTCTCAAATCTATATGTGCAGATGGCTGCATAATGGAATTCTGAAGGAAGTGATAGCCAAACATTTGTGATACTGTGCTTCATTATTAAAATGTTTTGAGCCTTTAATATATGCATGCATATTTATTTTAAAGGCATAGGTATTCTGCTAGTATTATTGATATGGGAGGGGAGCAGAGAAGTGCTGGGTAGAGGAGGGCGTGGTCCCTGGCTACGGCTCCACCCCCAGGCCTGTGCCCACAGACCTAGGTGAGAACAGGTATTTCCCGGACCACCCTGGCCTGTCACGCCCCTATTCTGTACTTATAAAATCCCAGAGACCCTAGTAGGCGGGGTCACAAGTGGCTGAACTTTGAGAGGAACACATTGGTGGAAGAAGACACAAGCAGCTAGACGTCAAGAGGCACACTGCAGCGTAAGAGCACATCAACAGACGCCGGCAGGCCAGCAGGCCATCGACCGGCAGAACAACGTGGAGTTTGGCTGGGGCGGTGGGAGGAGAGTCCAGGCCGCCTGACTCTAGGGAAAATCCACCTTCCCACTCCATCTCCCTTCTGGCTCCCCCATCTGCTAAGAGCTACTTTCACTCAATAAAACCTTGCACTCATTCTCCAAACCCATGTGTGATCCAATTCTTTCCGTACACCAAGGCAAGAAACCCCGGGATACAGAAAACCCTCTGTCCTCGCAATGAGGCAGTGGGTATAATTGAGCTGATTAACACAAGCCGCCTACGGATGGCTTAACTAAAAGAGTACCCTGTAACACATGTGCACTGGGGCCTCAGGAGCTGTAAACATTCACCCATAGGCACTGCTGTGGGGTCGGAGCCCCACAACCCGCTCATCTGCCTGCTCCCCCAAGGGTTTTTGAGCAACAGGGAACCAAAGAAGTGAGCCACACCCCCATGCGGGGAGGACAAAAGAAATTTTCCCATCTCATTATTATATGCATAAAACATACTCCAAATTAGAAATGTTAAAGTGAGTTGAAATAAGCAATATTCAACATTTTATATATATATTCTATTTATCACTGTTAAACTTTTTACAGTAAAACACTACTAATAACTAATAACTGTGACTTTTAGTGTTAGCAATATTATTTAATCCATTTTGTTTTTCTGAAAAATAGTGGTGAAATACATTAGGATAAAATTGCTGATTGTAAGTTAATCTAAGTCATTTGATTTTCATGGCTCTCATAGCTAGAGATAACCTTACAAAGACACAATAATCCAAATACGAGATCACCAACTACACTTGCCCCATCATTATACATATTTTAAACTTTCATCTATCTGAGCAATTATGCAAATAATTTTTTTGAAATTTAGCTTGTTAATTTCAATCTTTCCTAATGTCTATCAATTGTTATTTCAAACAACTTAGAAAGGGTTAAATAATTATATTTCTTAGCAAACGAATTAAACCTCCTGAAATTCCTCATTTGGAATGTTAAAACAGTTAAAAACTCTACTTTTTAGTAACTTCATATTTATAAGTACAGTACACAGATGAAACTCTTAGGTAAATTTTGGAATATAATTACCTAACTAGACAAACATCTCCAAGCAACTATTTTCAAAGTGCTCATGGATATTTTCTGAAAGACTATTACTTTCTCATAATTTTAAAACACAAGTTGTCTGGTCACAACTTGAGATATTTTTGGACCTATAATCTTACACATCCTTAATAAAATGCTCAAGTTTTCATGATATTCTCTTACCTTGAAGGGGCAGATTGTGTTCATTTTTTTCCAAAATATCTGCTTGGTATTATGTTACTCACCACCACTAAATTTGAAATGTTGCCTGACATAACTTTACCTAATTACTTCTTTTCTTATTACAAAGTCTTGTAAGGATACCAATATTTGGGTTGGTTGAATTTAAATCCACATAAGCTGTCATATATACATTGCAATTTGCCATATGGCACTGGAGGAGTATGATGGAGTGTGGTGGGAACTGCCAATATCTATATGCTCCGCTGAGCCCTCTTTCCATCGAGAAGTGGAGGAAGTGAATTTCTGACATACAGATATGGCAAGGTCATCAAGTCAATACATTAAGAAAATTAGAATAAAATCTTAATTCCTTCTTTATATTTAGGAAAAAATAGAAAAGGGATTTCTAATATTTCTTCTCATACCCCAAATGTGCACCCATTCCTGTGAATGTACACGCCACTTTGGAGGCAGCCATCTGGAATCTGCAGACATAACTGCTATTGACCATGGCTAAATATTTTGACTCTGTGAATATTCTATTTAGAAACAGATTCTCTATTCTTTGTAAAATAAATCCACTTGACAATATTAAACACCCAGTTTTTCCTTTCTCTTTTTAAAGTATGATGTAGACAATCAGCCTTTATGTAAGGAAAAAAAATTCAGACCTGTGTTTTCAGTTTTTACAAAAGGTTAATGTGTATACACTAATTAACTTTAGTAGCTTCAGGCTGCTTGTTTTGATCTTCATATTTAGGAATAGAAATCTTCAGAGAAGATTAGATTTGATGGGGAATAGAAATTGATATGTATTAATGTCAGCTATCATATCCTATTCTTACTGAAGTTTTCTTTTCCAATATCCCTTACAAGTCACTTCTTCATTTTGCTAAGCTTAAAATATTTGTGTTATCATACAAGATATCAGTAGAAATGTCTACATACCAATTCCAACTGTTTCTTTTGCTATTTGGCCTCATATTGCAATGCTTTCAAGTCAGTTTTCCTTCTTTCTTTTTTTTTTTTTTTTTTTTTGAGATAGAGTCTCGCTCTGTCACCCAGGCTGGAGTGCAGTCGTGCAATCTCGGCTCACTGCCAGCTCTGCCTCCCAGGTTCACGCCATTCTTCTGCCTCAGCCTCCCGGGTAGCTGGGACTACAGGTGCCCGCCACCACGCCCGGCTAATTTTTTGTATTTTCAGTAGAGACAGGGTTTCACCATGTTAGCCAGGATGGTTTTGATCTCCTGACCTTGTGATCCGCCCACCTCAGCCTCCCAAAGTGCTGGGATTACAGGCATGAGCCACCGCGCCTGGCCAATTTTCTTTTTAACATTTATTTGAGAGACTTGAGCTGTCCTTTTTAATCCATATAATTTGCCTATCTTAAATATCATGGTAACTTTAGCACTTTATTAAGGATGTGTAAGATTGTAGATATAAAAATATCTCAAGTTGTGACCAAGCAAGATTCTATCTCCTCTTTCGGAGCATCCAAGGGAGTGAGAAGGGGAAGCTGTGGAATTGACAGCTGGTTGTCAGTCTCCAAACTGTCAGAATAATTTGAAGGCAGATTAGTTTTACAGATTGTTTATTAACATAGTCACAAAGGGGAGATGACAAGGGGCCTGTTTCCTGTTTGGTTCTGCATAAATTGGTTCTTCCTGTGAGAAAACTTTTCTGTGAAATTGGGGATGGGAAGTGGGTTAGGGAGAGAACAAAGAAAACATGTTTCACAATTGAAAGCAGCACTGTAGACCTTAATTTAAGATCATTAGCAAGCAGGCTGAACTAAAACTTTTTCTGAAGAACTCAATCAAGCTCATATGTTTTCCTTGATTGTTTACATAAAACATGCTTATGAGGGATGAAGGTCTCTTCAAAAAATTATTTCAGTTTTTATCAGTGTGTGTGTGCTTGTGTGAGGGGGATGTTTATACCTTTAGTAGATAATTTGTGTTTCTCATGTGGTTTATACAACCCAAGTCAAGCAAAGCACAGGAGTAGCAAATAAATCTTCCACCACGTAAGAAAAGAACGTACCAAAATGAAAGCAGCACATTACACTTTGGCATGATATTGTTTGTCTCGGAATTTACTATTTGTAAATTCTAGTTTATCTATGCACAACCCTGGACTTGTTTTAGATTTCTACCCTGGCCTTTTGAGTGCAATTGACTATTGAAAATAATTTGCTTGAGGTAACATTGACAAGCCAGTAAGACTGCGTGTTTTTCAATCTGTGCTTAAGATTTTGCAAAACTTTATAAAATATTGCCTTAATACTTGAACCCAAAATGTTGGAGAACTCCAAAAGCCATGGACTAATAATCCCAGAAGTCTATATCATGATGCTTACATTTTATTCTTAACTATTTATAGAATTCAGATTCACTTCAAACTTGGCCTATTTCTTAAGCCTATGACCAGATTTTCATTTTTAGTTCACTTCCTTATAATTATTTGAGCTGTGCTAGCCTCTCAAAACCAAGTGCAGACATTTGTCTAGAGAGGCCACATAGCAGTAAAATAATAGTGGAAAAGTTCTATCCTATTCCTTTCCACTCCAGGGGTAAGGCCTTATCTGGAATTAGAGTCTAGGAGGGAAGCTCAAATATATGGGGGATTCTAGAACTATATCAAGAGGGAGAATGCAATGGGGTTAATAGATTACAGTTACGGAAGACATTTTGATTCAGTCCAGGGTACCAAGGCAGAGGTCAGAATCCTGGGCTCTCAGCAATGCTGTGTCATAATGCAGGTGCTGTGGCAGAGAATCTATAAAGCAAGCTTGTCCAACCTGTGGCCCATGGGCCGCATGTGGCCCAGGATGGTTTTGAATAAGGCTGAACACAAGTTTGTAAATTTTCTGAAAACATTACGAGACTTTTTTTTTCTAATTTTTTTTTTTAGCTCATCTGCTATCATTAGTGTTAGTGTATTTCATGTGTGGCCTGAGACAATTCTTCCAATGTGACCCAGGAAAGCCAGAAGATTGGATACCTTTGCTATAAAGAATCCATCAGAATGTAATGGAATGATAAAATGTAATTTGGGGAATACTCAGTGCAGAGTTTCTCTTTTCTGTAGCCTAGCATGTTCCAAGGATATCTGGAGTAGAACCTTATAAGCACTGGGATGGGCTTAAAAGTGCTAGCTAAGGCCTTTTTATAATTAACTCCATAAATTTCATTAAGATGTTTAAGCTCTGTTCCCTGATTCTGGTTCCTGCTTTTAAAATAGAGGGCTAATTTTAGATCATAAAAGTACACCCCTGAAAACAAGATATGATTTTTTAAATGTGGCAGAAATATAGATATAAAACTTTGATGTTCAGTATTTTAGACTTTCAAGGATCTCAACATTTGGGCAAAAGATGCAGAGGTATAAATTTTAAAAAATTTTTACTTTCCCAAATAGTTCTTAAATGTCTGCTTGAGATGAAGCATATTTCAGGGTGTACATTCAGTAGCTTATTGAACCTTTTAAAATTTAGGCATATTGAGTTTTTACAAAATTTCTCAGTATATTAGGAAATACTCCTCTAAAGGTTGGGAAAGTAGTTTTTAGAAGTAGATGCAATGACGGGAGAAGTTAACAGTCCTTCAAAAGAAAAGGCATTGGCCGGGCGCGGTGGCTCACGCCTGTAATCCCAGCACTTTGGGAGGCCGAGGCGGGCGGATCACGAGGTCAAGAGATCGAGACCATCCCGGCTAAAACGGTGAAACCCCGTCTCTACTAAAAATACAAAAAAATTAGCCGGGCGTAGTGGCGGGCGCCTGTAGTCCCAGCTACTTGGGAGGCTGAGGCAGGAGAATGGCGTGAACCCGGGAGGCGGAGCTTGCAGTGAGCCGAGATCCCGCCACTGCACTCCAGCCTGGGCGACAGAGCGAGACTCCGTCTCAAAAAAAAAAAAAGAAAAAAAAAAAAAAGAAAAGGCATTTAAAACTGAAAGATAAACATAGAAAAGTACTATGAAGACAGATTTTCTGTCAGGTGCAGTGGCTCACACCTGTAATCCCAGCACTTTGGGAGGCTGAGGCGGGTGGATCACCTCAGATCAGGAGCTCGAGACCAACCTGACCAACATAGCAAAACTCCATCTCTACTAAAAATACAAAATTAGCTGAGCGTAGTGGTGCATGACCATAATCTCAGCTACTCAGGAGGCTGCGGCAGGAGAATCAATTAAACCCAGGAGGTGGAGGTTTCAGTGAGCTGAGATCGCACCACTGCATTCCAGCCTGGGTAACAAGAGCAAAACACAGTCTCAAAAAAAGACAGATTTTCTTTCTTTTTAAATACTATATATTATTCCATTTTGTATGTATGTGTATGTGTGTGTGTACATATGACATTTTCTTCATTCATTTGCTGATGAGACTGAAGAACATTATGCTAAGCGAAATAAGCCACGAAAGATCTCACTTACATGTGGAATCTAAATAGTTTACTTCATAGAAACAGAAGGTAGGAAGGCAGTTACCAGATGCTAGGGGTGGGAAGAGGGATAAAGAAAATGAAGATGATCACAGTCTTATAAACACAGTAATAATAATGTATATTTCAAAAATATTAAAGGAATAGATATTTAATGTTTTTACACCAAAAATATGATAAATTGGTAAGTGATAGATATGTTAACCAGCTTTACTACACAATGTTTATATAGATCAAAACATCACACTACCCCATAAATATACACAATTTTTATTTGTCAATTAAAATCAATTAGAGCGATTTAATTTAAAAATGTACTACAAAGAAAAAAATAGCAATTTTCTAAATAATGAGATCACTAAAAAATGTAAAATTTTACTTACATTCTTTTTTTCACATTCTTTTGCATTATTTAAGACCAATTTTCATTAAAAATAATTATAATTTTTAAATGGCATTTGGATCTCCAATCATTATTTATCATCTGAGAGATTCAGGTATGTAGATATCAGTTCTTGGTGATTACAGAGTAATTAAATTACTGAATTTAAAAAATGATAATTATCCACATAAATCTTATGCATGTGGATTATCTGTGACAAATTCTTAATTGTGGATCAGACTTGATGTTAACATGTGGAATTGTTAGAACCTTCTTTTCCTCTTGTTCAGAAATGTAAACTTACCTTATTAATCAGAGAATTCTATTTGAAGGAAGTCAACTGTCTATGCAAATGTATAGGTGACTTATTATTCTTATTAAGTGACTGAAAGCTGATTTTACCAATAATAGAAGCTTCCTTCTATGTATGTGTGATCCAGAGACCCTAGGGTTCCTTAGCCAACAAATAGCTTTAAACCATTTGTCTTAAGTCATCCTCATGATCTAGGTCAGTCTTCTCAGCATGGACTCAGTGACCTCCTAAAGGAGTGGTCAGGACAGGGTCCTCCAGGACTCAGTGATGTTGAGGTTTCTGTTTAATCTATCTGGAGGCTGGATATCTTCATTAGTTTCCTACTCTCCAACAGAACCATCACATGGAGGAGTGAGCATGATAATGGTTATATTTTGAGGTTCACAGACCTGTCGACCCAAGTAGTACATTTGTAGCTTAAGGTCATGGCTCTAGAAATAATCTATTAAGGGTCTGCCAGATTCTAAAGTCTATGTTCTTTGTATTATTTGAATAAGGGGTTTTGTCCTGGTGAGACTGTAAAACACTGTGCTTAATTCAGGGAAGAGGAAACTGAGACACACAATATCTTTTTAATGTGAACATCTAATTGGGGTGAAGGTGGGGTTGAGAAATGTTAGGAGAGAAAACAATATGTGAATTATGACTAATTTGAAAGAAATTGAATATTGGAAATATAAAATTGAGAATTCCCATTATTTTCTCTATTATTATTATTTTTCTGACAGAATGACTGCATGTAAGATAAAATGTAAATAATATTGGGACTATCCTTAGAGAATCTCTGTAATACAAATACAATTTATAATGAAATGGATAAAACATTTGAAATTTCTCAGAAGTATTATATGAAGTGTAGTGAATTTAAATTAAGTTCTTCTAGTAAAGCATAATTTGTATAGACTCCTAATGTATTTTATATACATATATCTCAAGGATATAGTTTGTGTTTAAAAATACAACTTAAAATAATTGTAATATAAAAACAACAATAGCAAGATTTATTGAATGGCCGTTACATGTTATGCACTGTTCTAAGAACTTGACCTGATCATTCATTTAATGCTAATGTTAACCATAGGAAGTAGATACTTTTATTCCTGACTTTTTTACATGTGAATAAACTGAGGTAACAATGTATGGACAATTAACCTACATTCTCCTCAGATCATGTGAGGCATATCCAGAATTTAAGTCTAAATCTATCAGATATCAGAACATGCATTCTTTTTTTTTCTGTAAGTGTCACTTTTTACATATTATTGAAGTCTCATTCTATAGCCTTCAGATATGATTTAAGAACATAAAGCCATGGACATGGTAGGTACTTAAAACTTGTTGTGAAATACTGAATACATTTTTGAATGGGTGGTGCTATTAAACTTAAAAAAATAAAGCTTTATGCAGAGAAATGCAATAATGATAGTGTTAATAAAGTTATACATTCTTAAAGTGTTCAGACTGCTTATCAATCTTATGTGTTCATTGCAACATCACTGTGAGGTGGATGTTTGTATTTTCATTCCATTTTATTGAAAAAAACTAAAGCTCAATTTTATTACTTCGTTTAAATTAATGCAACATTTGGGGGCAGAATCTGAATTTGAGTTTATATTCTGACTGCATGGCCAATCTTCATTCCAGTATACACATTGGCCTTGGGAATTAATCACGCCAGAATAATCACTTTTCCCCATTTCCTAACTTCTGAGTTTCTCTCAACATATATATTTTGGAGTCCCAGATTATTTTTACCTCCTGTTAGAATTTATGTGGTCACGTTTATTTTACAGACAGTCATTACACCATTGCTTCGTGAGACCTTGTCTACTGCTCAGAAGCCCAAAGCTATTCTGAGACTATATTCATGCCCTATATATAGGCCATTCCTTTGAAAATTGGATGAGTGGTAACCTTATAAATATTTCATATACTCAATCCTGCTTGAATTGATAATGTTGCAGTAATTTTAGTGTGAAATAATGTAACATAATATGCATAGAGAGTAAGTGGCCCTGTAAGAGAATTAATAATACTTAGTTGTCAGTGGAAAAAAGTTCTCACTTTTTAACCCAGTTTCATGAGGGTTTAGCTTTTCTCTCTGCCTGTGTGTAAGCTGCCACATTACTAAATAAAGCATTTTTATGTGCTGAGTGTAAAGAGAAGCTAAGATCCCCATTCTTCATAGCTGAATGGAGAACTGCTGCACCCTATGTATCTCCACAGACATGCATTGGTATCTATGAACCAATGTAGACTTAGCGGGCACCCAAGGAGAGGCTGTGTCAATCAGAAAGATGACTGGTTACCCCTACAATGCTAGGTGGCTACATTGAAGGAAAATTGCATAAATACTTTATTTAAGATAAATGCTGATGTCCTTAGTTCTGTAGATTATCAAGGTGCCAATTTTCAGTGAACAGAGCCCTCTTCTGAAAGGCAGGTTGTTTGCAAGCTTGGTCTCATCTGCTACTTCTACTCCTCCCGTGCTATGTCCTTCTCTTGTGTGCTAATAGAAACCAGCAGAGAGGGAACTCCCTCAGCTTCTTCCCACCTGTCATCTTCCTGACTTTCCACTTTCCTGGCTCTTATTCCTTCAATATGTACCAACTTCTGATTCCCACTCCATTCTTTCATGAACCCCTTGCATTTTCTTATCTGGTTTATTGACCTTGAACTTTGTTTTATTCTTCTCTCTGTGCAGTCCATTAGTTTTTGTGTTACGTTGCAGGTTTTAGCAAGAAGAGCTCCCTCTGCCAAGCCCATCTACTCAATATTATACCTCCTGCAGGGCTAGCTGTTAACATCTAGCCAGGAGAAGGGGTGACCTAGATAAAACTGTTTTAAGGTTTTGAAAAATATGCTTTTTTAAAAAAATTGCAAACCCTCAGAAAGTGTGGAGACATTTAACATTTGCAGATATCTTACTACTTCTGTAGAATTCTCATTGCTAGTAGGAAATGTTTATTTTTCCCTGTGAATTCTTAATGAAGTATAAACATTACACACACACACACACACACACACACACACAAAAGAAAAACACTGGCAAACTTAAAGCCAAGCTACTACTAATATATAAGTAATTTTATACATAAACTTACTCAGAAAGTAGAAAACAAAAACTATTGTTCCTCCAGCTATCTAAATTTTCAGACACTTATTTTGAAATTATAATCTTAGAATTTGTTTAGAGAGACACCAATGGATTAATTAAAAGATCCAAACACAGCCAAAAGTATACATTTAGTTTTAGAATTGCCATTTTTTCATGCTTGAAGTAAATAACAGTCATCAACAGTGAGTTTGAAATCCTTTCAAGTAAAATTATTTATTTTGCCTTGAGCATGCTGTGAGACCACTGGTGTTTTACTTTTTCAGATGTTCATTTTTCTATTCATTCTTTGGTTATATACTCACTATATAATAAATATATAATAAATATTCATATATATAAGCATTTATAGGTTTATTATGTATTTCTAAAGGTGATATTATGGTGTCAAATTTTATGTCATACTATTTTCTAAATACTGAAAATTTTCATAATGCACCGTACTCCATAGATTTCTCCCTCAGTCTACTTTTGGACGTTCACAATGTCTGCATTTTGGAGTCAGAAGAGAAAGCCATGAGGAGAGGAAAAAGTAACTTCAATAAACTATTTAACACAAAGAACTGGATGGCAGCCGTCAGCCTGAATGAATCATGGAGTGAGAGACTAAGGTGAATAGTACCTTCAAGGATCTCCAAGGCTCCATACAAAGTAGTGCATGGCTTTCAGATTCTTCACCAGAGCAAGGGTATTAAACAAAAGGGCCCCAGGTGTCCCCCTGTAAGCTACCCAATTAGGGTTATTAATTTGTAAAATTATTTTAGGGATTTAATTATGTTATCTTTCTTCAGAGTTCATTTGTATTCCCTAATTTCTGTAAAGGTCTGCTGAATATTTAGAGGTGTCTGAGATTCAGTTTATAACTCATCATAGAGGCATAGAATAAAAGAAATGATGTTCTAAAAACCTGAAAGAATTGGTATGTTTTACCTGGATTCTCCTCTCACCACGGAGCAACATAGCCATTGAAGGACACAAAGACCAAGCAGAAAAGCATGGCAAAGTGAAGGCAGCTTTCTACCTATTGCCTAATATAATGTTATCCATTGTGGAGTTTAATCAGTTGGCAAAAATAAACTGTTACCTTTTACTCCTCATAACAAGGGGAGCATTTACGTGCTCCAATTCAGTTAATAAAAAACACCTGATCCACTGAAATTCTGTCTGTTAGTGGCTGAAATATTTGTATGGGATTTATTTGTACAGTTTGCCAAATAATTCAGGCTTCCCTCCTCTGAGGGACATCATAGGATTACAATTCTGCCTTTGTCGTGGGTGAGGGAATGACTCATGTGATGTGATTGATTCCGATAGCTGTGCCAGAACATTTGTTTGCTAATTTGAGACCCTCAAAATCTGTCTTTTTTTTTTTTTTTCCTGTCCTGCCAAGGGCTCAGTAAAGTTGCAGACAGTCGCTCTTCCTCGACTAAGAGTAAACTGTGCAGACAGAGTTCTTGACTAAGGGCAAATTATGCAGACACCCCTTAGTAAACTCACGATGGATACGTATCATGAGCAAGAAATGTTACATGTACTATATTAACACACCGAGAATTGCGTGTATGGTCTCGGTGACATAACCTCATCTATTCCAACTGCTGTAGTATGTGACTTCAACATTTCAATACTCTTAGAAAGTTGCAGTTTTTTCTCTTAAAATAGTTTAATACATCAACCTTGCTCATTTTCCAGTATGTGACCTCTGTAAAGACTTTCAATTTTTTAATGTTCTCCTATTCATGGATAAAAGATCATGAGTTTTAATAATCTGTAGAGTTTATCCTGAACTTTGACAGGACACAGTGACATTAAACATCAATCACATGATAATTTGCAGTAATCGTTGGGCTTTGATTATGTCTTTATTAAAGGCAAAGAACTTCAAATGTATGCAACAAATCATTTTTGCATCCTAATACTATTATGCTTGCATGCTCAAAAATAAACTTGAGAGTGACAAATTCCACTGGGAAGTAGTCATTAAAATACATGAGTACATGCTGCTGGTACAGGATTTTGACACAAGTTCATTTGTTTTTCTATGTATCACTATGTTTCAGAGCATGTTAGGTTTAGTTTAATGCAGACATGAGACTCCAAGAACATGGACATTTTCATCAGGCAACTACAGATTGTTCTGCAGTTTTATCTCAACACTTGATTCTACTGATGACAAAATAATTTATTGAGGGCTCATTTCCTTTCTGTGGAGGGGAAGAATGAAGTCTCTGGCAAGCACCTTTGTCTATTCTGTCTGAAAGCTCGCCTGTTATGCTTCTACTTTTGAGACTTGTCTGCCTTACTTCCAATCTTTTTTGTCTTTAGTTGAAGAAAATACACTAAAACAATTTCCATCTTTCTCTCAATTTAAGAATTTAAGTTCAACCTTAAACTTTATCTTTTGAAAGGTATTGTGCACTGTGAATTTCACTTTTTTTCCAGAACCTGAGTAATTGCACTGTGCTGTTCATGCTTGCTTTCCAGAATCAAGAGCTGCTTGAATATCTCCCTCTCTACAGATATTTGAAGATTTCTTGTGAAATCTACAATGGAGTTGAAGAGGTAGAGGAAAAATGAAAGGATTGGAGATTAAAAACATCAGATCTATGACATAGGAAACCAGTTATAATTGGATAGGAGAAAGGTTGAAGTAAGTTGAAAAGGCAAGGATAATCACACGGAGAAAGGTTGAAATAAGTTGAAAAGGCAAGGATAATCACACAGAGAAAAGCAGAGAGTGAGAACCCTGTTGGCTAAATTAAAATTTAGAAATCCAGCACACGAATGAGGTTGGGACAGCAGCTCCAAAAGATTTTTTTTTTGAATTTCATCATCTGAATATTAATTTTCTGAGGTCTTCTGGGGAAGTAATGCCAAATACAATGAGCCTTGTGAGGTGCTGACTCATGCAAGTCAAACTCTACATTGTTAAAATTTTGAGAGAAAAAGAAAAAAAAAACAAAGAAAGACTCTGACATTTCATTTTCCATGTAAGAGACAGGAGCATATATAGTATCCCCATTTCATATAAATTTATAAAAGGTTCTAATTTGTGATAGGTGCATACTGTGATTGAAAAGATAGATTATAGGCATGTGGAGTGCTTTATAGAAGAAATTTCAGAAAGAGGACACATGGATTTGTAGGGGACTGACCAATATAAAGGTGATATTTCAAAATTTCCTTTTATGGAAAGGCACAATCCTGGTAGGCTTTCTTGTTTCCACGGCTATAAAGCTCTGCTGTGTAACTCACAGAGTTTGCTATCATCCTAGAAAAGGCAGGCTTCTTTATGGAAAATCAAATGGAGTGGAACTCATCATGATAAAAATGGCCACACATGATATAGATAGCAGGTTTGGGCTCACATGTATCCACTAGGCAGTTTTATTATGAGAGCCAATTGGGATCCATGGTCATCATATGTTTTTTTGAGTCCTCTGAAGCACAAGTGTGTATGGCATTTCTATTAAAGACATACTTACTTGTTTCTTAAAATAATGTCCCCAGTGTGATCTGTGAGATATGAGTGAATCCTGAGCTGCTAAATGGATTTTGGTCTAAGAGATGTGGTCACTGTGGAACATTGTTGTACTGCCTCCTGTAATTGGTGCTCCCTGCACTCCATGTGTGCCTCCCTCTGGAAGACTAAGTCTCCCTACCCTATTAAATGCGGGCATGGCTGTACTATTTGGTAAAGCCAATGGCACATGAATGTTATTGAAGTGAAGCATTGTCAATATTTTGGAGAAAGAAAATATGGATCAGAATCTCAGCCAACCGAAGGCTCATGAAAAATAAATGTACTTTTTTATTGAAAACTACTGAGATTTGGGACTTCTTTGTAACTGCAGCATAACTTACTTATCCTGAAAATACAGAAATCAGTAATAAAGTGGATGTTGCAACAACAACAAAATCTAGATTAGGTGGCACTGATTTTGGAAACTGGGCTATGTACAGTGAAACAAATTGCTATCTATCTGAAGCTAGAAAAATGGTTATTAATATTACACTGTGGGAAACATTTTGGGAAGTAAAAAATCTCCTATTATTTGCAATATAGTGAAAGGTAGACAATGTCCCTAATGAGCTTATTCCTTTAGGTGAAAACGAAAGAAGAACGAAAGAAAAAGAAAGTAGGAAAAGAGACTTCCTGTAACATGAGTCAGCTTGTATTGGATTTTTTTTTTTTTTTTTTTTAGAAAGGTAATACCTGTATAACAAAGCAGCGATCTCAGAAAAAAAGAAAAAAAAGTATTGGCCTGTTTACAAGCAGAAATAAAGAGCATTTTGAGAGTTCAGAAATTCAGGGACTTGCCAGGTTGAACGCTGCTATTGATTCTCATCTAATCAGTACAAGATAACACTAAGGGGCCTTTTGAGTGACAGCCTAGGATGAGGACAAAGTCAAGAGTCTGCCAATTGCACCCTGAGCTAAAGCCCATGAATGGCTTATATTGAACCCAGGAAGACCTTTCAGATGTCTCAGGAAACAATGGCTCAGGAAAAAGAGGTTGAAATATGACTCTTCCATAAAAGCCTTATAGGCTCAAAGTACCCACAATTAAACTAATTTAATTTGACTTAATTTAATTTAATGTAAGGGGCATGTGAGTACTCATAAATGGGAAAAAATGACAAGACAAATAGCAAATGTTCTATTATATTGGATATTTTAATATGTTGTATATATTCTATATTCCTACCATGTCTATTCCACAGTTGTATAATCTGTTTGTGTACATATTTGTGTGTCCCCATACACATTGTTGAGACTGGTCAGACAAATCCTCCTTTTGGTTCCAGTGTCTAGACACGTTGTAGAGACTCCCAGGCATCACTCAGAGATCTTGGGCTTTGAACTTGAAGCAGGGATTGGATAGGAGTATTGTGTTGTTTTGTCGTGTCAGAGAAATAGAAGCAAATGTTATTGACTCTAGGCTGACTCTAGTAGACTGTATTTTTGTTCACCCATGTTTGGTGCCTCTTCCCTTTGCTTTCCTCCAGAGGATGATTTTGTTTCTTCTAGCAAACACTGAAAGTGCTGTGCTTCCTTGGGCGCTCTTAAGATCCCATTTTGCCTTTATGAATGCTGCCCCCTGCCCACCTCTCAGGGGCTTTCAAAGACCAACACCAGATGCTATATTTGTGTGGACTGTTTTTGCTACCGGAGATATTGGCCTCACAAGCTTAGAGAGCCCAGGGTGCCTATCCCACAGCTACTAACCAATGATTGTGAGGTGAAGGAGTGTGAAAGCCCAGCCTCCTTACCTTTCGTGGGAAGTAATCTATGCACCAGAGGTCTCCCCCTGGGGTCAAACTGAAGCTTAACCTTCCCTTTGCTTCTACCTCAGATCTCACCCTTGCCAGGCTTTGTTCTCTTCCATGTCCTCTTTTGTCCACCATGGTCTCCCTGGGAACTCATCCTTTATAAATGACTTGCATTGAAATCCTCATCTCAGGGTCCACTCCAGGGAAACCAATCTAAGACACACCCTTATCTTGTTGAACTTTCCTGGGGCTGTATGATTGCTTGGGTTCTGGAAATGTCAGTTGAAATAATATGTGCCATTCTCAGCAAAAGCTTTAAGGCCAGCAGGCACTACATCCTGCACCCTGCCCTCTGTCACAATTGGCATCATTCCAGCTAGAGACTGATCCAGTAGTCTTGGTATTGTGTGGAGTGAATACAACATGGGTCAGAATCACAGCCAGCTTTTGATGGACTTCTAATAGGATTTGCCTTTATTGTTATAAATCCAGGAGATATGAGGGTTCTTTGTTTCCACAGCATAATCTAGCCTATGTTGGCTAATACAACAAGCTTCCACGAATAAAGCAGCCTGAGACATGGCTTATAATTTAACTACCCAATAATCTTTAAAAAGGCAATCTATACGAATACATTTAGTGCATATAAGTTACTCATCATGTGATGATATGGAGGTATTTGATGCAGTCCATGCTGAAAGTATTATCTAGTTAAGATAAAGCTAATTTTGAGAGATAAAGCTATTTCTTTGATATAGATTTTAAAGCAATTTATCTAGTTCAGTAATTCCAGAAAGGCATGTTATCTAGATCAGTGTGTAGTCTCTTCCCTCATTTTGACACTAAATAATATTCAGTTCAATTTCACTTCTTTGAGAATGCACCTGATTTACTCATTAAAAATTATTTGGTTGGGTTCCAAGATTCCAAACCTGGATTACGTGGTCACAAGAAGCAATGCTCAAAAACCAGGATTCTGAGTCATAGAAACCTTGAACAATATAAGGATATGAGTTTTTAGTTTCCAAACAAACCCACGGCATATTGTTACACAAAATGCCATGAGCTTATTGAGAACATATTTTTCTCTGACACGTCAGGGAGGTAGTCTTGACACAGCAATGACTTTTAAAATAACTGTAACTTGTGTACATTGTGATTTTTTGTGGTCTTCCTGAAATGGGTTTTGTCTTTGGTGTCTCTTAAAGTGAGAAAACGAACAGTTTGACTCACATGAAACTATTTGAGGATAATAAAGGATGTTTACTGTTGCCAGAAACTGATCAGAAAGGGGAAAAATAAGCAAACTCAGAAATAGTTCATTAAATAGCTGACTGTAAAGGAGGAATAAAAATCACATGGGAATGGAAGTGACACGTCAGTTGATAATAGCATGAGCCAAAACATAGGCCATGTGTGGGCATAGTATGAGAATTGTATTCTGGAGATGCTCATTTCTTGGGGCTAGAGGTTTAAGTTGAGCACTAGAGAAAGGTTAAATATTTGCCATTATAGGCTAACATTATTTCTGCAAAATTTCAGACTGGAAGGGAGCAATGTAACAGAGTCTCAAATATATCCAGCAAGGCAATTGTAATTATTATATGTGGGGAAAATAAGATCAAATGCCTCTCAACCTCATTAGTATGACAATTATCTAATCAGACAGTTACTTCTCTGAATTCCCCAAGCAAATATTTACATTCTGATTTGTAAGGCCACGGGGTCACACAGAGCCAGGGGAGCATAAGTCCTAGGAGACAATGTGACTGTCACTTCTTGAGTTGTGCAGTGTGGAGACCCAAATTCCAACCAGGAAATGATATTATTAGTGTGTAGGTGTAAAGAGGGGAAAGGGTAAAGATAGCAGAAGCCTACCTAAGACTAAGGTAAATAAAGGTAATGAAAATAATGACTACTAATTATGTTGTACCAGATACTCTATAACATTTTTCCTATGTACCACATACTCTGTAAAATTCTCACCTATGAGTTGATGCGCTATTTTAATTACAGATTAGAAAATTGTTGCACAGAGAGATTAACTTCCTCAAGTTCTCAGGCTAAGAATGATGAAGCTAGGACCTGAATTCATGTCTTATCTGAATCTCAAATATTCATATTGATTGTTTGACTTTTTTCTCTGGCTTTCTAGAACTTTGTCAAAGAATATCATGCATAATTAATGAAGGACTAACCTATAGTGATGACTTAATATACCTGCATGGATATAACACTATTTTTATAACTTTAATATTAGTAACTACTAAGATCATTTCAAATTTTCCATTTTTATTTCTGATATAGTATTTTTTTTAAGTTACTCAAATTAGTAAAATAACTGTAAAGGACTAGCGATGAGAACTTCTAAATGATATACCACTTCTCTTTCTTATATAATATGTATCCACTATATTAATTCCTCTTCTTTTTTTATGGTGCCTCTTTTTCCTCACTGTCTTTACACTGTAAGCAGCACTCAATGACCAATGGCAAATGTGGGGAGGACTTCATAGCTTCTAAGTGCTGTTCTGTTTTGTTTTGCTTGTTTTTGTTTCCCTGAATTCTTATATACTCAAGCTTCTGTGTGCCTCATTCTCAAGCTCTAGGAAGTTTGTTTGGTTTTTACTATATTTCACATTACTATCAAATCCCTAAACTTTTCATGAGTGCTGAAACTTAAATAGTCACTTAGGTAGGGATCACAAGTTTTTCTCATGTATAATGAGGTCAGGGCTTGGAAATCATATCAGTCAGATCTACAGTGATAATGCGTTAATCTTTGTAAAATAATTTTAAATAAATTTGCTTTATTATTGCATTTATTAAACATTATTTAACTTCTTACAGCCATTTCATTAAGGCATCTAAAGGAATGGAACACACAAACTTTTTTTTTCTATTTTGTCTTTTATTAATCATTAATCTTTATTAATTATCTTTTATTAATTATTCTTTTATTATCTTTTATTAGTTATCTGGTTTCCACTGCCTCAATAATATTAAATTGTATTAATTATCTGGTTTCCAAAGCCTCAATAATTTGAAATTTTATTAATTATCTGCTTCCCAAAGCCTCAATAATAATATTTGAGGCACCTGGACGCTCCCCTTTTCGCTGTCATGTCATGCCTTACCTGACTGAGGACTGCTTTTAGATCATTCTTCAAATATATGAATTTTCTACATTCTCACTCCAAGGTTTACAAGCAAGTCATTGGTACATCACTTTTTATATTCTATTCTACTAGTCTATCTGCATTTATTGCAGGAGAAGGAAGCTGGCCAACCTCAATACCTATTCTTTTCCCTTTAAACTGCTTGAGAGTGGTCATATAACCTTGCCTACAGATGAGTCAACAAACCATGGCTGTAGTGCTCAATCATCTATTTAAACCAGTTAACAGATTATTAATTTATTGTTATTCAATTTTAATTCTCCATATAAGAAATGCTTATTAGTCTAGATATTCACAGTTATTCACCTTTATGGATAACATTGGTAAAGGTTGTAGATGATATTTCTCTATTTCAACCAATTTATCCTTTGAGTTTCAAAAACTCACTAGTATTCAAAACATTCAAGAGGCCTATAGGCAATTTATTTATTTCTGGATAAAACATGTGGCTATTTTAATAGCCCTGACTTAGTTATCAGTCCTCAGCTTGACAAAAAGATACTTCTTCTGTTTGTCAGCTCAGACCATTGATTCAATTATGCCTTATTTCTAAGGCTAGAATTTTAAAGACTGGGAAAGATTAAAATTCTTTGCGCTACAGTAATTTGAAAAAAAAATGCTATAGATTTGATATTTGTCTCAATTAAAGTAAAAATAATTTACATAGATATAGATATATAGATATAGATTTTATATTCTAGCTATCTGTAAGGCATGTTAAAAATAGTGTTGAGTAACTTTCATAGTTCTGCAAAGAAATAATTGTAGTCTATGAAAAAGCGTAAACTTTATATTGTAATATCTACAGGTCAAATCAATTTGCTGCTAGAAACACTTGTGTTTTTGTAAGTATGTATTTAAGCCCAAATTTTAGCAAAAGTGATGTATAAATAGCTGAAAGATAGAGAAAATGAAATGGTATTAACAGTTCAGCATTATATGGGAGAGTTTGGCCTCAGTTTAGGCAGATTGGTTCTGATTTTTAGATATGTCATGTACTACCAGTTTGACCTTGGTAAAGTCTCTAAACTGTTCTGTGTCTCAATTTCGTATTCTGAAAAATTAAAATAAGACTAGTACTTATCTCATAGAGTTTATTAAATAAGTTAATGTGCATAAAGTGCTTAGAAGAGTGACTAACATGCAGGAAATACCATTTAGGCATTAGCTATTATTAACAATCAACACTCTTAAAACACAAAATTTGTCTATTCAATTTAAGAGCCAGTCTGCCTGAAGACAATTTGGCCAGCCAACTCTTTGCTATTACTGACTGAATTTTCCTTTCCTTATAATTTTGAGAGGGACTCTAAAAATAAAGTGTTAATGAAACTGGAGACATATGCTTTTGGATTAATATTGCATCTGGACAGTAGGTTTTTAAATAAAATCAAATTGAAAACATTAATTTACTTTTAATATTTATTTGTCTTCTCCTAATTCTCTCCTGAGATTCATAACAAATGTAAAGCCCTAATCCCATGAAAATTGCTTGATAGACACTTTATTGCCAAAAATTTCCCACACGACAAAATCAGTGGCACTGAAAGAGGAGTTACAATCATGTTTTATAATGACACATGCTTTGCTACTTCAGGAAGGGCCAGCCTGAAGGATCGTAGAAGAAGCCTCATTCCTTTGCCTACAGGCTGAATCTGATGCAGAAATGTTGCCTCCACATGAGATAGAAAATTGAGGAGCCATTTTCTTCTGAAAAAGCAAACAGAATTATTTGTTTTTATTATTTTACTTGTCTCCTACACAAACACATGTGTCTTTCATTTTCAAAAATTCACTGACAAAAACTTACTTAAAACAATTGGAGAGAATGGTAAATCTTTCTAATAACCCATGTGAGAGAGTATGACAGATCTTACCATGAGAACAGCATTGGATTAAGAGAGAAGTCAACTTGGTAACTGATTGGATGTAGGTGTTGCAAGACAGAGACAAGTCAAGAATGATTCTGAATTTTCTGACAAGAACTATTAGCACACAGTCATACAATGTTCCAAACTGGGAAAATTGGAAGTGGAGAACAAGAGGATATGGGGGAAAGAATCATGTGTTATGTTATTGGACATACTGCATTTGAGTTGTCTAGAAAATACTCAGGTTGATTTTTGAGTACAGACATTAGGGGCCTGGGGTCCAGATAAGTGAAATGGGTTGGAGGAACTGAATTGGGAATGGTCAGTAAATAGGTGAGAAAGTGAAGTGAGTTCATGAAATTGGAAGAAAGTGCATCATGAGAAGAAAATAAGCTGACAGCCAAATCTTGAAAAGCCAGCATTTAATGGTTGAGTGGACAAGAAGGAAGAAGCAAGGAAGACTGACAGAGCTAAGGAGAAAAAAATGCAGAGGAGTTTTGAATTACAAAAGCAAGGGCATGAGTTTCATAAAAGAACCAATGTTTAAGAGTAAAGCCCATCAAGGAATATTTTGTCTACTCTCTGGATCAATTCAGACAAATCATGACATAGTTTAGCAGGATCACATTAGCTATAGTCAAAATAAAGTAGTTACATGTTCTCTGCATATCAGACCTGTAGCAGAAATCATATATATATATATATATATATATGTATATATATATATGTATATATATATATATACATATATATATATATATATATGATTTTTAAATTGTGAAAACGTTTCTTAAGCAGTACACACTCTTATGTGGTAACCAAATTAATTTATTCATTTTAAAAGATCCAGAACTGTAATAGCTACCATTTTTTGGACACTTGCTATTTGCTATATTTATTGCTAATGTTTGAACAGATATAAATATTATTACAATCATTTATAGTTGAGTGAACGAAGGCTCAGACAGTTTCAGAAATTTGACACAAAGTCATACAGCTAATTCATGGTAGGCTGCAATCAAACCTAGATCTAGGATCAATCCTTCCTTCTACCTCCCTCCATTTCCTTCCTTTCTTTCTTGCTTCCTTCCTTCCTTTCTTCCTTTTTTCCTTCTTTCCTTCCTTCTCTCATTTTTCTCTTTCCTTCCTACCCTTTTAGAGACAAAATCTCACCCTGCTGTCAAGGCTGTAGTGCAGTGACTATTCACAGGCATGATCATGGCACAATAGAGCCTGCAATTCCTAACCTCAAGTGATCCTCCTGCCTCAGCCTCTCAAGTAGCTGGGACTGTGGGTGCATGCCATGGCATTAGGCGATCTGCGTTTCTTTGTCCAAGAATTCAAACTATTTCTATTATACTGAAGTATTGATATATTTTCATAAGGTTAAAAACAGAAAAAAGTATTCAGATAAAAAGGAAAAATATTTAATTGTTGAATGCTTCATACTTCTCAAACTTTAAACTTTCAGAAATATGAAACACTTCCTTCAAGATCGAAAAGCCATTTCTGAATTTCTTAGAAATACTTTTCAATATTTATTGGCAATCTTCTCTTTATTCTTTCTAAGCAGTGTCTATGGATTTTTAACATATCTTTTTTAAAGAAGGATGCCCAGCAAGGTATTAAACAGAAGTTAGGGTGTGAATTCACAAGAACGGACTCATGCTGCACAATGATAGCAAGACGCCACTAGGTATATGAGTTTCCTTGCTACTGTTTGTATCTCAGGTTGTCTAATGTGAGTGTTGAGTATATAAACTATATTTTCGCATGAGTTTTCAACATAAGGACCATCATGACATGTATAGAGTAAGAATACATAATTTCAACCATGTTAGTTCAAGCAGTAGAAATGTTTCTAAGGTTTACTGGGGGAAAACAAAAAGGCAAGAAGCATAAATTGAGTTTAAAAAATATTTATTTAATAAAGACAAATAAAAGTAAAGTACTTTCTATTCTAAACTATAGTTAGAAGATATGTGCAAACATCTGCAAGAAATGTTTCAGATTATAAAGCATGAATACACAAGGCATTGAAAACAGAATTTAAAAAGGACGTATTTAGTTACCATGAGCACATAGCTGGGATTAAACCATGTAGTAATACACAAAAAAAGAGAGGATCCTTTGCAGCCATCAACAGTGAAACAGAATATCAACTCTTCTTTTTCTCTCCTGTGCTCAGCTGATGACTTCCACATGGCTCACTAGATTCACATGGCTCTCCTATGCTCAGCCCATGACTTCCACATGGCTCACTAGATTCCCAGAAACATGATTTCCCTAGAAGTTAATTCTCACCTGCAGGCAAGAACTTTGCTGGTTGAAGCAGGAAACTAACAGACACAGAGGGACTTTAATCATCAGGAGTGGCAATGGGAGTGACTGAATCAAGATCTCAGAACACTCATTCACTGAGCCTGAATGTAAAGCTTGGGAATGTCTTCTGTGTGAGAATATTTTCTCCAATTACTTCTCTACTATCTCAGACATAGAAGTAATCAGTTCCAGTAAGTGGAGTTAATACATTTTTTCAAAAAGTTACTTGCAGTTACTGTTACTCTGCATGGAGTAGGTGCTTTGGGATAAGAACAAAGAAATCAGGCTGGATTGATTTCCTTACCTTATTTTTAAAATTAATTAACTAATTTGATGAGGATAGAGGTCAAGAGAGAAGATTTGGGAAAAATTAGAGATGGACTTTGTAAAGGAAGATAAGACATTTAGCAAAGCATGTGTAACAGATGAGAGACTGGTAAGAGTATTAGTGAGAAGAAAAGTGGATTTTTGGAAGAAAAATGCTTGTCATGTTGAATAATTAGTATATATTTAGTTAGAGGGGCCATAGTTATAATTACATGATTATAAATGCTGGAAGCATTTGGCATTTTATGCTAGTAGAAATGGAATCTGTTACATTATTGGACTTAGGAAAAAAATTTAAGTAAAGGTATTTTCTAGGACTTGTGATTGCCAGATACAAAAATTAACCAAAAAGCTTAGGCATAAAGGAGAATGTGATGGCTTTAGAGGTGAAGTTTCCCATAAAGCCCTTATCTTGTCCTCAAATAATTTGGGACTCTGTATTTCACTCTCTCTTTTTTTTCTTTCTCAGTTTATTCTCAGGCAGCTTCTCCATACACAGTGGATTGGCAGATCTAGGCTCCCCTTTATGCTATCTAGGAGGTAGAAGTATTTCTTCTGCATTAGTTGCCACAAATTCCCAAAATGATGTCAGGTGGCTTATGTCACTTTTCCAACCTTGAATAAATCACTCTGTCCAAGAGTGTGGAATATCAGCCTGGCTCTCCGTAATGTGAATGCCCACATTCTTGAAGGCTGACTGCCACCAACTCCACCGAACCACAGGGACAGAAAGCAGGAAAATTGGGTCATGGTAGTCGAAGAAAGGGGAACGGATGCTAGACAGACAAAATCGCAGATGGTCACCCTAGGAAGAAGAATTAAAGTATGGGAGAAATGATGAGAAGATTGTTGAATGATTTTATTCTTGTGGCCAAAGAAGAAGAGTGAGCCACAAACACTGTTTAAATTTAACCAACCAGAATAGAAAGTCCAGCTGGGACCAAACTGCTGTTTCCTTTTCAGGTTGCTTCAGATGCCGGCTCCCTTTCTGCCATGGAAGAATACAGTGGTTTAGAAGAGTCTTCTTGGGTCCTGAAACAAGCTCCAAAACTTCCTAATTCTATGACGTTGAATAAGACCTTTAACATTCTGTGCCTCACTTTCTTCATTTGTAAAATGTGTACATAAACATTACCTCTCTCATGTAAAGTTTAGACGAGAGTGTAAAATGCTTAGAATGGTACATGGTTTGTAGAAGGATTATGTAAGTATTTGTCATTATTGTTGCTTTTATTAATGCAATTACAATGAGAAAAAACACACGAACGTTGTGGGGGTGACACAACATGTAATATAAGAAGCTCTTCCCTAGAGGGGGAGACAGAAGGAATTTGAGTTGAATACAAAGGAAGCGACATAGGAAATGACTCAGGGTTAATTGGTTATGGTATCAGATGATTCTTTCTCCCAGTTGTGTGTTTGTGACCAGAGTAAATCCAAGTTTTTATCATTAAATTTTTCTAACTTATTGCATTTGTGGGTATCACTTCCTGGAGGAAACTTGTCATAGGCAACCTCTAAGTTGGTTGCCAGTGATCCCTGCATCCTGATATTCATGTCCTTATGTAATTCTCTCTTCTTAGATGTGGGCTGGACTAATTACCTTGCTTTTAATGAATAGAATATGGCAAATTTGATGAAATACATGCCACTCTGAGAGCTGGTTATAAAAATGTGATAGCTTCTCTCTGGGCATGCTTTCCAGAACACAAACCCAGACACACACACACACACAGACACACATATACACACACACTCTCTGTCTCCTCTCTCTCTCTCTCTCTCCGCTTTCTCTCTTTCTCACTCTGAGATCACTTAACCTGGGAGGATCTAGCTGCCATGTTGTAAGGCAGCCCTGTGATGAGAAGCTAAGGCTTACCAGCAACCACATGAGTGAAACTAGAAGGCAATCCCTCTACATGTAAATGACCCTTTATAGGAGCCTGTAGCCCTGACTGACAGCTTCAATGCAACCTTATGAGAAACCTTGAGCCAAAGGCACTCAGTAAGCTACAGCCTGATTTCTGACCCGCAGACACTACAATAATAAATATTTGTTGTCTCAATGTCTTCTAAGTTTGGGGGTAATCTGCTTACACAACAATAGATAACTAACAAATAATTTTTAGAGTGAAAACAGTAGGACAGAGTCATCTACTAGCGTTTGTGAGTTTGCATGAGTTACCAGTAAATACAGCAGCTTTTTGCCTAAACTGATCCCCATGATAAGGGGGACTACTATTACCAAGAAGAGATGGCCCCACCTTAAGGAGAGATGATGGGGGGAAGATATCATCACATTAGGTTTTAAACAAATACAATTTTACCCTACTCTGACCACAACCTTTTACTAGAGCATACTATGTATGTATGTATCATACCATAGAGAGTAGAAAGAGTGTGCAAAATTATTTTGAGTATCTGTTCCCATAAGCTTAACTTGGACAGTAAAGATATATACATATGGATATATTTGTGTACACACACATACTAGGAAAACATTCACTGCCAGAAGCTTCAGAGAAATAGATATTTCTCTGAAATAGAAATAGAAGCTTCAGATAAATAGATATGTGACCTATAGAGTGTGTATGTAACCACACATAGACACGCACACATCACACACACACATACATACACATCTCTATATCTATTGAATATTTACCTCTCTCTCTCACTGTCTCTCTCTCTCTCTCTCTCTCTCTTTCTCTCTCTCCAGGTAAATCAGTAGCATAGTGCAATTATATGTCTATTGAATATTTACCTCTCTATATATATCTATTGAATATTTACCTCTCTCTCTTTCTCTCTTCCTCTCCAGATAAATCATTAAGCATAGTGCAATTACATGCCAAAGGGTGATGTACTATGACTGAACAGTCATTAAATTAATTTAAAAGATAAAAAACTCATTTTACTTTTTTTATAACTGAAATTTGTATGCTTTTTTCCTGCTCAGCAGAAGGGGAATTATTTTTATACCAACCTGGTAAATTTAATTCAAACCAGTAAATTTTATTCTACCCTCAATAATAAAATAACAGATCCTCTCAGGAAATAGTCAATCAAATTCAAGTATTATTCTTTCAGTCATTGTTCACTATTATAAGTTTTCCTTTTAAGCTTCCTCCCCAGTTCTCCATACTTTTTTCTTTTCCAAGCAAGACAGGAAGGGGCATCTGCTTCTGCTCCTGGGGATATGTGAAATTGTATATGGTTTATTCATTGTCATGTCTCTGCAGCTTCTGGCAGCCAGTGTTTTCCTATGACCCTGTATCGCCTCTGGTACTGACAGCAAATAGAACAGACTCTATCTTGTAGAACACTTGATAGCTCTTCGGCACTTAGCTGGGCAGCCTCTGCAGCTTTCTGGCATAGCAGAGTTCACATGAAAGAACCACAGCCTCTATTTGCTTTCCTTAGCTATCTTCGGATGAGCAGCAATCTGGTCCAAGCCACAGCTCCTGTCCATCATCTTCTCTGAGCTTATCAGAAATCTTGGAGTCATTGCCACGCATCATAATTCTCCTATGTGACAGGTAGTTTCTAAGATAGTCTTCAATGTCTCTCTCTCTCCCTCCCTCTCTTTATCACTTCCTCTCTGACTGTTTACTTTAGGGGAAGTCAGGTGCATGTTGCATGGCAGTCTTATGAGAGGTCTGTGTAGTAAGAAACTGAAGAAGACGTCAAGCCAACAGTCAGTGAAGAAGAGAGACTTCGAGCTAGAGGTACCTAGTCTGGCCATGGCTGGGCACTTTACCTACACAAACTACAATAATAAATGTTTGTTTTATAAATGGTCACATTGTAGAGAAATTTGTTACACAGCAGTAGCTATTTTCCTCTATTATGTCTTCCAAACCTTGGCATCATTGAAAGTCCCTGCAGGTCATGCATGTGTCAAACTCCAGATTATAAATTGGGACCATTCCCTTTTTTCAGAAACTACTCCCAGGATGCAAAGGAGATTCTCTTGGTGTGATGAACATTTATCAGATAACATATTAAGCATCCTTCTACCCACTTCCCTGCACAAATAGGGAAGAAAGAACAAATTAACTGAGTCTGAAGCTTTACAGAGGCTGTTCTCCAAATCTGTCCTATTCCTTCCCCAATAACACCCATATTCTCCTTCCATATCTTATCTTTGCAAAGGCTGCAAAAAGTTTTCTCTTGCTTGAAACTTGTTCAGACTGGAAAAGCTAGGAATAAGGCTTCCTTTACATTTAGCTGTTTGACATGATGTGTCATTACACTCACGTGTGAGTTCTCTTCAGAGTAATCTGTACACTTCCCACACAGTCATCATGAAGAAACAGACAGCTGGTAAACCAGGAATACAGGGAAAGAAACTCCTTGATGACAATTTACACTATAGTGTAGCAGAATTCTCTGAGGAAGAAATCAATGGAAGCTTGTCTTGTGAATGAAGTGGAATTTGTGCTGAATCTTAAAGGATCAGGGGATTTGTATAAATAGGCTGGAGGTTTATGGTCATTTTAGAAAAGAAAACAACTTGTGCAAAGGGTGCTAAGATTGAAACTGCATTTGGGAGCTTAGTGGGAAGAAGTACCTTGCAGGAACAAGATTGTCTGTTGGACAGTGAAAGAGAACGATTTCCATTGTGCCTGATTGCTCAATCTGACTGTTACCTGTCAGATGAGCATGGAGATGTGCATGAGCAAGGAGATGTGCATGAGCAGAGGAACAAGACAATAAAATTAAGGACTTCACAAGCTTGATTAGACGGCAGGTGATAGTAAGCAATGAATAAATATTTGTTGGGGGACTTCTATGCATCAGGCATAGCACTAAAAGTAGAATGGTAAGCAGAGTAAACACAGTTGCTACCCTCACAGAGCTTACACTCTATTGTAGATGGCCATAATTATACAAATAGTGATTTACGTAAGTTTAGTCTGTAACCTGCTAGGAAGTGGAAATTCAATGTTATGTAAGGCTACAATGGGAACACTTGATGGAGTTAAGCTTTCCTAAGAATTTTTTTAATTAAACTTTTGGTTTTGAGGTAATTGTAGATTTATATGCAATTGTAAAAAATAAAACAGAGAAACCCCATGTACCCTTTCCTAAATTTACCCCAATGGTAACATCTTGCATAACTATAGTACAATATCACAACCAGGATATTGACATTGATACAGTGAAGATACATTTCCATTATAAGAATTCTTCATGTTGCTCTTTTAGCCACATCTACTGCTTTCTTCCTAGCTCTCCCTTTCCTTATTACTCCTGACAACCACTAATCTGTTCTCCATTTAAAAACTGTTAACATTCCAAGAATGTCCCCATTATGAAGGGAATCACTGCATGCAGCTTTGGCGACTGACTTTTTAAATTTACCATAATTGTCTACAGATTAGACTAGGTTGATTTTTATGTGTATCAATTATTTATTTATTTATTATTTTACAAATAGTGCTCCATAGTGTAGATGTACCACAGTTTGTTTAACTGTCTATCTATTGAAGGATATCTGGGTTCTTTCCATTTGGAGGCTATTATGGATAAAATTTCTATAAACATTGTGGACATATTTTCATGTGAACATGTTTGTATTTTTCTAGGAAAAAATGCCTAGGAGTACAATTTCTGGGTTTTATAGTAAAAAGAGAGAGAAAGGGAGAAACAGAGTTTTTTTTAAGACTGTCAAATTACTTTCTGGAGTGGCTGTACCATTTTTACCTTGTTTTCAACAATGTAAAAGTGATCCAGTTTTTCCACCCCTTCTTCAGTATTTGTGATTGCAACTATATTTTTTACTTTAGCCATTCTAATAGGTGTGTAGAAGTGACTTACTGTATTTGTAATTTGCTTCTTCCAGATGTCTAATGTGTTGTGTATGTCTTTTCATGTGCTTATTTGTTATCCATTCTTATCTTTTGGTGAGTTTTGTTTAATGGCACAATATATAGTCTAATTTGACATATGTTTCCTGAGCTCTTAAAAAGAGTGTGTATTCTGCTTTTGAGATGAGGGGTCTAAAAGTGTAAATCTTGTTGGCTGATGGTTTTTGAGTTTCCTCTGCGTCTTTGTTAGTTTTCTGCCTAATCATTCTATCACATGCTTAGAAAAATGTATCTAAGTCTCCAACTATATTTTGGGTATATATGCCCAACATGTACAGCTAATATATTTTATTTATTTTTAGTTCTATTTTATTTTGCTTTACATATTTTGCTACTCTTTTTTGGGTGGTACATACATATATAGAATTGCAATGTCTTCTTGGTTTATTAATCCCTTTATCATTACATAATATCCCTTTCTGTTTCTGATAATTTTCTTTGCTTTAAAATCTAATTTGTCTGGTGTTTATATAATCACTCTTGCTTTATCTTTATTAATGTTAAAATGATGTATATTTCTTTATTTTATTTTCAATCTACCCATATCATGATATTTATATTTGAAGTGACCTTCTTAATAGTGATATATAGTTGGGTCATAATTTTTAATTCACTCTGCTAAGCTTTTAGTTGGTGGGTTTAGATATTTACATTTAATGTAATAATTTACATTTTAGGAATAAAATCTGCAATTTTATTTTTTCTTTAATTTGTTGCTTTGCAATTTTAACTTTCTTGGCTTTTTTACTTTACATGAGCATGTATCAGAATTCCAATTTGATTTATCAAAAGTATTTTTTAGTGCATTGCTTTGCATAGCTTTCTTAGTAGTTTCTGTAGCTATTCAGTTATATATACATTACAATCCAATGATGTTATAATTTTACCAGTTCAAATGAAGTACAAAAACCTTATCTCCTTCTGTCTTTTTACACTCCCAAGTTTCTAATATACTTGTCTTAATTTACACTTGTTCTAAATATATTAATTATATATTTAGAACCATATAAAAAAGTGTTGGATTTTTTGCTTTAACTCTTAAAGAGAATTTAGAAGATTCAAGAGAAGAAAGAAAGTCTATTGTATTTACCCACATTTTTTCTTACCATAATTTTTCTTTTTCTCTGATGTTCCAAAATTTCTTCATTTATTGATTATTTTCTGTTTAGCAAACTTTCTTTAGCCATGTTTTTTAGAGTAAAAAGGAGAATTCTTTTAATTTACTTTCATTTGAGAATGCTTTGATTTTTCTCTTCATTCTTGGAGGATGTTTTCACTGGACATAGTATTCTGGGTTGGCAGTTATTTTTTAACAATTTAAAAATGTTATGTTGCTTTATTTTCACCTTTATGTTTCCTAATGAGAAATCCTCTGTCATTAAAATATTTTCCCCTATGGGTAACATATCATTTCTTTCTCACTGCTTTCAAGAACTTTTTTTTTAATTTCAGCAGTTTGGCTAAAATGTATTTTGATATAGATACATTTAATTTATATTATATTTAGGGTTTGTTCAGCTTCTTGAACCTGTAGGTTTATGTCTATTGCAAAATCTGGGAATTTTTCAGCCATTATTTTTTTGAGTACTTCTTCAACCCTACCTTCTCTTCTCTCCTTCCACATGTCTGCAATATATTTTAAGGGTAATGGGCAATTTAATCAAGAAACTTACATCTTTTAATGAGAAACAGACCATTCCACAACTTAGCTGTTTGTAACAATTAGCCCACAACTAATTAGCTCACAACTCAGTGGAATGACAAATTTTCTCTGTCTCAGCATAGCAGTGCTTTTCCTGGTCTCAGATGGTCTTACTCATGAATCTTTAGTTAGCTGCTAGATTAACTGGAGGCTAATTGGTCTAGGAGGTCTGTACTGGAATGGCTTGTCTCTACTTCACATGTTCCTCCACTTTCTAGCAGACTAACATGAGCTTTCTCCCATGTGATGGAAGTGTTACAAGAGCTGTAAGAAGCAAAAAAACAGTTGTGTAAGAGTTTTTCAAGGCCTGGCTGTTGTTATGCCTGCCAGTGTCTGATTGGTCAAATAAATCACATGAGCAATCCAAAGTCAAGGAATGGAAAAACAGACTACGTGTCTTAATGGCAGGAGAAGAATTTTACAATGTACCCTCAGGCTACTATGATCATATTCACCTTTTTAAAAGATTATTTGGTGCCACAAGAGGTATGAATTGCAGAAAGCAAGAGTTGATACTGAGAGACCAGTTGCAATACGAGGATAGAAAGAAATGGAGATTAAAAACACACTTAGGAGCCAGTATTGACAAATGATTGATTATGCATGAGTAGGCAAGAAAAGGTAAATCATGCATTACTATCAGGTTTCTGTCTTGAGCAAGTTGGTGAATACACTGACATTTATTGAATTGGAAACCCTATAAGTAGCAAGATAAAGAATGGGTAATTACTTCAAGTTTTGGATAAGTTGTATTTGGGTACTAAAAAGCATCCAAGTGGAAATGTTGACTATATAGCTCAGTATACGGCCAGGATCTTGGAAGAGAGTTCGGGCCTAGAGAAAAAGATCCTTTCGTCCCCCAGATTGAAAAGATACATTAAGTATCTTCTTTGTTTCATACTCTCTCAATCATACGTGATCCTCTATACATGTATACAATTCTACATGCCTTTGAGACTCATGATGAAAACTTTCCCTTTTCTATTCCCAACCACCGACATTTTAGTCATTCTTTCTACATTTATTTTTAAAAAATCAACTTATTGACTATAACTTTCACTATAGGAATGGATGAGTTAAATGCTAATATCCATAAGAGTTGTATGGTTCTAAAAATATAAGTGATGGAATAAATGCAGAGTTCCATTGAGATCAACAATTTTAACAGCATTCAGAAACGTATTTTTATATTTTGCTACTTTATTAAGCACAAATATATTTAGTATTTGTTTAAAAGATGTGTATATCTTGAGACAAATAAATGAAAAATTTAATCTTAGTTATTGCCAATGGTGCTATATATCTTTCCACTACTAGATTTCACGAATAGAGAGACAGGCTACATGATGTGTATATTTGTAACAAGGAGTAAGGGCTACATGAGCATAGGATCATATCCCTCATTATGTTAGTACCTATTGATACAACTTTAAATTGAATTTAGTCTGTCTAATCTGGGTTGCCAGCAAGAATCAAAACAGTAAAATGATGAGAAGATAAGATTCAAAATTATTTGAGATAATATTTGGTTTAGTTTCAAGTGGTGAGAACTGAACTAGATGTCTGAAGGTCAGAGATTATGACCAGCCAAAATTTCTGAACATATGTAACTGTTGTTATATGTGCATATTTCTTAGTGTATATGAATCTTTAAAGTCTAGGAAAAGTTAGAATAAAGTGCAAGCATACTTTTTTAAAAAGTAAATTAAAATTATTTTTTATCTTGGGGTGAAATCTAGATATCAATTTTTTGTATATGTGAAATTTAATAGAGTTTGACATGTTTGAGTGACAGCCTTGTAAATCCATCCTAAAACATGTTTTTGAGTAGTTGATTCAGTAGGGTGATTTTTAAGTTAAAATCTTGCTTAGTTTATGTATAGTATATTTTTAACATTTATACAAACTTTAATTGTATTGTATTAATAGTTAATTTCTCGGATCTATAAAAATCCCTAAAGTGTGAGAAGACTTTTTGTCAGAAAATCAAAATGTTTAAATTGAATGCAAAATATATTTATAAATTCTGTTGAAAATGCTTGATTAGTTTAACTACCTTGTAAATGTGACCAGGTAGTATTCAAAGTCCCTCTTGTAAATGTGACCAAGTAGTATCCAAAGTCCCTTTAAAGATGCTCATGTTTCTAGATTTACAAGTTGACTAGGAATACTAGCAGAATAGAATGTGACTATGTTGAATAGAAACACAAGCAGATTGAACAGAATTTGCAGTTAAGCTTAAGTATCTAAGAAAGAAGTCGGGTTTTTAATTTGTAACATCAATAAGTTGAATTTAAAATAAAATCATAAAATTGTAAAGTCTTTCTTACATACAAAATCTACCCTAAGCTCAATACAGGTAGAAAATAATTTAGAAGACTGTTGCATAAAATGAAAAAGTCAGTTAGACTTTTAGTCCCCCACAAAAAACGGGGGACTCTTTTGGAGACAGTGCAATGGGACGTGAAATGATACATACACAAAACTATAAGCAGAATGAGATGCTGGAGCTCTTGGGAGGGAATGAATCTTGGGCTGTACAATGTCTTCTTGAAGTTAATGCTCAATGCAGTGACCAAGAACAAAGACAAAGTTGATAGCTAGCAAACAGCAAGGTAGTAGGATGATCCTCTTTAACTCCCCACTGGGACATTTGGAGCCACATTTTGCTGGGTAACAAACTCCCATTCAGCTTTTTCACTCCCTCCAAGTTCAGTCTTCTATAAGAAGAGAGGTGAGAAGACTTGTAAGAATGAGCCCGTCCACATGAGTTGGGGTAGTGTGGAGGAATGGGTGTTACAGAGCAAACCAGGAGCTCATAAGAGCAAATCAGAATCCTACTCAGGTGGAGCTGGCTTGTTCTATTCCTTTCGTCCCCCAGATTGAAAAGATACATTAAGTATCTTCTTTGTTTCATACTCTCTCAATCATACGTGATCATCTATACATGTATACAATTCTACATGCCTTTGAGACTCATGATTAAAACTTTCCCTTCTCTATTCCCAACCACTGACATTTTAGTCATTCTTTCTACATTTATTTAAAAAAAACACACACACATCTGACTGGTAATCTTTCTCTTCTTATTAGGCCCTTGTTCTATCCTGGGTGACTTCTGTGTCATCAATATCTTGTTCTACAATTCCTTAACATTCTTATCTAAAATGATTAATTTTTCCATTCCAATGCAGCCATTTACTCCCATGGCCTCATCCTGAACCTTGTTCCTTGGAACTATTCTGCTTCTGATATTATAGAGACAGAATCACAGAGAGGATAACAACCTCCTAGCTTTCTATCCTTCAAATATTAATCAAGCCTATTTTTCTTCATGCTTACCATCACCTACCTGTTACTCATTCATCCCATTATTATTTCTTTTCTAGATTATTACTTCTACCTCTTAACTGATCTCACTGACTCTAATGTGTAACTCATTTCTGTTTACACATCTTCAGTGTTCTTTCTATATAAAATGCAAATTAGATTATTGTCCTTAGGACAGTTTCTAGACTCTTGAACATATGTACTTTGAGCCCATTTCTTTATTTTTTTCATTTTAACTCTCATATTGCCCCACTTTCATCTTTTCACTTCTGCAAGATTGAAACTCACTGAGTTCTGCAGGGATTCCATATGCTCTTACCTATAAGCCTTTATATACACTTCATTCAGTCTGAGATATCAAACTGTTCCTACCTGCCAGTTCTATCTCCACCTTACCCTTCCCTTTTAGCTCTTTTCTACATATTTAGTAGGTTCTAACTTAAATTTTACTTTTTAAAATAAAGCTTTCCTAAAACGCCACTAGCCCAGGCACCCCACACTGAATGTAGTACTCTTATATTTATGCTCCTACAGCATCCTCTACTTCACAGTCAGATAATGGATTATACTTTATTGTAATTGTATTTTTCTCTGTAGGTTCTTTAATCAACTTACATTTGGACTACTTATGAAGAGTTAGAAATGCCTAAACATCTCTACTCTTAACTGTCTATATGTTATGGTTTGAGGAAGGAATGCAGTGCTATATTTTCAAAAAATTTCTCAGCTCAGGCTTGTATTGTATGTTTACTTGATGAAAAATATTTATACTGTAAGGGGGACAGTTTGAGAGAAATGAAAAACCAAGATTCACTGATAATTATGTAATTTTAATATTTATTGTTTCATGAGCACCTATTTTAGTGCATATGTTAATGCATTAGTATTAACAGGGCCTAGATGAATATCAATAAAAGCTAACATTTGTTAATTAACATATACTAGTTATCATGGCATTTTGCATGCATTTGCTCATTTGTCCCTTCACACCTTATTCAAAAGTAGGCATTACTCTTTGTCCTAATCCATTTTCTGTTGCAATAACGGAATACTTGACACTAGCAAATGTATAAAGAAAAGAAATTTATTTTTCACTGTTCTGAAAACTGGAGTCCAAGAGCATGGCGGCAGCATTTGGTGAGGGTGATCCAATGGCAGAAGGCAAAAGTGAGCTGATGACACAGAGAGCACAAGAGTGAGCTGAGTTCACTTTTATAACAACCAACTCTCATAAAAACTAACTTGCTCTCATGAAACAGCATTAATGCACTCATGATCCAATCACCTCTTAAAGGTTCCACCTTTTAATGTAGTTACATTAGCAATTAAGTTTCCAACATATAAAATTGGGGGGACACATTCAAATCATAGCACTCTTATAACCACAATTTACAAAATAAGAAAACTGAAGCTAATAAAGTTTAAGTAACGTGTCAAAGGTTTATGATTTCTCCAAGTGATGAAGCCAAGAGTTACACTCAGATGCTTAGGTTCCAGGGCTTGCCCACTGAACCACTCACATGTTTTAGCAAAAGAGTAACTTGTATATGACGGGAAAAGGGTGGTGGTTTATGTGTGAAATAATGTGATTTCAAGAAATCGGCATTTGAAGTAGAAACAAGATCCTATATACCATTTTTCAAGCTGGTTCTATTTATTTATTATCACCTGAATAGCTCGTACTACCTGTAATATTGAACAACATTAAATATTTTTATTTTATATTGATATTCATGATAAAGAAACTTACATTATTGATCTAGGAGATGAAAATGGAAAGCACTGCTTGCCATTCTTTTTATCTAATAAAAAGTAACCAAGAATCTTGTGAAAAATACATTTACTTAATGAGGAAATATCATACAGCCTCCCAGGGCAACACAATCAAGCACCTTGCCAAGAGCTTATTCAAGAACTATGGATTGGATAGTCCCAAATTCTTAATTAAGTGCCCTTTCCTCTAAATTCCCTGAAGTACGGTCCAGTTTACTAATAGCTACAAATATAATTGGCACAGAAATGACTTCTTTTGCACTAAAATATCACATATGCCAAGGGAATGAGTACAACAACAGACTAGTGATACTGATTCTCTAAAGTCTGGGTTATTAAACTAAGCTCACAAAGTCAAGAACAAAACTCTTGTGAGGAAGGTCTATACACTATGTGGTTGGGATTTGTGGAATGGGTGGCAGGCTGAGAGGAAGAGATGACAAATGGGGATGGCTAATACATTTTCCATTTTAGGAGCAGAATAGGCTTCTGCATTTCTGGACTTTTGTTTATTCATTTACTCATACATTTGTTTGTTCACTCATTCATGCATGGATGGGTGCATTTTTATGCTTTGTATGATGAATTCAAATACATAAGTCCAGGGGAGAGTCAGGTATTTTTACTCAAAGAAAAGTACAACTCCTGTCTAGAAATGCTGGACCCACTGCCCAACTTAGATAGCAAATTCAAAGTGTCCACTCATCCTAATCTGTTTATTTAAAAACAAAAAGACAAATAAATAAATTGTGTAAGAGTCTTCTTCACTGTTATATTAATTCTTTTTGTATTATTTATGTATTTGCAAATAACCCTGACTTAAAATGAGTATGACATTATTGCAAAATAAAACTTAATTTAAAAATCATAAAATGGCATTAAGTTTAGGAAATTTAGAAAAATGCACAAATCCTCTTTTTACCACCTTCTATTTGTATACATTTCTGTAATTCTCTTATTTTCTCAAGCTTACATTTTTCATCTACAAAATGAGGATATTGATACCTCTTCTATTTCAGGAAGATTAAAGATTGAATTTGAAAAAATTTTGTAAACTCTAAAGGATTATGAACATGTTTATAATTAAAATAGTATGTTTTCTATTTTTTCCCAGTTAAGTCTTAGTAGCACTCGCAATTACTAAATCAGTATTCATGTAGATTATATCAGTCAGAAGGCTCCAGAGATCTCTTAATGAGATTATACAAAAGCAAATATTTTATCCAGTATTGAAATGCATCACCTTTGAAAGTTAATGGATCAATTGCCTAATAGGAACAATAACTGTAATGTTTTACAACAGAAATATCTCTTTCAACTGACATTCTAAAGGGAGTTCAGTGGGAGGGAAACAATTATTCAGAGTGTTTGACTGTGCTCAGAATTATAAAAAGTGCCCTGGAATCTTAAATAAGTTTGAGTAGACAGATGTTTAAAGTTGCATACATCAAAGCTAAAATTTTTTTTTTCTACTTTTGTTTTAAACTTAAAAAAATCTAAACTTTAAAAAAATTATATTAGGAATTAAATGCTGGGGGAAAATCTCATATTCGTAGCTCCCAAGCCCTAGGCTTTTGGAGGCTCAGGGAAGTTAAATACTTTGTCCAAGTTATAATGGTTGAGATATAAGCCTAGACAGCTTTTGGTGATGGTCCTTATATTTTAACCATTACACAAAATTTATCTCAGAGGGACAAACAGCAGATCATAGTTTTATGTAACTTTTCTCAAAGAAATAATTATTCTGAGTAAAATTTTATTTTCTAAAGCTCATAAAAGATTATTGTGATTCTAGATTCTAGATTCTAAGCAGCTAGGACCTGAAGAATTTTGCCGTCCTTTCAAAACTGGTCCAACTACACAACAGTCTTGGCTGAATTTGTCACTTAAATAAAAGGTCAGAATCAAAATACAAAGACAAGATTGAATATGAGATTTTCAACTAAAATCTATCCAAATTCTAACCAAAATAAAAATAACTAGTAAGGAATATAATATGTTGGTGTTGGACTAGGTGGAGGCAGAGAAAAAGGATAGAACATTAAAATAATTTTCACATTTTAGTTAGCAAGCAAGCAAGAAAGAATGTAAACATATCTCCTACATTATTTTTCATACCATTTGGGTAGTTTTAAGATGTCAGAGAGCAGTATTTTCCATTTCAAGTGATCATGCCTCCTTTGAGTTAAATTTCTGTAATAGCTAGAATATTTTACCTTCCAAGATTCTTTTTGAGCAATGAATTAAAAAAAATCTTGTGACGTTATTTTTAAAAAATGCTTGATGTTATCCTTATTTAAATGATTTAGATAGTCTATCCTCTAAACATATTTATGTGGTTCGCTTGGACAGTGTACATGAGTATTTGTTTTTCACTTAGCCTTGTGTTACAGTGATAGGTAGCAATATTATTCTTTAACTCTATTTCCACATTTTTTATAAATTAGCAGAGGATTGTGTGTGAGATTTACAGAAAAATAATTAACATATAAATTATTATAGTGAAATAATTTAAATAATTCAAATACCAAAATATCTGGTAGATCACTAAGAAGAAGAGAGATCTGTTAGATCTGGGCTGATTTCAAAAAGCATGCCTTGTATTTTACATAAGCAAGAGTTAAGAGAATAAGGGCTTGAGAGTAATGCTGTGATGTGAATAGATACATTTGGTCATATTTTGAAGGGCTTCAATGCTGACCTAAAGGGTTTGTAATGTGCTTGGCTGCCTTATATGGTAGTAATTTGGCCATCTTTCAGGGTGTTGATGAAGAGGCGTCCTGTCAGGATGTTGATGAAGAGCATGTGTGTGTGTGTGTGTATGTATGTATACATATATATATATATATATGTATATGTATATATGTACACACGAGAGCACACACATGTGTATATATACATATATACGTGAGAGCACACACACACAGCTTCCATGAGACACCATTCAAAACCCATTATGGACAACTCTCACCTTAAATTGTCTACTCCTTAGAAACCCCTTTGGTTCAATTTGCATCTGTTAATTATATCAGACTCAATATTCCATTGACATCCTCTTCGCTTTATTTCCCATCCTTCCCAAATTCCAACTAAGAAGTCTTGAAACAAGCTTTTCATATTTCACTTTGTTCCTTCCATGGGCATTATTTAGCTTCAGAGCTCAAAAGGCGTATCTTCAAAGTAACCATTTTTCCCATCACCTAAAATGCAAATGATGGTCCATAGGAAAATGATTTTCACAACACGTTTTCTGTATCCATTAATTTTTTGACAGACTCTTAGATAGTTTCTGTATCTTGGCTTGTGAATAATACTACAATGAACATGAGAGTGCAGACATCTCTTCATACAACCCAAAAATCCCATATGAATATGTGTCCACCTTTCTCTGTTTAGAAACCTTGCTTCTTATTTTATAATTCGCCTCTTCTATTCATGTTCTGTATATCTGTATTTCCTAAATTGTTTTACTGAATCATGTATTAACCACATTTATATTTGTTATGAAAAATTGTAGCCACACTAAATTGGTAAATGGTAGTTTATATAAATCTCTTTACTACAGGACTCTTAAAAACTTTCAGTATTCTTATGTTCGTACTTATTCTTCAAAAGTGAAACACTTTGCAGAGTTTGCTAATTTTTTTGATCTTGGAAATAAGTCCCCGCCCCCCACACACACCCAGCACAAAGAATGCTATAGGATTTAATGGTCTAAGGAACAACTTCAGTAAATGCCTAAGTAACATATTCAAGAGGGTGTGCTAATATTGAAATTTTACAAATCAGAGTGTTTTAATTGTATTATTCAATAGAAACAAATAAGAGTATTTCCAGTCAATATTCAGAATAGATTGCCCACAAGACAGTGAGATACCTCACAGTCATAAGGAATTAATATATTTTTCAATTGTAATCTGGAAAATGATATTTCAGATAATGCACTTGTCTTCTTGAACTTTGCACATGCTGAGTAAATGATGGTTAAGATTCAGGAAAGAAAATATGATAATTATAAAATTATTGCCTAATTTATTATTTGGTAATTGGCAATCCTTTTCAATGGCACTTTGCTTGGTGATCGACTATTTTAGAAGTAAATCCAATAAATGAAAATATGCTTTATTATGCAACTGAAGTTTGATTCTAATATGGCTTTTCTGTTTTTTAGAAGAATGTTCATTCTACTTTTGCAGAAAATAATTCCAATAAATGGAGGTAGTATTGTGGAGTGATGTGAACACTGGATTTGGCAAGAGAAGATCTGATTTTTTTTTAAATTCTAGGTTTCCTTCTGATTTGTTATGTCACCATGGGCAAAATTTTAATGGAGTAGCAATGTAGCATAAGACACAGTAGATAGCTTTTTAATTTCTTAATTGACATGTAATGATTGTACATATTTATGAGGTACAAGAGTGTTATTTCAATGCATCCAATACAGTATGAAATGATCAAATCAATGTAATTAGCATATCTATAATCTCAAACATTTACCATTTCTTTGTGGGAACATTCAAAATAGTGTCTTCTAGAGAGTTAAAAGTACACAACGAATCATTGTTAACTACAATCACTCTATATTGCTATAGAACACTAGAACTTACATCTCTTGTATAGCTGTAATTTTATATCTATTTACCAACCTCTCCCTATCCTCCCATCCTAGCTACATTTCTCAGCCTCTAACAACCACACTTCTGTTCTTTTCTACTATAAGCTCAACACTTTTAGCTCCCACATATGAGTGAGAACATACAGTATATATCTTTGTGTGCCTGACTTAACTCACTTACCATATGTCCTCCAGCTCACCCATATTGTTGTGATGACAGGGTTTCATTCCTTTTTTATGGCTGAATAGTATCCCATTGTGTATGTATATATATATATATATATATATACCACAATTTCCTTATCCATTTATCTGTGGATGGACACTTAAGTTGATTGTATATCTTGGCTGTTATGAATACTACTGCAGTAAACATGGGGGTACAGATAGCTCTCCAATATACTGTTTTCCTTTATTTTGGATAAATACCAAGTTGTGGAATTACTAGATCACATGGTATTTCTATTTTTAGTTTTCTCAGGAACTCTTAAACTGTTTTCCATGATGGCTGTTCTAATTTATATTCCCACTACCAGTTTTATAAGAATTCCTTTTTCTTTGCATTTCGCCAGCATTTATTTTTTGTGTTTTTGAAAATAATCATTCTAACTATGTTGAGATGATATCTCATTGCGGTTTTGATTTGAATTTTCCTTATAATTAGTGATGATGATAATTTTTATATACTTGTTGGCTATTTGTATGCCTTCTTTTGAGAATTGCCTAGTCAGATCCTTTGGCCATTTTAAATTGGGTGATTTGGGTTTTTTTTTTTTGATAAGTTATTTGAGTTCCCTATATGTTCTGGAAATTAATCACTTGTAAATGGATATTTGCAAATATTTTCACCTATTCAAGAGGTTGTCTTTTCACTCTGTTGATTGTTTTCTTTGCTGTGCATAACACTTTTAGTTTGATAGAATCTCCTTTATGTATTTTTGTATTTATTGCCTGTGTTTTTGAAACCTTACCTATAAAATATTTCCCCAGACTAAAGTCACGGAACTTTTCCCCCATGTTTTCTTCTAGTATTTCATAGTTTCAGAAAATATATTTAAATATTTAATCCATTTTCAGCTGTTTTTTTATATGTTGAGAGATAAGGGTCTACTTTCATTCTTCTTTATATGGATAACCCGTTTACTTAGCAACATTTCTTGAAGAAGGTGTCCTGTATTCAATGTATGATCTTGTCACTTTTACCAAAATTTAGTTGGCTATAAATATGTAGATCTATTCCTGCATTCTCTATTCTCCATGTCATTGGTTTATGTGTCTGTTTTTAAGCCAGTACTATGCTGTTTTGGTTATTAGATCTGTGTAGTATATTTTGAAGTCAGGTAGTGTTATACCTTCATCTTTGTTCTCTTTGATCAGAATTGCTTTAGCTGTTTGTGGTGTTTTGGGGTTCCATACAGATTTTGGGCTTGTTTTTCCTATTTCTGTGAAGAATGTCATTGGTACTTTGGTAGAAATTGCATTGAGTCTGTAAATCTTTTTGGGGAGCATGGTCATTTTAATAATATTAGTTGTTCCAATCAATGAACATGAAAAGTCTTTTCATTTTTTTCTCATGTTGTCTTCTTCAATTTCTTTCATCACTATTTTGTAGTAGTCATTGTAGAGATCTTTCACCTCCTTGATTAAATTTATATCTAGGTATTTTTTGATAGCTATTATAAATAAGGTTGCTTTCTTTTTGTTTTCTTTCAGCTAATTCACTGCTAGTGTACAGGAACATTACTGATATTTTATGTTGATTTTGTATCCAGAAACTTTATTTGTTTTATTTATAAGTTCTAAGTGTTTTTGATGCAGCTTTTAGCTTTCCTAGATATGAGATCATGTAATCTGCAGAGGGACAATTTGACTTCCTCTTTTTCAATTTGGATGCCCTTTGTTTCTTTCTCTTGCCTAATTGGTCTTGCAGGGACTTCGAGTACTATTCTGAATAAGAGTGATGAAAATGTGCAGCTTTGTCTTATTCCAGTTTTAGAGGAAAAGCTTTCAGCTTATCCTCATTCAGTATGATGTTAACTGTGCATTTGTCTTATACTGCCTTTATCATATTGAGGCACATTTCTTCTACATTGAATTTCTTGAGAATTTTTATCATGAAGAGATGTTGAATTTTATCAGATGCTTTTTCTGCATCTCTTGAGATGATCATATTTTTTGTCCTTCATTCTATTACATTATGTATCACGTTTATGGATTTACATATGCTGAATCATTACTGCATTCCTGGGATAAATATCATTTGATAATGATGTATGATCTCTTCGATATGCTGTTGGATTCAGTTTGCTAGTATTTTGCTGAAAACTTTTGTGTCTATGTCTATCAGGGATTTTGGACTTTAGTTTTCTTTCTTTGTTGTGTTCCTGTCTGGTTTTGGTATCAGGGTAATTCTGGCATTGTAGAATGAGTTAGGAAGAATTCTCTACTCTTCAACATGTTTGAATTGTTTAAGAAGAATTGGTATTAGTTTTCCTTTAAATGTTTGGTAGAATTCAATTTTTCTTTGTTAAGAAACTTTGTATTGTTGTGTCAATCTTGCTATTTGTTATTGGTCTATTCACATGTTCTATTTCTTCCTGGCTCAATCTTGGTAGGCTGTATGTGTCCAGGAATTTGTCGATTTCCTCTAGGTTTTCTGATTTATTGGCACATTGTTGTTCATAATAGTTTCTACTGGTCTTTTGTATTTCTGTGATGTCAGTGGCAATGTCTCTTCTTTTGTTTCTAATTTTATTTAGTTGGATATTCTCCGTTTTTCTCAGTTTGTTTAGCTAATCACTGTTGATTTTGTTTACTTTTCAGAGACCAAATTTTCATTTTGGTTATTTTGTATCTCTTTTAGTCTCTATTTTGTTCAGTTCTGCCATTATCTTTATTATTTCTTTCCGTCTACTCTTTTCGGGTTTAATTTGTTCTTGCTTTTTTTAATTTCTTGAGGGGCATGATTAGGTTATTTATTTGAAATTTTTCTGCTTTATTGATGTAGGCATTTTTTGCTATAATCTTCCCTCTTGGTAATACTTTTGCTATATCCCATAGGTATGTTTTGTTTCAATTTTCATTGGTTTCAAAAAATGTTTTTATTTCATTCTTCATTGACCCCTTGATCTTTCAGAAACATGTCTAATATTTAGGTATTTGTATAGTTTCTAAAGTTCCTCTTATTACTGATTTCTAGTTTTATTCCAATGTGTTCTGAGATGTTATAATTTTAATTTTTAAGAATTCATTGAGATTTGTTTTGTGTCCTAACATATGGTCTATCTTAGAGAACATTCCATATGCTGATGAGAAAAATATATATTTTTCAGCTACTCAGTGAAATGTTCTATAAATGTCTGTTAGATCCATTTGGTATATGGTGCCATTTAAGTCTGATGTTTCTTTTTTAAACTTTGGTCTACATGGTGTGTCCAATGCTAAGCATGGGGGGTTGAAGTCCCCAACTATTATAGTAGTGTGGTATATCTCCCCCTTTAGTTCTAACAATATTTGCTTTATATAGTTGGGTGCTACAGTGCTCATGCATCCTCTCTTATTGTTTATCTTTGAAGGTTGGTGGTTTGTTTACTTTTTGGTAATGATAATGTTTGATTTCTTTCTGTTCACAACGTTTGATTTATTTTAGTTTCTCATTTGTGTATCTGCTCTACTGGTGAGTTTATACGTTCACACGTTTTCATGATGGTAGATATTGTCTTTTTACTTTCAGATATAAAACTGCCTCAATTATTTCTTGAAGGGCTAGTTTAGTTGTGATGAATTTCCACTGCTTTTGCATGTCTGGGAAAGAGTTTATTTCTCCTTCATTTCTGAAAAAAGTATCTTGGCTGGGTATTGTATTCTTGGTCAACAATTTTTTTTTCTTTAGTGCTTAGAATATATCATCTCATTCTCACATGGCCTGGAAGGTTTCGCTGGGAAATCTTTTATTCTGATGGAGATTTCCTTATATGTGACTAGGCAGTTTTCTCTTGCTATTTTTAGAATTCTTTCTTTGACTTTTGACAGTTTGACTATAATGTGCCTCTGACAGGACCTTTCTGGGTTGTATGTATTTGAAGATCTTGAGCTTCCTATATCTAGATGCCCATATCCATTCCAAGATTTGGGAAATTTTTATGTTATTTTATTCAATGTTTTTTTTAATGCATTTTGCCATCTCTTCTGCTTCTGAAGCCCTCAAAATTTGAAAATTTATTCATTCAATGCTGCCACATTTATACTGTAGACTTTGTAATTCTTTTTTATTATTATCTGACTTGGTTATTTCAAAAGATGTGTCTTAAAGTTCATAAATTCTTTCTTCTTCTTGATCTAGTCTATTGTTGAAGCTCTAAATTATACTTTTTATTTTTATTTCGTTGAACTTTTCACTTCCAAGAGTTCTGTTTGGCTCTTTTTTATGGCATCTCTCTCTTTGTTGAATTTCCCATTTATATTATTAATTATTTTCCTGACTTTGTTGAATTGTCTAACTGTTCCATTGTGTTTTGCTGAGTTTCCTTAAGATCATCATTTTTTAATTCCATTTCATGCATTTCACAGATTTATATTTTTGGGATATGTTACTAGAGAATTGTTATATTCCTTTGAAAGTATCACATTTCCTTGCTTTTTTGCTTTTATTTCCTTACATTAATATCTACATGTCTGCGAGAATGGTTGTTTTGAATTTTATGGAGTGACCTTCATAGGAAAAGACTTTTTCCTGTAGATGTGTCTTATAGGGTCAGCTGTGTAGGATTTTTTTGGCTTTGGTTCTAGGTGGGCACAATAGTATACTTTCCATTTGATTAATTTGGCTGTTATCAAAATCATTGGTGTCTTTGAGTGCCTCAGTGGCCTAGCTGCAGTTTTTTGTAAAGTCTGTGGCACAGATTTACTGAGGGCGGGTCCTGGGCAAGCTGGTCTTTGGGGCCTAGGGAAGTGCATGCAAACACATGACAGCTCCACTGCTGGAGAAGCCAGTGTCATCAGCAACAGTGGTGGCGGACCCCAGGCAGGCCAGTCTTTGAGATGCCAGGGGGCACGCACAAGTGCACAGCACCTTCATCTCCAGAAGAGTGTGGTTGCTGGTGGTGATGAGAGCAGTTCCTGGGAGGGCAGCTCTCTGGTTCTGTGTCGTGATTGTGTTGGCTTTCTTTGTACTAAGGGCTGCCTCCCTGCTGTGTTAGACTGCCTGTGCCTCAGGGTGTAGGGCACTGCATGGGTTCATATGGTAGGGTCATATCTGTATAGCTGGGTCCAGGTGGTGTTGTAATGTTGCAGTCCTCTGAGTGAATGCAGTGAGATGTTGGCAGGACCCCAGGATGTGACGATGTCAGAACTACTGGGCCCCGGGGCAGGATGTAGTCTAGAGGTGACTCTCCTCTCAAAATGATGATGTGATGCAACAGCCTAGGTGGGTGGGTGGAGGGAAGCAGTGTGGATTCCCCCTCTGGAATAATGCAGTGTGTGGTCTTTAGGCAGATTTCTATACAGAGTTCAATACCTGCAAGGGCTGTGGAGCTCTTCTGTAGCTAGGATTGCAGGCATCCATGGTAACAATGTGAACTGCTGGAGACCTCCCACTTACCTTTTCCCCACAGTGGGGACTTTCTCGGCTCTAAGTCAGTCTCAGTTGTGGCCTTCCCTTCTGTCTGTATGCTGCCATCCTGAGTCTGTTCCTCTGTGGGTTTTCATCACTTCTCTGCTGAATTTCGGTGTTCTCCTCTAGATACTTTATTTAACTTGTGGTTAACTATTTTTTTGTTTTGGTCTTTCTTTGTGGAGCAGGCAAGTGCTGAATACCTCTAGTCAGCAATCTTGATGATGTCTCCTCTATTTATAAGTTTTAGAAAAGTTTTCCCTCAGTTGTTCCAGCCTTACAGGTGTGATTTCCATAAAACTACCATGGTCAGATTTAAGGTTTTTTTTCCTAGAATTCGTCTTCCCTTAATTTCTTCAGTCAGAAGAACTCCACGTTTCCCTCCAAAGGCTGCTTGAAGAACAGTCTTCCCTTCCCAGCCTGACAGTATCTCTGATGTTATGTAAAAGTATCCTGCATACCAGACCTGGACCAGTCCTTTTTGTTTGGACTGTCTTCCCCTGTTGAACTTCTGTTCTTTAAGTTCATCATTCAGTGGGAGCATTCCATCACCACATGATTCCCACTTTAGAAAAGGTGTTATCAAGACCTGACACTCTACTGGCAGCATCACACTCTGCACTCAGTGCCTACCCCTGTTATTAAGAAAAGAAAAGGTGATTGAACTATCTGCCACTATGAGAAAATTTCACTAATATCTAAAGATTGGTTAAAATAAAAACCACATGTCATCAATGCCTCACAATAATTGGGAAAATTGAAATTTTATTTTCTCCTTGGCACAAGAGGAACTAGCTAGAAAAACTAGCTGTTGATGCACTTCCTTGCACTCTTTTCATTGGGATTTCTCTGTCCTGCCTCTCAGCACTAAGATCTGGGAGTGAAGGAGCTCAACATTACATCCTCTGCCTTCAGCTCAACGATTTCTATGATGGGGATTCAAAGTCCAGTCAAGAAAAAGGGAGAAGAGGTGAGAGGCCAACATATGTTGTTAAACCTTTCAATGAGGACTTCAGGAAGTGTCAAGGAATAAAAAATGATTTTAGCTTAACCTTGGGTCTATCAACTGAGGACAGAACAAAATCATGGCCATAAAGCCTTTGCTGTTGTAAATAAGAAAAGTAAAGATTATTATATGGCAAAAGCATATTGTTTAATTTTTTCATCAAAGCTAAATGGAAGGAAAAGCAAGTTTGTGCCATTTATGGGAATTACATAAAGAAAGAATATTAATTTCTAGTTTTATAAAAATCTATTGCAGTGTTGTTAATTTCTAGTTTTCGAAAAATCTAATGCAGAATTCAAGGAGAAATCTATGACACTACGTTTTCTAAAAATGACTGAATTTTATACTAAGTCAAGAAAAATCATACCTTTCAAACAGAATTGTGCACTTACACACATAGGCATATGCATGCATGCATACACATACACACGCACACACCACACAATTAGTGACTGAGGGATTACTATATTCCTGGCAGGAGTTGCCAATGTGCGTGGTTTTGAATAAAGTTCATTGCTCTTATTCAGGTCACTATCTATAATTCAGATTTATTCAAAAACACTCCACTTGGTAGGTTTTTAGTGTGCTATTTTTAGTGATAAAGAGTTGCCATTAGGAAGAAAGAAATATGGTTCTCCCTCTTTTGTTAAAAGATACCTATTCTGTGGCAGAAATGCTTATGTATTTTTTACTTGTTCTCTGGCATTTACTTAAACTTTGACATGGAAAGCTTGATGTCTTTTATAGAAAATTATTCCATTTTTACCTTTTTTTGTTGTTAAGATGACTAGGTGCTGTTATGTTATCACTGTTTTAAATGCAGGCATGTCTTAAAATTCCTAGCTATTTTAAGCAGATCATTCAAATCTTTTGAACGACATTAATACACCATTTTCAGGGAAGCTACGTTTATTGAATCTTTCAAATACTCTCTGCTTAGCTTGGCTGTCATCACACCATCAGTTGTGTGGTATATAAATAACCTCACTTTAACATGTGAGAAATAATAAAAAAGACTCCTTATGGATGTTAAGATGGGAAATTAAACTCCAGGTGCTTCACGGAGTTATTTGGGACATTTTCCAGTTGTCAATATGGAAATCCTGTCACTCAGGGCAGGGATCTGTTGCCATGGGGAAGCAAAAGCTGCATCATTTGACAAGTTGGCAGTGGTTATAGTTGGTAGAAAAAGAAAAACTTGGAGACAGGTATTAGAAGATGGCCGTTCACCAGGGATTGATGTACTGGTTTGAAAATAAATTAATTATTCTTCTCTTCCTTTTATAAACATGTGTTTGTGCAAAAAGATTATGGTCTTTTAGGCACATAAATCATAAAACTTAGATGTAACCATGTCTCTTAACTACATAAATGCACATACATCCAAGCATTTAATTGATTAATTACCCTCTTTGAAATAATGATGTGTTAGATGAAAAATTTAATATTAACATTGACTTGGCTATGACTTCCAAGCGAGTCAAACTCTGAATTGTTAAGTAAGAAGTTTAAAATCTTCTTTTGCTCAGTCTTAGTGAGAATGAGCTTTCCATTAAAGATATTGCATTCCATCCCATTTCTGCAGTACACTCAAGGAGGTTAACAACTAGGCAAAGTTCAGAGAAGAGCAAGGGATGCTAAGAGATTGAGGAACTGATTTTCAACGAAACAAAACCCCCCATGCCACCCTTAAAGTAGTGTGTCAATTATTAATTTCCCTTTAAATTCAGGAGGGCAGCCTCTATCTAGTTACTCACTAGGTGGAGAATAAGACATTGCTCTCTCTAATGATAAACCCACTATAACCCAGATTTGGCATAAAGCTATCAGGACTCAGGCCCTGCTTAGGATGTTTTAACATTTGGAATTATTAGAGTGTGTGGCATTGTCCAATCTCTTCTATTGAATGACATCTTTGCCTGACTCTTAAGCGTATAAAAAAAGTAACCTTATTTCTATTTTTTCTTCAACCAGAATTATCTTTATTTCTAAATGAGAGTAAGGATACTTGGACTTCTAAAGTACATTTCCAAAACAAGCTACTATGGTAAAACAATATATAATCAAGTAGAAAAGGTATAAAGGAAGCTATTTCCTCTACATCAACTGAATGAGCTACTTTCAAAAGTATTCTTTTGAAGATAGGGGACATGGGATCTCTCTTTTTCCCATACAGAGTTAAACAATGTGAGGATGTTCATTGTGGCAAAGCCTTGTTCAGATTTAATTTTGATCCTTGAGGTTTGTCAGTCACAGTTCTTTGTACAGAATGAAGTCTTAGTAAATATATGCTTTTAAAATAATATTTATGTAAATGTGTTCTAAGCAGGGCATAGAACTCTTGGAGATTTATAGTGGAAATTTTTGAAAGAGAGAATGAGTGTCTAAAATTTTAAAAGGCAAAGTCCGACCTATAACCTAGAAACCTATATAATAGATTGAATTTGAGATAGAAAATACAGTTAGCATAATTTAAAAAATTATAATTTGTTTCTTAGGTCAGTTTTGGAAAATTTAAAGGTAGGCTAAATATTGCATATTTTGTACTATGGAATGTATTAATATACAATTTCTCACAAAACAGTGGTATACAATTTATTTGGAATAAGCTGGAAAAAATGTATATATACAATATAATAAGCTTAAAATAAATGTTGGGGTTGGGGGAGAGGGCAGGAATTGACCTTAAATGAACACACTCTATGTTAATGATCCTATGCTAGGTACATTATTCCTAGCAATTTCTAAACAAGGAAATTGAGGCTCAGTGTTTGTGACATTTGAATTCACTAAGTGCACCACAGATGAATAGACAAGTCTGTTAAATTCTAAAATCTAAATTTTATCATAGTTACTTATTCCTTTACAATAAGTTAGAGTTTTAAAATATTGCATACTTGCTCTTTTTAAATCAGTTGTTACACTTGCAAAACCACTTCTTAATACTATAATTTATTCATGTCTTAAAGTTTGTCTGTCCATCCAATTGCTTTGCTCACTGCTTTTTCTAACCTTTTCCTTGCCATCTGCTCACCCACACTGCTGATTTTTCCTACCAGCAGGTGTCAAGTTTCTTCAATCTGTTCAACTCTGATATTCTTCAACTCTGGCAAACTTTAGTCAGGCCCCTCTGAGCCCTTTTCTTGACTAGTTCTCAATCTCAGGTTTCTGTCTTAGTCCTTGCCTTGCCTCCCAGTTTTAGTAAAAATCCTGCTAAGTCAGGTTTTAAGAAATTCTCCACCCTTACTCTCTGATCGCATGTGATATCTGATCAAATTTTCATCTTCCAACATCCCCCAGATGATATCTGATCACCTTTGCCTGCCTTCAGCAAGAATCCTGCTGGGTGGGTTTAGCCAAAATCCTGCTACTGTTGCTGTCTCCTCTTAGTAATTTTCCATTCACCCATCCATCAGCCTGCTCCTTGGTTACAAATCCCCCCTTGTTTTGCCATATTAGGAATTAAGCCCAGCTCTATTCTGAGGTCTCTTTTCCCATATTGTAATAAATTCATGAATAAAATCTGTTTTTACCTTTTTAACTACTGTCTGATTCTGGTTTTCTTTGACACCTCCACTACAAAAAGCTGTAAAGTCGTAATTTGCTTCCATGATCTCAAATTCTAAAATGTCTTTGATTTCAACTACTCATCTTTTTACTTGCACTAATTCCTAATGTTAATGGAACCAGTTTTTCACACTCATTTTCAACTCCTTAAGAGTACAGGGGTAATAATAATGGAGGCATGCCATGGTGAATGATAAAATATTCATGGATATTCTTTTATCTGTAGAGGAGATTATAGTTTCAAAATTATTTTATACATGTTGACATCAACTATGAACTCTATTTTTCAACATATTCTATTTCTCATTATATATGTAAAACACATACTGAATATGGTTATTTTAAACAAAAAAAATGAATGAAATTAGAGCATTCCTTTTTGGAGCACTGCTCCAATACAGCCTATTGAATCAAAAAAGCCTCTCCTTGACAAGACTTTGACAAGAAAGGAGGTAAGCTCTTGTGAGGGTCTCTCTAATTGTGGATATAGTACTTCCTACTAGTGGTTGTAATTATTCCAGAACAGGGATTTTTTTTTTTTTCCTACCTTGTAGTACTACGCCTCCAGGTATCCAGCTGAAAATTTGTCATGAAATTGCTCTGCATTAGATGCTTCTCATTATCTTCTTTATTTTCAAACAGAAAAGTCATAGAATTTGCATCAGAATAGTGATGCTATACTGCCATGTGCATTCCAGTCTATGTACTATGTACGATACAGACCTATGTTATCCATCAGTGGCAGTAACCAACTTGCTCCGTTTGCACTCTGCTGTTGTTAAAGGAAACATTACTATCATTCAGAGCCATCAGTAGTGTACAGAATTCCTCTGTACTGGTTCCTGTAAAACGAACAGTCTATGTTACAGTATATTGAAAAGAATTAGAGATATAGCATGAGAAATATTTTATTTGAATCCTGGTTCTTCAGTTTAATATCTGTGGTACTCAAGCTTTGTGATGCTTTGTTTCCCCAACTGTAAAATGGGGTAAAACATCTACTTCTCTATGTTATAACAGTATTAAATGATTTTAGATTTATTAACAGCTAGCATTGTGTATAGTATACATAGGAAGTGCTTTTTACCTGGCTGATATTCTTCATATTATGTGGATCTTTCTGTAGTGAATCATTGGTATGATATTATTCAGTGCAATATAATCATTTTAAACATTTATTTTTATGGTGAAATTGGGATTAAGTCATGTTACAATGCCAGGAGAGAATTTTCTCAGTTTCCTGTTGTAGAGTTTTCTTCTTTTTAAATAGCAGCTTATACTTAATGACAACAGGGGTAAAAGGGAAAGTGACAGGAGAGAATTGAATTGACCAGGGAGATAAGGGATAACTAAACATAGTGTATTTTTTCTATTTAGGAAATAAATAGGAGATCCAAATAAATTATGAATGATGTTACTCAAAAAAGCAAAAAATACATTTTGCATCATATCCAATGTCATGAGTACTCTCTCTCTAGTAAGTAACAATGCAGTGGAAAGGGTGGTTTGGGAAGTGAGAGTAGACCCTTTGAAACCTCCAACAATGATGAAGCCATTTAAATTAAACATTCTTTCAAAGTAATAATTCCAGCTGTGCTCATACAGCCTTAAGACATGCCCCTTGATAAGTTCTATCAACAAAATGGCTATCCTACATCTGGATCTGCCACTGCCTCAGCCCGTCACTGACTCTTCAATCTTTTGCTTACCTGCTTTCACTTATCTTACACGTTTCTAATATTCTACTAACAGTAAGAATTTTGTTGTTGTTTTGTTTACTTTTTTTCCTCCTGTCTCATCAGTACATCTAATCAGTAGGATCATTTTTTTTCTTTCATTTAACTGCTCTATTGTACAATTACCTATACATATATGGGTATATTCCCTAATAACATGTCCAGGTCTTCTTTTCATCTGATGTGAACGTCAGCTTTTTCATCCATATGAGTCTCTTTCAAGCTCTAGTTTCAGAATTATACTGGGCATTTCAGTATATATGATTTGTCTATCCTCTTACCTTCATTATATTTTAAAAATCATACCACTGACTAGGCACAGTGGCTCACGCCTATAATCCCAGCACTTTGGGAGGCCAACGTGGGCAGATCACGAGGTCAAGGGATTGAGACCATCCTGGCCAACATGGTGAAACCCCATCTCTACTAAAAATACAAAAATTAGCCAGGCGTGTTGGCGTGTGCCTGTAATCCCAGCTACTTGGGAGGCTGAGGCAGGAGAATTGCTTGAACCCGAGAGGCAAAGGTTGCAGTGAGCTGAAATTGCACCACTGCACTCCAGCCTGGGCGGCAGAACGAGACTCTGTCTCAAAAAAAAAAAAAAAAAGAAAAAGGAAAAAAAAATTATACCACCATACTCCTAGAAACTCCATCTGGAAAACTGAAGTCTTATCCAACTTTATGCTTTCCAATCAGTCCCCAAATCCTGCCCAGTTTACCTTTCTCTATTATACTTGTCTTATTTTTTTGACTACCAGGGTTTGCCTTTCACCATCTTTGACCCAGAAAAGTGTTAATTGTTTCTAACCTTATCTCTAGTTAGAGGTTAGTCGGCAGTTTCCATTTATACTGAGTTGGGTTTTGGTTGGCTTATGTAGAAACCCAGGACAGTGGAGTCACCTCAGCCTTATGGCCTCCCAGTTAATTGTTTTAACAGAATATTTGAAATTTCAGGTGAGTGAAAAGAGCAAATGATGCATTTACTATTTTTATCTTACATTCTTGGAGCCCAGAATGTTGCCATGCAAAATGTAGTTTTTAAACCAACAGCATGAGTACCACCTGGGAGCTTGTTAGAAATGCAGACTCTTGGGTTTCATCCCAGATACTGAATCAGAATCTTCATTCTGTGAGAAACTCATGCAATTTATATGTACAGTAAATTTACAAGGCACTGGCTAAGATTGCAAGCTTCTTGAAGGTAAAAGTCATATAAGTTAAAAATGCTATGAAGTTTGCTTTCCTTAGTAAATTCCTAGAATGAAGTTACATGTTTGTGAGTAAATGCAGATGTAGCCAATCACTTCTTTCAATATAATCAAAATTGACAGCCAGCACAGTCTACAATTAATGTCAAGAGACCTTACTGCTCTCTTCTTTCTTGCCCCTGCCTAGGTCATTCCATTAATTGAGCCCTGGGAAACATTTCAATGACAACTGCAGCAAATGGTTTGATTTCTCTTTCAGTTTACATTTGCAAGCAAAAAAGAAAGGAGGAGGGATAAAGAAAGAACATTACAAACAGCATAATGCAAATGAGGCCCCTTTAAACAGCAAGCAATCTGCATAGGTACATGCCTTATGCTATAGTCCCAAATGCAATCATTAGACTGCTTTCCCACCAGGGAAAGAGAAGACATTGAGTGCTATTGAACATTGCCAATTTTTATAGTGGATCAGCTTGAAAATATTTAGCACAGATGTTTCTGTAATTGTGACACATTGGGAAAATTCACATGTTCAATAGCCCTCTAACTCTCTCTTCCATCTGTGCAGTGTGATGGTCCACAGTTACTGCACAAGGCCATTATATGAAACAGAGAGTAATGGGGTCTGGCTCAAGACCTATAGAAAGATTCTCTTGTACCATCTGTGCTCCTCTATTTGCTTGCAGGTATATGTGTGTTTGTACTTATTTATGATTGTTGTTATCACATACCTAAAAAGCTGCATCTCTTTCTTGCACTCTGTGGTTAAGCAGAGCTTAGCCCACAACCAGGATCTGGAGAGAATGAGTGGAATAGAGAATTGGAACACAGAAAGCTCACTTTTTTTCTTTAGCTCCAGCCTCAATTCTAATCAAGGTCAGCAATGGCTGAAAGTTTTTTTTATGAGCTGCTGGTTGTTCGATGAATGCAAAGTAAGCTGGCAGACTCATTTGGGTTCCCAGTGAACAGTTGCCCAAGTTACAAACCATTGGCTTCCTGGTTTTTATCTGAGCAAAGAGATCTCCTAGCAGAGTGGTCTTTCTGACTATTCCTGTCCTCAGTGTTCTCATTCTCTTCTCTCAAATATAGAATTTTGAATCCAGCTTCTGCATCTGTGTCACACTGTTTAGTGCCTTCTCATGTCTTGTTCTTCCTGGGCTATTCTTCTGTTTAGATTATTATTTTATTATCTACTAACTAGATTATAAATTCCATAAGGATAGGGATTACTTCTGTTACTCTCCTTTCATTTGTACTCTTTGCTCACACAGTTCTAAATTTGTTACTCCCTGAAGATAGAATTCATACAAATATGATCAACTATCATCTACTTGCATATAAATTTTTTAAAGAATATAGTTAAAATATGCTATGGGTGTGTAAAGATTGGACTATTCCATTTTCGATTATATGCTGTGTTCTTCTCCAGCCTCTGGCCTCTAGTCATGTTGATACTAAGAAGCAGTTGCAAAATACCAAACTGTTTATCTGGCTTTTCTCTCCTGAAACAAACTACAAGATGAACAGTTTTCAAACCATTCAATCATTTTTAATGTGACCCCAGAAACATTTTGGTATAGTATTTTCAACTAGAGCTATAAACATTTCATGTATTTTGCAAGTAATTTGCAGGTTGAGTAAGCTATCCTTGCCTAGATTGCTCATAAATTGAAGCCTGTCTATCTCACATCATCATAGGCACCTTAGAAGAACTACTAAGCCAAATTATGTAGCTAATTTTATCTTTAAACAATGATTACCAATTATAAAGCTTTAGGAAATAGTATACTTGGAATCTGACCTAAAGAGATAAGAAACAATTTTTATTCTATGTTCTATGTCTCAACAAATACTTTGCTCTATGTCACGGCCTGAAGAATCTCACATAACTATTACTAGAGTTAGATGCATATTTTTGGTGAAAGAATTCTAAAATATGCATAGAAGGGAATGTTGAAATAAACGGTTCTAGTAATTAAAAGAAAATTTTATTATATCTGCTCAGCCATACACATTGTGAGAAGATAGGAATACACATAGTGTTGAATTATCGTTTATATTTTCAATTATTTATAGTATTTTCATTAAACAAATGTTGATTGTATATTTTTATGTGTTAAGCAAAAGCCAGAGTGTTGATACACCAATATGAAAAAATAAAATAGATGTGGTATCTGTCTTCTTAAAGCTTGTAATCCAACAAGGATTTAGGAAAATGCATGGGCAATTAATACACAGAATGATGAGCTGAATCTTTATATAAATAGGATAACATGAAAGCCCATGGAAGACACCTAACTCTTACAGCTTCCCCTAAGAAGAAGTAGAGAGCAATAATGTTGCTTCAAAAAAGAAGCATCTATGAAGCTCTAGAAGTAAGAGACATTTTATAGCGTAATTATGTCATGAAACTAATTAGCACCATATAAATTCAGATTATATCCAACGGACCCATTTCCAAGACATAAGAAGTAGAAGCCACAGCATTACAACTATACACACACACACACACACACACACACACACACACACACACACACACACATATATATATTATATATACCAAATGTATGTATACCAAATGTATATACACACACATATATATACACATACATATATATATTTTATATATATACACACACATATATATATTATATATATATACACACACACATATATATACACACACTAAGGAACAATTGCGTATATAATTGTTCCATATAACAATTGCATAAATAATTGTTCCATGTAACAATTGCAATATATTATATTATGAAATGGGTCTATAACATTATAGAGAGATGTAATATATATATATATATATATTTAGAGAGAGATAGAGATAGAGAGAGAAAGAGACCAAAATATATGCATTCTTAAAACTAATCATGCTAGGCAAAATTGTATAATAAAAACCACTAGGGTTACAGAAAAAATGGGGCATGAAACTGAGAAACTTTATCCATGACACATACAAAAAAGGAGAAAACATAATAAAAATGGTGGCAAAGTTTTACATGTGTTTAATGATTAAGATACACACAAATATTCAATAAATATGACATTTTATGTTTAAATTTTATGTTTAAAAATCCCTGGAGTTTGCCTGTGAAAGTGGGCATTAGAAAGGTTGCAGTTTGTGAGTTATTGTGAAATGCCACAAAGAGAATTATACGAAATTGGATGAAAACTTGTCACACCAGATGTGAAAAGATATGTTTGTCTTTCCTTAGTCACAGATTTGGCAGTTTCCATGAGTCAGAAGTCTGGGCATAGTGTAGTTCAGCTGGTTCTCTGCTTCAGGTTTCAAAATCAACGTGTTGGCAAGGCGGTTTTTTCCACGGGATCCTCTGGGAAGGATTCAATCCACTTCCAAGTTCATCCAGTTGCTGCAGAAGCCATTTCTTGAGGGATACAAGGTGAAGTCCCAATTTTCCTATTAGCTGTTAGATGAAGGCTTCCTTGTTCCTACAGGCCTCTCTCTAGTCCATACATGTGGTCCCTGCATCTCAGAACCAGTGACTGTATGTCAAACCATTCCAGTGCTTGGGAACTCTCCTTCTGTTTCATATTTCTTGCTCTAGCCAGAGAAAGCTCTGTTTTTAAGGGCTCATGTGATTAGATTAGGCCCATTGTATAACCCAGAATAATCTTTTTTAAATTACATCAATGATTAGTAACTTCCATTAAATCTATGAAGTCCTTTCACCATATAACATAATATTCATCGGTTCCTAGGATCAGGGAATGGACATTTTGGGGGCCTATTCTGTCTACCTCAATGAGTGTGGTTTATAAGATACATGGTTGACTTAGGTAGCTGGCAGATGTTTGAGATGTATGCATTTTATGTGCAGTCATGCATCACTTAGTGACAGGGATATGTTCTGAGAAATGTGTTTTTAGGCAATTTTGTCCTTGTGCAAACATCATAGTGTATACTTACGCAAACCTAGATGGTATAGCCTACTAGACCCAGGCTATAGCAGCCTATTTTCTCCTAGGCTACAAACCTGTACAGCATGCTACTGTACTGAATACTGTAGGCAATGGTAATACAATGCTAAGTATTTGTTTATTTAAACATATCTAAATATAGAAAAGGTACAGTACAAATATGGCATTATAATCTTATGAGACCACTCTCATATATGCAGTCTATCATTGATCTAAACATTGTTATGTGGCATATGATTGTATTCCTATGTGGCTCCTTTCAGCTGGGTGACAATTTTTGCACCAACTAGAACTTCTTATGGAAAAAACCAGGCATAAACAACCATGAAATTTGTATTATGCCCACATTGTTTCTAAAATGTCAATTGTGTTGGAACAAATTTGTGTTTTCAAAATAACCACTATAGCAGAATTGATTGTACATATTTTAAAGAAAGAACACTACAGTTGGCTTTTATAAATATAGTTATAGTGGCAGGTTCATAGGCACAGTGGGTAGAGAAATCTGCCGTATTTCAGATATATTCTAACTATAAGAATCTGGATAAATGCCAGCTTTTTCTAGACTCTAATTGCCTCACAAGTCAAATAAGGGGTTTGGCCAAATTGTCTTGCAAGTCTCTTTTAGATAGAAAAATAATTTTCATAATAAATCTAAGCTCATAGAAAATGTATCAATAACTTGTTAACAATATGTGAAGAAGTGATGATTATTTTCATATATGTAGATGGATACATCTGGCCCAAGGCTTTATCCAAGTCCATTAGCCAACAAAATGATATTTTCATGCACTTACGAGACCCCAAAAGGATATATTTTTAAATATATTTTGTATAGCTATATATTTGATCCTAGGAATGCAAATGGAAAAAATGGAAGTAAAAGGAAGCTTTTAAAAGGATGATAGGACCTAAATATTAGCTGGTGATGAAATATGAGAGGTCTTCAAAAATTTCATGGAAAATGCATATTATGAAAAAACTGGCCAAGCATGGTGGCTCATGCCTGTAATCCCAGCACTTTGGGAGGTTGAGGCAGGCAGATCACTTGAGCTCAGGAGTTTGTGACCAGCCTGGGTAATATGGTGAAAGTCCATCTCTACAAAAAACACAAAAAATTAGCTAGGCATAATGCCATGAGCCTGTAGTCTCACTTACTTGAGGGGCTGGGCTCAGCCTAAGATGCTGAGGCTGCAGTGAGCTCAGATTGCACCACTGCACTGCAACCTGGGTGACAAAGTGAGACCCTGTATCAAAAAAAAAAAAAAAAAGAAAGAGAAAGAAAGAAAGAAAGAAAGAAAGAAAGAAAGAAAGAAAGGAAGAAAAAGTGAAAGGAAAGGAAAGGAAAGGGAGGGGAGGGGGGAGGGGAGGGGAGGGGAGGGGAGGGGGAGGGGAGGGGAGGGGGAGGGGGAAAGGGAAAGGGAAAGGGAAAGGGAGAAAAAAATTATGCTTGCATTTCAAAATTGTTTGCACCAACATAAGCTTGTACTAACTTGGAGGAGGCACATTTTACATGGCTGGAGCAGGAGAAAGATGGCGAGGAGGAGGAAGTGTTACACATATTATAAACATCCAGATCTCATGAGTACTCACTCACTACAATGAGAACAGCAAGATGGAAATCCTCCCTCATGATACAATCACCTTCCACCAGGCCCCTCCTCCAACACTGGGGATAGCAATTCAACATGCGATTTGGGCAGGAACACAAGTCCAAACCAATCATTCTGCCCCTGGCCCCTCCAAAATCTCATGTCCTTCTCATGTTTTAAAACAGAATCCTTTCTTCTCAACAGTCCCCCAAGCCTTAACTCATTTCAGCATTCACTAAAAAATCCATAGTCCAAAGTCTCACCTTAGACAAGGCAAGTCCCTTCCACCTATGAGCCTGTAAAATCAAAAATAAGTTAGTTACTTCCAAGATACAATGGGGGTATAGGCATTGTTAAATACACCCACTCTAAGAGGGAGAAATCAGCCAAAACAAAGGGGCTAAAGACCCCATGCAAGTCCAAAATACAGCAGAGCAGTCATTAAATGTTAAAGCTCCAAAATAATCCTCTTTGACTCCATGTCTCACATCCAAGCCAAACTGAGGAAAGGGGTGGGCTCCTAAGGCCTTGAGCAGCTCCACCCCTGTGGCTCTGCATGGTACAGTCCCCACAGCTGCTTTCATGGGCTGGCGTTGAGTATCTACATCTTTTCCAGGCACATGTTGCAAGCTGTCGGTGGATTTATCATTCTGGGGTCTGGAAGATGATGGCTCTCTTCTCACAGCTCCACTATTCAGTGCCCCAGTGGAGACTGCATCAGGGCTCCAACCCCACCTTTCCCATCTGTCCTGCCCTAATAGAGGTTCTACATGAGGGCTCAGCTGCTGCAGCACATTTCTATTTGGACATCCAGACATTTCCATACATCCTCTGAAATCTAGGTGGAGCCTCAAAGGGTGCAAGCCCCCAGCCTTGGTGGCTTCCATGTGGTGATGGGCCTGCAGGTGCACAGAGAGCAAGCCTCAGCTCTTGCTCTCTGTGCATGCACAGGCCCATCACCACATGGAAGTCTCCAAGGCTGGGGGCTTGCACCCTCTGAAGCCATGGCCCAAGCTGTACCTTGGCCTCTTTTAGCCATGGCTGCTTGGAGCTGGAGTATCCATGATGCAGGACATTATGTCCTGAGGCTGTGCAGATCAGCAGGGCCCTGGACCTGGCCCACAAAACCATTCTTCCCTACTAAACCTTTGGACCTGTGATGAGAGGGGCTGCCTCAAAGGTCTCTGTAATGCCTTTGAAGCATTTTCCCCATTATGCTGGCTATCAACATTTGCTTCCTCTTTATTTACACAAATTTCTGCTGCTAGCTTGAATTCCTCCTCGAGAAAATGGGTTTTTCCTTTTTATGGGTTTTTCCATGGTAAAGCTGCAAATTTCCCAAAATTTTACACTCTCCTTCCCTTTTAAAGTTCCAGTTTCAGATCATCTCTTGGCTCATGCATAACAGAAGTAACCTTGGCTCCAGTTCCCAATAAGTTCCTCACCTCTATCGGAGACCTCCTCAGCCAGGACTTCATTGTCCATATCACTATTAACATTTTGGTCACAACAATTTAACAAGTCTCTAGGAAGTTCCAAACTTTCCCTCATCTTCCTGTCTTCTTCTGAGTCCTCCAAACTGTTCCAACCTCTGCTCGTTACCCAGTTCCAAAGTCGTTTCCACATTTTTAGGTATCTTTTTAGCAATACACCACTCCTGGTACCAATTTTCTGTAGTAGTCTGTTCTTGCACTGCTAGAAAGAAATATCTGAAACTGGGTAATTTATAAGAAGAGAGGTTTAATTGGCTCACAGTTCCACAAGCTGTACAGGAAGCATGGCTGAGGAGGCCTCAGGATACTTACAATCTTGGTGGAAGGCAAAGTGGAAGGAGGCACATCTTACCTGGCTGGAGCCCGAGGACGAGGGAGAAAAGTTGGAAGTGCTACTCACTTTATAAACAACCAAATCTCATGAGAACTCACTCAGTAACACGATAACAGCAAGGGGGAAATCTGCCACCATGAGCCAATCACCTCCTACCAGACGCGTCCTCCAACACTGGGAATTACAATTTGGCATGAGATTTGACTGGGGACACAAATCCAAGCCATATTAGGCATTCATCTTTAAGTCATAATTAGGCTCTTTCTGACTTCTGTTTGTTTCTCAATCTTAAAAAAATCTGTGAAGGGCATCCATTTTTCTTCAGTTAACAATGTAAAAAAAGACTACATTGATATGGTTAAATTCCTAAGACCCTCAAGTCTTTAGGGACGAACTAAATGTCTAGTATCATCACTTACAAAAGTGTCAAACTTAGTGGAGCTTGTGTTGATATATAAAGTTTATATTTTTATTTTCATCATTTAATTCCATGTTTCTGACAACTGTTTGAAGTTTCCTCATATATACATTTTTATTTTAGAAAAATAGTATTATACAGAGTATTTTCACCTGAGCTAATACCATAGACACTTGAATCCAGACATTTTGGCCCAAGTATTATTTTAAGCATTGCCAAAAAAAAAAAAAAAAAAAAAAAACCAGAGAGTCAGTCATCTGAGTGACAATATTACCCCCTTCTTTGAGTCAGTTCACTAAACTGTCCCCTAACTGTCATTTATGGAAGAAAGAGACACTTGTGCTCAAGTATTTGGCTAAGACTGGTCAGAGCTAAAAAAAATTCTTCTTGGCAATGATGTTTTATTTTAACAAATTTATTGAACATTTGACACTTAATTCAGCTCACAGCCAAGAGGATTGAATCAAAGAGAAGCTCCACTAGATCTTGCTAAATTGCAGTTTCCAAGAGACCACTTTCTTTACCAGCTGTCAGGCTTGATAAGCTGCCTGTTACAGCTGACATTGGATCCTCCCTAGCAGATTACATCACATTAAACAGTGATGGAGTCTGTGTTATTTAGTCCCTTGTTTTTCTTCCCAACATCCTCTCCCTTCACCTCGCTTCCTCTTCCCTACATGCTGAATTCCATATACCTTCTCCGGGTTCTCTCAGTGTCTTGGGATCTTTAATCTTAGAACATTTGTTACACTGCACTGTCCTTGTTGGGTTGCTATTTTGGCTTAGCTATTAGATTATGAGCTTTATGAGGGCAGGGCCTAGGTCTTGTGTCACTTTATCTCCTCAGCATTTAGAACTCTGATTAAATTATAGAAAAGCTCAATAAATGTGTGTAGAATAAGTGATGTCAATGATAGTAGCACCATCGATTGTCAAATTGAACCCTCTCAGTAGACAAGGCTTAAATAATTCAATATTCTGTACTAAAAATCCCCCGTCACAACAATAAATCCTGTTATTTTAAACTCTTCCAGGCTATGGTCAATGATTTCATTAGAGTTGGTTAAAATGGAAACCAAGTTTACATATTCAGTACCCATGTGGCCAGTAGGCTTTCTCAAATTTTACTCATCTATTTCATGTCAAAAGTAGTCACGTGAGAATGGACAAAACATATGAATATTTAGTACGACCAATAACTACCCCTGAAAAACAATTAATAATTATATTTTAATATAATATATGTTAATCCATGTTTTTTAACAAATATAAAGTTGGAAATATTCAACTCATTTGTGAAATGAAAATGTATAGGACTATATGGCAAACTTATATTATGCCAGGGATTACTTTTTGTTTTGTTTTTGTTTTAGTGTACAAAGAAGAATATGTCCATGTTTCTACACCCAGTGAGATTATCTTCTTTATAAATTGTGAATAATATTTTTTAAAAAAAGTCAAATTTGTGATTATTCTGTGGTTCTGATTAAATACTGAGATAATTCAGAGTAAAAACAAAAAAAATCAGTCTGTGTTTCTTTGAGCATATGAAAATTTACATAATGATAGGCCTTAGATCTCAGAAGTGATGGTGTCATGAACCTTGACTAAACTAACCTATTTATTTTAAAAAATCATCATGTGAAGAAAGTTTGGTTAAACGAGAGAACATATGCCAGATAGAAGGTATTAAATGTTTAATCTAACTTGATTTTTAAAAAGTCTCAGTATTATTTTAACACATTATTAGTTGGTACACATAAAGTTTAGTCCTATCTCTGCCACTGATTACTTATTTAAACTTGTCAGGTATCAAATTTTTTTGGAGCTCAATCTCCTTATGAGGAAAATTAAAGAGCTGACAAAATGAATCCCAAGATCCCTTCTACCTATACCATTTCACTATCTTCTTTTTTTTTCATACAATATTTAAACTTGATTGAATTGGATGGAGATCAACCAAATATTATTGATCTTAAGTTCCACTTGAGTGTCCTTTCCAGAATAAAAAGATAGCTCAATTACTCTTTCCACTGCAACTCAGAATCTAGTCTCTCTCTCTCTGTCTTTGTCTCTCTCTCTCTCTTTCTTTTTCTCTCTCTCTCTCATACAAAAAGACACTTAAGTGGGGAAAAAGAAGCCTCCACTCCATAGACAGCAGATAACAGGAATATCCACTAGGAAGACTCAAGTTTCGGTAAATCAGGGTGCTATGAACAGGCTAATACTATAGGAGAATGTGTTTTGTCATGAAATTGGGTCCCAGAAGACACAGACACCAGAGTCGAGAGAGAAAATAAATGAAAATTGTATCTAGATGTGGGGTTGGTGAAAAATGCAATGTCTGAATGAGACAATAAGTGATAAAATGGGTTTATATTTTAGGAGACACCTGAAGAAAATGAAGAAGAATTACATGAATCGAATTAACTATTTTAGGGTAGTCGCAAGAGCATGATTTGGGATAGAGGCAAATACAAGCAGGATGCTGTTTAATAGCCATATAATACTGACTAGTTGTTTAACCCTTTAAGCTACAGTTTTCTGATCTGTGGTTAAGAATAACTGGTCAGGAGAATTCAATTATATTTGGCACACAAACAGCACAGTGCCTATCATTTCTTAGATTATCACAAATTTCTGAAAGCAAATCTTATTATGATTTGCACTTAGAGCAGTCAGGCCAGCGCCTTATAGTTTCCTCACTTGTGAAAGGAGGATCTTGGGGGATATTATTTTTTGTGGAAATAAAATTTGATGATTTTCAATTCAGTGTGGCTCAATGCTTCTAGCAATAGTCTTTCTGTCAGATATCCCACCTGTTTCCATATCTTTTCTCAGTTTGGTCCTCATTCTAATACATATGTAAATGAGGTTGACTGCTTAGGAAACAGAGATGGATCATTCAATCATTCATTTACTCAGTAGGTATTTATAGGTATTTATGGAGTACCGAACATGTGCTAAGCACCCTGTTGTGTCTAAAGATTCAGTGTGATTAAACACAGACCTTTTTTTCCCCCTCATGGAGCTTAGAATCTAGAGGCTTTTTCTTTTTTTGGAATAAAGATCATCATACCATCACATATGTTAAAATGATTTTGTGTAAGTTCTGTAAAGGAAAGATACATAATGGTCGGAGAATCTACAGAGAGTTGGACATCATTTTTAGGAGGATGGGGAAGGATTTCTTGAGACTGAGGATGCGATGCTTAAACTTGATATCTGAAGACATTATGATTTTGCTAAGTGAAGACAAAAGTGAATTTTAGCAAGAGAGAGCTGCATGAGAAAAGGCACCATGTTGGGAAAGCACCATGGAATTATGCAGCATTGATCAGCAAGGAGATTATCTGAAATTTAGAGATGAACAGGTATTCAACAAAAAAGAAAGGGAGGAGACAAGAGAAGGAGGTAGGAATAAGAACCACTTTACCCTGCTTGAGAGCATTAGAAAGCTGTTGAAACATTTTATTTTTTATTTTTTGGTTACATGGATAAATTCTTCAAGGGTAATTTCTGAGATTCTGGTGAACCCGTCACCCAAGCAGTGTACACCTTACCCAATGCTTAGTTTTTTATCTCTCATCCCTAACACACCCTTCCCCCTGAGCCCCCAAAGTCCATTGTATTATTCTTACACCTTTGTGTCTTCATAGCTTAGCTCCCATTTATAAGTAAGAACATATGATATTTGGTTTTCCATTCGTGGGTTACTTCACTTAGAATAATGATCTGCAACTCCATACGGGTTGCTGCTAATGCCATTATTTTATTCCTTTTTATGGCTGAGTAGTATTCCATGGTGTATATATACCACATTTTCTTTAACTATTCATTGGTTTATGGGCATTTAGGCTTGTTCCATATTTTTTCAGTTGCAAGTTGTGCTTCTGTAAACATGCATGTGTGTCTTTTTCATATAATGACTTCCTTTCCTCTGGGTAGATATACAGTAGTGGGATTGCTGGATCAAATGATGATTCTACTTTTAGCTCTTCGAGGAATCTCTCCATACTGTTTTCCATAGTGGTTGTACTAGTTTACATTCCCACCAGCAGTGAAAGTGCTCCATTTTCATCACATCCATAGCAACATCTATTATTTTTTTGATTTTTTTATTATGGCCATTCTTGCAGGAGTAAGGTGGTATCTTATTGTGATTTTAATTTGCATTTGCCTGAACATTAGTGATGTTGAGCATTTATTTTTTCATATGTTTGTTGGCCATTTGCATATCTTCTTTTGAGGTTTGTCTATTCATGTCCTTAGCCCACTTTTTGATGGGATTATTTGGGTTTTTTTTTCTTGCTGATTTGTTTGAGTTCCTTGTAGATTCTGGATATTAGTCCGTTGTCAAATGCATAGATTGTGAATACTTTCTTCCACTCTGTCGGTTGTCTGTTTACTCCGCTGATTGTTTCTTTTGCTGTGCAGAAGCTTTTTTAAATTAATGAGTTCCCATATATTTATTTTTGTTTTTTGTTGCAGTTGGATTTGAGTTTTTGATCATGAATTCTTTGCTTGCGTCAATGTCTAGAAGAGTTCTTCCAATACTATCTTCTAGAGTCTTTATGGTTTCAAATCTTAGATATAAGTCTTTGGTCCATCTTGAGTTGATTTTTGTTTAAGAAAAAATATGAGGATCTAGTTTCATCCTTCTACATGATGCTTGAAAATTATCCCAGCACCATTTGGTGAATAGAGTAACAAGATGAATTCAGTTAAGTTTCAGGATACAAAATCAATGTACACAAATCAGTAGCACTGCTATACACCAACAACCACCAAGCTGAGAAAAAAAACAAGAACTCAATCCCTTTTATAATAGCTGCAAAGAAAAATACTTAGAAATATACCTAACCAAGGTGGTAAAAGATCTTTACAAGGAAAACTACAAAACAATACTGAAATAAATCATTAGCAACACAAACAAATGGAAACACATACCATGCTCATGGATGGGTAGAATCAATATTGCAAAAATGATCATACTGCAAAAAGCAATCTACATATTCAATGCAATTCCCATCAAAGTACCTTCATCATTCTTTACGGAACTAGAAAAAGCAATCCTAAAATTTATATGGAACCTAAAAAGAGGCAGCATAGCCAAAGCAAGACTAAGCAAAAATAACCAATCTGGAGGCATCACATAATCCCACTTGAAACTATGCTATAAGACTATAGTTACTGAAACAGCATGGTACTGATATAAAAATAGGCACGCAGACCAATGGAAAAGAATAGAGAACCCAGAAAAAGCCAAATATTTACAGCCAACTGATCACTGACAAAGCAAACAAAAACATAAAGTAGGGAAAGGACATCCTGTTGAAGCACTTTAATCAGGAGAGGAGGATTATATTATCAGGCTTCTGTGTGCAGAACAGAGTGAAGAGGTGCCTGAGTGGGTGAGAGCAGACCAGGCAGAGGCTATTCAATAGCAGATAAGTTAATGAATGAGAGGTGGGGGCAAAGCTGGAGGTGGAGGTGTAGGTGGTACCAATCACAGGGATAAAGACACTTCCAGAAGAGCCAATTTAAGTAAAGAGAGTTGGAGATTGACACCCCTTTGGAAGATCCAAGAAGAGCTATTAAATAGGCAACTGCATCTACAAGATTGAACCTCAGAAAAGAGAGTTGGAATGGCAATGGAAAGTTTGAGTCATTCTCATGTAGGTGGTAACTGAAGTGACATGTATGAATAATGATGAATAAAAGGAAGACCAGAGTAATAAAAGGAGAATGGCTGAGAGAGTCTTGAGGTCTTCTCACATTTAGAGGCAAGAAGAGAGAGGCAATGCTGACTAAGAGACAAAGAGTAAGGAAAGGTAAGACAGAAACCAAGAGAATCTTATGAACTTGTCTTTCCATGTCACATAACCATCTGATATAATTTATGATCATGATTGTCCTAATTAATACAAAACCAATTAAGATAGAAATAGCAGGCTTAGCCTAGAAAGTTTCTATATAAAGAAACAACTTATTGGTTGCATTAGCTTTGCATGTACTACCTTTTAGAAAACTTAACTAAATGTAATGAAGTCTATGTGATTCTTCTTACAAAACTGGAAATGTCGAAACTGAAGTCAAGGTGTCATTAGCAAAACTATTTAGTTTAGTAAATTGATTGGTTATTGTTATCTATATGCTTTCTTGAAGTATCATAAAATGTATTTCTTATGATGTTTCCATTATTTATCTATCCATTAGCATATTATATATAGTTACAGACCTATGTAAAATGTTTTAACTTGCATTTCATGAATAATTTAAATCTATAATCTTGAGGGAATTAATTGTACTAAGAAATGTATGTTCTACCCATGAATGACTAGCCTTAATAAAAGGAATCTTTTATTAGATACTTGAAGACTATGTAGATTTATATGTAGATTTATTTTCAAATCTACCCCTTCCCTCCAATCTGGCAGACATTAATACTTTTTGCTTGAATATACTTTTACTATAATGGTTGCAAAATTATAATTTTTTTGCTCCATTATTCCTTCTATATTTATTAATTGGCATTGTGTTCCAAGGAAGTAGGTTGTAATCCATTACTTTATTTTGGTGTGTGCTCATATTTTCCCAGATTTAGACAGACAGAGCCTCTTCATGCTGGCTTTTATAACCTTTTACCTTGCCTTCAGACACACACACACACACACATACACACACACACACGTTTTAGTATACTTTATTGCTTTCTGGCACAGGTGCTTTCCCTAACCTAGTCATAAAATTAGCCATTTCTTTAAAAATTTCTAGCTTATTTTAATGAGGAATGGAAACTAGAAACCAAAATATAGGGGGCAGATATGCTCATTACAGTAAATATCTTTTAAATAAAATTTGAATGCCATTCTCTCTTCTCGTCTCTGGAAAATAAATCAACCAACCAAGAAATAGACAAACGGAAATGTTAATTCTTAAATTGAGCTGATATCAAATTATACAATTTAAGTAAAACTTATTGAGCCCTCCTTGCAAATATTATAGGATATTCATTATTATCATTTAGTAGATCAAAAAGTTTATAGGCTTATTATAAACTTATAATTATAAAAATTATACTTATTTTCAAAGTGTGGTTAAATGGGTAGATGCTGAAATAATTAGAAATTCAAGACTATGAAAATTGCATTCCCCTTCATCTTAACTGAATTTAAACAAGTCTATATATATTTAGATTTTTGTTACATGTTATAAAATATTATTTTTCTAAGATTATAAGTTTCAAGCCATGAACTAATTGAACCATTTAAAATTAATAGCTTAACAACTACCCTGCCCTTCCTGGACACTTCAGTCAGAGGCAGCTCTGCATTTCTCTGAGGCAGAAATCCCCACAACCCCTTTGACGTTGCAGTTGCTGTAGTACCACTCTAACCACCCTTGGGGACGGAATAAAGGATCTAGTTCCTACACTGACAGCTGCAACACACTGCAGTCCCCATATGGAAAGAAATCCAATCTCTCTTCCTTGTGGGCCTCCAGTCCTCACTCTTCACCAGGCAGGGCCCCGGCTCAGGATCACAGATCAGTCACCCCACCCATGGCTGAGCATACCCACTGTTAGTGCCTGAGTTTCCTGAGGTGGGTGGAGGCCTCCAAGAGGCAATTGACAGCCTCTCTTCCACTGTAACTGCAGTAGTTCTGCCCCTGCTGCCCTTGGTCTAGGGAAGAAACAAAGATCCCTAGGGCTTCACCTGTGCTTTGAGCATGGCACAGTCACCAGATGAAAAGGAGCCCAGTCTCTCCTCCCTGCAAGCCCTTGATCTCTTGCTCCTCAAGAAGCAGAGCTCCCAAATCAGGCCAGCAGCACAGTGATCCCACCTCTTGGAAGAAAATCCCCAGCAGTGGCCGCTCTGCATTTCTTTGAGGTAGAACTCCCAGTGGCAACCAAAATCCCCTCTGCCACTGCTGCTGCAGTGGTGCTACCCTTGCTGCTCTGAGACTGGGGAAGGAGCAAAGACCCTGAGTGCTTTAACCAGATCACCATCAAGCTGGAGTTGCCCTAAGGAGGAGAGGCCCGTCTGTCTCCTATGTGATCCACCCACCCCACTGCTTAACACCAGAGAGAGTCCCACTGCCGTCCACCAACTGAGGCTTGGGTCTAAATCACAGCCACCCCATTCCAAGGCTGATTGTACTGATGGATAGCAGCTCTGCATTTCTCTGCAGTGGAGCCCCAGGAGACAAGTCAAAGGCCCCTGCCACAAACACTGCTAAGGTACCTTCTCCTGCAGCCTCCAAGCTGAGTAGGAAACATAAAACTTGAGCTGGCCTCAGAGCTACAGTGTGCAGTGTGGGAGTGCCAAGCTGAAATCCATAGTCAGTACTCACATAGGAGAGGAGACCACACATTTAGAGCATTGAGAGGGAGCATGGCTGCAGTTGTGAGGAAATACAGAAAAGCCATGGAGCTGAGGAAGAGCCTACCTATGGCCACTACACTTAAGTGTCATTTACTGGATTACAGCCCAAACTCCAACACACAAAAAATAATTTGCTAATATAATCCCTTGTGAAACTAAGGACAAGAATTTTGCTAGAAATTAAGACTAGGCACAAACGCTTGGCCCTCTGAAAACATCCAGAAAAGAAGTCTACTGACTATTCACAAATTACACCACAGTTGAAGGAACACCAGCTCATATAGATGAGAAAGAAGCAATGCAAGAACTCTGGTAACTTAAAAAGCTATAGTATCTTCCTTCCTCCAAACAACTGTACTAGTTCCACAGCAACAGATCTTAGCCAGGCTGAAATGACTGAAATGACAGAAATATAATTCAGAATATTGATATGAATAAAGATCATTGAGGTTCAGGAGAAAGTCAAAACTCAATCCAAGGAATCTGAGAATTACAATAAAATGATAGAAGAGCTGACAGGTGAAATGACCATTTTACAAAAGAACCAAACGGATCTAATAGAGGTGAAAAAATACAGTAGAATAATTTTATCATACAATCACAAGTATTAAAAGCAAAATAGACCAATCTGAGGAAATCATCTCATAACTCAAAGACCAGTTCTCTAAGCTAACTCAGTCAGACAGAAGTAAAAGAAAGTAAAGTAAGACAAGTAAAAAAGAATGAGCAAAACCTCTGAGAAATATGGGATTTTATAAAGAGATCAAATTTATGATTTATTGCATTACTGAAAGAGATGAGGGAAATCAAGCAACTTGGAACACACATTTCAGGATATCATCTATGAAAACTTCCTCAATATTAGTAGAGAGGCAAAATTCAAATTCAGGAAATGCAGAGAAGCTCTGCAAAATACTGCACAAAAAAGTTCATCCCCAACTCAGATAATCATCAGATTCTCCAAGGTCAAAATGAAAGAAAAAATATTAAAGGCAGCTAGAGAGAGGTAAGTCACCTAAAAGGGGAACCATATCAAGCTAACAGCAGACCTTTCAGCAGAAACCCTATAGAGCAGAAGAGATTAGGTACATATATTTAGCATTCTTAAATAATTTCCATCCAATAATTTCATACCCAGGCAAACTAAGCTTGATAAGTGAGGAAGAAATAAAATCCTTTTCAGACAAGCAAACACTAAGGAAAATTGTTATCACCAGATCTGCTTTACAAGTTTCTGAGAGAAGCACTAAATATGGAAAAGAAAGACTAGTACCAGCCACTACAAAAACACACTTAAGTACATATGCTAATGACACAATAAAGCAACCACATAAACAAGACTGCATAATAACCAGCAAAGAACAAGATGACAGGGTCAAATCTGTACATATCAATACTACTTCTGAACATACATGAGCTAAATGCCCCAATTAAAAGGCACAGAGTGGCAAGCTAGATAAAGAAGCAAGACCTAATAACATGCTGTTTTCAAGAGACTCATCTCACATTCAATGACATTCATAGGCTCAAAAGAAAAGGATGGAGAAAAATCTAACTAGCAAATGGAAAACAGAAAAAAAGCAGGGATTTGTAACCTAATTTTAGACAAAACAGACTTTAAACCAACAAATATAAAAAAAGACAAAGATGGACATTATATAACATTAAAGGGTTCAATTCAACAAGAAGACCTAACTAACCTAAATATGTACATACCCAACACAGGAATACCCAGATTCATAAAGCAAGTTGTTAGATACCTATAAAAAGACTTAGATTCCCACACAATAATAGTGGGAGACCTCACTACTGACAGTTTTTAACAGATTATCAGGCACAAAATTAACAAAGATATTCAGAACCTGAACTCAACACTTGATCAAATGTACCTAATATACATCTTCAGAACTTTTCACCCCAAAACAACGAAACATACATTTTTCTGATAGCCACATGGCACACACACTAAAATTGACCACACACTCAGACATAAAACAATCCTCAGTAAATTAAAAAAGAAAACAGATCATACCAACCACATTCTGGGACCACAGTGCGATAAAAGTAGAAATCAAACTAGGAAAATTACTTAAAATCCTGCAATTATATGGCAGTTAAACAACTTGCTCCTGAATCACTTCTGGGTAAATAATGAAATTAAGGCAGAAACCTAGAACTTTTTTGAAACTAATGAGAACAAAGATACAACATACAGAATTTCTGGGACCAGCTAAGGTGCTGTTAAGAGGGAAATTTATAGCATTAAATACCCACATCAAAAATGTACTAAATATGGAAAGGAAAAGACCAATAAAAAAAGTTAGAACATTCTCAAATTAACAACCTAACATTACAACTAGAGGAACTAGAGCAACAAGAGCAAACCAATCCCAATGCTAGCAGAAGACAAGAAATAACCAAAATCAAAACTAAATTGAAGTATATTGAGACATGAAAAACTATACAAAAGATCAACAAATCCAGGAACTGGTTCTTTGAAAAATTAACAAGATAGATAGAACACAATCAGACTAATAATGAAAAAAGAGAGAAGATCCACAAAAATACCATCAGAAATGACAAAGTGGATGTTATCAATGACACCACAAAAATACAGAAAACCCTCAGAGATGACTATGAACACCCAAGGCACACAAACTAGAAAATGTAAAAGAAAAGAATAAATTCACTTTGGGAGGCCGAGGCGGGTGGATCACAAGGTCAGGACATCACAGCCATCCTGGCTAACACGGTGAAACCCCATCTCTACTAAAAATACAAAAAGAAATTAGCCAGGTGTGGTGGTGGGTGCCTGTAGTCCCAGCTACTCAAGAGGCTGAGGCAGTAGAATGGTGGGAACCCAGGAGATGGAGCTTGCAGTGAGCTGAGATCATACCACTGCACTCCAGCCTGGGTGACAGAGCAAGACTCCGTCTCAAAAAAAATAAAAATAAATAAATAAATTCCTGGACACATATCACCTCCCAAGACTGGAACAGGAAGAAATTGAATCCTTTAAGAGACCAATAATGAGTTTCATAATTGAATCAATAATAAAAAGCCTACCAACCAAAAAAAGCCCGGGACCAGACAGATTCACAGCCAAATTCTAGCAGATGTATAAAGAAGAGCTGGGCCTATTCCTACTGAAACTATTTCAAAATTTGAAAAGAGGGGACTGATGCCTAACTATGAGTCCAGCATCATCCTAATACCAAAACCTGTCAGAGACGAAAAAAAAAAAAAAAAGGAAAGAAGAAAAATAAAGAAAATTTAAGGCCAATATTCTTGAACATAGATGCAAAAATCCTCAACAAAACACTAGCAAACTGAATCCAGCAGCACATCAAAAACTAATCCACCACGATCAATTAGGCTTTCTCCTTGGGATACAAGGTTGGTTCAACATATGCAAATCAATAAATGTGATTCAGCTATAAACAGAATGAAAGACAAAATCCATGATTATCTCAATAGATGCAGAAAAAGCTTTTAATAAAACTCAATATCTCTTCATAATAAAAACCCTCAGTAAATTAGGCATTGAAGAAACATACGTTAAAATAATAAGAGCTATCTATGAGAAACCCACAGCCAACATTATACCAAATGAGCAAAAGCTGAAAACATTCTCCTTGAAAACTAGAACAAACCAAGAATGCCCTCTCTCACCACTCCTATTCAACATAGTATTGGAAGTCCTGGCCAGAGCAATTAAGTAGGAGAAAGAAATAAAAAGCATCCAAATAGGAAAAGAGGAAGCCAAGGTTTCCCTCTTTGCAGGTGACAATTATTCTGTATCTAGAAAACCCAAAGTCACTCCCAAAAGATCCTAGATTTGATAAACAACTTTGCCAAAGTTTCAGGATATAAAATAAATTTACAAAAATCAGTAACATTCCTATACACCAATACTATCTAAATTAAGAGCCAAATCAGGAACGCAATCCCTTTCAGAATTGCCACAAAAAGAATAAAATACCTAGGAATACAGCTAACCAGAGAAGAAAAAGATCTCTACAATGAGAATTTTATAAAGCAGTACTCAGAAATCAGAGATGACAAACAAATGAAAACCATTTTTTGCTCATGGATAGGAAGAATCAGTGGCCATACTGCCCAAAGCAATTGACAGATTCAATGCTATTCCTATGAAACTACCAATGACATTCTTCCCAGAATTTGAAAAAAAAAAAACTGTTTTAAAATTCATATTAAACCAAAAAAGATCCCAAATATTCAAGGCAATCCTAACCAAAAACAAAGCTGGAATGTTACCCAACTTCAAACTATACTACAAGGCTGCAATAGCCAAAACAGCATGTAACTGGTACAAAAACCATACACATAGACCAATGGAACAGAATAGAGAGCCCAGAAGTAATGCTGCATATTGAAAACCATTTGTTCTTTGACAAAATTAACAAAAACAAACAACGGGGAAAGGACTTTCTTTTCAATAAATCATGCCAGGATAACTGGCTAGCCATAGGCAGAAGATTGAAACTGGACCCTTTCCTTGCACAATATACAAAAATTAACTCAAGATGGATTAAATGCTTAAATGAAAAACCCAAAACTATAAAAACCATTGAAGACAACCATTCTGGACATAGGACCTGGCAAATATTTCATGATGAAAATGCTAGCAATAATTGCAACAAAAATAAAAATTGACAAATGGGATCTAATTAAAGTAAATGGCTTCTGCATAGCAAAAGAAACTATCAACAGACTAAATGAAAACCTACAGAATGGGAGAAATTATTTGCAAACTATGCATCCAACAAAGGTTTAATATCCAGAATCTATAAGGAACTTAAACAAATTAACAAGCATAAAATAACCCCTTTAAAAAGCATAAAATAACCCCTTTAAAAAGCAGAGAAAAGGTATGAGCAGACACTTTCCAAAAGAAGACATACATCGGCCAAGAAGCATATGAAAAGTTGATCAGCATCACTAATTATTAGAGAGGTGCAAATCAAAACTACACTGGTATACTATCTCACACCAGTCAGAATGGCTATTATGAAAAAGTCAAAAAATTACAGATGCTGGTGAGGTTGTATGGGAAAGGGAACACTTAAACACTGCATGCAGGAATGTAAATTAGTTCAGCCATTGTGGAAGATGGTGTGATGATTCCTCAAAGAATCTAAAACAGAATTACCATTCAACCCAGCAATTCCATTACCCAAATGAGTATCAATTCTTCTACCATAAAGATACATGAATGTGTATGTTCATTGCAGCACTGTTAACAATAGCAAAGATGTGGAATCAACCTAAATGCCCATCAACAGTAGATTGGATAAAGAAAATGTGGTATATATAAACCATGGAATTCTGCACAGCCAAAAAGGTATGAGATCATGTCTTTCGCATCAGAATGGATGGAGCTGGAGGCCATTATCCTAAGCAAAGTAATGCAAGAACAGAAAACCAAATACCACATGTTCTCACTTATGAGTGGGAGCTAAACAACCAGAACACATGTACACAAAGAAGGGAACAACAGACAGCAGGGCCTTGGAGAGTGTGGAGGGTGGGAGGAGGGAGAGGATCAGCAAAAATTCCTATTGGGTAATATGCTTATTGCCTAGGTGATGAAATAAGCTGTATACCAGACCCCCATGACACACAGTTTACCTATATAACAAACCTGCACAAGTAGCCCTGAACCTAAAATAAAAGTTTAAAAAATAAAATTAACAAGTAAAATTAAATTAATAGTTTGGCTATATGCATCTTTTTTAAATAAAATTAGACATTTAAGTTGTTTTAAATTGTGAAGTTATTTTTACTAAGGCCGTTAATATCAGATTTAAGCTAGTCCTTGCACTAAGATGAAAACATAGCTCAGGTCATGAGAGGTGAGTTAACGAATCCAAAATCTGGCTATGGTTACCCCACTAATCAAGTTTTTGTTGTTATTTACAGCTATTATCAGTACCTGATGTTATTTAATAATTTTGTCCATTCGTTCTAGGAGGCTTTTGTTTAGTCCTCAGCACCTGAATAGGACCTGACCTATATCAGCTACTAAATACATAATTGTTTAATAAATAAATATATCATACTTAGAAAAAAATGAAAGTACAAAGTAGATTGTGATTTACTGTTGAAAAGATATGTATTGGAACAGTAAACTGTAAAGTGTACTGTAGGGGACATGGGAAACCAAAGAGATTCAAGGGCTGGGATGAGGGTGTAGGGAGAAATGAATCAAGATATGAAGCGCAGGATAAATAGGTTGGAATCGATGTCAAGAAAGTAATGACTGAAGTTTATATTCTTAGCATGTTCTCAAGTTAAGTGTCCACATAAGTAGAAGAACAAATGTTTTCACTTTGGGGGTAGATGGCCTTTTATTTTAAGTAAGGAAAGGTTTAAACTATAATTAGAAATGTGGCAACATTAATGTGCAAGCATGAAACCACTAAGTAGTTAAGGGAATTCTAGATTGCAAGTGGAGGTAAAATTAAAAAAAAAACAAAAACAGGTTATAACATAATGGTGCTACTGTATCAGTATATTTTTTAATGCATGGTAATGAAATATAAAGAATAACACCTACATTTTTGGTGCTGTATATATTATTTCATTTAATCCTCACAATGACCCATCATAATGTTGGTATTGGTGTAGCATTTTATGGAGCTTAAATCATTTGTCTGTACATACATCTAGTCACCATAGATGAGCTTGAGACAGCCACAATTATGATTTCTCACTTTTATTAAACTTCTTCCTATTTCTAGAAGGCTAATATGTATGTTTCAATGATATGGGGAACATGCTGCTTCCTATAACTGAAAACACTCTTCCTTCCCCACCCTCCCCCTTTAAAAAAATTTGGTGTGATTTGAGGAATATGCAGAGTAATTAGAGGATCAATTTCTGGCAGAGATTACAAATCAGAAATCATGGCAGAAGTCCAGACAAGTCATCCTTAGAAAGGGGCAAAGAAGAAAGGAGGATCTGGGTACACAGCCAATATTCAGAGACCAGAAAGAGCACAGAGGAGAGAGATTTTAAAGAAAGCTATTCAAAGTAACAGCTCTAGCTTTTTATAGGTTGTCGTTGACCTATAAAAATGGAGCTGAAATAGAACAGAGCTAACAGAAGCCTAGCATGGACCAGACCAACAAGTTTAATCCACAGAAGGGAGCTGAGTCACCATATACTTGGTTCTCAGCATTTCTGCCTAGTGGGTAGGAAGAGGCTAAGAGGGGGTTAAAGCTCAGTCTATGTTGGGCTCTGGCTGAGACTGCCTGGGTGGAAGTAAAACTTAGAAACTCTGAGAGTTGGAAATGGGAGTTCCAAATTCTTTGAATGTGCATAAAGTTTTCTTCATTAATAAGACGAACAACATACAGCTAATTTTGGAAATATAGCTATTTTTTTCCATAAAAAATATCAATTTTCAGAGGTACTTTTGGGTGGAAAACTATAAACTCTTAATGTAAAGACATCTCTCTTTTCTTCCTTTCACTACTATTACTTAAATGCCATAAATGTCTTGATCACAATATTTATCATATTGCAATGCAATTATATATTTATATGTCTTTTTCTGTGGGATAGAAATGACCTTGCCTTATTCATTTTTTTAAAACTCCAGAGCTTAGAAGAGTGCCTGGTGCATAGAAAGCATTCAATGTGCTTTTGCTGAATCACTGAATTCTCTGCTTACGGATTGAAAGATGTGGCAATTGTGCAAGAGGAAAAGGTCACTTTAGAAATGATGTTGTTCAAAAGCTATGAGAATGAAGCCCAGAAACTGCCATTGTCATTCAGAACATTTGGCATCAAGAAAGCCTGATTATTTATGAGACAGGGAGTGCCAGAAATGGCTTTATATTGACAGAATTTAGGAAAAGATGCTTATGAATATTTTTGTGTTTGAGATCTGGTTCATTAGTGGTTGGAAAGCTCACTAGTCATTTTGTAATGCTAGTTGGAAAAGAATATTTCTACAGGTATTTTTTCCACAAGTACTTTGAAGATTATTGAGATTTTTTTCTAAGATTATGGAGAACAACATGCTTCCTTTGGAAATATGCAAACACTGGGGTGATATTACTGGAAGCTCTGCATAAACTTAAATAAATTTTCTTTTGTCACTCACTTAAAAAAGTAGCATAAAAGGTGATTTCATGGCGATGCATGGTGACTCACACCTGTAATCTCAGCTATTCAGGAGGCTGAGCCAGGAGCATCCCCTGTGCCCAGGTGCTGGGATCGTGCTACTGCATTCTGCCTGGGCAGCAGAACAAGACCATGTCTCAATAAATAAAAGAAGAATTTCCTGAGATTTTATGTCATGAGGCAGTCTGGTTATAGAAAGTTTTATTCACATATTCTCCAAATAACAGGATAGTATTTATTTCACAGAGCATTTTTTTCTGACATATTTAGAGTTTTATTTCTATCAGTGGGATACTATACAAAGTAGGTTATAATTAGGTACATGGGTTTTTGCTTACTTTTATTTGAACAAAATTCCTTTTCACCAAGACAATACAATCGTCAATTTAAATGAAACACTCTTTCTCCATAATGTCATGATGTTGAGGCATGCCTTGATCAAGCATTTATTCCCCAAATCTTTACTGAGGGCCTGCTCTCGGCCAAGCATTTCAGGAAGGGCTGGGGATGAGTGATGAACGGGCAGCCAAGTTCTCTACTCCTATGGTCCTCACTGCCTGGCGAGGAAGAAAAGATTCTACCAGACATTTGGTGATGATAAATAGAAAGTATAGGGTGCAATGGAGGTGTCACCTGAGGCCATAACTTTATCTGGGAGTCCTGGAAGGCCTGAGAAGACTTGCTTGTGAAAATATACTGAGGCTGAGACTCAAATAGAAGAGGCTTGGTCAAGATACTCCATTCCTCCCACAGGCTGTAAAGGTAATCTAGACTTTCAAATTGACAATGTCTTTCTGGACAATAACTACTATTTTTGTAACTTTAGGTATCTTTAAACTACATAAAGTTAATTTTTGGTAAGAGTTTCTAAAAGGATTTCTGTGGTTTTGAGGAGAAACAACACATCTTAGTCTTTAAAAAAATTAGGTAAAATTTATATTATGTAAAATATTTACTAATTGAGAAAACATTGGTTAATATTTGGATAATTTGTCTACTTTCCATCTATTTTGGCAGTACTATATGTTGAATAAATATTTGTTGCCCCCTACCCTCCAAATTTATATGTTAAATCCTGACTCCCAAGGTAATAGCGTTGGAAGGTACAATCTTTGTGGCGTGATTAGGTTATGAGGATATAGCCCTCAGGAAAAGGATTGGTGCCCTTATAAGAGACTCTAGGAAGCTCATGAGCCTCTTTCACCATGGAGGACATGGAGAAAACAATGACCATCTATGAACCAAGAAATAGGCCCTCACCAGACACCAAATCATCTGATGCCTTGATCTTGAACTTTTCTGCCACCAGAACTGTGAGAGATAAATTTCTCTCATTTATAAGCAACCCAGTTTATGGTATTCTGCTGCAGCACCACAAACAGACTAAGAGAGACATTGTAATTCCAGTCAGCAAAAATTATCCTATGCTAGAAAAAATGAAATACTAGTTGTTTTCAAAACAATTCATTAAAGCTATGTAAAATGCATCTCACTAACGTAGTCAAGTTATATTTTTTAGAGATATAATCTCTACAAAACGAGGTAACAGTCTAATAACAAATAAAATAAAAACATTTGGGCTGATTTAGGTTTCAACTCTTACATTCCTTTGATATTTGAGGTTAAGTATTGTTTTAAAGAAACTTATGAACAAAATAATAATACTAAAGGATATGTTTAGCTTCTTCTTTCTCTCTCTTTCCCTGTAATGGCATTGGTTTTGAACAAACCTGCATTGTGTTGGGACTGAACTACCATAGCTTATTTTCATAAGGTCACATACCTAGCAAGAATCTGATCACATTTTTATCTATAAAATGTAGTAAACTATTGCATATTTTTATCTATAAAGTGTACTACATAAAATGTAGTACACTATTACACATTTTTATCTATAAAATGTAGTACACTATTTAAAGAATGTAGTGTTAATGCTTATCCTAAGACTTTATAATTGTGCCAGGCAATAAATAAACCAGGATGCATGTTAGAGAGAGCATCAGTGAACTGTTTCTAGCCTATTGTTCCCACTTTGGACATTGTCAAGTCTTAGATTGGTTCCACCTCTGTCCCTTTTTGGAGATTTTATTTTATTTTTCTTTCAACTTCGAAAACTCATGACTCCTCTACTTTTTGTAGGTACAAATTGTAAGTGAAAATTTCCTTAATAGAAAACAAATTCTCCTACTGCCTAGAGGGAGCATTCAAGCCTGGAAGGGACCTCAAAGGTCATCTAATCTAGGTTCATGTGAATGCTTCAGTTCTTTCTACAGTATACCTGCCAAATTGTGCTCAAGCCACTGTTTGAATGCCATCAGTGACAGGGCACTTCACAGCTGCAGAGGCAGTCCCTTCCCCTACTGTCAACCTTGGGTTAGACATGTAATCTGCTTTGGAGACTAAATATATATACATATTTGTAATTTCTACTAGTTTCTAATTCTACCCATTATCTCAGGGCTGTGATGAGTATGTCTAACCCTCTGACCTGAACTCCATGAGCTATCTCAAGACATGTTTGTATGTAGCTCTTATTCCCTTGTACGAGCAGCGGCACTGATAATTATGACTGGCCAAGAAGCCATGGCTTATGCATAGTTCTTGATGTGTGAAGATTTTTGGGTGGGGGGAGTTGGAAAGGAATCTCTGAGAAATGGGAGGGAAACATGGGGGCATTAGCTACTTGGAAAAGGTACCATGAGGATGAATAAAAGGGAATGGAGCCTGCTAGTTGGGAAATTGAGAAGTTTAAACGCATACTTGGCTGACATCTCAGGCTGCCTAAGAGTGTCTATAGAATTTATCATGATAAAGTGATATTTTCTTAATCTCCTCTTTTAATTAAAAAAAACAAAATATACTATTAGAGTTCAAAGTAAAATCAACTATAATTAAAAAGTGGCTATCAGGCCAATATGCCACTGCCATGTGTCCCAAAAAGCATGTGTTGGAAATGCAATCCCCAATGCAACAGTGTTGGGAGGTGGAGTCAAATGGGAGGTGATTAGGCTATGACAGGTCCACCCTCATAAAATGGACTAATGCTGTTTTTAAGGGAGGGGATTCATTATAAAAGGGCAAGTTTGGTCCCTTTTTCTCTCTTCTCTTACTTTCCCTTTGACTTCATGAGATAATGCAGCAATAAGGTTCTTGCCAGATGCAGCCTCTTGATCTTGAAATTCCATCATCCAGAACCATCAGCCAATACATTTCTGTTCATTATAAATTTCCCAGTCTGCAGTATTCTGTTATAGCAGCACAAAATGAACTAAGGCAGTCTTCATGATAGTTTAGCGCTTAAGGTAGTAGATTCTGGGGTCAGACTACTGCAGTTCAAACCCAAAATGTATTGTAAAGACTCTTTGATCTGTGGATCTCAATCTCCTTATTTATATAAGAAGTGAGTTAATATATTCACTCTGTATTTATTTATTTCAACATTATTTTATGTCATCTATAAGGCAGGTATACTTCTTGGTATCATCAAATCATTTGAAGGAAGGAGAAATTTGTTTTTGAATATTAGAATAAATGATGTAATGTTATACTTCTTCATGATATTGTTTGGTCAATAATTTCAATAACTTTATATTAAACTACAGATTTGGGGAGTAAAGTTAACTGGCTCTAAAATTTTAAATGGGTTAATTTAGTCAACAGACTGTGGCTCTAGCAAAGTATCAGTACATTTTAGTTAGGAAGAAAACATAGAGAAGTATTTTGTGAGTGTAAATTTTGTGAGTGTCATTTTTTCACTAGGCTATCAAATTTTTAATACAATGGAATGTCAATTTTTTTTTCTTTTTCTTTTTTCTTCTTTTTTTGAGACAGAGTCTCGCTCTGTCACCCAGGCTGGAGTGCAGTGGCGCGATCTCGGCCCACTGCAAGCTCCGCTTTCCAGGTTCACGCCATTCTCCTGCCTCAGCCTCCCGAGGAGCTGGAACTACAGGCACCTGCAACCACGCCCGGCTAATTTTTTTGTATTTTTAGTAGAGACGGGGTTTCACCGTGTTAGCCAGGATGGTCTGGATCTCCTGACCTCGTGATCCGCCCGCCTCGGCCTCCCAAAGTGCTGGGGTTATAGGCGTGAGCCACCGTCCCCGGCCTGGAATGTCAAATATATTTTAAGAAAAAAATACTATTGAACTTAAACGGATTGAAATACATAAAGTAAATAGTTTTTACCTTTATTACTAAGATCTTTTATTTCAATTGCAATGAGGTTCTAATCCCAATTGACTATATGTTGAAGTCTTCACTTCTCTTCATAGAATCACTGCTCTGGTTGTACATGTCCTAAGCAATTAACGTGGAGTTAACCTTATGCAGTGGGCTTGATGGAGATCTGAAAAAAGTTTCCCAGCCAAGATAAGTGGACATTCTGCCAGACAACCCAGTAGTAATGTGTTGGTCCTTCTCAACATATTATCTCTCAAAAGATAGTAAAGAGAAATATAGCTTATTACTGATGCGGCTTGTAAGTAAATTATAAACTGTTTCTTCATGCTGGAGAAAGACAATGGTTCTCTGGTTGATGCTCAAGGTCTCTCAATAATATGTTGCTCCTCTTTCTCACTCCTCACCTCATGAAATCTTTTTATCCAACCTAGGACTGTACACACACACACACACACACACACACACACAGAACTCATATTTTTTCTCTCATAATTTGGCTTTGGAATATTAAATTTAAGTATCCCGTTGCATTGATTTTTTTTATGTCCACAATATTGCACCTAGTATTAATTGCTTAAAAGATATGTATACTTTACTTCTTTCTTATAATGGAACTTCAATAAAATTGAAGGTGACAATTTTCCAGTTAAGACAGTATTTCACCTCTTCAGATTTCCTTGTTGTTAAGACTGGCTTTATGTTTCAAATATAGCCAATAAAACATAAGTAGAAATCAACTTGGTGGGGCTTCCAGTTAAGCTATTATTTCCCTGACTGAAAACAAAAAACAAAAAGAACAATTTGACATGGCTTTTCTGTCTTTCTTTCCTTCTTCCTGCCTTGGACACTAATATTCCTGCATGTAGAGTGCTCTTGCCTGATTATGAAAATGAACAAATAATAAGAATAGAGCAACAGAAAGCTGAAATGAATCTTAATCTTTGGCAATTCTTTTGGACAACTTCTTGAGTGCCATGTTGGGACTCTATGCCTCAACAGTTCTTTTTACATGGTAAAAAGGAGACCCCAGCCATTTTCAAACTCTAAATTAGGTTTAAAAGCAGTCCTCTTCTTCAGAAAATATAAGGAGATCCACGTGTGGCCATTTGGGTTGTAGTTGGTGGAGGTGGGGAGGTAATAGGGATAATCCCAAAGTATAATTGAAGTAACTCGATAGTAGGAGCAGTATTACTGCAAATGATATTTTAAAATATTCTCCTGTAACATATGCAGATAGCCTAGAAGAGTGCTTATCACACAATAATAATTTCACAAGTTGGAGTTAATTCATTATGTTTGAACTAAGAAATTTATGGTTCCTGACTCCAATTCCAATGTACTTTTTATTATACCACTATGTGGGTCAGTAACTCAAGGACCAGTGAGAATATAAAACCAGCAATTCGGCAATTCACTACATGAATATTGTCTGTATACCTCCCTTGGGAGAAAGTCCAGAACATAGCTACTGGATTGTAAAATAGTCTATGACTCTTCATTGGAACTTTATTTGCATCTTCCATAACTTTTGGTTGTTGTCATTTTTCTAGCCACAAACTTATTTGTCAGTGTTATGAAGTCAATTGACTTTTTCTAGAATAATTTTTCTAAATGCACAAAATGATATGCATAGAGTTAAATAAAATAAAATGATATGGTTTGGCTATGTCCTCACCCAAATCTCATCTTGAATTGTAATCCTCATAATCCCCCCCTTGTCGAAGGAGGGACCTGGTGGGAGGTGATTGGATCATAGGGGCGATTTCCTGCGTGCTGTTTTCATGATAGTGAATGTGTTCTCATGAGATCTGATGGTTTTATAAGTGTTTGACAGTTCCTTCCTCACATGCTCACACTCTCTCCTGCTGCCTTGTAAAGAAGGTAACTACTTTTCTTTCTGCCATGTTTGTAAGTTTCCTGAGACCTCCCAGCCATGCAGGACTGTGAGTTAATTAAGCATCTTTCCTTTATAAATTACCCAGTCTTGGGTATTTCTTCACAGCAGCGTGAAAACAGGCTAATACATCAAAAAATTAAATGCAGGTATAAAAACATCTGTGATCTAAAATTGTATAAATTGCTTCTTCCTAGAGTTGTAGGCCTCATGGCCTGACAATTTTGGAAAACGTGGTTCTGTTAATAATGGGTTATTGCCATTGTGATATAAGACAATGTTAAAGAAGAGAAACAAATATCTGGCATTAAACTAGAGGATGTCCTTTGTTCAGCCTCTGGTGATGAAGGGCTAAATTGTTTTGATAGTTACCAGTGCTGAGATGGATTTTCATATGCACCACCCACACATACACACAAATAAACATAAAGTAACATGTGAAGCTGACATCAAGGCCATTATCAGGTGTCTTGCACTTCTCAGAATGTAGCTAGCAGGAGGACTGTGAAATTATATGATGATGAAGCAAACTGTGTGTGTAGAGTAGAGTTTTGTGGGTTGTCAGAGGGAATGGGTCACTCCAGTAATCAAACTGAGATTAAGAGGCTTTATGAAGGAGTAGGGAAAGAGAAGTCATCAAATATGGGGGAGAGGAAAAGGCATGAAATAATTCATGGATCTATTTATAGGCATTCTAATTGCTACTAATTGCAAATGAAAGCTAAGGGTTTTCAAAGAGTTGGAACTGGCATCAGGTAAAATATAACTTTATTTTATAATAAGTCTGTAGTCATTTATCCAATGAAGTCACTTTATAATATTTATCATTTCTCTTATTATCAATGTTAATTTTATTTTATGTGCAACACACATACATATGTATAATCACTTAAAGGCAAAAAACACTTTTCCTATGCAATGTATATAATTATTATCTAACAAATGGCTGATGGATTGTGCTGAATTCCTTATTGGTCCCTTTATGCTTTCTTGACAGTGAAGAAAATCAAAACTCATAAAGAGAGTAAAATACCTCCCTACTCTAAAAAAATGTTTTTCCTCCACTCCTCCCTCTCTGCTATAAGTGTTATTTGAACCATGTTTGGACTAGCTGCACTCGAATGTGTCTGAATGCTTTTATATTTCAGGTTACGTACATATTCACAAGGTGACAATCTGTAAGAAATAATTTGTGCATTTTTTTTACAGCACACATAAAATATGCCAATTTCTTTTTGACCTAAGGACCAATGGGTTGTACAGCTTTCAACCTTGTCAGACTCTTCGTTGCCTGGGGAAACGCCACATCTTATCTTTAACTCTGGCTGTAACTTTTGTTCCAGCTGGAAGCTGACCTTACTTCTTATTGTTTTCTTTTCCATTTGTATGGCTTCCAGAATGCAGTCCTGAAAGTCAGTCCTGGATAGTTGCTTTCAAACCCATTTTTCTTTTTGGTAATATTTTGGCAAAGGATTAAACTAGTACATCATTCAGGGACCTGTCCAGCCAACCCAGACATGGGTCAGTGGAGACAATAGCAGTGTTCACAACTATCCTATCAGGGTTTATGTATCTAACTTTGTACAAACATACTCATGTCAGTGTATGTGGCTTTGATCTTGATTGCACCTTGTGACAAGAACACTGTATAACTGTTAGAGAATGTCTGACAATGTTCCTACGAGTTTGTCATGCTGAACACTTGATAATATTGATGATTTAAGAAGATGCAAAGTTGTACTAGGACCATTCAGTAATATTGTAAAAAGTAAGTTTAGTAGGCTAAAATTTTTGTGGCATATATTACAAATCATTTGGGAAGTTGGGAAGATATATTACATCTTTCAAATCCAATTTGGGAAATAGGATCAATCTGAACATTTGATTCCATGCAGTCATATTGTTAGGTTCCTTTCAACTTTAAATGACTTAGAAACTCATTTGCTGTTTTTCAATGCTCAAAGTAGAAAGCATTTTTAGTTAATGAAATAGCATTGATATATCTCAACTAAAAAGTAACAACGAGTTGATTAACAAAATACAGAAAATTACACACTGCCTCTAAATCAAAGCATATATGGCATTAACAATAGAAATGAGTTTTCTCATGTAAGACTATCATTGTTTATTTAAATGTGAGCTGAAATAAATATAGTTTTTCCAAAAGACATGCCAAATACAGCTATAGTGTTTACAAATTGCTCCCAATAGCTTAAATGAATTTAAGTTAAAAGGTTTCTGTTTACATTTTGACAAAACCAAAAACAGTGATGTTCAGTTTTGATTAACCCCTCAAATCTAAGTCATTATGCATATCATTGCTAGGATTCTTGCAAAACATGTTTACATCACCATATCATATTAGTGTTAAAACTTCATGAATCATGAATGTGAGGATAGGTGTTTGAAGCCGAATGGAGAAGAGTTCTTAGATGTTATATGTTTAAAATAATCAGAAATATTATATGAATTCTGTTTTATTAAAATCATTCAACAGACATGATTGAGCAGCAATCAATTGGCAGGTTCTGTTATAGATAAGTGAGATACAATTTCTGGCCACAATGTATCTAAAACCCACTGGAATAAATCTGTGCAAGAGCAATTGAAAATAATATAAGTGCTATAATGGAAGTTTTTATGGGTTCTCAAAGAAGGAGCACTAGAAAGAATGAACTGAAGATAGTAGTGAGAGAGGAGATGAGGGATGAAACCAATATTGAAAAAAACCTAAAGATTTAGAAAAGGGTTAGGGCAGCAGAGTGATTGGCTCTAATTCATGAAGTGCCATGACACTGGTGATTGGAAGAGCAGTTGTAAAAGGAAGAACAGAGGCTGCATCTGCCATTTCGTAAAAGTGACCTTGGAAGCAACCCCTTGAGATTTCTCATCTGTAAATAGAGGCTGATTCATTTATTTTAAGAATCAAATAAGATAGTTAAAATTAATTACCTGGCATAAATCTTAACACATGGTATATTAGTCCATTCTCACATTGCTATAAGGAAATGTGGGTAATTTTGAGACTGGGTAATTTATAAACGAAGGAGGTTTAATTGACTTACAGTTCCTCATGGCTGGGGAGGCCTCAGGAAACTTAATCATGGTGAAAGGTGAAGGGGAAGCAAGGCACCTTTATCACAAGGCAGCAGGAAGGAGATTGACCAGAGGAGGAACTTACCAAACACTTATAAAATCATCAGATCTCATGAGATCTCACTGTCACAAGAACAGCTTGGGGGAAACTGCTCCCATTATTCAATTACCTCCACCTGGTCTCTCTCTTGACACGTGGGGATTATGAGCATTATGGGGATTATAATTCAAGATGAGATTTTTGCTTGGAGACACAACCAAACCATATCACATGGTAAAAAGTAAATATATTTCTGTTTCTTTCTTTTACCTTTGAACATGGGAACAAATAAGGCTTCAGATGATGATAGTCACCAACTGTGGAATCTTCCAAATGAGCTAAGTAAGAATTCAGATATCGTGGAGTAGAGACACATCATTCCTGCTTTGCCCTGTTCAAACTTCTGACGCTCAGAGTCCAGGAGCATAGTAAATGGTTGTTTAATACCATATGTTTTAGGTAACTTGTTTTCCACCATTAGATAACTAGAACACTCCCCTGATCTAAACCATAAACCTAAGCCTGGATCTATCAGCAGTGTCCAGAAATGTATAGGATCATTCACTGTGAATATAAATTTGTAAGTGTAGTCTTTGAGCTAGGATGGGAAATATGGGGTGCCTAAAAGCAAATGATTGAAATATTTACTAAAAGTCTCAGATCAATACAAAGACGTAATGCCAGGATTTGGGGGAAAAAAAGGCATGATCCAGAGAGGAGAAGTCTCAGAGTCAGTGCAGTGAGACTAAGATATTAAAATAACTAGAATCGTAAGTGTGTGAGTTCAGAGAATGGAATATTAAAGATTAAGACTTAGTGAAGTAATTTTACTTAATGGAAAGTTTTCTTCATAAGGTGGTGTGATGTTGACTCAGTTGAAGTTTATAAGGAGTTTCAAATACATTAGAAAAAAGTTGTTGAAGAAAAGGGTATTATTAGCAATGCAGATTTTGTGATAGCATTTATTATTTTTCACAGTAAGAATAATGATAACATATCACCCTTAATTCTTTGCCATAGTCAAAACTGTTCAGCAGAACATTGTTCCTTCTTTGTTGTTCAAAAATAATTGAGATGAAAAAACAGAAACAGTGCCACCAGCATCAGTCTCCTGTCATGATAATCAACTATAGCACATCAGGGAGTAGTAACCAATGGCATGTTCTTAAAATAATGATTCTTATCGTCTGCCTTTAGCATGAAGGAAACAAGGCACAAATAGCTGCTATGTACAATGCTGACCTAAGTGAGCTATTTAACAACCTGTACTATGAGTGCCAGCTAATTTTCAGTCTATGCATTATGAAGAAAACACAATTTACCACAAAATATACCATATAGTAGCAAATGTTACTTTTTTTCTTTTTCTTTTTTTTTTTTCAATATCAATCAAGGTACAATGCTTCAGGGGAAAATTATCTAGCAACAATAGAAAGGTACCAGCCATAGAAGATAGCTGAATCTGGTTGCCCGTGTTTGTAGTATATAAGAACAGACGGATATTTAAAAAAAAGGTAGAGGGCAATTCAGGGAAAAAGAAATAATGTTAACCATGAGAATGAGATGATCCCAAAGGAGGAATGGATGATTGAAGACAAAGTTCACAAGGAAGCCTTGTGAAGCGAGTATTCTCATGTCAGTGAGTGAAGAATACTGGAAATGAAGTTAGAGAACACTGAGCTGAAGAATTTAATAGGAGAGAATTATAAATGTGATCCTCAGTCATCTCATGAGGAATGTAATCCAGCTGCAAAAGCTAAGCCTGCTGTGTGTAGTCAAGAAGACCATGGAGAATAATCTTCAGAATAAGAAATTGTGGATGAAGGTTAATGTGATCCATAATACATAAACCTCCAATATCCAAATAATTACTTTCAAACTGAAGTAGATCTCTTAGACATGATTCTAAGGAAATTTGTAACCCATAAGAAGAGATAGTATAAAATGAGATGTAACAGGAAGAACTAGCACAATATTTCAGTGGATAATATGTCAAAAGAGACTAAAAATTTTTAAAATAAATAAGAGTTTGTAGAACTTCCAAGAATTGGCCATGCCCTCAGCTTACTTTTAAGACTGGTTAAAAGTGAGTCTAAAACACTCAGATTGAAGATCTGTGATTCTGTCATACTGCCATACCATAAAGATCAGTGCCTTAAACTTAGAGAAACCCAACGGCCAATGAGATTATCTTAAGATATCTGCCCAATAGGAGCAGACCATATTGAATGATACCTAATTGATCTAATTAATTTCTCTCAAATGATGTTACATAACATGACATCAATAAATAAAGACTCATAATAACATAGATATGGTAGTAGAAACAAAATGTATAGCTATACAGAGACAGAAAATAAAAGAAACAGAAATTGAAAAATGAGAGAAATCCAGAGATGGACTGAGTCAAAAGAAAGTAGTTACTGGAATAAGAGCACACCAACTTTCTAGCAAAAGACCTCATGTCCAGGCACCTGCATGGCCATTTGGAAATTAGGGCTGCCATTATTTCCAAAATGATAATCTGTGCCATGAGCAGGCTATGGGGGTGAGTGTGTGGGTGTAAACAGGAACACAATTAGGTTTCTTATACAAAACTCTATAATTTCTGAGATAAAGTCTGTAAATATTGATAGATAATTATAGAGAAAAGTAAAGCAAATTCTTCAATATTGATATTAATGGTGACAAGTATTAGGCCAGGTAATAGGCAATATTCTCTCTTTATAACTGTATAGTCTGTTGGATTGTCAGTGTAAGTCAACAGTATGGTTCATGGTAGGAAACAAGTCCTTGTTAAACACCTGAATTTCCAAGGGCAAGATGCCCCAAAATTATGCAGATTGGATTCTATGCAGATGACAACTATACAGCTGTTTTCTGCAAAACACAATTGCCTAATTAATGAGTGGCTTGTACCCTTTGCCCAATCAGTCAACGTTAGTTCCAAGAAAATATGAAGATTTTTGGAAAAATGTGTCATTTAAAGTATATTTATGTTTATAAAAATTATAGGCTTCGCCGGGTGTGGTGGCTCAGGCTTGTAATCTCAGCACTTTAGGTGGCCGAGGTGGGTGGATCACCTGAGGTCAGGAGTTCGAGACCAGCCTAGCCAACATGGTGAAACCCTGTCCGTACTAAAAATAGAAAAATTAGCTAGGTGTAGTGGTGGGCACCGGTGATCACAGCTACTCGGGAGGCTGAGGCAAGAGAATCACTTGAACCTGGGAGGTGGAAGTTACAGTGAGCTGAGATCATGCCACTGCACTCCAGCCTGGGCGACAAGAGTGAGATTCCATCTCAAAAAAAAAAAAAAAAAAAAAAAAAATTATAGCCTTAATTTTTAACAACAGTGTGATGGTTAAATAAATTATAGGCAAATGATAAATTTTATATGCTAAATTGTTTTTTAAGAATATGCATTGAAAATGGTATTATGTTCACAATATAATAAGTGAAAATAATGGAATTAAAATTATTTGTATCATTTTATTAAAATTTTGTAAATATTGAGATATACTTGTAGAAAAATATACAAAGCAAATGTATCAACATTGGTATTAATGGTAATAAGTCCTGGGCCAGATAATAGGCAATTTTCTTTCTTTGTATCGTATGTGTTTTCTTAAACACCTTCTGTAAAAAAGTCACTTGAAACTGAACATGGAGGAGAGGAAGACAATGTCTTTCTTAAAGTTCACATCTTTAGTACTTTAAGAAGTTCTTGCTCACTTACAGCAGAAATATTAATTTCCATCTGTCCTCATTTTAGGATAATGTGTCCCAAACCAAAGTACTGTTATAAGAGCTCCTCCCAGTTCTGCTAGATGGCCAGTTGGCCACTGTAGTTTTCAGAATAATCTAGGTTTCTTACAGAAACCTTGAAGTGGAGGCCAGGGATTTAACAGGTAGGGTATCAAAATTTTCTCAAGGTGTTAATATTAATTGAAGGTAAGAATGTTGGCAGACAAAGCACATATTGAACACAATTTCCATTCACATGAAGAGGGATAAATAACATTCTCTTCCACATCACCATCATCTCTCACCTGAAATAATCTCCTAACTGGACTCAGCTTTCACCTTTGGACCCCTGTAGTCTGTCTTAACATGAAACCCAGAGTGATCCTTCTCAATAGTAAGGATTATTTAACTCTCTACTCCAAACTCTACAAAGGTTTCCCATTGCCCTGAGAATAAAAGCATCAATGCTGCCAACAACACTTTATGTGATCTGACACTTCTTCCTTTTCTGAACCATAACCCACCTCTTACTTCTTTTTTAAAATCTTTACTTATGTATTTATTTTTTTTCAATAGCTTCAAGGGTACAAATGGTTTTTGGTTACAGGGATGACTTGTATAGTAGTGAAGTCTGAGGTAATGTACATTGTATCCAATATGTAGTTTTTTTATCCCTCACCCTACCGCCCTCCCACTCTGAGTCTTTAATGTCCATTATACCATTCTGTATTCCTTTGCATACCCATAGCTTAGCTCCAAATTATGTGAGAACATAAAGTATCTGGTGTTTCATTCCTGAATTACTTAGAACAATGGCCTGCAGTTCCATCCAAGTTGCTGCAAAATTCATAGTTTCATTCTTTTTTTTTTTTAATTATACTTTAAGTTTTAGGGTACATGTGCACATTGTGCAGGTTAGTTACATATGTATACATGTGCCATGCTGGTGCGCTGCATCCACTAACTCGTCATCTAGCATTAGGTATATCTCCCGATGCTATCCCTACCCTCTCCCCCCAACCCACAACAGTCCCCAGAGTGTGATATTCCCCTTCCTGTGTCCATGTGATCTCATTGTTCAATTCCCACGTATGAGTGAGAATATGCGGTGTTTGGTTTTTTGTTCTTTCGATAGTTTACTGAGAATGATGATTTCCAATTTCATCCATGTCCCTTGAATAGTATTCGTATTCCATGATGTATATATACTGCTTTCTGTATCCACTCATTGCTTGATGGGCACTTAGTTGGTTCCATATCTTTGCAATTGTGAATTGTGCTGTGATAAACATATATGGGCAGTCCACCCCTCTTTTCTTTGTTCACAGCATTCAAGACATCTGGGGTCCTCACTGCTCCTTGAGCACAGTAGCAAACTTCTACATTAAGACCCCACCCCGGTTGTTCTTTCTCTGCCTAGAATTCTCTTTAGTAAGATACCTGTGTGGCTGAGGCTCCATCTCCCAGCTTTGCTTAAATGTTATCCTTTCCATGAGGCTTTCAGTGGTAAGCACTTTGAAATTATAATAAGCACTTCATATACTCCTCATTCCCATTACCCTTTTCATTTCCTTTTTCTATAGAATTTAACATGCCTTAATATTCAAAATAATTTGCTTTTTTTATTATGTCTACTATTTACTGTTCATCTTTACCTGCTAGAATATAACCTTGCCAAGGCAATGGTCTTTGCGTGTTTTAATCACCAGTGTATCTCAAGTATATCAGAATTCCACGAATATGGTAGATTCTTAAGAAATAGTTAATGAATAAAGAGTAAATAGACAAATGCACATTTTCTTGATGCTAAAAAAAAGAAAAAATAATAAATTCATTAAACAAAATGAAACTAGCAGGCATAATTTCCCCAACAATATATTCACAGCTTTTTAACTAAATGTGTTATCACTTAATATGAGAGGTTATTGTTGATAGCCTGGAAATTCCATTACAACTTTCTGTAAGAAATAATTTTTATAGCAGAATCAGCTGGATAACACAAAAAATTTGTGCTCCCCCTGGCAGTTGCAAGGAGGAAATGGCCTAACAAGGGACTACATTTCTCTGCCATGTAACCAGTTCTTACCAGTGGAATTTGAGTAAAAATAATGTATATCACTTCCAAATCAAGGTGGTTAAGTAAAGGTGCCTATTTCCAAACCATCTCTACTGGTTTTTTTTTTGTCTGCTGAAAGTAGAGAAATTTGTGACACTAGAGAATAGTACATCACAATATGGAAAAATCCTGCATCCATGAAACACTATGTGGAGGAAAACCACTTGCCAAACATCAATAACTGCATTTGACTGCTACATGAGTGACGAATAGACGTTTATTGTGTAAAATAATTGAAATTTGTCAATTTATTTGATATAGCAGCTTAAATGCAAGTCCCAAAGAGAATTTAGTTAAGGGCTAAAGTTTGGCATCATAATTTGCATATGGTTACAACTACAGAATTATTGGTTTTATAGAACTATGTGACTCAAGTGCCTAGTCATGAATACCTAATTTCCCAGGATGAACCCTCACTGCTCAGTGACATTTGTAGTGCCAAACAGTTGAGAAAGCTGTTCATAAGAACAGGATACATAGAAAGTCTGATTTTGCAGTGAAACTTTATTTGGGATGTAAGTATAAGGAAAATAAATGCGATAGATACAGTAAATGAGCATGGTGAGTTGGAAGTCCTGATCAAGGATTAAACCACATTTATACACATGAGGGATTAGTAAAGGAATACATAAAAATTTATGGTGTGAAAGAAGGCGTTCTAGGTTATGATTGTGAAGATAGAATGGTTCCATGTTACTCACTGTGTTGGAAGAAAGTGATATGTCATTAAGATTGGTGACATTAAAAAGAGAAAAATATTGTGTTTCAGGAGTAAAGTGGATCTTTACTAGAGATGTTGCAATTTTTGAGGAGAGGAAAAGCTTCTTTTTACAGTGAAGTAATTTCAAGGATTGAAATTGGCTTGGGATGGCAGAGGTTTGTGATAGTGATGATTAGAAAATATGTAGAATTCAGTGACGTAGAATTTGAGAGGAAAGAAGTAAAGGGAAGAAGGAAAATAAATAAGTGCCAATTTGTCTGTAGAACCAGAAGTAATTAAGTTCTTGATTTCCTCAACTGAGGGAGATTAAAATTAAGGTTTTTATGAGATAAAATATCTTCAGTTTACAGATAAATTTCAATACATACAATACAATGAATGTATCATCACAATATGCTTTTGCTTTAATCATTCATTGGACCATGTCTCCAATGCACCTTGATTTCTAACAAATAACATCTACTGTGTCTGGTTGTAAATAAATGCTTACTTATGTCTCTCACACTGGTCTGTGAGAGCCTTCTGTAAATAAAAGATACTTATTGTGCATTTATTATAAACAAATCAATAAATAAATTAGAAGATGCATGGATAGGTGAGTGCCTTTCAGAATATGCACAAAATGGACAGATACCAGTCTGAGATGAATATAAAGAGAATTCAAAACCTATTATCAGACTCTCGTTGGGGTCTTCTCACTTTCTGAGTTTCAGAGTTTCAAAAGAAACCACAAGAGCTCTTTCCTCTTGCAGAAGTATGAATGCTTTTTCTGGATACAGTCTTTATGCTTAAGGAAGCTTACAACCTTTTAAAGAGGGAGAGTATTCCAGGGACAGAAATTAATTTGAATGAAAACCTGGAGATATCAGAACTATTTATAATTTAAGAAGGTGAAAAATGTAGAATCACATAGTCACAAATTATTATGGTAGAAATATTTATAGATTAAAGTCTGAAGATATCAGTTCTAGATCATATGACACCAAGTAATTATAATGACACTCACAATTTAGAGCTTACATGTTTTCAAAAAAATGATACAGTGAATATTCTACCATAGTAATTTTTGCAAAGCAATTACTAACTTTATATTATATTCAGGAGTTATGAAAAACCCTTTACTGCTTTATTTAATCTGTTTTTGAATAACAAACAAATCTTATTATACCCACTATTTTATAGCTATGGAATTGGATGCTAACAAAGCTAGTAGCTAGCCCTAGAACATGCTACTAGTAATGGTGAGCAGAGAATGAAACTCAGGCCTCTGATGCTAGACCTGAGCTCTTAACCAGGATGCAGCCCTGGTTTTCTAATGCTAGAAAATATACACGAAAATACTTCTTCTCAGTGTATTTCCCCATGAGATCATTGTTTCGATTATCACACATATTTAGATGCAGTGTAGATACTCATTTTTCTACATGAATTGTTTTCATTGCTTACATCTCTAATATCTACCTACGCAGACAAATTCTACTTATCATTCAAACTTATGTCAAAGCAGTCTCCTCCATAAAGCAGCACCAGTTCAAAAAAAAAAAAAAACCTAGAAAGTATTCTCTCCTTTAATAATCTATAAAAAACACTTTTAAAAATAAACCTTTATAATGAAGGTAGAATCTCCCTTGGTTGAGTTTTCAGACAAATACATAACTATTCAATAAGAGTGTGATTGCCTACAGGTCAGGAACAGAATATTAGGCATCTTTTTCATCCTGTGGAACCTTGTTTATAGTAGGTAGGTGGCCAGTGAATGACTTTGATATTGAATCATTTGGAAAAGCATAAGTGCTGAGCAAAAGAAAGATATTATCAATTGTCATATGATTATGATGGATTCAGAATAAAAATATATTTTTCCATAAAATTTCGTCTGTGCTACTCATATTCTGCTATGGTCAAAAAAAATACTGGAAAAACTTTTATCAACAAGATTATTGCCTTACAATCTAAATATCAAAACTTAAAAATATAATTGCCCTATATCCCTGTTTAGAGTCAATTTTAAAAATTCTTCAATTTCTGAATAAAAAATTTAAAAAGATGTCCTGTCTGCTGAAGCTGGAAAAATAGGCTTCACAGCTGGCTGGCTGGTTCATTCAGCAAGAAATTGGTCAACTTGCAAAGACCAGAAAAAAATGCATTTCACACAGCACCAAGAATCATAAAGTTGCTGAGCAAACTGGGAGCTAAAGAACTCAGGCAAATTAGAGCTAGCTTAGAAAAATAAGAAACAGATCAAATCCTCATCGGTTCTCTTACACTAAACTAATACTATATCTGACATATGGGACTATTGCATTGGATTTTATATTGTAAACTTTCTTCCTGAACATGCAGTCTTAAAACTCTTTGGAGTCTTTAGAGTCTGTGGTCTTCTCTTCAGTCATCTGCTGTTGATTTTCTCCTCAGGTTCTGTCAAGCTAGTTCGTTTTCTCGGGATACAGGTTTCCTTTCTTCCCTTTAAAGGAAGTGAATGCTTGGTGTTTGTCTAGTATATTATGACTACAACATAGGACGTGCCTCTTACCAGTTGGGGTGCAACAGAAAATGTCTCCTTCTCTGTCTTCCTGCAAAGCGAGAGGAAGTTTTGGCATTTATAGTGTTTAATATATTTCCTGTAAATGTGTAGGAAATGTCTGTTTGAAGTTCTGAAGTAAACTACCTTGATGTTGACAAAGATGAGACAAACTACCTGATGAAAGAAATCATATTCAAGAAAGAATCTTTAGAGAGGAAGGCAGCCTATTTATTTACATGAAGATCAAAGAACCTTTGCATGAATTGAGACTACATTTTTTCCGAGTGATTTGCAAAAGATAATCCTCATGGCTGAATGAGAAAAGTGGTAAGTCTTTATTGAATTTATTTTGATTTTATGTATTAAAATACTCAGCATGCTAAAATAATATACTTATAAAATTTTTTTCAAGAAATATTTCATATTTTCTATACTCATTAAAGTCTGATGAAATAACTTGAGATATTTTATTGAGATTTTGGCTATTCTGCTTTTTAATAAATAACCAACAATTTGGCTTATATGAACACAATGAAAGCCACACTTAACAAATAACTGCTATCAATGATTAAAGGCCTTTATAATGAAAGCCAGTAGAGTATTGTACAGATGCCAGGATAATTTAACACAACAAACAGAATTTCTCTAAATACCCAAGACCATAATGATTTGCTGCCTAATGCAATATTTTTCTCTCTATAAATGAAGGAATGTTACCCCCAAATGAGAAACTTAAGAGTGATGTTTCATGTGAGAAAAAACCACACATTCTTAAATCATTAGCTTTTCCCTTCTTTTATGTAATCCACCTCCTTTTTCTCTCTTACTAAGGTTGACTGAGCTTTAAAGAATAGGAAGGGAGGCACAAACGCAATCAACTTCAAAAATCATTTTGGCACAGCACAGCAAAATGCATCCAATTAAAACATGAAACAGTATGCTAATAATTATGTTTCCTATAGTGCCTTTTCATCAAGGATTTCAAAGTCAAATTTACAATTTCTCAATTATGCTTTAGACATCTCTAATTCTGATTGCTGGCAAGTCTTCCTCCCTTCCCCCTTCCTGACCCACACTCAGAGTTCTAACTGAATTTGATGAAGGACAATATTTTGCCTTTCAAATGTGCTAATCTTGACTTCTCCTTCATCTTCTTTTGCCTTTGCTCAGCTAGCTGAGTGACTGATGCTGAGTAATTTGCAAGCAGAAGTTGGCTGGTTTCAAAATGCTGAAAATTTGAATTATAGGTTTTTAAGAATAAATATACTTTTATGACTTTGCATTATTGTTTATCTTACAATGCACTAGCAAAATTTTACCTTCATAAGCAAAGGTGATTAGCAAGGAACATAACATAAGCATGCAAATTAGAGCTTTTAGGACTTTTATAAACAATGGCACCTCTAAATGGATGGCCTGTAAATATGGTGCCACTGCCCTGAAAGCCTGAGTACATCTTTAATGTACCTATTTTAAAAACAGATTTATTAAGCTGTATTTGGCTTAAGCACTGTCCAGATTTTCAAAATTCCAAATTAGTTGGATCTAACAACAACAACAAAAGTTTAACAATGTTACCTTTCTTCAACAACTACACTACCTATGATCTTTAAACTTTTAGCTAGTCCTTTCTGGATTTCTGTAACTAAAACTATTTTTTTCTGCTTTGAAAAGTATTTATTTTGCCATATGGATATGTATATATAATATTTTTTCTTCAAAACAATAATATTTTATCTTCTCATTTTGTCACACCATTTCATTCTTGAGGCTTGGTTTTTAACTACTCTGAGCTGATACTTCTTTATTCTTGAAATTCTTTTACACAGTTCAAGTATTTGAAAAACTTGCTTTAAACTAAAGTAAAATCCCTGATAACCAAAGTTTAAAAAGCACTGCAGGCAAAGTCCTAAAAGCATCTAGAATCTAATTCCAAACCTGTCATTAACTATCCATGCATCGTTTAGCAATCTAGATAAATGCACTAGTACACAGCATCCTTATTTTAAAATAAAGTGAATGACCATAATATGTTTTTAAATATTAAAAATCATCGAGCTTAAAGTTAAAAGTCAATGTTATGTGCCTTGAAATTTCTGATACCTCATTACCCGAAAACAATAATGCAACATGTATTAAAGGCTGACACTGTGCAAGGTGTTATGCCAGTAAGGCACATGCTAATAGGAAGAAAAACAAGAAATGGTCCTTCCTTCCTTCATTCTTACATTTGTACCATTTTTTTCCCTGTTTCTTTCTGTATGCATTATCTAATTTGATGTGCATAACAACTTATGAGATACAAAAGAAGGTTGTTATTGACCCCACATAGAAAAGAAAGGCAAGTAATTTCAAAAAGATCAAGCATTTATTAGAAATTTCTAGACTTAGTGAGGAAGGAAGAACTAAGACTATGTAAGATGTTATTATCGTTACATATTGATTAGTGTGCACTGCTCGTGAATACCATATTTTTAGGCCTGTTTTCCTGAACCACATAATATTGTCCCACTGTGAAACAGGCATTACAATTTTGTATTTACTTCTAATGGTTCTCAAAGGGAACCTTGTTTAATGATATAACATTTGCAAATCTCTTTGAATAAAGAAATCATTTAAATGCAAAGTATCTCTGAACATTATCCCCTTTACTCTCCCACTGGGTACATAAAAATCAAATAGGGCTGACTGTGATATTTTAGGAGCATAAAGGTATCATAAATTGACTCTTTGCACCTTGCTACACCACACCCCAGAACAACTCTGCACCTCATGCAGATCTCTAAGTGAGGTTATGATGCCCAAGACACAGGCCCTTCACAGAGCATAGCAGGGGAAATCGACAAGCAGAAAACCTTTCCTAAACTTGTACTTGGTCTCGAATCAGCAAGCAATGGGAATTAATTTCTCACAGTTCAAGCAAACTCATGGACAGAGACCAGGTTTTCACAGAAAGGAAAATCAGGGCTCCTAGTGTAAAAAATGATGTGGCCTGACTGACAGAATTCTGCACAATTTTGCCACTCTGCTGCCATGGGCCTGTATGTACCTGTTCCTCTTTTCCTCTTAACACTACATTAGTGTCCAAGAATTATTACTTATATGCTGTATCAATCTTTCTCCTCAGTAATTCCCCATTATTTTCTATTGCTGCTTCCAACTTGGGCCCTTAACATACTGTTCAAATATTCAAACTGGTTGGCTACTTGAGTCTTTTACTTAATAAGTTAAACTTTTACAAATACAACTATCATTGATCCCTTCCTTGCCTTGGATATGCCCATTCATCTATGCAGTATCATTTCCAAACTTCGGTTTAGAATATATTTTAAAAAATTCTTCACAAGCAGCACCTATTTTTCCTATTTTACCAGACTGTTATTTTTGAAGCACTTGCTAATTAAGGTTTTTAACTGATTTATCATATTTCCTTCATAAATGTATTATCTTTATCTACATACCAAACCTTCTACAAAGTTCTGCTTAGACACATCCATCATAGAATTATGAATTTTAAAATTATCGACATACAATTTACACATAAGGAAAGGCACAGATTTTAAATAAAATATTCAATGAGTTTTGACAAATGTATACCTTCTATAAACAACACCCCCAAACAAGATATCGAACAGTCCCCAATCCAGAAAGTTCTCATTCGATTACTGCTGCTCTGATTTTCATTACCACAAATAATTTTTTCCTGGTGAAAAACTTCATGAAAATGAAATCATATAGTCTGTACTCTTTTGTGTCTGCCTTCTTAGCTATTTTGTATACATACTAGATAACATTTAGCAGGTTGGGAAAATTTCCTTCTAGTTTTGTTTTGCAGAGTGCTTTCAACATGTTTGCATTTTAACTTTTATCAAATGCTTTTTTTGGTATCTATTGAAAAGACTACCTGGATTTCCTCCATTATTACGTTCAAATTTTTAATCAATTTTTCTAATTTTATTTTTATTATTTATTTATTTTTTCTTAAATTATACTTTAAGTTCTAGGTTACATGTGCACAACATGCATGTTTGTTACATATGTATACATGTGCCATGTTGGTGTGCTGCACCCATTAACTCATCATTTACATTAGGTATTCCTCCTAATGCTATCCCTCCCCCCTCCCCCAACCCCACAACAGGCCCCAGTGTGTGTTGTTCCCCACCCTGTGTCCAAGTGTTCTCATTGTTCAATTCCCACCTATGAGTAAGAACATGCAGTGTTTGGTTTTCTGTCCTTGCGATAGTTTGCTCAGAATGATGGTTTTCAGCTTCATTCATGTCCCTACTAAGGACATGAACTCATCCTTTTTTATGGCTGCATAGTATTCCATGGTGTATATGTGCCACATTTTCTTAATCCGGTCTATCATTGATGAACATTTGGGTTGGTTCCAAGTCTTTGCTATTGTGAATAGTGCCGCAATAAACATACATGTGCATGTGTCTTTATAGTAGCATGATTTATAATCCTTTGGGTGTATACCCAGTAATGGGATCTCTGGGTCAAATGGTATTTCTAGTTCTAGATACTTGAGGAATCGCCACACTGTCTTCCACAATGGTTGAACTAATTTACAGTCCCACCAACAGTGTAAAAGTGTTCCTATTTCTCCACATCCTCTCCAGCACCTGTTGTTTCCTGACTTTTTAATGATCGCCATTCTAACTGGTATGAGATGGTATCTCATTGCGGTTTCAGAGCAGAACTGAAGGAGATAGAGACACAAAAAAACCCTTCAAAAATCAATGAATCCAGGAGCTAGTTTTTTGAAAAGATCAACAAAATTGGTAGACCGCTGGCAAGACTGATAAAGAAGAAAAGAGAGAAGATTCAAATAGATGCAATAAAAAATGGTAAAGAGGATATCACCACCAATCCCACAGAAATACAAACTACCATCAGAGAATACAGTAAACACCTCTATTCAAATAAACTAGAAAATCTAGAAGAATTGGATAAATTCCTGGACACATACACCCTCCCAAGACTAAACCAGGAAGAAGTTGAATCCCTGAATAGACCAATAATAGGCTCTGAAATTGAGGCAATAATTAATAGCCTACCAACAAAAAAAAAGGCCAGGACCAGAAGAATTCACAGCCAAATTCTACCAGAGGTACAAAGAGGAGCTGGTACCATTCCTTCTGAAACTATTCCAATCAATAGAAAAAGAGGGAATCCTCCCTAACTCATTTTATGAGGCCAGCATCATCCTGATACAATTTTTCTAATTTTAAAGCAACTTTGCATTTATGAGGTAAACCCAAATTCATTATGTTGTGTTGTCCTTTGTATACATTGTTGGGTTGACTTTCCTAATTTTTTTTTAATTTTTGAATAAATATTCATAAGTGGCCTGTAATTTTATTTTCTTGTGCTGTCGTTGTCTTTGTCAAATTTGATATCATAATACTTGCCTCGTAAAAAATCAGTTGAAAAGTATTCCCTCTTTTTCTATTTACTGAAAGAGATTTTGTAAGACTAATATTTCTATCTTAAATGTTTGGTAGAAATCAAGGTGTAGTCATGTTGGTTTAAAATGTTTTTGACTGTGGGAAGAGTTTTAATTACCCTCATCTTCATTATAATGACATTAGGATCTGCAGTAATCTCCCCTCCTTAATTTACATACGAGTTATATGTTTTAACTTTTTATTAATCAGTTCAGCTAAAGGATAATCAATTACAATATTTTTTCTAAAAAATATTTTTTTGGCTTTTCTCATGGCTGTATATTTTCTATTTTGCTAATTTATATTCTTATTAATATTTCCATTATATACATTTTGATGTAATCTTCACTTCTTTTTCCAGCTTCCTAATTGGAAGATTATTAGATGATTGATTTTGAACCATTTTTCTTTTCTACCATAAATATTTTAGCTATAATTTACCCTCCAAAATCTGCTGTAACTGTAATTCACAAATATATAGAAAACAAATATAATTTATTACATTTACATAGAGTTCAAAATATTTCAAAATTTTCCTTGTGATTTCTTCTTAAGTCCTAGATGATTTATGAGTATTTTTGATAGCTTTATTGAGATATAATTCCCATGCCATACACCTTAAAAATTTATACTTTACAATTCAATGTCTTTTAATAGAATTATGCATCTATCACCAGATTCAATTTTAGAATATTTTTATTATTCCAAAACAAAATCCCATACTCCTTAGCACTTACCCCTTAATCCCCACTCCCAGGCCTAAGCAACCACCAGTCTACTTTCTGTCTCTATAGGTTTATCTATTCTAGACATTTAGTATAAATTGAACCATGTACTAAATATGTAGCCCCTTTTGATTGGCTTCTTTTACTAAGCATAATGTTTTTAAGGCCCATCTATGTGGTAGCATGTATAACTGGTTTCTTTCCATTGCCAAATGGTATTCCATTCTATGAATATGCTGCATTTTATGTGTTCATTGGACAGTTGGTGAGCGTTTGGGTTGTTTCTACTTTTTGGCTATTATGAATAATGCTGCTATGTCCATTTGTGTACATGTTTTTGTGCCTACGTATGTATTCATTTCTCTTGGGTAAATACCTAGAAGTGAAGTTGACAGATCATATGGTAACATTATGTTTAAGGAACTGACAGACTGTTTCCCAAAAGGGCTGCATTATTTTACACTTCCACCGGCGGTATATGAAGGTTCCAATTTCTCTATAGCCTTGCCAACACTTGTTATTTTGGTTTTTTGATTCTAACCATCCTACTGTATATAAAATGTTATATTTGTGGTTTTGATTTACATTTCCCAATGAATAATGTCAAGCATTTTATGTGTGCTTATTGGCCACTTGTGTATCTTTTTTAGAGAAATGTTGATTCAGATATTTTGCTTATTTTTGAATTGAGGTTTTTTAAATTATAGAGTTGTAAGAGTCTGAAATACATTGTAAATACAAGCCCCTCGCTAGACCTGTGATTTTTAAATATGTTTTCTATTCAGTAGGTTATCTTTTCATGATGTCCTTTGAAGCACAGAAGTTATTGTTTGATGATGTTCAGTTGATCTGTGTTTTCTTTTGCTGCTCGTAATTTTGGTCATATCTAAGAATTAATTGCCAAAAATGAGGCCAGAAAGACTTATTCCAATGTTTTCCTCTAGGTGTTTTATTGTTTTTCTCTTACATTTGGGTCTTTGATCCATTTTGAGTTAATATTTGCATATGATGTTTTCTAAGTGTCCAGCTTCATTTTTTTGCATATGGGTATACACTTTTCCTGAATGTTCTTGATATCCTTGTCAAAAATCATTGGATAATAATATATGTGAGGGTTTATTTCTGGGCTGTCTATACTACTCCATTGATATATACATTTGTCTTTATGCCAGTACCATAGTGTTTTGACAATTGTAGCTTCATAGTAAGTTTAGAAATCAGGACGTGTAAGGCCTTCAAACTGGATCCTTTTCAACATTGTGTTCCCTATTCTGGGCCCCTTGAATTTTTATATAAAATTTAGAATCAGTTTTTCAATAGCTACAAAGAGGTCAACTAGGATTTTGACAGAAATTTCACCGAATTTGTAGGTTGTTTTGTGATATCTTGTTATATAATAATGTCTTCCAATTCATGTACATAGTCTGTCTTTCCACTTATTTGGACTTCTATTTTCTCAACAATGTTTCATGACCTTCAAGAGTGTAATTTCTGCATTTCTTTTGTTAAATTGATTCATAGTTATTTCATTCTTTTTGATGATATGTAAATAAAATTGCTTTCTTGATTTCATTTTTGGTTTACAAGTATTTTTTAACATCCAATTATTTGTGTTTTTCCAAAAGTCTTTCTGCTATTGACTTCTAATCTAATTCCTTTTATTTATTTTTTCTAGCCATTACTAAGACAGGGATGTTAAAAATCTCCAACCATAATTATAAATTTACCTGTTTCTCATTTTAGTTTTGCAGTTTTTGCTTCATTCATTTTGAAGCTCTGTTACTGAGTATATATACAATGAGGATTGTTAAGTCTTCTTTACAAATTAGACCATTTATCATTATCCAAAATAATATTCCTCTTCATCTCTAATACTCCCTCCTTTTAAGTCTACTTTGTTTAACATTAACATATGCCTTTCTCTTACCGTTTTCATATAGTTATTTTTTGCATTCATTTACTTTTAACATATTTATGTCTTTATAATTAGTCATTTTTAAGAAAAGATATTTTTTAATCCAACAAAACAAATTTTGTTTTCTTATTAAATGTTTAGACCTGGTATATTTAATGTGGTTATGAATGTGATTAAATTCAAATCTATCAGCTTGCTACTTAAAAATGTACAGGTTCTAAGATCATTTCCTATCTATATTTGGATTTACTGGGTAATTTTAGTATTCTATTTTATTTATACTATTGGCTTAATGCAATATCATTTTTTATAGTTGCTCTAATATTTATGAGATTAACATCTTTCAATTATAGTGTCACTTCAAATAACACTACATGATCTTGTAGATAATGCAAGAACCTTACAAGTTTATCCTTTCATGTTCTCTTTCCTACTCTTTGTACCATTTTTACATAAATTCTACTTGTACTTCTTGTAAATATATTATAAACCCACAGTATATTGTTTTTGCTTAAATAATTGATTTTCTTTTCTAAAAAAACAAAAATGAGAAAACTGTTATTTGTTTATTCATCTGCATGTTTACCATTTCCTGTGCTCTTCATTTCCTCATGTAGATCATTGTATTCTGTAGTTGACTGATTGTGTTGCTCCAAAACTGTTAATAGGTCAAGGTGGTTGGTCAGGGTTGTTAAAATTATTTTTATCTTTACTAATTACTGGTTTATTTGTATTATAAAACAATAAGAGAAGACTTTTAAAATAATCAATCATGATTTCAGGTTTTGATATTCTTTACTGTGGTTCTATTTTTTTCTTAATGTATTTTGAAGTTCTTTCATTAGATACATATATATTTTTGGATTGTTAAATTTGATAAACTGGTTCTTTTATAATTATGAAGCGATACTCTTTACCTTTGGTATTACTTCTTTTTTTGAAGTCTATTTTGTCTGATAGTAGTATAGGTATTCTAGTGTGATGGCTAATTTTATGTGCCAATTTGGCTGGGCCATAGGATATCCACCTATTTGGTCAAATATCATTCTGGGGCTTGGCATGGTGGCTCACTCCTGTAGTCCCAGCACTTTGGGAGGTCAAGGCAAGTGGGTCATTTGAGGTCAGGAGTTCAAGACCAGCCTAGCCAACATAGTGAAACCCCATCTCAACTAAAAATACAAAAATTAGCCAAGCAGTAGTGGCCCCCGCTTGTAATCCCAGCTATTTGGGAGGTTGAGGCAGGAGAATCGCTTCAGCCTGGGAGGCGGAGATTGCACTAAGCTGAGATCAAGCCACTGCACTACAGTCTGGGTGACAGAGTGAGACCTTCTCTCTCTCTTTCTCTCTCTCTCTCTCTATATATATCATATATATATAGAGATATATATATATATATATATAGAGATATATATATATATAGAGATATGATAATATATGATATATATATCATATATATTTTATATATATATTGTTCTGGGTGTTTCTGTGAGATGTGAGAGTATTTTGGATGGCATTGACATTTAGATTGGTGGATTTTGAGTAAAGCAGATTGCTCATCAATAAGATGAAGGCTTTGATAGAATCAAACAACAGGCCCCTCCTAAGCCAGTCATTTGGTTCTATTAAAGAAAGGGCAAGAAAGAAATCTTCAGCAGACTGCCTATAGACTTCATCTGACACATCAGGTCTTTCTGGTTCCACTAGCCTGCAAACATTCTGACCCAAACTGGAATTTTGGTTCTCTTGGTTCTCCAGCCTGTTGGCCAACCTGCATATTTGGGGCTTATCATCTTCTATAATCATATGAGCTAATTCCTTATAATAAATCTCTGTCTATCCATACACATAAACACACACATGCACACACAGAAACAAACACACACACACATACATACGCACACACATATACACACATGCATGCTGTATTAGTCTGTTTTCATGCTGCTATGAAGAAATACCTGAGATTGGGTGATTCATAAAGGAAAGAGGTTTAATTGACTCACAGTTCTGCATTGCTGTGGAGGCCTCAGGAAACTTACAATTATGGCTTTATGGCAGAAGGCAAAGGAGAAGCAGGCACCTTCTTCACAGGGCAGCAGGAAGGAGTGAGTGCAAGCAGGGAAAATGCCTGATGCTTATAAAACTATCAGATCTCATGAGATTCACTCACTATCAGGAGAACAGCATGGGGGAAACTGCTCCCATGATCCAATTACCTCCACCTGATCCCACCCTTCACATGTGATTATGGGGATTACAATTCAAGGTGAGATTTTGGGTGGGGACACAGCCAAACCATATCACACACATATTGTTTTATTCTGCTTTAATGAATAGCTCTGACTAGCTTTCTAATGTTTCCTTTTATATTGTATGTTTTATTTCCATCTTATAACTTCTATGTGTAACCACCTGTGACTAAAATAATACTTTGCAGAGATTTGGGCTTCATCTCTGTTAAGATTCCTCCTTTCCTGCTCCCTGACTCATAAATTTTAGACATTTCAGCAGTCTAATTTCTCCCTTATTCTCAACAAGACCACCGTGGAAAAGTGCATTGAACATAGCATATCCTTTGTAAATCCTTATTAAGTTTCATCATACATGTAGAATCAGAAAACATGGAAAATCAGTGTGACTGAATTCTTTCTTGAACCAACAACAAAGTAAACTATTTCTAGAAGCTGTCGTTTTCATTCATTCATATAACATGTATTTAAACTTGTCCTATTTTATACTGATAAAATTTAAATAAAACACAGACTGTAGAAGTGAAAACAGACAGAACCATAAATGAGATAAATTAGTAATAAAGAAAAGTACTAAATTCTATGAAAGAGATCCTTCAACTCAGAGAATTTGACATTTAGATTACAGATAGGAATTAACAAAATTTAAAAGATAGTAAAGGGCATATAAGAAAGGAGAAATAGTATATAAAAACCACTGGGGGGTAGAAGAACATAGTGTTTTAGGACAGCAGTTGGCAAACAATTTTTTAAAAGGTACAGATAAGAAATATTTTAAGTGTTCTGGGCCATATGGCGTCTATTTCAACTGTTCAGCTCTACTGCTGTGCCATGCAAGCAGCTGTATATAATGCATAATTTTTTTAGTTTAATTCCTTCCTTTTAATCTTTTTTTTTTTAATTTGGGTTCTGGGTTACATGTGCTGAATGTGCAGGTTTGTTACATAGGTATACATGTGCCATGGTGGTTTGCTGCACCTCTCAACCTGTCTTCTAGGTTTTAAGCCCTTCATGCATTAAGTATTTGTCCTAATGCTCTCCCTCCCCTTGCCCCCCACCCCCCAACAGTCCCTAGTATGTGATGTTCCCCTCCTTGTGTCCATGTGTTCTCACTGTTCAACTCCCACTTATGAGTAAGAAGATGTGGTGTTTGGTTTTCTGTTCCTGTGTTAGTTTGCTGAGAATGATGGCTTCCAGTTTCATCCATATCCCTGCAAAGAACATGAACTCATTCTTTTTTATGGCTGCATAGTATTCCATGGTGTATATGTGTGACATTTTCTTTATCCAGTCTATCATTGATGGGCGTTTGGGTTGGTTCCAAGTCTTTGCTATCATAAATAGTGCTGCAATAAGCATATGTGTGCATGTGTCTTTATAGTAGAATGATTTATAATACTTTGGGTATATACCCAGTAATGGGATTGCTGGGTCAAATGGTATTTCATGTCCTAGATCCTTGAGGAATTGCCACACTGTCTTCCACAATGGTTGAACTAATTTACACTCCCACCAACAGTGTAAAAGCGTTCCTATTTCTCCACATCCTCTCCAGCATCTGTTGTTTCCTGAGATGGTTATCTCATTGTGGTTTTGATTTACATTTCTCTGATGACCAGTGATGATGAGCTTTTTTTTCTGTTTGTTGGCTGCATTATAGCCTATAATTAAATGGGCTTAGTTTTGTTCTAATAAGGTTTTATTTACTGGTGGCGGGTAGGATTTGGCCAGTGAACCATAGTATGCTGTCCCCTGGTTTAGGTTATGTCAAGTAATCCATATTCCTGGGTTGTGGGATGTATGTTAGGTAATGCCCAGAAAAGAAACTCCTAAGACAGGTGTCACTAGATCATGTAGTTTATATCCATTATGCCAAGGAGCTTGATATTTTTCCTTACTAAAGTGGACAATCATTAATATTGTTAATGCAGTATAATTATATGATAAGCAATAGGTTTTATGAAATAACTTTAATGCCAATGCCCAAGGGAAAAACCATCCCCAGAGAGCTACCAGAGGTAAAAAAATATTGTATTAGAGTGACCAATTAGTATGCTACAAACTATGCATAAGGTGATTGAAAATAGTTGGGAGTGAAAGAATGAGATAAATGAGAGCTATTTGTACATACGTGGTTGTTGAAGGTACAGGAGTTCATTGAGAACCTCTAGAGATATTATGCAGCAGATGAAATAAAAAGTGTCAAGGATAAAATCTGGGAAACCAATAAAATTACTTAAAGAGACACTGGTGTGTGGAGAATGAGCTAAAGAACATTTAAAATGTAAGGAGCAAGAAACCTTACATTAATACGTATTTAAAATCACAGGTAATAGGAAAAATACACATCATAACAATGAATTACTATTCTTAATTCATCAGATTTTCAAAAATTAGAAAGTTGGAGGATGACTACTGTTGGTGGTCATATAGGAAATTGGGTGCTTTTGTGTGCTGATAGTGAAGTAGGGCCTTGGTGGTCTCCTCCTGAAGCAATCAGTTTCTACTTAGTTCCATCATGTACTTACTCTGTAACTTAGTAATTCCATTTCTGAGTTTATTTTCCAGAGAAATGCTCACATGATACTTATGGGGCAAGTAGGGGATATTTACCAATTATAATCTGTGAAAGTGGAGAGTCAGAGATAAACTAAAGACTTATATATGGGGAAATGAATAAAAGTATAGTAAGCCCATAGCGTGTGGGATAGATAGATGCTTTATCATCCCACAATAGTCAAAATACTCCTTATAGGATCCTCCGTATTGAGCCTATACTGTGAGAGGATTGTATTTTCAACCCACTTATTGTCACACATTGACATTTGACTTACCATGGCCATTGAGATATGAATAGAAATGACATGTACCCTTGCTAAGCAGAAGCTGTAAGAAATGCAGCATTATTCCTCTGAGTCTGTTTTTGATTTGTCACAAGAATGGCTACATCCTAAATGGGAGCTCTTTCTTAAGCCTAGATGCCAGTGTGAAGAAGAGACAGAGCAGAGACACGAACAACATGTAAAGTAAGTAAGAAATAAACTTTTGTTTGTTTGTTTGTTTGTTTGTTTATTGAGATAGTGTCTCACTCTGTTACCCAGGCTAGAGTGCAGTAGCACAGTCATGGCTCACTGTAACCTCGACCTCTCAGGATCAAGCAATCCTCCCACCTCAGCCTCCTGAGTATCTGGAACGACAGGCACACACCACCACACCTGGCTAGATTTTATGTTTTTTGTAGAGATAGGATTTTGCCATGTTGTCCAGGCTGGTCTGGAATTCCAGGACTCAAGTGATCTGCCTGCCCTGGCTTCATAAAGTGATGGGATTATAGGCATAAGCCACCACCCCTAGCTTAAACCTTTGTTTTTGTAAGTCACTAGAATCCAGGTGATGTTTGTTATTGTAGCAAAACCTCACAAAAACTGACAGATATTCTCTAGAATCCCATGTAGTAGTTAGAAGGAACTAGTTAAATGTACAAAAACAACATTTGTGGATCTTAAATACCTAGTGGGAAGTAAAAAAAAGAAGTCAGGTGCTTGATCTCTAATGCAATATCAGTTAAATAAAAAAAATAAATAAGTCAAAGTACATAATTTAGAAGGATATATACAAATTCAATGAAACATATCAAAGACATTAGAAAATTTGCCTGTGGGAACTAAGGAGAATGAGAATGGGAAATATGGATAAAAATATATAAAACAATAAATGACTTAATCTACATGTGAGTATGAGTACATGCATAATAGAGATATCCTTTAAAATAAAATAAATGTGAAATATGTGGATAATGAGGAATATAATTAACTAAACTCTCTGCATCTGTGGAGCAAACAAGAAAACAAGGGAAAAATATTAAAGAGAGAGAAGGGGGGGAAATAAATTTTAGGAAAGTGTATAGAGGAACTTATTTTACCAAGTAGGGAGAAATTTAGCAATACCAAATGCCATGAAAAGTCAAAGATAAGAATTAACAAGCGACTATTTGTTTTGCCTATTAAAAAGTCACTATTGCAATCCTACATTTCTGTAATTGTAGGTATTATGAAAGCATGAGCTGAGTTAGAAGGGAAATTTGAAAGCAGTTTGTCAGGGAACTGTGTAATTGCATCTATTTTTCCCTGCTAACCTTTTGCAAGAGAGAAGAGGATTTGACAGCATTACTTGTATGTCTAAGCTTGGAAAAAGATTCCTTTCACTGCTTTTGTGGTGACTTCACCTTAGAGGTGTTGACCAACTTATAAGGTGCTGTGGAAAGTGCCTTTGGCATTCAACAAAAATTGTCAGATCACTTTCAGTCTACACTTTGAGAGATTATGGCTGTCTCATTCCAGAACACATAATAGTTACACCCAGGTAAGCTTTTATTTCCCTGCTATGATTTCTATTTTCTAAGCCCATTGGAATAGTCTTTGTTAGCTCAGTACAGGAGTGGGTACCTAGCAGATATGAGTTGGCTTCAGTTCCATAGTATTCTCCAGGTGCACTCTGTGTCCTTGGCAAAATATTGGAGGACATAGGCTTTTGCTCAGCAATGCATGTAGCTTTCTTCTTCTGATTTCATGCTTGCCTAAAAGAATTGAATTTGTGGCAATCCAAAGTGTTGCTCTGTAGTTTATCACCAGATCGCTACGATCCAAATTTTTGATGGCTGTATTATTCTTCAGTTTCTATGACCTGAGAGCTTCCTGATATGACACATAGTTTTCTCTCCTTCTGATGATTATTTTATGGGAAAGATGTCGAGGGGTTTTTGATAAGGAAGGAGAATATTATTTTTTCAGAAAGGGCATTTTTAGCTCTAAATTCCCAACAGGAAAAAATGAATAAGAGAAAAGAATGATAAGAAAATAATACAGAAATTAAATGAGATAATTTTTTCAATCAGAATTGAAATGAGGAAAAATTTTAAAAATTATATAATGAAAGTAGATATAATATGTGAGTAAGTTGGGAGATAAATGTATTTAATTCTTACCTTCAATTCACTTCCATCTCACACAAGATTTTCCCAAGATGGATTATGTTTTATGTAAATTATTTTGAGTTGACAATAAAACACAGTTTTTCTAAAATTGTCCCATAGAACAATAGTTCTAAGAGGTGCTGCTTAAAATATGAAGAGAAAATATTGCCTTGTAGGCTCCCTATGCAAATTAATATATTGGCAGCTCTGGGAAGAACTGACTATAAGGAACTTGTTTAATGATTTAACATAATTTTTCAAACTTATTTGAACATAGAACTTTTAAACAATAATATCTATCAATATACAACTAACATTTTTTAGACTATGCTGTGGTAAATATGTCAAAGGTATTTGCAAGTCAAAAATTTAAAACTTGATGAGTACAGCTCCTGACAGATAACATTCACTCAGTAAATCTGTATAATTTAAAGCCAATAAATGTACATTATTTCAGTTGATTATCTAAATTATGCCTTGAGATAATCATGATACTTGTCATGATCCCTTTTAAACAGAAGAGGAAATAAAGCTCAATAGATAAACAAATTCCCAAGGTCACACATTTAGTTGATTGAGGGAAGTGAGAATTCAGGGAAACTTTTTATTTAATTAGTATTTTTTCCACTTGTCTCAATTTACTGGGCAAATATCTAATTTATTTAGTGCTATAGATTGCCACACTGTGTAATTCATCCCCTCCAATAATTTCTAAAACCAAATGCTATGATGTAACATACAAATAAAATAATCATACAAATAAAATAATGATCAAATTTTTGCTCAAGTTTCTAGTGCACAGCCCAGGTATCAGAAAGAACTTGAGAGATAAGATAAATATCTTTAGAAAAGAGGCAAAAATTAATTTTAATCATTGTTGCTTTTTTACCTTAGGCTTTTAACAGAAGCCAAATACTGGGATCATGGCATTCATTTTGTCATGAGCCACAATGAAGCCAGAATATACCATTTTAGACTGAGCAGTGAAAATGACACTTTGAATTCTTTCAAATATGAATAAATATTATAATATATTCTAAAATTCCCACCAGCATACAATGACCTATAAATTGACATAAATTCTATAAAATTCTACAGTCTTTCAGGTTTCTAAACCCTGAAGCGACTGCACTCACTAGAAACGAGCTCTAGACCATAAGATTAGCAAATAGTTATGTGGAGAGCAGCAGGAGCCATCTGCTCAGACACGCACACACACAGGGACAGTGCTGAAGGAGCAAGTGCCAAGGAAGGGAGGCACTTCCTGCACATCCTGCTGGAAAGCACATGCTTGTCTCTGGCATTAGGAATATTTGATCAGCATAGACCTATTAGAAACAATTTAAATCTATATTTATCTTCATTAATATATCCCAGAAGACTTCAATATTCCAATAAATGTTCACTCCTCGTTAGGATCTTCAGTTCATTATGCAGAAGAATCAACATTATGGTCTAATGTTATTCACGGGATATGTCTGAGATTTTCACTTCCTGACTTTTTAATATTAAATTAAAATAGGGCAAAGTAGCATTCATTTCTTAATATTAAAACTATAATTCTTGCCAAACAAAACAGAACCTACAACAGTTTATTGCCATACTATTTTATAAACTTCAAAGAATATAGTATAATGCATATACCTAGCAGGCATTTAATAACTACATTATCATTGAATGATCATAGATAGATGATTGCTAATGTCCATTGTTCCCTCCTTTCATTGTAAGGGTTGTATCCACACTGGAAAAGACCAGTGTGGAAAAAACTGTATTTTATAGCCTTTTTGTACCTTGCTGTGTTGAAAGTTTTTTGCCAATTTTTACCAATGGAATTTGAGTAAAATTGATGTATGACATTCTTCAATTTTACCCTTAAAATAATTGGCCATATAGCCCCCACTGGCCCTTTCTTCCCCTTCCTGTAGCTGAGACAGAGGAAACTTGGACCTGACGTGGAGGCTACATGCTGAGGATGGTGAATCTGCCTCTTTGGCCTTGGCCCATTTCCCTCTGAACTGCAATTTGAGAGAGAAATAACCTAACTTTTTTAGTCACTTTATTCTGGGATCTCTTGTTACAGCAGTTTCGCCTAACTAGTATGGTGTATGAATGACATAGAAACACATTCATGAAAGGAATTAAATGTAAGTCTTTCTCCAAAATGAAATGCCAACGATAGCTGGAACAAGGATAAAATAATGAATGATAATATAATGCTTCAGAAAGTAATTCTATTTTATACTTTAAGAAGAATTTATTTTCAATACTTTAGTATTTAGTGGCAAGATACAACAGCCTGTTTTTTCACTCATCACCTGTGTAACTCTGAACCCCATTTAAATTATCTGTACCTGAAGTACTACATCTGTTAAATGGGTATAACATCACATAATGTTTATTTGAGGACTAAATGAATATCTGGAGGTGGCAGTAGGTAGATCTTAGTAGCTTCGCCTTACATAGAAGGAAATTGGAGTTCAGAGATTCTCTGGGATCCTCAGTAGCAATCAGTAGTGACTGGGTTAGCCCTTTCTAATGTATTATATTAAGGACTTTACTTTCTCTCATCCTGGGATGTCTAGAACTCTAGGGATCCATGCACATATTCTCAAAAATATGTAAATTTTTAAAGGGGCTCAATTATTATTCAAGTTTGAAAAGACATTTTTCTAAGTAAGCTTACTGGTTGAAGAAATGGTGTTTTATTTATCTTCGTGCCTACCATTGTGTTTAATGAATGTTACGATATGTATATAGTTGAATTAATGGCTAAAAATATATTACATTAAATATGTCACCTTTAGAAACCGACGGTAAGCTAATACATTGAATTATTTTACCCTGTGGATATTTTATAATGTTTTTGAGAAGGGGTTTGATTGTTAATTAAAAATAAGATGTTAGTATTGCTGTCTCATAGGCAGATAGTCTGGATTAACTAGAGGTGAATGAAGAGTCTGGATAAATTGGATAATTTAGCTCCATCTTCAATGGATTTTGCTATTTTATTTTGACATGTGCATAAGTCACTCAGTGACTCACTTAACAATTCTTTAAATAAATATTCAATCTGAAGCATATGGAGATCAGTTTTAAGCTATAGGGCAGAGGATTAAAAGATTACTGTTTTAGAATTTCTTGTGATTATATTGAATTTTAATAGTTCATTTAACTCAGTATAATTTGTTTTTTAGATTACTAGATAATGGTTTTGAGGATAAGGCAGTATTTTACTCTCTTTTGTATCATTTGCATAATGGCTGGTAAATGGAGAAATGAATAAATGAATGAATGAATCAAAGAAGGATATTCCATTAAAATATTCCTTCCTTGTGTTATTGTGTACATCTTCCAAAGATGCATATGTCATAGGAACATACTCCCTTTTTTTCCTCACCCCACACTTTCCTATTAAGCTGAAGCCCTATGAAATAGTTCTTATGAAATAGTGTTTGGTCTACCATGACTGTATTTGTTCCAGAGTCAGAGACCTACATTCTCTCCCTGCTGAGGGGATAAAATGCCTTCCTCTCATGCACTGATATGTACACTAGGTCCCCTTCCCTAACTACAAGAATTGAATATAATATGGACATTGTGTGCTGATAATTGGTTAAGGAGTCTAATTGTCTGAACTAGGAACAGGAAATCTCACAATCTTGCTACACATTCCTTACTCACAAAGAAAAGTCAAAGCAAAAATTAAAATAATGGAACTGCTTCCTAAATAAAATACTTAAAACAATTTAAAATAACCTCAAAATATAGAAAGACTTTTATACACAAGCTTACTCTTTTTGTACTGTTATTTCTTGCTCTTTTAATTTCAGTTGGCAACCTGTCAAAGATGTGAAGGAATTCCTGTTTTTCTGAAATTTTCAAAAATCTCTGTTTAAATGCATTTTACTAAAATGTTAAGGTTAAAAAAGACAGATTTGCACCACTGGATGCTGAATAAATGCTATTTAGACATTATTTAAGGCAATAAATTAAAAATACATTTCTCTATACTGGTTGGAAACAAAGGACACTCATGAAGTCTGCAGATATGTGTTCAGAATGTGTTTTCATTTTCCTCTTTTAAGTGAGGTAGACTTAATTGGAATACTCAACTATATACAATACTAAGCAATTCTATATTATTTAGTGTATGTAATTCTATATTATTTCGTAAGGAATTTCTCCTGATACAATGTGCCAGATAAGCAAAGAGGTTTTAAATGTTCAGAACACTAACCAGTATCTTATTTTGGATAAAATATCAGGAGGATTTGAAGGCTAGATGAAGCCACCTAAGTTTAAAAATTCTAAAGCTACCAATTCAGGCCTTTTGTTTAAAGGCTATTCTAAATCACTGAAGTGTCAAAGTTTACCTGAAAGTTTATGTGTTTTTGCTTTCTAAGGTTCTTTTTTCTTTCAGACCTTGACAGATGGAAATGTTCTCTAGGTTTCAAGTGGAGTTTTCTATTTATAACCTAGAGAATATAATGGTTAGAAAAATGTTTAAACTCTTTAAATGTATTTAGAATTTTACGTACTAGTTTTTAAGAATATATTGCTTATATTTTTCAAATTTTAATTCTAATTGTAAAGGTACTTAAGCTATTGAATTAATGGTTTTAATCAGTGCTTATCTGACAGTAAGACTATTTGAGTAAAAAAGATCACATTTGTAAAGAGAGAAGACTCAAATAAATAAAATCATAGATGAAAAAGGAGACCTAACAACTGATACCACAGAAATGCAAAGGATCATTAAGAGACTACTGTGAACAGCCATACACCAATACATTTGAGAAAATAGAAGAAATAAATAAAGTCTGGATACATACAACCTATCGATATTAAATTATGAAGAAATAGAACATCGGAACAGACCAATAATCATAAGAAATTAAATTAGTAATAAAATGTCTTTCATCAAAGAAGCCTAGGACCTGATGGCTTCACTGCTGAATTCTATCAAACATTAAAGAACTAATATTGATAGTCTTCAAATTATTACAGAAAACTAAAGAGGAGGGGGTGCTTCCAAACTCAGTTTATGAGACCAACATTCCCCTGGTTTCAAAACCAGACAAGGATACAATAATTAAAATAAAATTACAGGCTAATATCCTTGATGAATATAGATGAAAAATTCTAAACAATATATTAACAAACTGAATTCAACAGCACATTAAAAAGATGATTCCCCATGATAAAGTGTGATTCCTCTCAGGAATACAAGGATGGCTTAACATATACAAATCAATAAATGTGATACATCACAGAAAGACAAAAACCATATGAACATTTCAATAGACACAGAAAATCATTTAACAAAATTCAATATCCATTCATGATATAAACTCTCAATAAGTTAGGTATAGAAAGTACATATCAATACAAAAAAAGTGATATATAACAAACCTACAGCTAATGTCATACTGAGTGAGGAAAACTTAAAGCTTTTCCTTCAAAAACTAGAATGAGAAAAGGATACCCACCTTTCCTACTCCTACTCAACACAATACTGCAAGTGATAGCCAGAGCAATTAGGCAAGAAAAAATATAAAAGGCATTTAAATTTGAAAGGAGGAAGTCAAATTGTCCCAGTTTGTAGATAACATGATTTTATATATAGAATCCTAAAGATCCAACAAAAACTCTTTGAATTAATAAGCAAATTCAATAAAGTTGCAGAATACAAACTCAACATATAAAAATCAGCAGTGTTTTCATACACTAATAGTGAAATATTTGAAAATGAAACTGAGAAAGCAATTTTGTTTATAATAGCTAAAAAAAACTGATACCTGGGAATAAATTTAACCAAGAAAGCAAAAGATCTATATACTGGAAACTATAAAACATTGTCTAAAACACTTGAAGAAGACATAAATGAATGGAAAGATATCTCATGTTCATGGATTAGAGAATTAATATTGTTTAAATGGCCATACTACTGAAAGTAATCTACAGATTTAATATAATTTCTGTCAAAATACCAATAACATTATTCACAGAAATAGAAAAAAAAATCCTAAAATTCATATGGAACAAGAAAAGACTGAATAACCAAATCAAATCTGAGCAAAAAGAACAAAACTAGAAACATCTCACCACCTGGCTTCAATATACACTCCAAAGCTTTAGTAACTTGAACAGTATGATCATAGTACTGGCATAAAAACAGACACATAGACCAATGAAACAGAAGAGAGAGTTCAGAAATAAATTCATGCACCTACAGCCAACTGATTTTCAACACAGGTTTCAAGAACACACACTGGAGAAAGGACAGTCTCATTGATAAGTGGTGATGGGAAAGATGAATATTCACATGCAGAAGAATGAGGCTAGATCCGTATTTCTCACCATATACAAAAATCAACTCAAAATGAATTAAAGACTTAAATGTAAAATCCAAACTGCAAAACTATTAGAAGAAAACATAGGAGAAATGCTTTACAATATTGGGTTGGTCAAAGATTTTTAAAATTAGATCTCAAAAGCACAGTCAACAATATACCAAAAATAGACAAATTAATTACATCAAGCTAAAAAGCTTCTGCACAGCAGAGGAAAGAATTAACAGAGTAAAGAAACAACCTACAGAATAGAAGGGAATATTTGTAAACTATACATCTGATAAAGGGATAATATCCAGAATATATAAGGAAATTAACAGCAAAAAAAAAAAACAAACCTGATTTTAATATTGGCAAAATAATAGACATTTCTCAAAAGAAGACATAGAAATGGCCAGCAGGTACATGAAAAAATGACCAATATAACTGATCATCAGGAAAATGTAAGCCAAAACCACAATGAGATATCACCTCAGTCAATTGGAATGGCTTTATCAAAAAAAAAAAAAAAAGAAAAAAGAAAACAAGCATTGGTGAGGATGTGGAACACTTACACACTATTGGTGGGATTGTAAATTAGTACAGCCATGATGGAAAACAGTATGGGAAACAGAACTACCTTATGATGTAGCAATCCCACTACCATGTGTGTATCCAAAGGAAATGAAATGAGTATGTTAAAGAGATAACTACACTTTCATGTTTATTGAAGTACTGTTTATAATAGCCAAGATACAGAATCAACCCAAGTGTCGAACAATGGATGAATGGGTAAAGAAAATGTGGTATATATACACGATGGAATACTATTCACCCATAAAAGAGGTTCATCATTTGTGAGAACATGGATGAACTTGGAAGACATTACTGTTAAGTGAAATAAGCTAGACTCAGAAAGACAAATACTGCATGATCACACTCATATGTGGAATCTAAAAACAAACAAAAAAAGAGGTGATACAGAAGCAAAGAATAGAACAGTGATTACCAGAGACTGGGGAGGGGAAGGGAAATGGGAGGGTGGGGAAAAGTTGGTCAATGGGTACAAAGTTACAATTAGGAGTAAAAAGTTTAGGTACTTTATTGCACAGGAGGGTGAGGATAGTTAACAGGAAGTTACTGTATTCTACAAAATAGCTAGAAGAGTGGCTTTTGAATGTTTTTGACACAAAGAAATGATAAATGCATGAGATGATAGATATGATAAATACCCTGATTTGATCATTGTGCTATATATATGTGCTGAAACATCAAATTGTGCCCCTTAAATATGTACTACATGTCAATTAAAAAAATGTTGAAGACCACATTTGTATACCTTGGGTGATATGTTTATAATAATCATGTTTAGAGAAGTTTTAAGATGAGTCTTGATTTTAAAAGTACATTCTGGGCTGAGTGCGGTGGCTCACGCCTGTAATCTCAACACTTTGGGAGGCCAACGGGGGACGGATTACCTGAGGTCAGGAATTCGAGACCAGCCTGGCCAACAGGACAAAATCCTGTCTCTATTAAAATACAAAAATTAGCCAGGCATTTTGGTGCATGCCTGTAGTCCAACTACTCGGGAGGCTGAAGAAGGAGAATCGTTTAAACCTGGGAGGCAGAGATTGTAGTGAGCGGACATCACCCCACTGCAGACTAGCCTGCATGACAGAGTGAGATTCCATCTCAAAAATAAAATATAAATAAAATAAAATAAAATAAAATAAAAATAAAAATACATTCTGACTTAGAATTCCAAAGCAGGACTAGTGTGCCTAGTATTACTTCTCTCAATTTTCTCATTTGAAGGAAATCTAGCAGGACGATCCCAGCTGACAAAATCAGCAGTCATTCTTTCTTTCTAGTGGAAAATCTGCAAATTGCAAGCATTCATCTCAGGAGGAATTAGCAAGGTTCCCAAGGAGGGTTGACCTTGTAAACTGAAAGCCAAAATAACAAGCAAATGTCACAAGTATTAAACAAACAACAAAAATCTCCTGAATATCTGAATTTTCCCACTTATGATTTGATGTCATTGAAAATTTGGCAATGATTATTATTATTACAAAATGTGCTAATGATTCTTAATAGCAGAACAAATGTTTATCAGTACCAGAGAAGTGCACTATCCCCATGATCATCAATTACATTGTAAATGACTCAATGTAATTAGTTTCCACGGCATGTCTACAAAGCCTAGCAAGTAGAGAAGATTCTAGAGTTATACAAAGATTAGATCCTCTATTTGCTCTATGATTTTTGCTTCTGTGTTTATATTCCATTCTTCTTGGCATACATATGAGAAAATGAACTCTCAGATACAGGTGTTGTGCTTTCCCAGATAAATTGTTTTGATGAACTCTACTTTATCAGGTCACAGTGGTTTTGGTTACTGCTTATGTTTTCCAGATTGCCTAATCATATAGCCAGACTAATACAGCTGTGTTAGGTCAGTTGATTTGGTTACTAAAGAAAATTTTACAATATAGGAAGGCATTTCATATACATCAATAATAGTTACAAAAAAAAAAAGCTTGCAACCTCACAAAAAAAGCTTTTATTTAGGAAAAAGAAAGTCAGTCCTTTCTTATCAACCACCAACCATGCACTATAATTTAAAACAGATTTTTAGCACAGTGTTTCTTTGCTGCTCAATGACTGGTTTAAAATTTTCCTCAGCCTGTGGACCAACGACTCTTGATTAGTTGTGTCAGATGAGTCCCCTTAGAAACACTGCACAGTTGCACTTCAGTGCTTCCATTTTGACATATCCTGTTAAGGGTTACACAAAGTCGTCTGAAGAGGTTAATAATGAAGGAGGATAAGGAAGAGGAGAGGAAAATGGCTTTGCAAGAAGCCTGAGAATTTAATAAAGAAACAGTAGTGTAATGTGGTGGGTCTGATCTTTTGAATGGGGCAACGGCGATAGAATTGGACAGCATTTTTACCAGTTTTGTTGTTATTTTTAATGTATTAAATGTCAATTGTGGCTATTTAGGCGACTGGGTGGTAATTCTGCTTATACATTTTCATCAGGAAGTGAGTTACAGGTGAAAAAATTAATCTTATATGACATATGTAATCTTATATGTAATCATCAGGGGTTTTTCCTCAGTTAAAGAGAAATGATATTGGAGGAGTAATTGTACTCAAGAACTACTGTTCTGAAAGCATCTTTTGCTAGGCTGCTTTGAAAGCATCATTGCACTAGAACGCTGCACTGTGGCGATTATGCAAGTAAATATTCATTTTACTTCAGCTATGCTCAGGAAGATTTCAGTATATAATTTATAATTTTTCATTTGAATTGTGTTAACTTATCTATTCTGATTATCCTTCCTTTTTCTCTTTCTTCTTCTTCTTCTTTTTTTTTTTCTTTTTTATGGGAGTTTCGCTCTGTCACCCAGGCTGGAGTGCAGTGGTGCAATCTTGGCTCACAGCAACCTCTGCCTACTGGGCTCAAGGGAATCTTCCCCCTCAGCCTCCCAAGTAGCTGAGACTACAGGCACTCATCACCACGCCCAGCTAATTTTTGTATTTTAGTAAAGAGGGGGTTTCACCATGTTGACCAGGCTGTTCTCGAACTCCTGACCTCAGGTGATCCTCCTGCCTTGGCCTCCCAAAGTGCTGGGATTACAGGCGTGAGCCACCATGCCCAGCCCTTCCCTTGCTCCTTATCTCCTTCCCTATATCCCTTTATAATTCTGTCATCTCTCTTCTGCCCCTGTTATTCTCTTTTTCCTTGTATTTCTTCCATTATATAAATTTAAAATTAAATAAAGCGGGTGATTCTTTTAGGGACCTAACCAGCATGGTTCATGTGACTGTATAAGTGAGACAATTTGATTTTCGAATGATTTTCCTTAGGTATTTCAACTAAATATACAAAAAATGCTAATATACTGCAGTTTTACTTACATTGTGTTCATATGCCTCTATTATCAAAGAAAAAATATATATACACTTTTAATGCATAAAATAGTCCATGGCCTTGCCACGGCCTTACTAATGATCTGGAAATATGTCTTAGAGCCTAAAGATAAGTACTAACTTATTTGCTGGGCTATCAAATCCTTGGTGCCTGCCTCCTGTTTGCAATATTTGCAATGACTGCCTCATACACCTTGAACTAGGACCACACTACTCAATTTGCAGATCATCAAACAAGATATGTTTTTCTAGAGTAACATGACATATTTTGCATTATTCTTTCCTCTCCATTTTTCTGTGTGGGAAGCATCTATTGATTTTTAAGACTCACCTAAAGGAAAGAAAAAAAAAACAATTTCCTTTCCCCTCCAGGAAGAATAGCTGTTCTCTTTCAGCCCTGGCTGCCCCTGGTGTTTGCCTGTATTCTAGTCATTATTACTACACAGCTTATATGTTCTAAGCTCTTGGATGGCACATATTTGTCTTGCCTATCTTTTTATTCTTAGGTTTGAATATTACAATGCCTTGTATGTAAAAAGGGGTTAATATATTGACTATTAAGTGATTAAAATGATAACAACTGTTATAATAACAAAAGTTTATATCACACTCACTAGACGCCAGGAACCTCTCCAAATACTTTAGTATTTTAATTCAAAAAGCTGAATCCTTACAACAGCCATATGTGGTATTTTTCAGATGAGAAAACTGATGTACATATAGTAATTAATTTCCCTATGGTCACACTACTAGTGAGATGAATCCAGCATTTGAAGCCAGATAGACTGCTTCCAGAAGCCAGATTTGTAACTCTCACCAATTCACTTCCTGGCTAAAAACCTTCAATATCTCCCTGTCTTTTACAGAATAAACTACCCTCTTATTAGAAGAGCAAAAAAGTCCGCTGCATTTTATGACTCCTACATATATTTTCAGATACTTATCTTTTGGATCCCCAAAGCCATTCTCATCTTGAAACATTTGTCATTCTAACACACACTGTTTTATCATGCCACTATGTGTATATGTTTTCTCTGCTTGAGAGGCTATCCACCCCAACCTCTGCATTTATCTGCCAAAAAAAAAAAAAACCATTACCATCTTGTGAGAACACTCAACCATTACTGGTTTCTCAGATGACTTTCTAGATGTTTCTTTCCTGAGATTTACCCTCCTCAGTACCAAAATATATGAAGAAATGCTGGTGGGACAGGGGAAAATTTTAAGAACCACTGTTTATTCATTGTTGTATGAATAGATGAAAGTAGGAGAATCGGAATTTGGAGAGACAAAGTTGTCACTAAAATGTAATAAACCAAAACAACAAAACAAAGACTTGCTTTGTGCCAAACTGCAAGTTCCAGTAGATTCCCTTTGTTGCCTTTAGGTTTAATTTATTGGCAATACAAATTTTTACCTATGTTTTTAATATCTGGTCAATGTAGTGATTGTGCACACATTCAATTCTATGTGATTGTGGTTTAATACTCATGATGACAGTGATTCAAAAAAAATTCAAACTCAACTCACTAGATGCTTTATCATTAACTAAATTTTCTCTGGAAAATTAATTGTAATTAATTTAATTTAAATGTAATGACTTTTGAAATCACACCCAAAGTTGTTTCTACTACATACGGCACATACCTCTGAGGTCACAATTCCACTTGGACCCTCTTTGTGCTCACCATGGAGATTCTCCTATAAAACTACATAAAATATTTTTTGGTTCTACTAATGTTCCCCATTTCAAGTAAGAAAGAGTAAATGTGAGTTTACTAGAAATAATATTATGCTAAATGAGGAGCAATAGATTAGTTTTCAATTTAAAGTAGAAGAGAGAAAAAATTGACCAAATGTTAGTTTTATTATCATCCTGCAAGTAAAAATAATGGTTAATGTATACAACTGATAATTTAAAAAGAGAGGAAACATAACTACATATCAATACATATACTTACGTGATACAGTAATTAAAATATTTTATGAGTATTTGGACACAAAGGATGTGATATAGGAAAAGAAAAAAGAAAACCCTTTGAAATAAAATGAGCATTTTAAAAGTAAAGTTTTTGTATTTTTAAATATCAAAAAAGAAAAAAGCAATAATTTTAGATGTTCTTCTTCTGGAGTAGTATTAGTTCAAGAAACAAGGTTTCTTTATTGCAAAAATGTGTCAGCAAAAGACCAAGTATGTTTAACTCACAGTCCAAGTGTATCAGTAGGAAAAAAACAATAGGAAGGGACTCATTGTACTTTGAATATACAATCACCTGATTACTACTTTGAGAGTTTTTAATATGCTTATTGGCAATTTGGGTTCATTTTTCTGTGAATTACCTTTTTTATCTTCCTTTCCTAGTGAGTAGTTTGTCTTTTTTTTGCTTATTGATGCAAATATTTATTCTGGATACTAATTTCTTGCATGTTAATGAGTATATATGTTAAACTGGTATTGACCTGTAAGTTGGAGTGGAAAATACGCAAGTGCTTGTGAGATTTCAAATATAGGATAATGAGTAACTTTGGAAAGGAAGGAAGTGAGTGGATTAGGGGATGGTGTAGTATTAACTCTTTAACATTTAATTTGTTAAAATTTTTGCAATAAATCTGGCAAAATGATAAGGCTTGTTTAAACCCACTTAAGAATGGCTGCATAACCAGGGCCCAGACCTCTCAGGGGTAAGGGTCTGGATGATCCACTAGGTAAGCTCATATTGGCATGGGTTCTATCAAAGGTGAGAGAAATCTGAAACAGGATTTAGAGAGGGGAGAAAAAGAAAACCACTTCCAAACTTCACACCAGCAGCAACATCACGAGTTAACACCCATCCTACTGACCTTCCCGTTACTGTTTCCTGAGGGCCAAAAACCAGTCAAAATCCTGGAGAAGCTGCTCCCAGATGGAGTGAATTTACAGCAAGGTATGTAGATCCAAGTATCACAAAAGGTGGGTTGTAGTTGATATTGGGGCTTATCATCCCAGTCTCTTCCCAGGGTTGAGGAATCCATCCTGGACTGCTGGGCAGGTGAGCTGCTGATAGCTTATGGCTGCATGCCACTGTGGACTTTATTCCTCAGCAAAGGAAGCTTCCTCACCTAAGATGATACACCTTCCCCAGGGCAGTTCACAGTCAGTGACTGGAAATGTAGAGTACAAAGACCCGAGCCCCTCACCTTGATTTGAAATTCTCTGATGGGCAACCCCAGGTTCAGAGCTCCCTGTGGGAAAGGCTGAACCCCTTATTTTCACTGCCACACAATTACCCTCACCTTGTGCCCACACTTGGCTTTCTTTGGTCCCTCAAAATTATTCTTAATAAAAGCACTGCTCAATCAGTCAAATCTCAAAGCATCAGACTCTACTCCTAAGGAGCCCTACCTATGACAAAGCACTGTGCTTTAAAAGATGAAGCTAGAAGGAAATTATGGTTAGTTTAAATTTAGGTTGTCCGCCTAATTCAATACATAGGAAAAGAGAATTTTTTCATGAACAAGTCAATGCTTAGGAATGTCATATGCTTGTACTTTACTTCAGAGGAATCTGGGCAAAATAGGACAAAGAAGCCTTGAGACTGATTTCTGTTCATGAAATTTGTGAAGGAGGATTGATCTATTTTCATATTTTTGGAGTTTTAAGCAATGTATTAGTCTCTTTTGTCACTTGTGCACTGACTCAACATCTGTGAAACTATTCTTGTGTGACAGTTATGTTGCTAAGCATAGGTAATTCAACTAAGATGCAGTCCCCAAAGCAAGGAACTAATAAGCTAGTGAGAATATAGATGATAAACCCAAAGTGATAAACTGTAATAGATGCTGTAATAGCCATGTATTCAGGATCTGATATTAGTAGATGGGAAAAAATAGATGTGATGGGGTGCGGGAAACCCAAAGCCTTCTTGGAGCAAGGGAAGATTGAGTTGACTTTTGAAGGACAAAAAGGAATTATTCAGGCACAGGACAGGGAAAGGAGGATTTGAAAACCTTTTATGTAGGAATGACAGCATTGTCTGAGACACTTGAGGGAGTGAAGTAGATGTCATTCAGAATAACTAATACAAAAAATATTGCAAAATAAATTCAGAGGGCCAAGAAGTAGTCTGGTTATGTTTCTTTCTAAATATAAAGGAAATGGATTTGAATTTAATCCTGCTAGGGTTGGGATGGGTGCTTTGAAGAAATTAAAATAGAGGAATTGCATGATCAGCCTTAGGTTTTACAAAGATTACTCTGAACGCAGGCCACTATACCTCCATCCCTCATTCAAAGTTAAAAAAAAAATGTAATCTCACAAGGTCCTGGATAACTACTGAATGCCATGCAGGGTCATTGTTTTTTGTAAATGCACTCTTCTAAGACTTAATAACATGATGCAGTAATTCAGATCTGTCAGTCAGATGTCCAATGATATGAGAATTTTTAATAAGATAATTGGCAGAACAGCAAGGGATGATGAAGCATCCTGGGGCTGCAACAGGGAGAACCCACAACCATGACTGGGATTGAATGGTTATTGAAATACAGTTTCTCACCACTGGAACTGAGGCCCTGGAAAAAGTTAAATTAAATTTTAAATTACATTATTATTAAATTGCATGGTAGGAGGGATAACTAGGAAACATTTAAAACCCCTCCCAGGTGGGGATGGAGGTTAGAGATCATGAAAAGTAAAAGTGGATATATACTCTCCTATAGGAACCCCCTAGTGATCAAACCTAATGCATTCCAGGTAATGCCAACCATCAAAATCAGCCTAGATTTTAAGGGAGCTCAGCTGATGGTTTTTGTGGAAGTCACTCTAAGGCAAAGAGCAGAAGGAGAATATTGGAGAGTGCATAAGGATGGAAATGGAAGTTACTCAGCATGAGATCCAAACATTTCTGCAAGATGAAGCACACAGTCCCTATCTCTTTCTTCCCTTCTCTTTTCCTTCCTTCCTTCTTTCCTTCCTTCCCTCCCTGCTTCCTTCCGTCCTTCCTTCCCTCCCTGCTTCCTTCCTTCCTTCCTTTCTCATTTTTTCTTCCTCTTTCCTTTTCTTCATTCCTTCCCTCCTTCCTTCCTTCCCTCCCTCCATCCTTCCTCCTTTCCTTCCTTCCTTCTCTCTTCCTTCCTTCTCTCTTTTTCCTTCTTTCCTCCTTTTTTCTTCCTCTTTTCCTTCCTTCTTTCCTTCCTTTTCTCCTTTCTTCCTTCCTTTTTTCCTTCATCTTCCTTCCTTTCTTCTTCCTTCCCTCTTCCTTTTTTCCCTCTTTTTCCTTCCTTCCTTCCCTCTTTCCTTCATTCCTTTTTTCTTCCTTCCTTCTTTCTTTCTTTATTCTCTTTTTATTTTTAACCAGTAAAACTGGACAAATTATTTCAGGAGTGAAATCCTCAATTTCTCCTCTTATTCATTTTTTCCTTTATTTTTTGGAGCACATTAATTATAACTATTTTAATGACCTTGTCTGATAACTATTATTCACAGGATCATGTATGTTCTGTTTCTGTTGTCTTTTGTTTCCTGTTAAGAATTAAATTTACTTTTTATATTACTTGAGACTTTGTACCTAAAAGAATCTTAGAGGATTCAGATAGTGTTGTCTTCCACCAGAGAGGATATCTTCCTTTTGTGGTTAGGCAGCTAGGATGGGAAGTGACTAATCACTTCAATCCAGGCAGGAAGTGTGCTGGGTTGGAGGTGGATGGTGGTTTTGATAAAACTACCGTGTTGCAGGACAAGGCCCTTCCATGGTATTTCTCATCTGAACTTTAAAATACTAGGAGACATCATTTGCACCTTCAGTGGTTTTCAGCTTAGCTATCCAGCCTCTTGTCCTAGGCAGTTTCAAAATTTGAAAAAAATTTGTGGGTGTGCCCAACCACGTAATGAAGTACACACTCCCTCTCTTTAGTGTGTGTGTGTGTGTGTGTGTTTTCCCGATCATTGAAAGTTTAAAGGAGTTGTTTTTAGGAATAGTTCAGCTGAGCTCTTCATACTATCCCAGTGCACCAGAACTCAGCGAATATCCCTGAATTTAAGTTTTCTCAAGTGTCAGATTTACCATCCCAGTCTTATGGAAGAACAAAAACTTTTCTGGTTCCACTTTTACTCTCAGCAGAGTCCTGCCCAGGTTAAGGCTGATCCTTAGTCCACACCAAGAATCAGCAAATGTTCTGAGAGCTAAAACCACCTGCAGTCATCAGCTCACCTGGAGTGATTCTCTTTTCTCTGTAATTATAGCTCACCTAGTAGTCATTGCTCTCACAGCTCTTTGATGACTTTAAAAATGTGATTTTGGCCGGGCGCGGTGGCTCACACCTGTAATCCCAGCCCTTTGGGAGGCTGAGGTGGGCAGATCACTAGGTCAAGAGATCGAGACCATCTTGGTCAACATAGTAAAACCCCGTCTCTACTAAAAATACAAAAATTAGCCAGGGCTTGGTGGTACGTGCCTGTAGTCCCAGCTACTAGGGAGGCTGAGGCAGGAGAATTGCTTGAACCCGGGAGGCAGAGGTTGCAGTGAGCTGAGATCACGCCATTGCATTCCAGCCTAGAGACAGAGCAAGCCTCCATCTCAGAAAAAAAAAAATGTGATTTCATTTTGTAACATCCTGGCTTTTTAAAAGTTGTTGCAGTATAAGCATTGGCCTTCCTCATCTACTTTTAATGTCAAAAAAGTCAGACAATTTTTGCTCCCAACATAATTTGACTTTCACTATTCATAGATTTAAAAAATGAATAATGAAGAAAGCTATCATGCCTTCATTAATGCTTTTCCATAAATTTGAATTTTTACCAATCACAAGAGAATTTATAAGCATCTGAAAAATAACTACACATAAGTTATTTTATAGTTTCAGAATGAAGGCAAAATACTGTCGCGTATAGATTCACAAAACAATTGCATGGTCACAACATACAATTTGACAACGGTGGGATTAGGTGTTTTATCCAAACATATATAATCAATAGCCTGGGCAAGAATTAGTCAAATTCTGCCAATTCTAAATCCAAATCTCTAAACTCTGCAACCTCCTCATTTGAATATGAATTTGTGAGCCAATTAAACATTGGCATATGTCTTCTGTGAAATAGGATTAGGCAATTTTTGTTTAGTAGCCTACATTGATATAAGTTGGATCATATAATATTAACTGTTATATGACATTATTATTATTAAGAAATCTAGGCTGGGCATGGTGGCTCATGCCTGTAATCCCAGCACTTTGTGAGGCTGAGGCAGGCAGATTACGAGGTCAGGAGATCGAGACCATCCTGGCTAACACAGTGAAACGCCGTCTCTACTAAAAATACAAAAAATTAGCTGGGCATGGTAGTGGGCGCCTGTAGTCCCGGCTACTAGGGAGGCTGAGGCAACAGAATGAACCTGGGAGGCAGAGGTTGCAGTGAACCAAGATCATGCCACTGCACTCCAGCCTGGGCGACTGAGCGAGACTCCGTCTCAAAAAAAAAAAAAGAAATATATAATTTTTTTTAAAAAAAAGAAATAGAGCAATGAGATGATTCTGGAGGTTGTAATTTCTGTTCGTTCTACCTGCTTCTATTAAGGAGTTCAGGTTCTTCATAAATTCTCGGCTTAAAGGATTTTTGTTGTTCGGCTGAAGCACAAGTTGTTCTCAGACACTCTTATTTTTCTAGGCTTTATTTTCTGGAGCCTCATTCCTGGATGGGATGATATTAAAGGGAGCTGGATTTAGGGTGTGGTGAATGGGAGTAGAAGGAGATAGGCCTTGAAGAGTCCTGTCCCTGGAGGAACCCCCTGATAAAGATGAGGTCTGTGAGAGGATTGGTTGCTAGACTGGTCATAGGCTTCCCAGAAAGGAGCCCCTTGTCATCCATGGTGATATGCTTTTAAGTGACCATATGTAAGTGACCATGTGGGCTTAGAAAAAGAGAATATCCCTGAAGGCATAATGATTAGAGGCTTTTCCCTAGTTCTCCCATATCCAGACAAGTTTCCTAAATTCTTTTTCTTCTTTTTTCTTTTTTTTTTTTGAGACGGAGTCTCGCTCTGTCGCCCAGGCTGGAGTGCAGTGGTGCGATCTCTGCCTCCCAGGTTCAAACAATTCTCTGCCTCAGCCTCCTGAGTAGCTGAGATTATAAGCACCCACCACCACGCCCGGCTAATTTTTTGTATTTTTAGTAGAGATGGGGTTTCACCATCTTGGCCAGGCTGGTCTTGAACTTCTGACCTCGTGATCCACCCGCCTCGGCCTCCCAAAGTGCTGGGATTACAGGCGTGAGTCACCGTGCCCAGCCCCTAAATTCTTTTATGACCCTAGGGAAAGAAGGACAGTGACCATAACAATGGATATGAAATTTTCTGGCATGTCAGTTAGATACGATCTCAAAGTCACACTCAAATAAATTTTTTAAATGGACGGTGTTTTCTTCCTCAATTTTGTGACTTCAAATCCTTACACACAAAGATGATATAAAGTGTTAATAAAATGGGCATTAAATAAATAGAATTATTTGCCATTGACCTTATGGATGTCAAGTCATCAACACTGGGTTTACCTTTGGACTCTATTCCAAGATTTTTCCATTTCCCCAAAAAAATTGCAAGAAAAAAAGCCTGAATCCTGAACCACACATTAGTCAACATAAACTTAAATGATTTGAGTATTTTATGTGTACATACACAGCTAATGAAACATTAGTGGATTTTTAAGCACTTTGTAATTATAAATATAGAAATTATTAAAGAGATAACTAAAGGAAGTATTAAAATTATAGCCATAGGAATTATTGAAAATTATAGGAATTATTAGTTAACTAGCAAAAAGCTAAGTGAGAGGAAGGTAATCCTGGGTTGGTTGTAGGATGAAAAGGCAATGTAAGAACTGAACATCTCACTGTAGCACCAATCATGAGAGGTATCACTTATAAATTTTTTAAATGAAGTAAGGACCTCGTGCCTCTCTCCAAACACGGACTCCCAGCAAATGTCATACTGTTACTCTGAACTTACAGTTCTTCAGTAAAATGACAGTATCTGAAGAGTTAATATTTCTAAAGAAAGAGAGAGGAATTTTCTTATAGATATTGTTTGCTAAAATAAGTCTCATTGTAAAAGGTAAGGATTCATGCATTAATCAGAGCTTTGTGAACTCTCACATTAAGCAGCTTTGTTATGCTAATTAACTTGTAAATGAAGAATGGAGTGATTCTCCCATTATTGAATATCATTCTTAAGGGCCTGATTTAGAAAAATAAAGATATCCTTTATGCTTGCAAATGATGCTAAGCTGTGGATCAGGAGTCTATTTTAGTGGAAAAGTCACCCTATTTTTTAAAAAGTTGCTACATATCCATTAAGCTTTATATTTAGTTTTAGTCAGCCAATGAATTTTACAAAAGAAATATCTGTTCGGGAAGGAAATAACACAAGACAACTTTGAGAATTTATTTCCACACAATCTCCCCTTGAAAGGCCAATGTATCATAACTAAGAAAAATCTCAGTGCATCTATACCAGAGGTCAAAACTGCTGATCTGAAGGTTATAGACTTGTCAAAAGAGATGTATCATTTAACGAGTAGTGTTTTGCTTTAATTTTTAAAATTTGAAATTTGGTATTTTTTAAAATATGAGAGAGTGCATACCAAAATCCTGATTTCTAGATTTTGGTGGAAAATTAGAAGATATGACAAATACAAGAGCAATGTTTATACTGGACAACAATCACCTGGAGCTGAATAGCAGCTACTGCTACTAAAGTGACATTTTCTCTAGTTCATGCCACATGTTAGATGCAGTGTATCATCATAGCTTACACTATCATTCTTCTTATAACAGAATTACAAGAAAAGGGATATATTCTTACAATGTCTCTATCAAAAGTGAGGAAAAAAATAAACAGCTTCCATCTTCAAGAAAAATATTAGAAAGTACTTTTTTGTATAAAATAACATTTAGTTTTTATATTAAAAAGGATTCTACTTCTAAAATACCACCAAGATACATAATAATATCTACCACATCATTAAGAGTGGCAACTAATATTGAAAAGAGGACATACTAGTAAAAAAAATTCAGGGAACTAATAAAAATTGAATTTTATTCAGGTTTATTTTTATATTTTGTTGATTTTTAAAGACTTGTTTGTATGTCAAATGCTGTTATAAATTTAGGACTTTATTACATAAAAATAGTATCAAAAACTGTTACAGATTGTAAATTTAACTGAGGGTCTATTGGATGTAGCAAAAAGGGTATGTGGCAGCCATTTGCAAGTATAAATATACCACAGGATACTCTAGCTCAACTTACTAAAGATATGTCTGAGAAGACTGACTGAAAAAAGGGAGAGAAAAAGTAAAATTGCTATTTTGTAGTTAATTAAAAATTAGACTTTAAAATTGCCACCTAGTTTTTCAGATTTCTCCTGTTGTAATAAAAATTAATGAACATTTCGGCATGGAGCTTTTGAGAAGCACAATATACGGCAATGGAATATTTATTGTGCACAAAGAATTCTTTGATCATTAGTTGGTTAAAATGAGTAAGAGAAAATACTGGTACTCTTCTCACAGTAACAGCAGGTTTGACACAATAATTAAATCTAATGTGGCCACGTTTTTAAGACCATGGTGCCTAACTCCATTTATTATCTTCACAAATTCCTAAGATAAAACATTAAAATTGAAACTACCTTTATAAAGATTATAACAGTGAGACAATTATGACAGTGAGAGAGATCTGACCTAATCAACTCCATCTTGCCTTTAACCTCCAAGCTGCCCTTGTTCTTTCCTAGGTGTAGGCCAAACTAACTTTGGGAGAAATTTAGTTTATATTTAGTCTTAAAACAAAGATGACCATTTTCTCTCCCTGAAACAATTCCCCTCCTTGCGTGGGGACTAGACTGCCTTTGTAAAACTAACAAATTAGCCACAAGATTAGAAAGTATAGCTCAAGAGTTATGCATCCAGAGACCAAAAGATTTTTAACTTCCCCAATTGTTCCTATGGATAACATTACCGTTGCAAGACCTAAGATTAGCATTTGAGATATTTTTCAGACCCTGCATTCTGATGAATCAGCTGTCACCACTTAGACCAGTAAACTGACATGTCTTGTCCTGTGGCCTCTACCCAGGAATTGACTTAACACAAGAGGACAGCTTGGACTTCCTATGATTTCATCCCCAATCCAACCAATCAGCATTCCCCTACTCTAGCCCTCTGCCTGCCAAATTATTTTTTAAAAAACCTGACTTCCAAGTTTTGGGGGAGTCTGTTTTGAGTAATAATATAACTCTCTTCTCTTGTTTAGCCAGCTCTACGGGTATTAAACTCTTTCTCTATTGCAATTCCCATGTCTTAATAAATTGGCTCTATTGGCGCAGGAGGCAAGAAGAACCCATTAGGTGGTTACAAATATGGGGGCTTGTCTGGGATAGCCCCTTGTAGCTACCTGCCACAGTTCAGCAGCCACTCACTAGCAGCGGATGTGGAGGCCAACCCAAGCAGCTGCTTAGTTCTTTTAGATTGAGGTCTACCTCTAGCACTGTCTCTACTGGTGGTGTACTGTCAACCCATAGATCATAGATTTAATTGCGGTGGAGAAATAATCCTGGAAGATGTTTTGTAATCTGGTTTGGTGAATATTCCAGGGGCTGCCAACACCTCCTTCCTTCTCCTGATCTGTTGGCCTCCCTAGAGGAACTGTAGCTCTGTTATAGGGACTGGCTAGTTCTCTAGACCTGTCATGGTGACTGCTTGACTCTTCATAGATTGTAGAAAGGGCCTTGGTTTGAGGAGATTACTCCACAATTGGACAGAGAATAGGGAACTTGTTTGGAGGAATACTCTTCTTGTGTGGAATCTGGTTTGCAGTCTTGGTTTAAAAGGCCTTCTGTTTGTCTTTGCTTCATTGTGTGTGTTTCTTTATGGAGGGGAGATCTCTGAAGGAATTGCTGATGAAGTCCAGAAGGCTCTCCTAGTTTGTCTGCTTGGTCACATTCAGTGAGCCCTGTAGGAAGCTCAACAGGCCTAATTAAGGGATTCTTCTGCTCTTCCATCTTGCCCAGAGACTGCCCTTTAAAACTCCTGTTTGGAGGTCATCTCTCCCTACTTTGGGTGGATCCAAGATTATAGGGGTCAATATGGGGAAGTTTGAGCCTTGCCAGGTTGATATTTGGGCACTGAGCCAGGTGACTAATGTCTGTGTTCCATCCCGCGTGTTTTGCTCTGGCTGGAATGGGAACTGTTAATTCAGTTCCACTGTGCAGCCTGTTGGGCAGCATTTTATAAAATTGAGGGACTTTTGCCTATTGTTCAATAGAATGGAAAAAGGTGATTTTCTTTTGTAACACAACTTGGTCCCCACAGCTATGGTGCAGGAAGCAGAGTCATCAAAAGCCACTGTATTCTTCCAGAAGCTGTAGAGAAAGGGAACCTAGAAACCTGGCATGCTGGCAAAAGGGTAAGAATGTCTTATCAACCAGACTTCTGGCCTCTCTCTTTCTGTGCAAACAGGTTGAGTGAATGGTAAAAATCACTGTTTGTCTCCTCTGCAAGGTTTTGATTAATAGGAAAATGGATTTGTGAGCCTCGTCTTAGGCTGTAGCAAATCTGGTGTCCTTTGTGCTATAAATTTGTCTTTCTGTGTCATTCTGTTATAAAGAGGGGTACCACAGGATAGGATAGCTAGGACCCCTGTAAGCCTGCTGTTTGAGCCAAACCTGCAGATCGGTCAGTTACAAATTTTGCTGCATATCCTTGAAATAAAAAATGCAAAGAGATTTTCCTCTCATCTTGTTTTATATCCTTGAAAACTTGACTTTGTGACCGTATGGGAGTACTTTGTCTTGATCTCAGCTAACTGGAGGGTGGCAATTTTCAGGTACATGTAATAGCTAGCCTAAAAATTTTTCTTAAGCAGTTAAAATCCTTTGCAAGCTTGAAAATGAGTACTCTAGACTCCTGGGAAGAACAATGGTAACTGCTCCATGTGGTAGCTCAGTAGCTAAAGCTTGGCCCTTTCACAGTGGAACTTGGGTTCAGTTCTCAGCTCAGGAAATTATTCTTTTCTGGTTTGGTATTAGTGTGACAACTTCTGATTTCCTGTATTAAATTTTCCTTTCTTTGAGCTACCTTTCAGGTGATTCTCAATCTTGTAAAAATTGATTGCCGTCTCTGGAGACACCTCATGTATCCTTGGTTAATTCATAATTGTAGTTAAGGTTTTTATAATTTCACATAGGAGGTTACCTTTGGTAAAGTTCAAAAGCCGAAAATATCAGCTGTCCTGGCTAAAATCTGGTAATTAAAAATTTAAAAGAATTTTTAAAAGCTCTGCAGTTAAAACCATTTAATTAAGGCTGATAATTGGGATATATGGGTAAAGATATTGTTTTAAAGCCCCTTCCTTCCCTCTGTAAAAACTTCTCAGTCAGTAGAATTCTGCCCAATTCTCCATTTACCTCTATCTGTCCCTCCTTCCTCTTACGTCTAATCTTTTTGACTTTTAAGTGGACCAGAAACTTATTTACATTATAAAAGGACTTTTAGACATGATTTGTAATAGTTAGACAGGAGATATAACTTTTTGGGGTTGCTAATGCCAGTTATGGCGGGGATACTCAGCTCTTGGCACATTTAAATCAGAAAAGCATGCTTTTGGTAACCTAGAAGGTACAGAAATGTCCTTACACCCTTACTGAGAGATAAGACTCCTATGGGAAATGAGCTGATTACAGAATGAGCTGATTGGCCTTGGGTTGGACACTAGCCTCAGGGGAATATCCTTGCAATGAGATGCATGGTGAAAGCATTACATAGTCTGGTCCCCTAGTGTTCCTCTCATTTTGGGGATCCAGGATTTGATGTAAAAATGGGATCCTTGATTTTTAGTATCTGTTTTGCCGTCCAGCTGTGCTTGCTTTTTAGGCCCTAAAAACTGTATGTTTTCTTGGCCCTGTTACTTAAAAGGCTCTACCCTGAAGCCAGTAATCCAATTAACTTACTTCTTTAAGGAAATGTTTATATGTAAGGGTGTCTGCTTTTCCTCTCCATCTCACCTGAACTTTCACTCACGCCATTTTTCCTTTGTTTGCATAAAATATAAATTCTATATCTTGTTTCACTTAAGTTTGTCTCTTCAGAAATGCAGATTTAGAGTTGCCCGGCTAGGAACTGTTTATGGCAGGAAGCAGGTATTCAAGAGACTGTTGGTCTAAAATGGGGAAGAGAAGCTTAAAACTAGCAATTGAAAAATCTTTTGTCTGTCTGTGTAGGTTGTGTGTGTGATGTTTCCCTACTGAAATATATAAAGGTGCTCTAATTAATTGGCTTTAAAAAAATAAGCACTTACATAAAATATTTTGTCAGAAAAATAGAAACTAAAATGCCTTTTAGCTCAAGTGACTTTAATAATCTTTAGTAAATAAAAATAGTTTTACAATTATTGACAAAAGTCTTTAAAATTTAGACATTTGGACTCTACTAGGCAGGTCAGATATTGAATTAGGCAGCTTGGGTGCTTTCAGTTTATAAACTGCTTCTGTGACTTTTGATAGTTGCTCCTCACTTGCCTCCTTTAGAGCCTTGAGATTGTAGGTAAGGCCTGGGGACGTGTGGGGTTATCCATGCCCCCTAGCCATGCTGGAAAGAGTCAGACATTACCTGCAGTTCTGTCCAGTGTCCTAGGCTCTACACTTGGTACATAATTAAAATTGCTTATACTAAAAATAAAGTTATGTGCTATTGATCAAAGCATGAAAACGTGATTTTAAAAATTGGCTGGTTTCAAGGATTTAAGGATTGCTTTAAGTGAAAAAAAAGGTTTAAACTAAAGTTTTAAACAAGTTGTAAAAAGTTTGTAAAAATTAATCTATAAATGAATTCTGTTTATGAACAAGTTGGCTAAAAATTAAAGAAATTTAGTTTTTTAATGCATTGAACATTGAAATAAAAGCACACAGATGTAGGTCGAGATTCTGGGCACATATGTATTAACAAGGTTTTCTTAGAGCATTTATCTGCTCTATAACAAAAAAATTGTAAAGTATTTTAAGAGGTTTATGAAAATCTTACCTTATGGTCAAACTGATTAAGATGGGATAGATTTGTTTAAAAAATCTTATTAAATTTGGGTTTCACATTCACTTTATACTAATGCTAAGATAAAATTTGATTTTTCCTTTTAAACAAGATTTTTATGTAAAAAAAGATTTCTGTATAATAGTGAGAGACAATAAAAGACTTTTGTTTACCATTTGAATAAACTACAGAAAGTAAAAGAGGGGAGAGAGAAGAAATAGATTCAGTTGGCTCCATGTGGTCTTTATTGGTTCTCCTTTGGAAATCTGAATCTTCCCTCTATCATAGCAAAGATTTTTGCCTTTTTGAAATTTTCTTTGATTTATCACTTTGGCTAAGTAAATGACTTGTGATCCTATTTTGTGATATCAAGCATTTTAAACCTTTGATATTGACAAACATTGCAAAATCAAATTCTAAATTAAGTCTTTTTTTGACCTCATTAACTTTTAAGTATTTATTCCTATGAAGCCCAAAAGAGGCGTATTTGGCTTATTTGCTATATTAAAATTCTATACAAAGCATTGTCAGATAGAAAATGGTATTTAACTTCCTTTGAGTTACATTCATATGAATGTGTTTTCAATATATATTCCAAAATTGTATAAGATTCCTATATCATATGTCTGATATCATATTATGTTTCAGTATATATGTCTCAGTACATGTTACCAGTAATAATTATAATTGTTTGTTAAATAATTGTGTGCCAAAGAGATTTTCTTGTTAATTGCAGCTTTAACTGTGGCTGTCCTAAGATTCTTATCATCCACAGACATTTGTTGTTTTGTTTTTATCCTTTTTAAAAGGCAGTTTATAAACAGCTATAAGACTATGGTAAGTACTCTTGAATGTAGGTCTCTGATAAATTCTGAGATTGTGAGATTGGAATAGAGAGAAAAAAAGCTTCTAGGACTCTTATAAAAAACGAATGTATTCATAATATATTCATATGGACTGCTAGCCCAATATTGATTGAAACAAGAGTTGATTGCATGGACTAACAAAGGACTGAAATAATGTTTTTATGACTTTTTGCTTAAAACACTGATACTTTCTGTTTTGTGTTTCAGAATCAAAAAAATCTTTATTTTTCTTTTGAGCTATTTACAGCTTTTAAAAATTGAGTGAAATATACTCTTGTGAGCAAAATTGGAAGTATATTTTTTCTACTTAATTTCTTTAGAATTTAAAAACTATTTGTAAGCGTACTTAATTCATGACAGTATAGTTCTTACATAACTGCAGTTAAGTATCTCTATTCTTCTGTAATAGGACACATTTGGAGACATTAGTTATTTTCCCAAGGCTTTGGATGGAAATAGCATGCATTTGGATATAAACAGACTGACTTAAGGAAACAAAGGTGACTTATAGAGCCAATACAATCCCCATGGGAAAACTTTTGCCCTATACCTTGTCTATGCAGTCCCTGTACAGGGTTCCTGACTTATGGTAAGCAAAGAATGTTGCTTTTGGACATATCCAGCAGCATTAAGTTATCTTGAGACCTGAAGGGGAGAGGAATCCACCCAACTCATACAAGTATTTGCAGGAACAGATAAATCTGTGGTTGAGCTCAAGGATTTAAAATGTCTAATCTGAGATTCCTTTGAAGAAAGTTCCAGCAAAGCCAATTTAAAAAGCCTATATGGCAAATAATTAGTCTTGCTGCATTTTATGAATATAATCAGGCCAAGTATAATAAGACTAAAACTTATTTTGCCAGAAAATGTGTCCTACTATGATTTGTCTTTAGTAAAAATGAGGACTGGAGAGGGAAAAATTATGTTTCAGACAAAAACTGCATTACAGCTGTGGTTATATTATACTCTTGTCCATTATTTTTTAGTTTTTCTATTATTTTCTACAATTTGGACTGAATCTTGAATTCTTTCAGGACTAAAGTCTCCAAACTAACACTTTCAATTTTTTCTTCTATTTTTCTGACTTGGATTCAGTGAAATTACTATTATATTTTTCCTGAGTTTCTGTAAGCTAAAGCTTATTCCTTGTGATATAGATGAGAAAACTATGTCAGATTGCCACTGACTTCCTCCTATATAACTAAAGATGCTTTTAGTCTAACATCTGAATAGTTTGTGCCCAACGTTAACTTTTGTTTTTCTTGTTTCCATAAAAAATGCCTCCTACTAAAACTCTGTTTGCCTTCATCATGTATAGAGGCCTAGCCCATCTGCAATGCCACCTCCTGAAATGGCACATAGCTGTTTAACTGAACGGATCTCTTCTCATGACTAGTAAACAACTTTAAGATATGGGATGATATATTTCAATTTGCTCTTTTCTATTTATCCCAATTTGTCTTTCTAACAATTTTAAACCCAAATCTCTCTCTACTAGTGACCCCATGTCTGATTGATCTTTGAGGCTATTCACCTAAATCCCTTAGGACTTTAGATCAATTCTACAAGAACTTCCAAAGTTATGACTTTCTTTTCTTATACTAGAACTCATTATCTTATAGTCTGCTGTTTAATTAAATGCTGTGCTAAAACTGTGGGCAAGAGTACTAACATCTTTGTAATGCAAGCCTTAAAACACAAACCAGGCATTCCTGAATACATGCAGACAGCTGTGAAGCAGTTTCATTCCTCTTACCCTGGGGTCAACTTCTAGCACAACTACTTCCCCTGTCAACAGGAAGAAGTTGGAGGAGTAGTCAATCTTTTCCCATCTCCATAACTCACATCTTAAGGAACAGATGTGGTGAAATCCAAAAGGGGGCACTGAAACCACCTTTGCAAAGATTATAACAGTGAGAAAATTATAACAGTGAAGGAGATCCAACCTAAACAACTTCATCTTATTTTTAACCACTAAGCTGCCCTTGCTCATTTCTGGACATTTCTGGGCACTTTGATAAAAATTTAGTTTATAGTTTAGCTTTGAAACAAAGGTGACAACAGCCAGTCCCTGAAACAAACTCCCTCCTTGCTTGGGGACCTGGCTACCCTTGCAAAATTAACAAATTAGCCACAGGACTAGAAATTATAGCTCAGAAGTCATGCAGACAGTGGTCACAAGATTCCTAATCTCCGCAATTGCTCCTATGGATAACGTTAATATTGTAAGACCCAAGATTGGTGTTTGAAATATTTTCCAGATCCTACATTCTGGTGGATCAGCTGGCACCACAAAGACTGGTAAACTGGTTCATCTGGTCCTATGTCCCCCACCCAGGAACTGACTCAATGCAAGAGGACAGCTTTGATTCCTTATGATTTTATCCTCAATCAAATCAATCAGCGTTGCCTATTCCCTAGCCCCCTGCCTGCCAAACCATCCTTCAAAAACCCTAGGCTCTAAATTTTCGAGCAGGCTGATTTGAGTAATAATGAAACTCTGGCCTCATGTTTACCTGGCTTTACCTGCATTAAGCTCCTTCTCTATTGCCGTTCTCATTCTGAAGTTCAGGTAACTTGGTCTTGACCCAATTAAAAAATTGACTTTCTTATGTCTCCAAGAGGAAACTCCATCTTTTTATTAAACATTTCCTCAAATATTTAGACTTTTTAATAAATACAACCAATCTTCTTTTTAATAAATTTTAGCCGGTTATCAACAATCCGTTACACAAGTATTATTGGCGTCAAAAATTCCTGGTGAAATTGTATCTTTGAGAAATTCATTGAGTAAAATGTAATAGAAATAATTTTGTTTTGCTGAAATCAGTTTTCAGCAAATGGACCAACTATATTCCAATAGTGTGAACCTCAAGACAAAAATCCAGTGAAGATTTTCTTATTTCTGACTTAGTGAAAATTAATTTACATTGTTTAGTTAGCCTTTTATCATCAATATTGGTAGTTGATTGAATAAATACGTAATATGGTTTGGCTGTGTGCCCATCCAAATCTCATCTTGAATTGTAGTTCTCATAATCCCCACATGTCGTGGAAGTGACCCAGTGGGAGATAATTTAATCATGGGGGTAGCTACCCTGATGCTGTTTTCATGATAGTGAGTTCTCGTGAGATCTGATGGTTTTTACAAGGGGCTTTTCCCTCTTTTGTTTGGCAGTTCTCCTTGCTGCCACCATGTGACGAAGGACACGTTTGCTTCCCCTTCCACCATGATTGCAAGTTTTCTGAGGCCTCCCCAGCCATGCTGAACTGTGAGTCACTTAAACCTCTTTCCTTTATAAATTACCCAGTCTCGGATGTGTCTTCATTAGCAGCTTGAGAACAGATTGATACAAAAAAAAAGAACTAGAAACTGATGTTATTAATATGCAATGTAATGGAGTCTTAAAACCAAGTAGGCCAGCATTTATAGTACATTTTTACACGTATGTCTAGAATAGTTACCTTAAACACACATGCACACAGATGGATAACATCTGTATTTGCAAACAGCTATTTTCCATTGTGAATTATACTAGAAAAAAATTCAAGGATATATACTTAAGCCTTGCCATGCAAATAATTGGGAAATACAATGACATCTTGGTATAAAATAAAAGTTGTTAGGTCTCCCATTCCAACTGAAAATAAACTATAAAAGTGAATAATTAACTACATATTTTTTCTATTTTGAATTTAAGATAAAAGTTCCAAAAATACCTTTTGTCATATTAATACATTATATTTCAGAAAAAGTGAAGATGATATTTCTTGCGTCTATTAGGTTTTTTTTTTTTTTTAGCAGCTCACTTTTCTAATACTAGAAACTTCGGTTATTTATATTCTCTCCCTAGTCTTGTAGGCATTTGAGTTTGTGGCTCTGATCCAGACTGCAGAACCTGGTTGTGCCTATTCTGTTATCATGCTACTATATTTAATTCAATTTAATCCAATATAATTATATTATATGCAATTTCATTTATTCGTTTATTAATTAAATCCCTGGTTAATAATATTTTCCAACAAAACTACCACTGATGTTGGCTATTGATGCATAATAAACCAGCATAAAACTTGGGTTTATATAAAAATAATATTAATTTCTCATATGACTGTAGGCCTCAGGTTATTTAGTCTGGGTTTGGTTAAACTTGACTGGGCTTGCTCATATACATTTGTGAAATGGTTCTGCTCATATGTTCCTCATTCTTTCTCTGGGACCCATGGAGTAGCCAAGGTGTGAAACTTTGACAGTAGTGCAAGCACAAGAGAGCAAATCCCAATGTACAAACCAATTTCTACTTTCCACTTGTATCATCTCATTAACATTCCACTGGACAAAGTAAGTCACACGGCTGAATACAGAGTCAAAAGACAGTGCAACTCAGCCTGTGCACATCAGAAAGCACAACACAGTTATACAGCAAAGACTGTGAATTCAGGGGAAAGGGATGAATTGGAACCATCTTGAAATCTATTGCATGTGCTCTAGATGCCCACAAAAAATTGTAAGAAATTAACGAAGTATGAAGGAACAAAATAGAAAAACAACCATGTGCCAAGAGGAGAGGCATAGACAAAAGTGTCAAAAAGTCTTTGCTGCTAAGATTAGAAAAAGGACCAAAAAATATATATTAGGTATGGCCAGATGGAGGCCATCTGTGATCATGGCAAGCGTACTATTGTACTGGGACTAGAAGAACAAAGTGCTTACCAAGGGCAGAAAGTGGGGGAAATGGAGAGAAATATGTTGCTTAATACAAACTTGCATTTCTGTAGGATGAATAAGTCTAGAGACATAATGTACAGCATGAAAACTATAGCTGAAAATAATTGTATACTGAAAATATACTAAGTGAGTCGATTTTATTTTTATTTTTTTGAGACAGCCTTGTCCTGTTGCCCAGACTGGAGTGCAGTGGTGCAATCTCAGCTCACTGCAACCTCCACCTCACGGGTTCAAGCGATTCACATTCCTCAGCCCCTGGAGTAGCTGGGATTACAGGCATGCACCACCATGCCCGGCTAATTTTTGTATTTTCAGTAGACTGGGTTTGGCCATGTTGGACAGGCTGGTCTTGAACTCCTGACCTCAAGTGATCTACACACCTCGGCCTCCCAAAGTGCTGGGATTATAGGCATGAGCCACTGCACCCAGCCAAGTGAGTGGATTTTTTATGCTCTTACCACACACACAAAATTAACTATGCAAGGTGATGAATAGGTTAATTTGCTTAAATGTAGTAATCATTTCACTATGTAAATGTATACCATAACAGAATGGTGTACACTTTAATTATATATAGTAAAAACAAGGGAGTTAAAAGGTGAGTCACAGCCTGGGAAAAATATTTGCTGTACATGTATCCATCAGACTTGTGTACAGAATATATAAACAGGAACTCTTAGAATACAAGAGGAGTAAGACACACAATCCAATTAAAAACGGGCAAAGACTTGAATAGAAGTTTCAAATAAGAAGATATACAAGTGATCAATAAATATATCAAAACATTCTTTAAATCATTGGTATTTAGAAAAATGCAAATTAAAACTACAATTAGATACAGCTACATATTTATTAGACTGCCTAAAGGTAAAAAATGGAAAACATTAGATGACGATGGGTATGTGAAGCAGCTCTCATATTTTGCTATGGAAGTGAAATACAACTGCTCTGGAAATATCTGGAAATTTTTATTAAAATTACACACCTTTCTATAACCTAGAAATTTCGTATCCTTTAATCCTGAGATTCCTGAGATGAATGAAAAAATTTCCATGAAAATATTTGTAGCAGTAATTTATAGCATCTGAAAGCAACTCATATTTCTAGCAATAAAACAATGAATAGTTAAGTGAATATGGCTTATATCACAGAATAGTACACAAGAATGGTGAAGACTAGAACCAGATTCATTGGGTTAAGAAATAAATAAAAAGGGAAGCATATAAATGGTGCATTTTATAAAATTTATTCCCAGTGGGAAATTATTGCTCTCTAGATAACACTTTGGATGCATATGAATGCATGAATGGTTTCCCAGTCATGGGAAGGTACTTCTGACACTCAGTAGAGAGGTGAGTCAGGGAAGCTAGACATTTAGTAATTTGCAGGATAGTACCATATGACGAATGATTTTTCTACATTAGGACCAGCTTCTGAAATATCTGTTGGATATTCACAAAGTTAAAAAAGAAAACCAAATCAAAAAAAGAAAACTTTTGAGTTTTGTTTGTTTAACACCTTACTCCATGTAATATATAAATAAAAAATGGTTTTGTACAGTTTCAATATATATATATTTTCCAGGAAGGCAACCATCATGTAAACCAACAGAACATATTACTCTGTTTGCCAAGAAGTGTTCACCATTTCAGAAAAAACACAACCCTAATAGCAATGTTAATGTTTAAGACTTCAGTGCAACACATTTGTATCAGTCTATATTTGTAGTGGTTCCATTAATAAATATTCTATGTACAGGTGTAAGCATCATATTATTTCATTGTATCTTCTATGAATAGTCATGTATAACCATTTTCAAACTAAAATGTATATTATTTTTTTATAAAGTACTTTGTTTTTTTATTTTTCTTACATGTATGGCTTTGTGTTGATTTCTAAAGTACATATATATTATACAAAGGTTATTGTCTGTGCGTTTTATTTTAAATAGAAATTTGGGTGTTAAAATATTTGTAATAAAAGAAAGCTGTCAAGTCTGTTGTTATCTAGAATTTTCATTTTAGAAACTTGTGAAAAGAAAAAAATGATAATAGCTGAAGGTATATTTTAAAATTATTTTAATTTAATGTAAAAATTAGAAAGTTGAGAAGATCTTAAGTGTATTTATAGACATAAGAAGAAGTGGCAATGGAGAACAGGGTAATTGTACAGAATAATATGAGTAGTACTAACTCAAAGGGATTGAGTAGGATGGTTAACAATATATTTTGTCCTGGTACCTAATAACAAGATATACTTGATAATGCCTACATCAGTTGTCACCCAGTTTAGAGTCTTAGAATTTATTCCTGGGCAACTTTTTGCTGTTTCACACATTACTATTGTCTCCCCACTTTGACTCTAAGCTCTCTAAGTAAAAGGAACATATATGTCAATCAGACTGAGCACATATATCGCAGACTGAGCACATAAGTTGACACATGTCAAATGATCTCATAGTTAATTGCCCATTTGGGTATAGAGGTGCTGTATATTTGAGTGTATAGATGCTGGACGAAGAATGGTGGTGGGACAGAGAAGGACCTGGGGAAGATAGAATGCACAGCCAACTTTGTTACTAATAATGCAGCTGTATTCTCCTCTACCTACCTGATTCTATTACTGAGCTTAAAATTCCAGAGAATGAATAAGAGTGGGATCGCAGCAGAACATAACAGATGACTTTGACCTTTGAAAAAGTCAAGCTTTAAGTAACAGCTGTGACTTGTGGGACAAAATTGCTTTGGCAGTAGAGGGCAAGTAACCCATGTGCCTGTTCAGGTTAGAGTTACTATGTCTTCCGATGGTATTACTGTTGTTTGATTCTTCCCTATACCAAGGCTTTAAAGCCACTCACATTTTGATCCTATTGGTAACAGCAAGAGACTATTCTTATCTCTGTTTTTCAGATGAGGAAACTCAAGCAGGAGGTTATGTGACTTGGGTAAGATCAGTCAAGAAATCAGCAGGTTAAAAACAAATATCAGATCTCCTAAGGTCAAAACTTGTGTTCCAAAAAGACATGTTACCAAATCATGCAGAAATATAATAATTGAAAGGAAATATCTCTGAATTTATTCTTCCAGATTTTGATCACTTAAAGTTTTAAAAAAGCAGACACTGCTAAAAACTTATATAACTTGAAAAATATTTACTTCATAACAGTAAATAGCATGTGCAGTATTCAGACAGTATCTTCTCAGTAGTGTGTAAGTTGTACTTGATATCTAGCTGAAATTTAAAAATGTGAATTCAGTTTCTGGATTTAACGCCAACTCATTTTAACCATTTTAATTACTTAGATTCCAAATAACTCATACAATGAATGTGCATGTATGTACGTATTTATGTATGTAGGTATGTATGTATATTCATACACTATAAATGTGTGTATATATACATATATATATACACATACATACATATATATATATATTCCTTTTTAAAGCCAATGCTTTTAAAACACATTATTTAGATTGTATATTTCATAGGAACCACCCAGGAGTCATTGTACTTCACCTATTATTTATCGTGATTTTTAAAAACAGACATCAAAAAAGACAGCAGATAAGCAGTCTCAGGAAAATAGACTGCAGCTCCTTCTGATGAATCTATGTTCAATACTCTACAAAGTCTATTAGATATTCATTCATATTCCAAGACTTCAGAGTATCAAATTATGGAAAACATCATTAACATCATCATTGTCCTTGTCTTCAGCATCATCATTGTTATCCTCTGGTACTCTGTTGTTTCTTCTTCAGATTTCTTTTTATCCATAGCACTTGCCACAGTTTAATCTTCATATTCTAGAATTGCAAGCTTCATGAGATAGAATATTTTTACTTTATTTTTCCCTTTTTGTTTCCCCTGCACTTAGAAAAGTGATCTGCACATAGCATGTACTTACTATATATTAATGTGTAAGAGAAATATAATAAATTATGATATATAGCTTAATTAAGGCTCTTCTGGGTTCATATATTGAAGGTAAATCAAAACAATTGAACAAAACATAGTTTTCAAAATTTACCAGTCAGACCATAATGATAAATGCTTCTTGAGGAACAAATGCATATTTTATTGGAGTAAAAGTTAATTTCCATGAGTGAGAACATAAAAAAGGGGTAGAAGAAAGTTCTTTTTCTAAGAACTCTACCATATACAGTTTTGGAACTAATATGTTTAGACATTTACCCCTATGTAATGCTTTTAGACAACTAACTCATAGACAAATACATTAGTATTTGGACATAATCTATCCAATACAGAAAGTAGCATTTATAATCTTTCCAGCAAGTGTTGAACAGATATGGCCATATATTCTTTTTTAATGAAGTCTATTTTGCCATTTTTCCTAAATCTCAGATAAGGTTATCAGTCCTGGTATTCAATTCAAATATGCTCCCTTATTCTTAGGGCCGGGACACATTACTAGGTGCACAATAAATCTTACCCATATAGATGAATTAGAAGAAGCCAAAGAAAAAAAAAGAGAGATCTTTCCCAAATATTCTATAAAACTGAAATGTTATTATTATATGTTATTTTTACTGCTAATGTGCCTCCATTATCTCAACACATGTGGTTATGATTATAAGCATCAATTACACTCAGCATGTTACACTGAAAGAGTTAAACCCTGCCGTTCATGTCTTCAGCCAATATATGCTGAATAACTTTGGATACATGGCATTACCCCTGCCTCCAAAAAGCCTTTAGTGGAGAAAACACATACGGAAATAGACAGTTACCAATGTAAAGTGATAAAGAAAAAGAAAGAGAAAGGAAAGTAAATGTGCTATGGGAACTCACCCTTTTTCTGCGAGTCAGAGTGTTAGTGTCATCAAACTAAATTGGGTTCATTTTTCCACATGCAATGGAAAGCTGAACACTGAAGCACTGCTTTTTGCAGAGAGAAAGCCTTATGACCAGGCAGCTGAACAAGAAGGCAGGAGTCAGGCTCAAACTTGTCTCCCCATAGGATCCTTGCCACCATGGATTTAAGGGAGATATTTGAGGGTAGGTTTCAGGGCTGGACAGTGGTTGGCTGAAAGAAAAGGGAATTTGGAAAAATCCTTGGGCATGAGCTATTACCCTTACATGCTTCTTCATATGTCAGATGTTCAGAAAATGGCAGCATTAGCTTGATCTGGAGGAAGAGATTTTGGCTCTATGATGTCAAAAGGTCACTCATTGAGTGTAGACTCCAGTCAGTCATGTTGGTTCCAACCAGACTCAGCCTGTCAGCTAGTTTTGTTGAAAATAAAAGGAATTTTATTCTTGCTGTCTTCTAAGACAAGCTTAAGAAATTTTGCTCATTACCAAATTTTCTTAACCCTATAGGGCACAGTTTCATGAGTCAACATAAACTAGACTTAAGCTGCATATAAAATAACCTCCAACTCTTACAGCTTAGCAAGTAACCTTACATTTCTCACTCATCCAAGGGCCTTGTAGGTTTTTAGAAGGGCTTTGTTCCACATGTCATTCAGACTTCTAGTCTGAGAGATGCTGGGCCATCTGCTGGTCTCCCAAGCATGAGACGATAGAAGTTGGAGAATTACTCAGGGTTATTTTACTACCTGAGCCTAGATGTGCCACACATTGTACATATCACATTTTACTGATGAGAAATGTACAGAGGCTAGGAAATGTAGTTTCTCATATACTCATTAAAGAACATAGAATTGGATAATTTCCAATAGAGTAGATGCTCTTGATTACAGGATATCAAAAGTGAGAGCTGAAAACTGGGCATTACTTCCAGATAATTATTTTCAATGAATTACAAGTAGTTAGCTCTGCTGCTCCACAAGACTTCACATAGATTTCAATATAGCATTAAAAAAGCATCTGTATGATTTGTTTATGTCCCCACAAAATTCATATGTTAAAACTTAATCCCCAAGGTGATGGTCTTAGGAGGTAGGGCCCTTGGGAGCTGATTAGGTCATGAGAGCAGAGTCCTCGTGAATGGGATTAGTACCCTTACAAAAGAGGCCCCAGAGAGCTGCCTTGCTCCTTTCACCCTCTGAGGACATATTTAGAGGGTTCCATCCGTGAAGCAGAGAACAAGCTCTCAACAGACACCGAACTTACAAGCACATTGATCTTAGGTTTCCCAGCATCCAGAATAGTGAGAAATACATTTCTCCTGCTATGAGCTACTCATTTTAGAGTGTTTTATTTTAGTAGTACAAATAGACTAAGAAAAGCATTAACCCTTGAGGGAAAAAATTAAACGACTGACAGTTGAGTTTCAACATATGACTTGGCCATATGTTAAAAGTAAACTGATAAGTATTAACTAACTTTGCTTACCAACTAAAGCTAAGACTAAGCTATTAGAGGAGGAAGCCATTAAAAAATGGTTCACATGGACTGGGAGCAGTGGCTCATGCCTGTAATCCCAGCACTTTGGGAGGCCGAGGTGGGTGGATCACGAGGTCAGGAGATTGAGACCATCCTGGCAAAAACGGTGAAACCCCGTCTCTGCTAAAAATACAAAAAATTACCATCCAAATCAAAGAGAAATACCCAGAGAAATAAAGAGGAATATAAGCAACTTGGAAGAAATAGAAGCAAGATATGCAATAGAGGAAAACTAATTCTCAGAGAAATAAGACATTGATTCCATGAAAATGAAAAGAGAGAGAAAGTATAGAAAATGCCCAAACAACTAAATAAATTCTCTAGAATGAAGAATATGAGAGCTGATATGTGGGACTCCTGATTCTGGTAAAGATTAAGTAACAAGGAACAGATTTACCCTCCTGCTTCAAACCATCAAACGATGAGCAAAATATATGCAATAATGCATGGCAAGACAATATATGTCAGGCAACAAAGGACAACAATCCCCAAATTGAGAAACAAATGAGATGAACCCTATAATAAGCCCAGCTATTGTCATGAGGGGTTTCTAGGCTCTGGCACAGGAGAAGGAACTCAGGTAGAGCTCCCAGCAAACTACCTGACTGGACAAAAGGCACTGAGGATCTTGGGGAAACAATCCAGATAGAGTTTGAGGGCAGAGGACTGAAAAAGAGAGGGAATGCTGGGAATCCACAGAGTGTCACCCTCACACGATCAGCTGCGTACTGGTTAGTGCATACGTGCAAGGAAACGATCTGAAGCCCAGAAAACATCCCTTGAAAGCATTAGATGTGACATGTCCAAAGATCACATGTGACTGGGAATAATGCCTGTTTTCACCACCCAGGCTGAAAAACCTCAAGATTTGTGGCAAACTGAATAATGTATGTAGAAATATCTTGACTTAGTAATGAGCAGTAATTAGCCCTGGATTGAGCTTTGCTCCAAACTCACTTAACAAACCCTAAAAATAAGAAGAAAAATGATTAAATTGTTTCTAAGTAATTAAGCCATATCTCAGAAAAAAAGACTAAGAATATTTATATCATTACAAACGTATCCAGCATTTAAGCGAGGTAAAATTCCCACGGTGATGCAACCGACGAAAGGCATAAAAATTAGGGAAAAGGACCAATAGGGTGGAGAAAATCAATCAAAACTGACCCAGAACTGACATAAGATATTAGAATTAGCAGACAAGAACATTAAAACAACAATTTTAGCCAGATGTGTTGGCTTTCACCTGTAATCCCAGCTAATTTGGAGGCTGAGGTGGGAGGATTGCTTAAAGCCAGGAGTTGGAGACCAGCCTGGACAACATAGCAGAACTCTATCTATACATTTTTCTTTAATAGTCAGGCATAGTAGTGCAAGCCTGTAGTCTCAGCTAATTGGGAAACAGAGACAGGAGGATTGCTTCAGCCCAGGAGTTCAAGGCTGCAGTAAGCTATGTTTGTGCCATGGGACTCCAGCCTGGATGACAGAGTGAGACCCAAACTCAAAAAGAAAAGAAAAAAGAAAAGAAAAGAAACAACAAAACATACACACACACACACACACACACACACACACACACACACACACACACACACAATACCTACTAAAACTGTATTCTACATATTTGAAAAGTTAAGGAGAGACAGGCAAAAAAACTCATAAAAGTAAAAACTGAAAATGCTGATATAAAAAATACATTCAATGAGATTAACAACAGATTACACATTGCAGAAGAAAGATCAACAAACCTAGTAATATAGCAATAGAACCTATCCAAAATAAGCATAGAGAAAAAAATTTAAAAATTAACACAGCATCGGTGAGATATAAGACAACTTCAAGTGGCCTAAGATATATGTAATTGGAATTTATGAAAGGAGTAGGGGAGAAGAGAAAATATTTGGAGAATAATGGCTGTAAATTTTCTATATTTGGTGAAAAGTCAAAAACCACAGATCCACAAAACTCAATAATCCTAAGCTCTAGAAACATGGGGGAAGAAAGGGAAACTAGACTGAGTCACATCATAATCAAAATTCTCAATACCAGTAATACAGAAAAGATTTTAAAAACAGCTATGGTAAAAGACAAGCTATGTACAAAGAAACAAATATAATGATGGCAGCAGATTTATTGTCAAAAACAATGAAGGCAGGAAAATAGTCGAAAGACATCTTTAAAATTCCAAAAGACCAAAAAAAAAAAAAAAAAGCGCTATCATCCTGAAAGTCCTCAGAGAGAAAATAATTATTACAACAGCTGGTATTAAGAAACGCATTGTATTTCTAACTGTAGCATCTGATGTTAGCAGGCAATGGATTGTTGTCCTCAATGTTCACACAGAAAATGATTTCTAATCTTAAGTTCTTTACCAAAACTACCTATCAATTTTGGGAAAAAAGATATTTTCAGAGTACAAGATCTCAGAACATTACTTCCCATATTGTTTTCAGGAACTCACTGGTGCATTTACTGTACTATAATCTGATAAAAGGAAAAAATGGATCAGCAAACAGAGGATTCAACACAGGAGGAAAAAAGAGAATTCCAAGAAAATGTTAGTAGAAAGTCGTAGAGAATGTGTACAAATCTAGAGAGCTACAAATGCAGGCTCCGGTTTTTTAAAATTTACTGATAATTACCTTCCAAGTCAAGAAAAAATTGTATCGAAGATTCTGGAGTTAAATTAGGAGAAAAAGGCATGTAAGTAAGGTAGTTATTAATTCCAATGAAACCAGATAGTTATACAAGAAATTATTATGTAATTGTAACATACTACCTTGCTCAGCAGCAAGTAAGATTTAAAGTCCTAATATGGAACATTATTAGTTTAACAAAAGTATTATGTAATTACATTGGGACAATGTAAGTGACTGTGTACATGCATTTAATACTGCCGTTGCATAATATGCGAAGATGAATGGTGAAGTTCATGCTAGCAATTTACATTTTTAATTTTTCTTTCTATAAAATGCCATTGAATAACCAAAATAAAATACCAGAAGTTGAGAGAGCACAGAAGAAAGAACAACAGCTTCTATTTGAGTACCCTTAACAGCCTTTTTTTCCTTCTTTTAGAAAAAGAGGCCCATATTTTCATTTTGCTAAGGTTCCTACCAGTTATGTAGCTGGCCCTACTCCAAGAATCAAGAGTTGAGGGTGTGTGGAAGGTAGGAAAAGGGGAATCTTTTGTTTTCTATATAATTTCACTTTTTAAAAAATAAAAAAATATGTGTTGCTTTGCTAGGAAAAAACTTTAAATTAAAATAATAACAGTGATAGGTACAATTCGCCAAGAGCTTACTTGGCAGAGGAACCATGTGTGAAAATGATATGAGGTGATGCATACAGTGAGTTTTGAGAACCAAAATAGCTTAGACATGCCAGAGGATAGAGATATGACTAGTGCATAGACCGAACATGCAGAACAGATCGTGGTGTCATGATCCATGTTCAGCAGCTTGGATTGAATTGTTCAAGTTATGGGGAAATATTGAAGACTTGTGAAACAGGCCAGTTTTTACCTAGAGCAGATTCAATCACACAGTAGTCATGGAAACCCTACAGAAGACAGTTTACTCTTCTGATGTTAGGTTCTCTCTAATAATTGTACTACATGATAATGATTAGAAAATGAGATGTTTGAATGCACCATTGAAATAAATTGCAAATGAGTTTATCAGGATTTGTTTTAAAGTCACGTGGAAAACGTTGTATCAAAGTCATCAAATTTTACCACAATGCTGTCACAATCAAAATAGAAAGAACATGCTAGTTTTGTAAAGAAAAAATTGAGGAATTTTTTTTCTTAAGTGATTATTTTTACTTTCCTTACATAGCACCTTATTTTATTCCAGTTACTTTATAGAAAAGTAGCCATAAAAAGCTTTCAGATCTTTCTCCCATATCACACTACTATTTTAAGTTCACCCACAGAAAAGGGAATTTATTTCCATTTTGTAAATGTCTTGGGATCTTCTTAAGCAAACTGATTGTTACCTAAATGCAATAGCATTTTTGCATATGGTGAAAAGAACTAGAAGACAGTTATTTAACTCTACTGAGAAATCAAAATTTCTAGAAATGATAAACAACTGTAGAGGCAAAGGTAAGGCTACACTTTTTTTAGTTGAATCGGGAGTGATGAAAATCATCAATGAACCTCTAAAGAACAGAAAAAATGCAAATGTACCCAATGCTCCCTCAATGATGTGCCAAAAATGTATTTACAATGTTAAACTATTCTTACAATTTGAAAGCATAAAAAGTGTATAAGCTGCAAACAGAAAATGGAAGAAATAACATGCAGTCACAAATTTGTGGATTTTTCCTCTTTTAATAACTGACAAAAGCTTTTTGATCAAGTGGATTCTGTTGACAAAGACTTTTCTGCAGCTGATGGAAGCTCTTACCTGGAAGCTATGAAACAGAAAAACTATTCATAAACATTGCTTTGAATGTCAGTTTTTCTATATTATGCAAGTTTAGGGGCTTGAAATATACAAATATGTGTGAGATAAAAGATACAATGTAATATATACTCTAGCAAATGGTAATTTATTGCCATTATTATCGCTAAATAGCATATTCTTGGGGAATACATTGCTCCCTATTCAGAAGTTATGCTAACTGGTTCTATGCCATTTTTTTCTAATAAAAATTATTATTTACAATATAAATTTCTCTTAAAACAACACATGCAACCAGTTTAACCTGGGAATTTTCCCTATTAATTTACACATAGTGCTTGAAACATACATTATTTAGTTCAATACCAGTAAATCGGCTAAGAAAAAGATAGAAGAAACTTTTTATGGTTAAAGAAAAGGAAGACCTAAGGTGAAACTCAGTAGCTTGTTAAAATTCATAGGTCTTTAGGAAAAACTAATTATATCAGATTTTAACCATGTTTCATAAGGGGCAGGTTTCTCTTTCCGTTCATTAACTTAACCGGCAAAGTAGAAGTTTTAAGTGGCCTTTCGCCTTTTGATATGGGGTTGCAGCTTTAGCAACAGCCTTTCAAAACAGAAAAATAATTTAATAGACAATCAAGATTCTAAAGGTTCTTTAGAAAAAAAATACAGGCCTTTTGTGTTAAAAAAAAAGTTTATACTTTGGCGAAGGGGAGACTTTGAAACCAAATAATAAATATTTGACAATCAATTGCTTTATGGAAGAGAGTCTGGCCAGGAGTCAGCAACTAGGATACTCTTGGGAGGTGACTCCTATAATGGGATTGTTTTCTTCTTTGCTGGCATGTGTTGGACTGGTGTTAATAATACCAGTGTGGGAAAGCAGGGTATAGGGATGATAGAGATTAAAACCCCATGATTATGCTGCAAATACAACATTTAAATGTTTGTCAGAAAAGTTCTTATTAAAATGAGCAGTTACACACCATATAAGAAAGTACACAGACATGATTATCAGAATTTTATGGGTTATGTGTAAAGAGCTTTAAGTTCTTCAGTCCTTTTTTTTAAAAAAATTGTAACCTAACATAGGAAATCCTCAGAAAAGAAGTTAATAGGAATATTAAAAGAAATTGTAAGTTCCTGGCATTGTCATGGCTCTTCCAGGGGCAGAAGAGGTGAAAACGTAGCCATGCTTGGGTAAATATGTACTTCGGCTGTCTCCAACGTTTTTGGCACCAGGGACTGGTTTCATGGAAGACATTTTTTCTGCAGATATGTGTGTGTGTGTGTGTGTGTGTGTGTGTGTGTGTGTGTTGGCAGTGGGGGAGGGGTTGGGGATGATTCAAGAACATTACATTTATCATTAGATTCTCATAAGGAGCATGCAACCTAGATCCCTCACATGCACAGTTCACAATAGGGTTTGCACTCCCATGAGAATCTCATGCTGCCACTGAACTGACAGGAGGCGGAGCTCAGGCACTAATGCTTGCTCACCTGCCACTCACTTCCTGCTGTGCATTGGTTCTTAACAGGCCATGGACCGTACCAGCCCATGGCCCAGTGGTTGGGGACCCCTGATGCACTTGACTTTTTATCTGGATGTTTCTGGTATAATTGACGGTGGAATATCTTAGGATTTCTCATCTCTTTATTTCCCTTCATGCTCCATGGATCGTTCCTTCTTTCATTCATAAAGAGTTAGTATTTGGCCTATTGATATTCAAAAAATGCTACTCTGTCCCCGCCATGGATACATCAGCTTCCAGGGAAGCATGGGGGATTATGCTGCAAATAATTTGAATTTAACAAGGTAAAGATGGTGAGTAGCAAATAGTGATCAATTCCTTGGTCACTACCTCTCTATGCGGAAAATCTAGGGTCACAAAATTGGGCAGGATACGCTTTTGTATATCCTATTCTCCTCTCCAGCTATGGAGTCCTTTTTTTTTTTCTTTAAATCTTATCCTTAAAGCTTCCATTTCTCTTTGGTTTATGATTAAATCTCCCATTGAAAGTCATTTATTTTGCTTTGGATGATAGATTGCTTGTGGAAAGAAATTGGACTGCATTAATATGTCTACTGTTCCATGTATTGGGAGAATCTTGTAATCTACAATAAAATGTCACAAATATCAAAGAAATAATATCTGCTATGACAACATTTCTATATCTAAAGTTTACTGTAAGGAAAGACCTTAGAATACTACTATTTTATTTTATTGACAAGCACAAAAAACATGAAAACCTAAGTTAATGTATGTTCTATCAGATACATACAGAGCCTTTAAGTAAGGGAAATATAGTGTTTTTTACTGGTGACATTCACAGTTTGGTGGGGAAAGGGAGCTTCTTATTAAGAATCTCCTAGTCATATAAGCAATTATATGTAGATTTCCATGCTTTCATATAGGATCTTGAGGTAGAGAATTACTATTAACTATTATGGTTTTTGTTTATTTGTTTTAAACAAAGATGACTCCAAATTTTTCCAGGAAAGCAGCAGCTTTCATAATAACCTAAATCTGTCATTTGTAACCTGGTGCCTTTAAGAGTTGCAAACTCCTAGGATGTGCTATCGCCATAATAAGAACTAACTGTAATTAAATGTTTACTACTTGCCAGGAGCTCTCACTATACAAACTCCTTTTATCTCCACAACATCATGGAAGCACTATTGTCATCCCTATCACAGAGATCAGAAGCTGAGTCAAAAAGAGCTTTGATAAGTCTTCCAAGGTTGGAGCTGGGGTGCAAGTTAGACAATCTCAGTCTTAAGCCTGTGCTCTTAACCACTCTGCTACACTGTACTCTCTCACCTCTTGATGGAACTACCTGACTCGATGGCTCACTCCCCCCTGCCTCTTCTTTTGTTGATAAGAAGGAGTTATTTTATTTGATTTGTATTTTTGTTTACTATATATCAGTGTTCCTTTGAGCCCATATATCTTGTTTTTCTGTCTGTCCTACTTGGTACTGTTGTGGTGGGTATGTACGACAGTTGGAGGCATAGATATTCAAGGTTTCTCAAATCATAGTTTCTCTGTCTCTCTCTTTCTTGTGTTTCACCTTCTGAAACATACATAGGCATTCATGTATACTCGTACTGTCTTAGTTATTCATAAAATTGATAAAATGTAGATCCTCACACATATACATTATAATGCTTTAAAATCAATTTTTGGGGAATGTATGTGAGAATATGGGGAAATATTTTCGAAAGACATGTTTTAAGAGGCTAGAGTGACCTTAATTTATGTGTAGATTTTCAGAGAATTTTGAAATAAGAATTTTGTGATAATATCCTGACAAAAATCAAAGGATGCCAAATGTTTGCTTAGGCACGGCCTTATAGAGTTGGAGTAACTTGTTGGAATCACAACAATCTAAGACATGATTGTTACTTTTCATGTCCAGAAATTCAGTTGTGTCCATGTGCTCAAGGAGAATTCTTCAATGGATTCCAAATACACCAGACTATTGTCTAAATTAAGATACTAAGGGATAAATTTCTAGTAAGAATTGTAGTTACCGAACGGACCAGATCTTTCATGTTTAGTGGTCTGAGAATACTTTGTGTACCAATTTATGTTTGAAGACAAATTATAAGCTGAAATTTGTTCAGTAAACACAAAAGTGATCAGAGTTAGAAAGGACCAAGAAAACTGATGTGACTTTGTCGTGACATTTTGGTGACTAGCCAAGTTCTCATTCCTGGGAGAGTCTGGATAGTAATTTTTCTTGTTACTCTCTCCCATACCATGTCATATTTTATGACTGAATGCTTCCTAATATTTTAAATCTCTCTTATTAAAAGATTTTTAAAAAGTAGGCAATCTATACTTTTATCAATGCATGAGTATACATGCATGCATAGGTATGTTTCAGAAACTGTTAACTCTACTATCTATTATTAACATATTATCTCTACTATATTTAAGTCCTTTGGAGAAGACATTGTGGGAAATATCTCCAGTACATTTGTAGGAAAACCCTTTCTGTGTATGGAAATGTTTCATTACATTATGGTGCAGAGCTAGACAATAAAAGTGATGAGGATCAGAAATAATATCCAAGACCTTTTATTTTCCTATCACTTCATTTTTGTCTTTCTACCACTTCAATTTAGTTAAAACTGTCATTCAATGACCATTTGAAAATTATTAGAGGCTTCAAAGCTTTATTGGATTTGGAGCTAATGTGATGCCAAAAACGTAACTGACAATTGCTCTGAGTATTCATTTCTCTCCCAATTCACAGACAATCAAATTCGTTCCCACCCTGTGAGACCCAGCCATCATCAGTCACTTTGGTCTATCAAAACAGTCAATCTACATAATAGGAAAATGTAAAAAATTCTGGGGTCAGGAAAGAGCTCTTGTTACTTGAAAGCTACAGAATATTTTATTAACAAATCAAAGTGACTTCAGCTGTGCGTTCAGCATAGGTTGGAGAAATATTATTGCGCTCTACCCTTCTTCCCAAATGAGGTGGAAAATGGGGTTTTTCAGGTTAAGCTATCTTTTTGTAAAAACTTTCTTGAAAAAAAAATAGATTCCTACCATCTCACTTTTAAATCTACAACATGAGTGTATTTTTAAATCTGTTATTCAAAAAGAGTACAATAAAGTGTTAGACCTGACCCTGCATGCAAGTGTCTATCTTATTTCACTCTCCAAATCAATATAGAAAACAAAATGTCCGTTAATATTTAACAAATAAATAATAAAATTCTTCTAACTCATGCATGCTCACCAACAGTTACCAAAACATAGGGTTAGTTATCTTCTAGAAGTTCTTTTTTGTGTTTGTTTTTGTAGTGATTTCTAGTAAATAAATTTTAAAGTAAACAAGTTGTTTGAAGATCTGAAGAGGGAAGAACTGCAGGGGAAAAAGATCTTAAACTAACTGGGTTTCAGATTTTAAGGAATAAGATTATATATTAGCAAAAATAGAGACATCCGATTTTTAAAAGGATGATGTTAGTGCACTTAACACAGCAGGGCTCATACGTGCTCTGAAAGAATTTGTATATATTCACTTATGGATAATAGTGATTATAAAGATAAGGTTTACATATTACTTTCAGGGTTTCATGTCAAAATGAGTAATTTCAAACTAATTTAGAGTCATTTACAATTTTCACCTAATAATTGATCAGGAACTTTTGACACAAAAAGGACAAACTCAGTGAGTTAAGCTCAACAGAGCCAAGAAAGTTGAAATGTACTAAAAACTGTCTAAGGAAAGCAGGTACAGTTTGGGTATCATAGACACAGATAACATTGAGTAAAACTGTGTTTAAGAGAAGGGAACAGGCTGGGCGCGGTGGCTCATGCCTGTAATCCCAGCACTTTGGGAGGCTGAAGCAGGTAGATCACGAGGCCAGGAGTTCAAGACCAGCCTGAACAAGATGGTGAAACCCTTTTCTACTAAAAATACAAAAAAAAAAAAAAATTAGCTAGGCATGGTGGTGGGCGCCTGTAATCCCAGCTATTCATGAGGCTGAGGCAGAGAATTGCTTGAACCCAGGATGCAGAGGTTGCAGTGAGCCGAGATCACGCCACTGCACTCCAGCCTGGGTGACAGAGTGAGACTCCATCTCAAAAAAAAAAAAAAAAAAAAAAAAGAAAAGGGACCAAAAGGAAAACTCTGGCATGGATCTATTCATAAGAAGGATATTTTAGATTCGCTTAGGTAATGACTTATTTTTTGCAAGCCTAAAGAAGAAAACAATTAGTACAAAAACTTCATGACGTTGTGGTTCTCAGCAGGAATAGATAATAAAGCATTAGGGTAAAGCAGAAAATGAACCCGTGGCTCTAAAATGAGTTCAGTCTCTGTGCACATTTTTTGACGAGCTCTAGTTAATATCTTTTTAAGCATAATTTAAAGCAGGACCCTTATGGAAAATGGAAGAAACATACTAAGTGGCTCATCGAATATAAAAAGCACAGATTCCCGGTGCCAAGCAAATAAAATCTAAGGGCTATGTTCTTGTCTCCCTGCAAACCCCTCCACTTGTCAGAGGTCCTGGGGAGTGATTACTTTCTTCTCAACAGATAGCATTCCCTTTCTCCTTTTAGGTTTCCTCTCTCCTTTCTGATGTTCTTTGATCTATCTCCATATTCAGTTTTCTATCTGCTGTTATATTCTTTTCATCTTAAACTTTTTAACTTGTGTTGTAGATGTAATGATAATTTTTTCAGTTGCTATCTAGCTGAAATTGTCCTTATTTCCACCTTTATTTTGTTAAATCATTGCATAATTTACATTAATACATTTCAACCCATTTACTACATGTAATTGGGCATTCCTCAACTTTTGCTAGGTCTTTAGGTGGGAGTTGATTCAATCTAAGCAAAAATTCATCTACATTTTGATTTTGTTGCTGCTTTTGTTACCCTCAGTTTATCACACGGTTCAACTGTATCCACTTTTATCTTGTGTTGATAACGGGGCTCATTCGTCAGATGATTTTTCTCCATCTGAGTTCCACCCTTAGCTTTAGGTCTTCTCATTGCACCTGGGCCTCAGAAAAAGTCTCCACATGCTCTTTCTGTTGTCCCATGAGTAGACAAGTGTTACTGTTACACAACACCTGTAAGCCTAGTGGTAGTCGTGACGTGTATTCTGTTGTTCTGTTTAAGCCTCCGTCTTAAGCAGGCATTGGGTCTCTGGGACTCAGGAATGAGGCTTTCTTAGAGATTCTGTCCTTCCTTCAGTTGAAGGAAAACTAGTGGTATGTCCCAGGATGGTTTCTTCTCTTATCTGTGTCCCTGAGACATAGAGCTTTATTTTTCTGCTCCCCATCTCTAGTAAACATTCCAAAATATTTTGAAATCAGCATATTTTTATATAAGCTATAGGCCAAAAGATAAATTGCAATGGATTTTTAGAATATTTTAAAGCGAGTGGTAATAAAATATTATATGTCAAAATGAAAAAAAAGGCAACAAAAGCAATGCTTGGGAGCACTTCATAGCCATGAATGCATGTGTTAGGAAAGAAGAAAGGACAAGAATCTATGTGTATCTGAAAAAGTTATTTTTTAAAATTAAAATGAAGAAAGTACAAGGAGGGAAAAATGTAAGAGCATAAATCTTTGAAACAGAAAATATGTGTAAAATAAAGAAAATCAACTAAACTAAATATTGGCTCATATTCGTGGCTAATAAAAATTGATAAACTCCTTGAACACCTGATAAAAAAGAAAGAAATTGACCAACTAATACCAAATTGCAAATGATAAAGGAGACATCACCATAAATTTAAAAGACATAAAAACATATAGTATGTTATCTTATGCTATAAATTTGACAATTTAGATAAAATGGGCAAATCCCAAGAAGTGCAAAACTTACTTAAATTGATTCACAAAGAAAAAAAAGTAATTTTTTTAACTATTAAATAAATAGAATTCATCATTGAAAACTGTCACCTAGTAATATCTCTAGGATGGATGATGGTTGTAGTAGTAAGTCTTCCAAATATTTATGGAATATATAAAATTATATTACAAACTTGTCCAAAGAATTAAAAAAGGAGGAAATACTACTGACCTTGCTTTATAAGATTGCCCCAACTTATTTTCAAACGAAAATTTTAGGCCAATTATTCTGATGAACATAGAGGATAATTCTAAGTAAACTAGTAATTGAATTTTTAGAAAATAAAATTCAAAAAGTTTATATATTAAGCTGAATTAAAATTATGTTAAAAATTGAATGGTTTTCATAATTGAAAAATTAATGTAATTTATCACATATATAGAATAAATTAAAAAATTAATATGAATATATCCATAGACATAGAATAAAAATTTTGTAACAATTAAATATCTATTTATAATTTAAAACTTCCTGACACCATCAGGAAGCTGCTTAATTTAATAAAGTATATAAAAATAATAAATAATAAATATATAACGAATAAAGTATATCAAAAATAACTAAATAAATATATAATAATGAATAATAAAGTATATCAACATAATAAATTATAAATTATAGTAATAAGTAATAAATACAAATAAGAAAGTATGTCTAAAAAAGAAAGCATGACACTTAAGGATGAAATATTAAAAACTTTCTACCTGAGGTTCTGAACAACACAAGTTGCCCACACTTACTACTTCTGTTTCTTTGAGATTATAGCTGGTAAAATAAGGCCAATTTTCTTTTTTTAAAAAATATATATATGTAAGTTGGAAAAGCAGAAATAAAACTTTCATTTTACATGCATAGTGACTTCCTCCCAAAGAGTACAAGATGAAAAGAGAAATAAAAGAATAACTCTACCAATGCAAAAACATGACAAACACTATTTCAGCCATGTGATTGAGGTCAATATGAAGTCAAAACTTATATAGAGAATATGTACCCTTAATTTAATATGATAAAAATGTCATGTATAACTTTATGGCCTTCCTCTGCAAATCTATAACCTTGTTCTAGTCATGAGGAAATTATCAGACAAATTCCAATATAGAGACAGCCTACAAAATACACTGTGCCTCGAAATTATTAAGACCATCAACGACAAGGAAAGGCTAAGGAAACTGTTGGAGCCTAGAGGAGCCTAAGGGGTCACAATTACTAGATGTAATGTGTGTGGTATTTGGGATGAGATCCAGAAAGAGATAAAGGATATTAGGTATAAACTAAGTAAACTATAGACTCACATTCATACTAATGTATCAATATTGGTTCATTAATTGTGACAAATGTACCATAGTAAAGTAAGATATTAATAATTGGAGAAATGGTGTAGGCCAGGGGTGTCTAGTCTTTTGGCTTCCCTGGGCCACACTGGAAGAAGAATTGCCTTGGGCCACACATAAATTACACTAAAACTGATGAGCTAAAAAACTGATAGCTGATGAGCTAAAAAAAAAAAAAAGAAAGAAAGAAAGAAAAAAAAATCACAAAAAACCTTCAAAGTTTTAAGAAAGTTTATAAATTTGTCTTGGGCTGCATTCAAAGCTGTCCTGGGCCGCATGAGGCCCATGGGTCACGGGTTGGACAAGCTTGGTGTAAGCTATATAAGAACTCTCTGCTTTATCTTAACATTTTTTTCTGTAAATCTAAAATTATTGTAAAATAAAAAGTTTAGGCCGGGCATGGTGGCTCATGGCTGTAATCCTAGCACTTTGGTAGGTGGAGGCAGGCGGATCACTTGAGGCCAGGACTTAGAGGCCAGCCTGGCCAGCATGACGGAACCCTCTCTCTACTAAAAAAGTACAAAAATTAGCTGGGTGTGGTGTTGCACACCTTTATTCCTAGCTACTCAGGAGGCTGACACATGAGAATTGCTTGAGCCCCAGGAGGCAGAGGTTTCAGTGAACCAAGATTGTGCCACTGCACTCCAGCTTGGGTGTCAGAAAGAGACTTTGTCTCAAAAAAAAATTATAGATCGTTAAGTACATATATGTAAATTTTACTTAGAAAATTATGTACTGAAAAGTTTTCTTTCTAAAGGTAGAGACATTTCTTCCAAAGTAAGTGCTATAAGTATAGTTGCTCTTGATGTAAAGTATACAGTATAAATAAAACTGAAGACTCATGAGATTGCTCATACCACAGTCCCCAAAGGTCTGAGTTAGACTTGGTACATATTCACGACGCGTCATGAAAAATTCCTGTTTTTGAGGAAAAAGTAAAATTAATTGTCCATCACACTTTGGACTGTTGCAAATAGAATGCAGTCTCCAACTGGTAAGAAAACCATTTATATCAAGCTCGTAAGAGCTGGTTTTTTAAAATGGGTTGCAGTAACAGATTTCATTGTTCATCCTTTGGGAGTCTATTTATAACATTATTTATATGCCAATTTGATGGTGTTCTTTCATCATAAAGCCTACTTAATTTAAAGTTAATTGGGTCATAAAACAAAATACAAACCAAAGGGAAAAGCTTGTTATATTTAGGGGTGAAGTTATTTTCTAGTAGGTGTTGGTAGAGAAAATTGTTGGCTGTAGAAAGTTCAAGCACAAATTGAAGCAAGACCTTTTTCTGACATTTATGAAACATAAATGTTACATAGGTTGCAATGAAAATTTAATGAAGACATGTAGAATTGCTTCAAAGATTAACAAACTGACATTACTTTGAATAATAAAAAATTACCTATGGTCCTTGGCCAATGTAGTGCATATAGCTATGCATTTCTTAATTTTTAAATTTTTATTCTTTAACTTTCAATCTAAAGATAACGCATGCTTACTGCTATCTACCATTACTATATAACTGCTACAAAACTATTTTCCTACATAAAAATGTAGCACATCATATTTGTTTACATCTTAAGACAAAATATAATTAGTTATTGGATAGGGAAGGAAATCTCATGGCCCCTTAGAGTTTCCATTTTCCTCTCTACAAGTGGAGAATGTTTGAGAGGACATTTTGGGTCTCTCGGTTCCCCTCACAAGAGAAGTGAGTCATCACGAATCCAAGTTAATTAGCTGCAGTGCACACTCTAGTTAATATTCCTGGCACCCATTCCACTTCCTCCTTTCAGAAAACCCTGCATTTTCCAGTCTTGATGTTCAGATGGGAGAGATCACCCAGTTCCGAGGTTGGAACATTTCTGGCTTAAACAAATCAGCATATTTTTTACACTCTTTTTCAGGTTTGGGGTCAAGATTGAACCTGGTAATAACATCTAAGCAATGGCTTTCTCCTAATCAAAAATGGCAACAAAAGACAAAATTGACAAATGGGATCTAATTAAACTAAAGAGCTTCTGCACAGCAAAAGAAACTACCATCAGAGTGAACAGGCAACCTACAAAATGGGAGAAAATTTTCGCAAACTACTCATCTGACAAAGGGCTAATATCCAGAATCTACAGTGAACTCAAACAAATTTACAAGAAAAAAACAAACAACCCCATCAAAAAGTGGGCGAAGGACATGAACAGACACTTCTCAAAAGAAGACATTTATGCAGCCAAAAAACACATGAAAAAATGCTCATCATCACTGGCCATCAGAGAAATGCAAATCAAAACCACAATGAGATACCATCTCACACCAGTTAGAATGGCAATCATTAAAAAGTCAGGAAACAACAGGTGCTGGAGAGGATGTGGAGAAATAGGAACAGTTTTACACTGTTGGTGGGACTGTAAACTAGTTCAACCATTGTGGAAGTCAGTGTGGCGATTCCTCAGGGATCTAGAACTAGAATTACCATTTGACCCAGCCATCCCATTACTGGGTATATACCCAAATGACTATAAATCATGCTGCTATAAAGACACATGCACACGTATGTTTATTGTGGCATTATTCACAATAGCAAAGACTTGGAACCAACCCAAATGTCCAACAATGATAGACTAGATTAAGAAAATGTGGCACATATACACCATGGAATACTATGCAGCCATAAAAAATGATGAGTTCATGTCCTTTGTAGGGACATGGATGAAATTGGAAATCATCATTCTCAGTAAACTATCGCAAGATCAAAAAACCAAACACCGCATATTCTCACTCATAGGTGGGAACTGAACAATGAGATCACATGGACACAGGAAGGGGAATATCACACTCTGGGGACTGTGGTGGGGTGGGGGGAGGGGGGAGGGATAGCATTGGGAGATATACCTAATGCTAGATGACGAGTTAGTGGGTGCAGCGCACCAGCATGGCACATGTATACATATGTAACTAACCTGCACAATGTGCACATGTATCCTAAAACTTAAAGTATAATAAAAAAAAAATTAGAAGTCAACAGCAAGAAGATAGCTAAACACAAGCACACATTTGGAAAATTAAGAATATCCTTTCATGAGTTAAATGAAAAATCACAATAGAAATTACTAAACATTTACAACAGAACGAAAATACAACTTTATATATATATATAAAAAAAGAATTAATTTAGTAATTGGTATGACACTGTTCTCCAAGAGTAGAATCACTGTGTGACCTATGTGCAGTTATGTGCCCTCTTCATCTCCATCTTGATTTTTCTCTGCCATCTCTCTCTTCCTTCAATTCTCTCTGCATATGGATGAGAAATCAAGCAGTTTCCAAAACTGTTGGTGGCCATCTTGGAACCACAAAAGAAGATGGCTATTGAATAACTGAACCCATGAAAAGCTGAGTGGAAGTAAGAAAATAAGCTATATTCTTAGTGACAACATAGACCTATGGAATAATATCAACACTAAATCCACCTGACTGCTAGTCTTCATAGTTGCATGAGCACCTAAAACTCCTTATTACTTAAGCCAAGATAAGTTGCCTGGTGTTAACTATAATATCTATAACATTAAGAGACCTAGGTTTCTAAGGGATATATGAGTGTATGGATCACAGCAAAGTATTACTTGTTCATACCATGCTGTGTTTTTCACTTAACTTGCCTGTGGTCAAACATAGCTGGCTCTATTCTGTCTCCTTCTTCCTTGCAGGAGGATCACATGAGCAAAGTCTCATAAGTGAGAAGGGAAACCGACAATTTCTTCTGTCTCTCTTTCTCTCTTTGTTTCTCTCTCCTTTCTAGCAAATCAATATATGATAGAATGAGCTTGGTAAATCAAGATCTGTGCTGTGCACCCAACTATTAACACATGTGTGTGCACAAATGTAGATTTAAAAAAAATATCTATTTTTAGTGCTAACACCTGTAATCCAAGCACTTTAGGAGGCTGAGACAGGAGATTTACTTGAGGCCAGGAGTTCAAGACCAGCCTGGGCAACAAAGTAAGACTCTGTCTCTACAAAAAAATTTTAAAAATTAGCTAGATGTGATGGTGCACAACTATGGTCCCAGCTACTCAGGAGGCTGAGGTGGGAGGATCACTTGAGCCCAGGAAGTTGAGGCTGCAGTAAGCCTGGGTAACAGAGGAGGCCCTCTCTCAAAAAAAATCTATTTTTAGTTGACAAATGAAAATTGTACATATTAATGGAGTATGAAGTGATGTGGATATATGCATACATTATGGAATGATTAAATCAAGTTAATTCGCATATCCATCACATCACGTACCTCTCATTTTTTTTTTCGCTGAGAACATTTAGCCTACTATCTATGCTATTTTTGAGTGTATAATACATTATTAACTATAGTCACCAGGCTGTACATTAGAGCTCCAGAACTTATTTCTCCTGTCTAACTGAAACTTTGTACTGTGTGGTCAACATCCACCCATCTCCACCCCACCCTCCCCAAACTCCTCTTAACCACCATTTTACTATCTACTTCTATAAGTTGAATTTTTTTATATTCTGCATATAAGTAAAATTACCTACCTGTCTTTCTGTGCCTTGCTTATTTCACATAGCATAATATCCTCCAGTTTCATCCATGTTGTTACAAATGATAGGCTCTTCCTCTTTTAAGGCTGAGTAGTATTCCATTGTGTACCTATACTGCATTTTCTTTATCCATTCAATTGTTCGTGGACACATTGGTTTATTCTATATTTTGGCTATTGTGAATTGATGCTACAGTGAACATGGGGGTGCAGATACCTCCTTGACATACTGATTTTATTGTATTTACATATATACCTTGTAGTAGGACTGCTGAATCTATAATCATATGGGAGTTTCTTATTTTTAATTTTTTGAGAAACATCTACTATTTTCCATAATGTCTATAGTAATTTAAAATTCTTTTTTTCTCTTTTTTTTTTTTTTTTTTTTTTGAGACAGTGTCTCACTCTGTTGCCCAGGCTGGAGTGTGGTGATGCAATCTCAGGTCACTGCAACCTCCACCTCCTGGGTTCAAGCAATTCTCATGCCTTAGACTCCCCAATAGCAGGGACTACAAGTGAGCTCCAACTATGTGGTTAATTTTTGAATTTTTAGTAGAAACGGGGTTTTGCCATGTTGCCCAAGCTGGAGTCAAACTCCTGGCCTCAAGTGATTTGCCTGCTTCAGCCTCCCAAATTTTTGGGATTACAGGTATAAGCCATCACACCTGGCTTAATTTACATTTCTACCAACTTTGTGCAAGGATTCCCTTTTTTCCACATCCCTACCAACATTTGTTATCCTTTGTCCTTTTGCTAAAAGCTATTCTTACAGGTGTGAGGTGATACCTCATGAACAAATGTTTATTTAGGCAGGGAGTAGGAGACTCCCATTTTAGCCTCCGATCCCATCCACTTTCCAAGATCTGACTTTATTAGACCTTAATTTTAGATTTATGGTCACCTCATTGTCCCATCACTAACATATCCCATGATTTTCATTTGATCATCAGTTTGCTTTGTATAATTTTTATAGTTTAAAACCTAAAGGGGGAAAGGGGATCAGGTCACCTGTCCTATCCCTACATAATAAATCTATTTTCTTTTGCAAACTATCCACACCGCAAGTTCAGTAATTAAAAACTAGAAAAATGCATAATGTATCTTCTACAGTTTTGAGAAATAGTTGTCATGGAGTGAATATGGGTGGGCAACTAGGTTGTGGTTACATTACTGTAATGTTTTCTTCCTCTAGGTTTGATGATTAGAGAACGGATGAACAACTAAGCAGCCCTTTCATAATGGTAATTGTTTGCCTTATTCAGTGTCACCTGTTAGGCACACAGTACTCCAAACTATGAATATTTTCCTATCCTTACAACAACTACTCCAGATATGTCCAAAGTGGGTAAAGAGCTTGGTCAACAGCAGTGGGGTTTGGCAAAGCTCACTTTTCAGGACAAGCCAGGATTTCTACTGCATTACTTGGGACAACAATAATAAAGACATAAGAGACATTTTAGTGCCTTCTAACTGTTCCTCATCCTCTAAGCATCATTAATGAAAATCCTGGAATATCTTGAAAGCTATCACCTCCTTAAATTTCCCACAATTCCCCTGGTTATGACTCCTCTTATCTCTCACCTGAATTGCTGCTAAAGCCTCCTTAAAGTTTTCATGGCTCTATAGGTTGCAACTTTAATTTTATCCACTTACTGCTTATGTGACTTGGAGTAAGTGATAAACCTTTTATGAGTGCTTTTTCTAAGAAAGTAAATTATATATCACACTTCCAGCATAGAATTAGGGCCAGGATTAAATGTGTTAGAATAAATGTAAGTGCCAGGGACATTGATTGGCACTCAACAAATGTTATTTTGATTTGTTTTCCTTAAATGAGAATTCTAACGTTTAACTGTTGAAGGCTCATCTTATTCAGGATAGTTTGGTAAATATACATAACTTCAAAATAAAGCCAAAACTCCTTAGACTGACATTTATGATTCTCCACTATCTTATCACTTTACCACTTTATTTCCCACCACAACCCCCCATACTATTTATTGTTCCAAGATTACATCCTGTGCTTACTGATTTATACATTCAGAGACACATTTAAATCTGCCTGGAATTTTGATTCCTCTTTCCATTAAAATCCTATTTATTCTACAAAGTGTACTTACATTTTGCTTTTTCGCAAAGCCTTTCCTGATCTCTAGATTATAATTAGAAACTGTGAATCCTCATAAACCTAGATTTTTTTGTTCATTTTTATCTTGATTCTTCCTCCATTCCTAGAAAGCATTTCCACCTCTCTTCTGTACAATGTACCTAATTTCTTAATTAATATATATTGAATTGTGTCATGGAAAACAGACTTCAGAGAATATGAAAATTGTCTGAACAATATTTAGCAATCGTACATGAGATGAGAATCAGATACTGGAAAATACGCCTCTCAGGAGAGGGGCAGGGAACTCAACTGAGATCTAAGATTAAAAAATGATATTCATTTGTGAGTTGTATGAAAGAAAGCATTTATGGTGTGTTGATCTTGTTGCATACACAAATAACTAGTAGAAGGATTTACATATTTTATAATGTTCTGAGAATTTGAGAAAGCTTTTTGTACATTTGTGGAACACTGAGGACACAATTTTCAGAAAGACACAAGGCCCAGTGAGGATACAATGTGCAGAGCCATAGAGAAGTAGAGGTAACATTTACTTGACTGACCCTATCAGCCTTTTCTGAGGGTTCATTAGATAGAAACAGGTTTGGGTCTATTTATTCATTAAAATTATGAATATAAGCAAACTTTAAAATGCTCTACCATACCCACTTTGCATTATATCTGATATATGTTCCTACAGAGTTGATATATTTTAGGAAGTAGTTAAACAGCTAGCTTATTGGAAAGCCGAGGCAGGTGGATCCCTTGAGGCTAGGAGTTCAAGACCAGCCTAGTCAATATGGTGAAACCTATCTCTACTAAAAATTAAAAGAAAAAAAAATTAGCCAAGCATGGTGGTACACGCCTGTAATCCCAGCTACCCAGGAGGCTGAGGCATGAGAGTCGCTTGAACCTGGGAGACAGAGGTGGCAGTGGGCCAAGAACATGCCGCTGCACTTCAGCCTGGGTGACAGAGTGAGACTGTCTCAGAAAATAAAAAATAAATAAATACAATTTAAAAAATTAACAGCTAGTTTATGATTCATTCATACTCTTTATGAGAATTGAGGGGATGCTACTGGGAAATGGGAAGAAAGAAAATGATCTAGCTAATCTTGCCAATCAGATATTTAAATAAATGGTCTAATGATATATTCTCAGGGATAGAGACGTGATCTCTGGAATGCCTTTAGCAACATATCCTTGGCTAAAAGATTAATTAGATTCAGAAACTATAGAGAATGGGTCCCTGGAGAATGTCATGTAGGCAATGTAACTCTCTGGGTTATAAAATGGAAAGTTTTAGTAATTTAAATAACCTCTTTCATGTGAAGTAATCACATGATCTCATTTAGAAACCCTATTTATTATTATGGGCCAGAGGTGCCTATCCAAAGCAAGAAGAATATTTTATCCAGCATTTTAAATTGTTTTCTGAGGGAGAAATATTATGTTATTTAGTCTTTCATATGATTAGAAATGAAAGTCTTGATATTCATATTTCTGCTTAGAAATACAAATATGAATTGATACATGAGTAGCACAACTGGAAGTAAATGATATTATTTTTAAATGGTGAATGAAAGACAATTATGATAGTAAAACATGGGTTTGGGCAGGGCTACTGAATTGGTCTAAAAACTATTTGGAACCATTTTTATACAGTTTTATTTTATAATTAACATTCTATTTTTGTCAGCACATACAAAAAGTCTCTTTTATTTATTTGTTTATTTGCCCACATGTAATCTTTGAGTTTTCCTATATTTTGTTATTATTTTAAAAAGTGTCTCCTGGGAATATTACTATTTCTGCTAAATTGAACTTATGGCTTGGCTTTTTTTGCTTTACTTAACGTATACATGATGTCTTTAGGTTTTATTTTATTAAGAACTCTAGAGAAAATACCTTTTATTAATAATATAAATATATTTATCCTAAAAATATTCATATTGAATGAAATGTATGAATAGCAATACAGGACTTAGAAGTGTAGATAATAACTTTCTCTAATTTGTTTTAAGTATTTCACAAAGATCATCACATCCTAGTGAGTGATAGGAAAGATAAACTGATGCCTTCAGCAAAAATATAGTTCAGCTCACTTGATGAGATATCTGTTATATAACTAAAGAGTTTCCTAAAACTTAATCCAAACTGGCAATGGGAGAATAATAAGCTCAATATTTGTGCTGATACTAGGAAAGTGAAAGGCTGGTTACCACTAAATCATAAAATGAAACCAGATGAGAGGTATGTAATATCTGTATTTTAGTTCTACTTTTGATATTTTTATTTGAATATTGTAGAAATTAAATTAAGTGAGAAGAACATGATTTAGAATCCACTTACAATAAACATTAAGAACTAGATTGGGTCTTCTGCTTCAGACCCAGATGTAGAAACAGGGACAAGATGTACCCTCCTGCCTGAAACAACAAAGAAAAATAACATAAAATATTGTGAAACAATGGTTTTTAAGATACTGAAAATGAGGTATTGAACAATAATCCCTGAAAGACTGGAAGCAAGTGAGGTGAGCACTCTGATAGCGTTTCTTGGAGGGGTACAAGAAGGAGTAAGCCAAGGAGAGCCCAGTGGGAATATGGAACTGAGATTGCAGAAGACCAAAGAGTGCTAGAGTTTGCTGAAGAGAATATTCGAGGAGAAACTTGCAGAAAGAAAACTCCAAAGATCTGCAGAGGATCTATCTTAAGAGCACAAGAGAGTACTAATTAGTGCATACATGAGAAAAATACCAAAGGCTAGGGTAAGAACCATTGACAAAGGTTAGAGAGACTAGTGCTTGGTGCTCACAGAAAGTGTTGAGAATAATCCTTCTTCCCACTACCTAGACTAGAAAGCCTCATTATTCACCGAACAGTGAAGATGATACCCAGAAAGTTCTTACGTTATAGTGGGGAATAATTAGTCCTAGATTAATTGTTGTTCTGGTCCTGATTAACTACATGCCAATAAACCTCATAAATATAGATGCCAAAATCCATAACAAAATATTAGAAAATCTAATCTAGAAATATATTAAAAAATAACATATTATGACCAAATAGGGTTATCTTGAGAAAGCAAGATTGGCTCAATATTCAAAAATTAATCAAGGTATTTCACCATATCAACCGATCAAAGAAGAAAAAATATATATAATCATCTCAATAGAAAATCTATTTGACAAAATCTAACTTTCATTATGGGTTAAAATTCTTGGCAAACTGGGTATAGAAAGAAACTTCCTCAACCTGATAAAGCACATTGACAACGACTTTACAATTAACACTATACTAATGGTGAAAATACTGGGCCTTATCCAGATAGCATCATAAAATGATGTGCAAATTTGAATAAAAGAAATATGATTCTCATAGTCTACATATGACATAGAAAATTCCAAAGAATCTATAAACATTACCTATTAGAACTAATAAGTGAGCCATACTTGGTTGCAGGATGCCAAGTCAATATTATGTAAAAGTCACAGTATTAGTAAATACTAGTTAAAAGCAATTGAAACATGAAAATTTTTTAAAACCACTTGTGCAAAAAAGAGTTAACACAGCAGATGTGAGACTCTTATCCTTAGAAAGACCTATTTGCAATGTTAGCTCTTGTCTAAATTTTGAGAAATTGGATTCCAGGAGGGTTCCCATCATTTCCTGAGAAGCATTATTCACAAGGCCAAAATTGCTTCTGAAAACAATATGTTTCATATTGAATATTTGCGTTCTTTCTGGGAGTCTAGAATTGGTACATTCCAGGCAGAAGGTGCTTACATGATCAGCTCCCAATAAAAACCCTGTGTATTTGATATCTAATGAGCTTCCCTGATACACAATATTTTATCCATGGTTGTTGCAATTTATTGTTGGAGGAATTAAGCATATTCTTTGTAATTCCCCCAGGAAAGGACTCTTGGAAGCTTGTGCCTGGTTTTCTCCCATGTGCCTTTTCCCTTGCCTCCTTTTGCTTTATACATTTTTTTCTGTAATAAATCATAGTCCTGGATACAACTATATGCTGTGTCCTGAGAGTCCTCCTCGTCAATCACTGAACCTGGGAATAATCTTGGGGACTGCCTATATAGTACTATTTACAGTAGCACCAACATTTTTGAAATACCTGCTGGTAATCTTAAAAAATATGTGTAGGCCTTTATTTCTTTCCAAAATCTATGAAACACTGGTGAAAGGAATCAAATAATAAATATGTAGACACATATACTGTGGTCATAAATTGGAAGGCCCAGTGTTTTTAAGATAACAATTCTCCCCTAATTGATCCAAAGGTTCATTGCAAACCCAATAAAATATTCAGCAGTGTTTTTGGTAGAAATTGAAAACGTGATCATAAAATTCCATAGAATTTAGAATTACTTAAGCATTTTTTAAAAAAATGAAGAACATAAGTAAAATGGTGTACTGTGAGAAAAAAAGAGCCACATAGGTCAATAAAAGAGTGTAGAGAGTTCAGAAGAAGATCCACACATATATTATCAACTGATTTTTTAAAAAAGATGCCAAGACAATTCAACAGGGAAAAGGAAATCTTAAAAACAAAATATCCATAAGGGAAAAACTAAATTTAAATTCTTACCTCTCACAACATAGACAAATTAACTAAATATAGGCCATAAACTTAAGTGGAAAATGTATTAGTCCATTATCACACTGTTATTAAGAAATACACAAGACTGGGTAATTTATAAAGAAAAGAAGTTGAATTGACTCACAGTTCTGCAAGACTGGGGAGACCTCCGGAAATACACAGTCATGGTGAAAGGCACCTCTTCAGAGGGCAACAGGAGAGAGAATGAGTGCCAAATGAAAGGGTAAGCCCGTTATATAACCATCAGCTCTCATGAGAACTCACCTGCTATCACAAGAATAGCATGAGGAAAACTGCCCCTGTGATTCAATTATCTCCACCCTGTACCGCCCTTGAAATATGAGGATTCAAGGTGAGATGTGGGTGGGGACATTGAGCCAAACCATATCATTCCACCACTGGCCTCTCTCAAATCTCATGTCCTCACGTTTCAAAACACAATCATGCCCTTCCTACAGTCCCCCAAATTCTTAACTCATTCTAGTATTAACCCAAAAGTCCAAGTCCAAAGTCTCATCTGAGACAAGGCAAGTCTCTTCCACTTATGAGCCTGTAAAATCGAAAGTAAGTTAATTACATCCTAGATACAATGGGGATACCAGTATTGGGTAAACACGCCCATTCCAAATGGGAAAAATTGGCCAAAACAAAGGAGCTACATGACTCAAGCAAGTCCCGAATCCAATAGGGCAGTCATTAAACCTTAAGGTTACAAAATGATCTCCTTTGACTCCATGTCTCACATCAAGGAAACGCTGATGCAAGAGTTGGGGCTTCCATGTTGTGTGCATCTCTGCTTCTGTGGCTTTGAAGGGTACTGCCTTCCTCCTGGCTGCTTTCACTGGCTATCATTGAGTGTCTGTGGCTTTTCCAGGTGCACAGTGCAAGCTGTTGGTGGATCTACTATTCTGGGATCTGGAGAATAATGACCCTCTTCTCACAGATCCACTAGGCAGTGCCCCAGTGGAGACTGTGTGGGGGCTCCATTTCCCTCCCTCACTGCCCTAAGCAGAGGCTCTCCATGAGGGCTCCACACCTGCAACAAACTTCTGCCTGGACATCCAGGTGTTTCCATACATCATCTGACATCTAGGTGGAGGTTCCCACAACTGAATTCTTGAATTCTGTGCACCTACAGGCCCAACACCATGTATAAGCCACCAACACTTGGGGCTTGCACCCTCTGAAGCAATGGCCCAACCTGTACCTTGGTCCCTTTTAGCTACAGCTAGAGCTGAAGAAGCTGGACATAGGCCACCATGTCCTGAGGCTGCATAGAGCAGAAGGCCCCTGGGCCTGGCCCACAAAACCATTTTTCCCTCGTAGGTCTCAGGACCTGTGATGGGTGAAGGGGGCTGCTGTGAAGGTCTCTGACATACCTTGAAGACATTTTCCCCATTGTCTTGGTGAAAAACACTTGGATCCTTGTTACTTATGTGAATTTCTGTAGCTGGCTTGAATTGATCCACAGAAAATGGGTCTTTATTTTCTATCTCATGGTGAGGCTGCACATTTTCCAAACTTTTATACTCTGTCACCTCGTGTATGCTTTGCTGCTTAGAAATTTCTTCTGCCAGATACTTTAAAACATCTCTTTCAAGTTCAGAGTTCCACAGATCTCTAGGGCAGAGGCAAAAAACTGCCAGTCTCTTTGCTAAAGCATAGCAAGAGTGACCCTTACGCCAGTTCCCAGTCAGTTTCTCATCTCCATCTGAGACAACCACAGCCTGGACTTCACTGTCTATATCACTATCTGCATTTTGGTCATAGCCATTCAAAAAGTCTCTAGAAAGTTCCAAACTTTCCCACATTTTTCTGTCTTCTTCTGAGCCCTCCAAACTGTTCCAATATCTGCCTGTTACCCAGTTCCAAAGTTGCTTCCATATCTTTGGGTATCTTTATAGCAGCACCCCAATCTCTGTGGTACCAATATACTATATTTGTTCTAACACTGTTATGAAGAGATACCTGAGACTAGGTAATTTATAAAGAAAAGAGGTTTAATTGACTCATAGTTTCACATGACTGGAGAGGCCTCAGGAAACTTAAAACTGTGGCAGAAGACACCTTTTCACAGTGTGGCAGGATATAGAATGATTGCTGAGTGATGGGGAAAGCCTCTTATGAAACCATCAGATCTTGTGAGAAGTCACTCACTATCATGAGAACTGCATGGCGATAACTGACCCATGATTCAATTATCTCTACCTGGTCCTGCCCTTGACACATGGGGATTATAAAAATTCAAGGTGAGATTTGAGTGGGGACACAGAGCAAAACCATATCAGAAAACTAAAGACAGGCTTTTTTTAAAGACCTAGCAGAGATACAACAAAAAAGAAAACTTCAGGCCAATATCTTTGATGAACACTGATGCAAAAATTCTTAGCAAAATACTTGTAAACCGAATCCAACAGCACATCAGAAAGCTTTTCCACAATCAAGTAGGCTGCATTCCTGGGATGCAAGGTTGATTCGACATACGCAAAACGATAAATGTGATTCATCACATAAACAGGACTAAAGACAAAAAACACACGATTATCTCAATAGGTGCAGAAAAGGCCTCCGATGAAATTCAACATCTCTTCTTCTTAAAAACTCTCAATAAACTAGGTATTGAAGAAACATACCTGAAAATAATAAGAGCCATTTATGAGAAACCCACAGCCAGTATCATATTAAATGGGTAAAACCTAGAAGCATTCCCCTCAAAAACTGGCAGAAGACAAGGATGCCCTCTTTGCCACTCCTATTCAACACTTTATTGGAAGTTCTGACCAGGGCCCTCAGGCAAGAGAAAGAAATAAAGGGCATCCAAATAGGAAGTGGGAAAGTCAACCATCCCTGTTTGCAGATGACATGTTCTTATATTTGGAAAACCCCATAGTCTCAGCCCAAAAGCTTCTTAAGCTTATAAACAACTTCAGCAAAGTCTCAGGATACAAAATCCACGTGCAGAAATCACTAACATTCCTATACACCAACAACAGTCAAGTCAAGAGCCAAGTCAGTAACAAACTCCCATTCACAACTGTCATAAGAAGAATAAAATATCTAGGGATACAGCTCACTAAAGAGCTGAAATATCTCTACAAGGAGAACTAAAAATGCTCAAATAAATCAGAGATGATACAAACAAATGGAAAAACGTTCGATGCTCATGGATAGGAAGAATTAATATCGTTAAGATGGCCATGCTGCCCAAAGCAATTTATAGATTCAATGCTATTTTTATTAAACTACCACTGACATTCTTCACAGAAGCAGAGAAAACTATTTTAAAATTTATATGTAACCAAAAGAGAGCCTGAATAATTAAAGCAATCTAAGTAAAGAGAACAAAGCTGGAGGCATCATGCTACCTGACTTCAAACTACACTACAAGGCTACAGTAACTAAACAACATGGCACTGGTACAAAAACAGACACACAGACAAATAGAACAGAATAGAGGACCCAGAAATAAGACTGCACATCCACAAATATCTAATATTTGACAAACTTGACAAAAACAAGCAAGGTGGAAAGGATCCCCTATTCAATTAATAGTGCTGGGAAAACTGGCTAGCCATATGCAGAAGACTGAAACTGGACCCCTTCTTTACACCATATACAAAAATTAACTCAAGATGGATTAAAGACTTAAATGTAAAACCCAAAACTATAAAAACCCTGGAAGACAACCTAGGAAATACCACTCAGGACATAGGCACGGGCAAAGATTTCATGATGAAAATGTCAAAAGCAATTGCAACAAAAGCAAACATTGACAAATGGTATCTAATTAAACTAAGGAGCTTCTGCACAGCAAAAGAAACTAACAACAGAGTAGTAGCCAACCTACAAAATGGGAGAAAATTTTTGCAAACTATGCATCTGACAAATGTCTAATATCCAGCATCTATCTATAAGGAACTTTACAAGAAAAATGAATTTACAAGAAAAAAAAAACATTAAAAAGTGGGCAAAGAACATGAGCAGACACATCTCAAAAGAAGACATGCATGCAGTCAACAATTTATGAAATAAAACTAAACATTACTGATCATTAGAGAAATGCAAATCAAAACCTCAGTGAGATACCATCTCACACCAGTCAGAATGGCTATTATTAAAAAGTCAAAAAACAACAGATGCTATAGAGGTTACAGAGAAAAGGGAACACTTATACAGTGTTGGTGGGAGTTTAAATTAGTTCAGCCATTGTGGAAGATGTTGTGGTAGTTCCTCAAAGACTTAAAGACAGAAATATCATGTGACAGAGCAATCCCATTACTGGGTATACACCCAAAGGAGTATAAATCACTCTATTATAAAGACACATGAACATGTATGTTCATTGAAGCATTATTCATAATAGAAAAAACATGGAATCAACTTAAATGCCCATTAGTGATAGATTGGATAAAGAAAATGTCATACATATACACCATGGAATACTACGCAGTCATAAAAGAACGAGATCGTGTCCTATGCAGGGACATGGATGGAGCTAGAGGCCATTATCCTTAGCAAACTAACACAGGAACTGAAAACCAAGTATCTCATGCTCTTACTTAGAAGTGGGAGCAAAATGATTAGAACACCTGGACACGTAGAGGGGAACAACACACACTGGGGCCTTTCAGAAGCTAAATGGTGGGAGGAGGAAGAGGATCAGGAAAAATAACTAATGGCTATTAGGCTTAATACCTAGGATGTAAAATAATCTGCAACAAACTCCCATGACACAAATTACCTATGTAACAAACCTGCACTTGTACCCCAAACTTCAAATAAAAGTTAAGAAAAAGAAAATATAGAAAGAAAAGTCTAGGTTTCCTTGGAGTAGACAAAATTTCTTAAATAGTACAATTAAAACATAGGCTGGGCGCGGTGGCTCACATCTGTAATCCCAGCACTTTGGGAGGCCGAGGTGGGCGGATCACAAGGTCAGGATACCGAGATCATCCTGGCTAACATGGTGAAACCCCGTCTCTACTAAAAAATACAAAAAAATTAGGTGGGCGTGGTGACAGGCGCTACGTGGGAGGCTGAGGCAGGAGAACGGCGTGAACCCGGGAGGCAGAACTTCCAGTAAGCTGAGATGGTGCCACTGCACTCCAGCCTGGGGGACAGAGCGATACTCCGTCTCAAAAAAAAAAAGACATAAATCATTAGTGAAAAATAATAAATTTGACTTTTTAACATTAAAATATTTTATCCTTCAAAGACATCCTTAAAATAAAAATGAGAATATTCTATAAAGAAAATATTATGTATATATTTATGACATTTATACGCATCCAGAATATTTAAGGAATCTTGACAATTCAATGGTAATAAGAAAAAATGCCACAGCCAAAAATATAGACAAATGATTTGAACAGGTATTTTACAAAAGAAGATATATAAATAGCCAATAGGCACAGGGAAAGATGTTCAACATCGTTAGCCATCAAGAAAATGCACACTAAAACCCAATGAGTTACCATTATCGATCCATTAAAATGATTCAAATCAAAATGACCAACAATAGCAAGCAAGGTCAAGATGTAAAATAACTGGACCTCATATCCTGTTAATGGCAATGTAAAATGATACAACCTCTTTGGGAAACTATTTGACTCTTTCTGAAAAAGTTGAGTATTCACTTACCATATGACTTAGTGGTGCCATCCCTAAGTATTACCAAAAAGAAATGAGAATATATGTCCTCACAGAGACATTTGTAGAATTTTAAAATTATAGCCCTAAACTGAATACATCTCAAATGCTCATCAACAAAGGAATGGATAAATAAAATGTGGTGTAGCCATACAAAGAAATATTTCTCCATAATATAAAATAATAAACATACTATTGTGTGAATCTAAAAATCATTTCTCTTAATCAAAGTAGCCAGACAAAAGAGTACATGCTATTTTGTTCGACTTATGTAAGTTACACAACAATTCACAGTGGCTTTAAGCAAATCAGTGACTGGTTCCAGACACAGATGAGTTTTGCACTTTAAAAAGAGCATGAGGAATCTTTCGTGGGGAATGGAAATGTTCTGTATCTTGTTTATGGTTGTGTTTTTATGACTGTACACAATTCACAAGACTGATCAAATTGCGTTCCTTAAATGAATGCAACTTGAATCAATAATTAATGTTATCTATAATAAAATTAATAAAGAAGATGCTTGAGATAAATAGAATGCTTTTCTAAGTATGTATGATTCCACAGGAAGAATCATAAAGAAGGTGAAAATAATTTATGGCCAGGTGTGGTGGCTCATGCCTGTAATCCCAGCACTTTGGGAGGCCGAGGAGGTGGATCACCAGAGGTCGGGAGTTCCAGACCAGCCTGGCCAATATGGCAAAACCCCATCTCTACTAAAAATACAAAAAAAAAAAAAATTTAGCTGGGGGTGGTGGCGGGTGCCTGTAATCCCAGCTACTCGGGAGGCTGAGGCAGGAGAATCGCTTGAACCCGGGAGGCAGAGGTTACAGTGAGCCAAGATCGCACCGCTTCACTCCAGCCTGGGCAAAAGAGAGAGACCTCGTCTCAATAATAATAATAATAATAACAACAACAATAATTTATTAAAAGAGTGTGTAGAGGAGCATAGGTTAAAAAGAGATATCACAGGAGAACTGTAGAAATACTAAACTCCTGTTTTATGTCTTATATAATAATAATAATACTACAAATAATAAACTAAGTACCTTCAAGAGAAAATTCAATATTTAGGTATGTGAGATCGTAAAAAAAATTGGCAGTTTAAAATAATTTCAATTCTTAAGACTCAGATACAATGAATCAAAATTTACTGGAAGAATTAAAAGATGTAACTGGAAAGTCAATATTCTCAATCCTAGAGACTGTTCGGAGAAAGGAAAAAAGAGACAGAAAAATATATATGTATTAACTGACAATGTGAAACTGTTCATTAATCCTAAAAGAAGAAAAAAGGATTCTGAAACTAGGGAAAAGTGAACTATGCAAAAGGCTAGCCAATCTGAGAATAAATTACTGAAGTGATTATTTGTGAGTACCTTTAGAAAAGAGTGTACAGAGTTCTTGGAGTCAGTATTAATTCATTAAGAACAAGTTATGCTAAATACAAATTTCGCTTTTTAATATGAATAGTAAATACACAATTAAGGCAAATGCTTTAGAATACACATTTCAATAACAATACTTGAGGGTAGAAAATACATGTGGATTAAAATAATTATTATATTACAAATATTAATGATAATAATACTTTAGACCAAGAAAGACAATTCAACTTTCCATTTTCCTGTAGTGTCTTTTGGTTGATTGCTAAAATTAGGTAAATCTCAAAGGAGGTTTTTATGGCATACAGCAGAAACAGGTTAAATATCACATGTTAGTCATGGTTTTTGAGGTTTTTGCCTATACGTCTTTTAATGTATTTAAAAGCAACTTGTTTATGATGATTTCTGTGTAATTTTATATCTCCTTGCTAATTTATACCAAGATGATGATATGATGATGATGTAATCGGGGAATAAATAAATTTTATATAAAACTGTGTTTACTAAAAAGAATTAATAAGAATCTTGAAATATTTAATTCCTTCATTAGCATAACATTTAGAGTTCCCCTATTTTTGTCCTCATAATAGTATTTGAATGCTCCACATTTAGAATATCATCTTTGAGTTTTTGTGATATCATAAAATCCTGAGAAGAATATTAAAATAACTATTCAATATCATATATGGATTTTTCTATGGTAACTTTTTAATACAGAATATTTATATGTTAAAAATTAGATTTTGCTCGAAAAAATAATTTCATGATTTTTTTAAGAATACAAATCCAAAATCCAAAAAAGTCTTATAAAAATGCAAGAACCTATAGAGACATGTCATTTATACAAATACTTTTTCACTCAGCTGCTCACATATTTGAAAATATCTATTGAAAATGAAAAGCAAAATGTGGATCTCACTTAACCTTTCATATAAAATACACATTCTAATTTACTGAAATCAATTTACATTCCATTACAGGGGTTCAACATAGACATCTTCAAGTTTTGCTATAAGTTCTAAAAGACAATGGTATAGAAAGCAAGAAAAATAACCAAATGACACATAGAAATAATAGTAGCAAATGTTTGTGTTTTTCTTTACAGAATAGTAGTACTTTTGTTAGCATTTTCTATGCTGGCAAGTTTGTACCTTCACAAGTCTGTTAGTGGTACACAGTTTTTGCTGTGTTCTTTAATTATAGCTGTAACTTTATTTCTCATGCATATCCTTGTATGATTATATTAAATAATAGAAAGATATATGAGAGGCAATGTATCTATATCATGACTCTGATAATATTCTTGCCTGTCACCACAGAAACCTTGATCACGGTCACACATTTCAACAAAGATAGAAAATACAAGAATATCAAGACTTTCATCTCCACTCTAACTCTTGTTTTATTTTGACATAAAAACAAACATTTACTTGATGTTACTGCTTTACTTACATCAGTTATATGCATAGCCCACCTTTATTCATGTTTTGCTCTACAAAAATATGTCTTGGCAATGTGCACATTGGCAAATGGAATTGAGCCCAGCAAATGAGTTCAACAAATGTGTTGATTTTTCTTCTAAAAATATGTGCTAGACAGATTGTTGTAATTCTAATGGCCATATTATTATATTGTAAAAATTATGCTGACTCTGTCTCTAATAAATTTATTCTGTATAATTATTCATAGCTATCAGCTTAACAGTTTTCTAAAAAACTCTTCATCGACTATACCTTCAAATAGATTAAACTCCCTTTTATTTCCCTTGGCAATAGTGTGTTACATAGGTCACAATAATGGGATAACCTTTATGATTCATTTTATCGTGACTCATAACTAAAAAACAGTGCAAATGTGGCCCATGTTCTACTTTGCTTCATATTTTAGGGAAGTTTGAATTTGTTAGCAAATCCTTTTAGCTGTTTATTGTTTGAAGGCTAAAACATTAATCTTTCAACAGAAATAAAAATTGTTTACATACATGTGCCCATTTGCTTTGTTTCTAGTGATATAAAAACCACTAAAAATTAGCAATTAAGAGAGGCTACAGGACCGGGCACGGTGGCTCACACCTGTAATCCCAGCACTTTGGGAGGCCGAGGCGGGTGGATCACTTGAGGTCAGGAGTTTGAGAACAGCCTCACCAACATGGTGAAACCGATCTCTACTAAAAATACAAAATTAGCCGGGCATTGGTGGCAAATGCCATTAATCGCAGGTACTTGGGAGGCTGAGGCTGGAGAATTGCTTGTACCTGGGAGGCAGAGGTTGCAGTGAGCTGAGATCGCGCCATTGCACTCCAGCCTGGGCAACAAAAGCAAAACTCCGTCTCAAAAAAAAAAAAAAAAAAAAAAAAAAAAGAGAGAGACAGAGAAAGAGAGAGAGGCTGCATAATAGTGGATATAGAACATACTATAGTTTTTTCAATCATCCTAAAAAAATTTGTTCATGTTGCATTTTGACATGAAACTGTGTGACCTAAAACTAAAATAATACTGAATCATACTAAAGTTCTTTGTGTTAGAATTTTTCAGTAAGGAAAAAAATTGAATGTATACATACTTTTTTGTTGTTGTTTCTTACAACTTTAGTTAGCCATTTTCATCTAAACTCTTCAGGCTATCTTTTCAGATGTACTATAGATTTTGTTAATTGTCACAAAATTATAAAGAGTAAAATGCACACATATTCAGGGTACAGTTTGATGTGTTTTAACAACTGTATACAGTCATTTAATTAATATGCAATCAAAATAATGAACTCTGCTACCACGTTAAATTGTTCCCTTCTGCCCCTTTGCAATTAATTCCCATTCACCCTTCCTGATCCAGCCTCAGCCACTATTCTGATTTCTTGCCCCAAAGATTAGTTTTTCCCGTTCTGTGACTTCATGTAAGTGGAATCATACAATACGTATTGCTTTGCATCCTGCTTCCCTTGCTCAACATGTTTTTGAAGTTATCACGTCTATTATGTGGTACCTTCCTGTTGTCTAGTATGATTTTGTGTAAATATCCCACATTGTGTTTATCCAATCTTCTGTTAGTTAACATTTTTGTTATTTCCAGGTTTTCTCCCTGTTTTGGTTACTATGAATGAATATGTAATAAACATCTTTGTTAAAAGTTATTATGATAAATGTAAGTTTTAATTTACTTTATAGACTAAATAGCTGGGAATGTGTGCCGGCCACTGATTTATAACTCTCAGTTCCAAATTCACAAATGTAGCCTGCTTTGCGAAAATGGATCTCAGTCATTTCAATTGACACAATGTTAAAGTTTGTCAATAGAGGGCGCCAGGAACACATTGCAGGAGGAAGGGAGGTTGCTAGAGGGTGCCTCTAGCAGGTTTCTACCTGTGGGCAACTTCTCCAGCCTTCACCTCCTACAACACATGGAGCTAAAGCATCCAACTCCTGCCCTACATGACAGGCAGCAGCACCCAATAACCAACACCTTTTCCTGGCCATTTTGCCCTGGACAGTTTTGTAGGCAAGTACTTCCAATGAGACATCGCTCCAGGAACAGCTTTCCCCAGCACCCCTGAGAATAGTTTGTAGACCAACTCCAAGGAGTCGATTTCCAGCGGGTTTCACAGACACAGCAACCTCCGCTCTTCTTTGCCCAGTGAGCTTGGACTGCACCTTTTCCTGAGGTTCTTGAATTCTCTAGCTTGGCGCTTAAGGGTAGTGGCTGCCTATTCTATCTGCTATTCCTGTATTCGTTAGAGTTCTCTTTACTTATAATCTCTTGTTATATTTCATTATTTTTATATTAAACTTTCCCTGGACAAATTGTTCGTAGTTTCTTTCTTTTGATTGAAACAGGACTGAGAGTAGAATTGCTGAATCTTATAGTCAGTGTATGTTTAATAAACACATTGTGTCATTTTACACTCCTACCAAAATTACGGACGTTTTCTAGATACCCCATATTTTCTCTAGCATTAGATATTACGTCGTTTTCACGTTTTTTAACCATTCTAACGTGTGCTTAATAGTTTCTGTGGTTTTTGATTTGCAAATCCCTGAAGACCAATAATTGTTAAGCATCTTTTCATGTGCCTGTTGGCCATTTATATGTTATCTTTTGTGAAATGCCTTTCTAAATCTTTTGCCCATTTAAAAAAAATAGGTTATCTTTTTATCACTGGTTTACAAGAATCTTTGTATATTTAGGATACATGTCTATTGTCAGATAAATGCACTGCAAATATATTCTTCTCTACTCTGTTTCCTACTTTTTATTCCTTAGCTTTGTCATTCGAGGAGCAGAAGTTTTTAATATTGATAAAGTGCAGTTTACAATTCTTCAAATTTTAATGCTACTAAGATTAATCAAATTAATTAATCTACCTCAAATTAATGTTTGTGTCCAATGTGAATAATAGTCAAGGTTCATTTTCTTCCTCATATTGCTATCTAACTTATTCAGCACCATATGATGAAAAGATTTGCCTTCCTTCACTGAATTACACAGAAATACTTTTATTTTCTTCCTTGTTGCCGTTAGCTATTGCCAGGAGTGCAATGTTGAATACAAGTCACAGAACTGGATGTTTCGCTCTTTTTTCAGTTTTAGAGTAAAAGCATTCCATATTTTACCAATAAGTGGTTTTATTTTTACAGCTTTAATGAGGTGTGAATGACATACAATGAACTACACATAATAAAATGTACAATTTGATAAATTGAGACATATATACAGTTGTGGCGTCCTCACCACAACCAGATTGATAAACATATTCATCTCCCTCAAAAGTTTTCTCATGTAAACCATGCCTCCTACCCCTCCTGACTTTCACCCCTTAAGCAACCAACCATCGCTGTTGGTAAGTTTGTGTTTTCTAAATTTTATGTAAATGGAATAATACTACTTGTGATCTTTTTTGTTAGGCTTCTATCACTTAACACAATTATTTAAAGATCCATCCACATTGTTGCATGTATCAGTTGTTCCTTTTGTTTTATTGCTGAGTGATACTCTTTTTTATGGATATAACATAATATTTCTTATCCATTTATCTGTTGACAGATATATGGGCTCTTTTCCTTATTTTCCTATTATAAATAAAGCTGCTATGAGCATTCATGTGTAAGTTTCTGTGTGGACATATGGTTTCATTTTTCTTGGGTAAATGCCTAGCAGCTAAATGGCTAAGTCATAGGCTAGGGTTTAACTGAGCATGTTAAGAAACTCCCAAACTGTTTTCTGAAGTGGTTATACATTTTATATTCCCACCAGCAGTGTACAAGAGAATTTCATTTGCTCCACATCCTTGAGAATCTTGAATGATTAGTCTTTTAAATATTAGTCATTCTAATTGGTGTATACTGGTAGCTCATAGTGGCATTAATTTGCATTTCTCTAATGACTAGTGAGGTTGAGCATCTTTTCATATGCTAATTTGCCACCCATATATTGTCTTTGGTGACTTGTCTTGAAGCTTTTGTCTATTCTTTAAAAGGTGTTCATTTTCTTATTATAGCCTTTTCTGAGCTCAGACATATCTTTTATTGCAGGTGTGATTTGCTAGTCTTTTCGCCAATCTACGTCTTGTTTGTTAATTCTCTCAGCAGTTTCTTTTGAAGAGCATACGTTCTTAATGCAATAGAACATCATTTTTTTCCTTTGTATCCTGTGTTTTTGGTGTTATATGTTAGAAAACTTTGCACAATTCAGAAGGTGTGTTATTATAGATGTTATATTTGCATTAAGATTTATTTTTAGTTAATTTTTCTATGTAGTGTGAGGTACAGATGGAAGTTCATTTGGGGGCATATGGATATCCAGTTTTTCTAGTATAATTTGTTTCACTGAGATGTCTATTTCTTTATTTAAAAAATCATTGAACCATTTATGTGAGGACTGATTCTTGGATTTTTAGTAATTTCAAAAGATGTAGAAAACATCATAGTCAGTAAAAATTAACATCCAGTTATGACTTTAAAATTTGGTAAATATGTATAGAAAAAATTGATAAAGGACAGCCACAAAAACCTATACACACATTATGTGTAAGGGTGAAATATATTTTTAAATTATCTTTATATTCATGAAAAATCAAGAAAGATTGCTATCTAATCAGTATGGTAAAACAAGAAAATAATAAAATTACATGATTATAAAGGAAAACAAAACTCATTATTCAAAGATAGCATGATTATGTATATAAAGAACCCACAGTGATTTACAGATCAATCATTAAAATTTATATATTTAGCCAAATTATCAATGCACAGTTAATTTAAAGATCATTGATTTTCTTTATACCAGAGAAAACAGAATGTGTCATCAAAAAAATTATGTTACTGATATTCATCAACTAGGATCTCACAAAAGATGTACTCAAAGTCCAAATGAAGAAAATGGAAATATTTAAATAAATGGAAATATGTACCATGCGTATAAAGAGAAAAAACCACTATTTTGAAATTGCAAATGCCTCACAAATTGATTTATATATTCACTTTCATTCTAATAAAAATTTCAAAATATATTAATGGAAATTGAAATGAAATTTAATAATTTAACAATTTATATGTAAGAACAAATGGTACAGAATAGCGTAGTTGCTCCTGAGAAAGAAAAAAAGGTCAGTGCTTTACCATACCAAATATCCAAGTTTATTAAGTGAGATTGACAAGGAAATTGTGTACTGGGGCAAAACAAGACAAATGGATCAATGAGAAAGTAGAGTACAAAGAAATACATTCATATATATTTGGACAATTTAGATTTGACAAAGATGGCAATGAAGATTAGTTGTAGAACTGATGAACTATTAAATAAACAGCGCTGGTAAAACTGATTATTTATATGACAAATTATATTAGAGCGCTATATCATCCTTCTTTTGTTATCCATTTCCAAAAGAACTAAAGATTCTATTGTGAAATGTATAACTGTAATGCCTTCATAAGACAACACAGTAGACTATATAAACTTGAAATGGAAAAATGATTTCGTCAAACCAAATACAAAGACATAAAACATAAGTTAAAAGTTTGAGCATTTCACTTACATTAAAATTACTAACATATATTAACCAGTAGACCAAAAGGTGATCAAAAAGTGGAAGAAGACATTTGTAATATACAAATGTGTTTGTGTGTGTATGTACTTACATACACATATATGTATATTTTTATAATAGCTTAATATAGATTTGTAAAGATTTTATAAAAATGATTAACAAAAAGATACATAATGTGAAAAAATTGAACAGAGCCTTCTAATAAGAGGATATATGAATAGCCCCAACGAAAAATGTTAAAAATATTTAACTGGCAAAGTAGAAGTTAACTATAGTAAAATATAATTTTATCATCAGTTTAATAAAAAATAAAATGTCAAGAAATAGAAAGTGTTGATGAGCATGTGAGCAACAAGAATTCTGCTGGTGGGAATATAAATGAGTACAATCACTTTGAAAAATAACTTAACATCATCCAGCAAAGTTGAAGATGGGCATACACACTGATCCAGCAATCCACCCTAGGCATTCACCCAGGAAAAACCTTCCAAATGTATCTCAGAAGACATGCTCAAGAATATTTATAACAGCTTTCATTGTCAAAACAAAGTAAAACCAAAACCCTGAAAACAGCATAATCAATGGGAGAATAGATAAATACATTTTACAGCAATACTACAATAAATGCTACACAATAATGAAAATAAATTATATGCATCTATAGGAATCAAGATGGATGACTCTGAGGAATATAAAGTGGGGTGAAAATGGAAGTCCTTAACATGTACAGCTAATACCATTTATATAAATTTGAAAATAGTGGAAAATTGAAAACATTATTGAATGTAGGCATATGAAGTAAACCCCACAAAGTAGGAATAAAAGGAATGAAAAACACAAAGGTCAGGATTGCATATCTTTTGAATGGAAAGGTATAAAGCTTTAATTACACCTAAATTTCTATTTCTTAGACTGCAGTGAATATATTACTGTTCACTCAGCTTTTATGCATTTTATCCTACACATGCATTATAAATATTCTTGTATGTATTTAATATGTAATGTGTTTTTAATTCGTAATCTATATTTAATATATTACAGAAATAAACAGTTAAAATGAAAACAATGAAATAATATTTTCAAATTTTCAAGGAAAATTTAAAAATAGATTATCATTATGGGCATAAAGTACTATGTAAATATGAAGATAGAATAAATATTATTTTGGTAAAAAGGCTTTAGAGTTTTGTCATAAAATGTTTGTTTTAAAAAGTAGCAATAAAAAAATCAGCAAAAAAGAAAAATAATCCACATAGGGAAAATTGAGCAGTGTGGATTAAGTGTAAATTAAAATAGTGAAATTTGTGGCAAAATTAATAAAGCAGAAGTATGTAAATAAAATAAATAATTTTGAAGCCCTCAACATGAAGTGAAATAAATTAGAATTTGGAAATACAATGAACAATTATTTTAAAATACACAAAATATTACTAAAACATAGTGTGCTTTTCAAGTGTTAACATATATTGTACTAAATATATGTAAGACTGAATCAAAGGACATGTTAAATTTATTAGTGTGGATATCTGTTAGTATAAAAAAAGAGGGGAGAGATGAAGCATAAAGCTGGTGGCAAAGCAACCCAGGGATAGAGGATAGAGAGAAGCAAAGAAGAAGCCTCTTGTCTATTCACGAAGATGGACAATGTGATTAACTCAGCCATGTGTATCTTAGGTTAGAAAGAGTCAATGTAATACTGTACCTATGAAGATTTACAGTGAATTGAGGAATGTAATGACTTAATTCTCAATAAATCATTTTTTAAAAAATGAATGAAAACAATGCCACTTAATGTTTGGGAATACAGTAAAGAAAGTGGTTAACTTTAGATTTTATTAAAAACGTACAGTTAAATTGCATATTAAAATAATAAGTCAACCCAGGGTCAGGGATGGAAAGTGGAGGATGTTCCTATAAGGGGTAATATAATTGCCAATTAAATATGTTATTTTAAGTCTTAACCAAATCAATAAGAGAAGAAAAATAAACAACTAAACTAGAAATAAATTAAAAGTTTTTGCAGAGCAGAGGAAACAATCAATAAAATGAAAAGGCAAGACACAGAATGGGAGAAAATATTTGCAAATCATATATCTGACTCAATATTAACCATCACATCTGACAAGGGATTAATATTAAATTTTAAATGGAACTTACGACTCAATAATCAAAAAATCCAATTAAAAAATGAGCAAAGGATATGAACAGACATTTTTCCAAATAAGACATAAGAAATGTTCAAGAGGTATACGAAAAGGTGCTCAACGTCATTATTTAACAAGGGGATTTCAATCAAAATGCAATGTCATCTCACACTGGATGGCTATTATCAAAAAGCCAAAAGATAAGAGACATTTTTGAAAATGTAGACAAATGGGAAACCTTCCTTATACATTGTTGGCAAGAATGTAAATTGGCACAGCTATTATTAAGAACATTATGGAGCATCCTAAAAAATTTTAAAATATTATTATTATATTTCTAGAAATGTCACTTCTGGGGATACATGTGTATATATACGTGTTTATGTTTATGTGTGAGTGTGTGTATATATATAGGTCCAAAAAATCATTATCTTGAAGAAATCTCTGCAATCCTTATATGTATTGATTACAGCATTATTTATAATAGTCAGGATATGGAAGTAACCCAAGTGTGCATTGATAGATGAATGGATAAAGAAAATGATATATATATATATACACATGCTCTATATATATACACACTCCTTATGTATATGCACAATGTAATATTATTCAGCCTTAAAAAAGAGAAAGTTCTGTGTTTTGCAACAAAATGGATGGACCTGGAGAATATCATGCTAAGCAAAATAAGCCAGACACAGAAAGACAAATACTACATGATCTCAGTTATATATGGTCAAACTCATAGAAAAAGAGTCAAAGGATGATAACCAGAAATGGAGGGAGGGAGATGAAGTGTTAAACCAAGGATACAATTTTGCAGCTGTGAGATGAGTAAGTTCTGGAGAGCTAATGTACGGCATGATGACTGTAGTTAATAAGAATGTGTTAGGTACTTGAAATTTTCTAAGAAAGTAATCTTAAGTGGGCCAGGCGCCGTGGCTCATGCCTGTAATCCCAGCACTTTGGGAGGCCGAGGCGGGCGGATCACGAGGTCAGGAGATCCAGACCATCCTAGCTAACACGGTGAAACCCCATCTCCTAAAACTACAAAAAATTAGCTGGGCATGGTGGTGGAGTAGTCCCAGCTACTGGGGAGGCTAAGGCAGGAGAATAGCGTGAACCCTGGAGGCTGAGCTCGCAGTGAGCCAAGATCGCACCACTGCACTCCAGCCTGGAGGACAGAGCGAGACTCCATCTCGGAAAAAAAAAATTAACCTTACGTGTTCTCACTAGACACACACACGCACATACACACACACAGAGAAAGGTAAACAAATGAGGTGATGGATATGTCTATTAGCTTGATTGTGGTAATCATTTCACAACATAAAGGTTATATCAAAACCTCACTTTAAATACCTTAAAATATACAATTGTTATTTGTTAATTATGCCTAAAGAAAACTGAAAACTTTTATATGGATATATAAAGAATCTAAACGAGCATCTGGAGACTGCCAGACTCTAGACTGAGTAATAATTTTTATGCCCAGGGCTGGGGAGCCACAAAAAAAAACAGCCAAGGCCTGCACACCCCACCTTTCAGAGGAGCTGGTTTGACTGTCTGAACTGCTATCTTACATGGCTTTCCTCTACGCAATGAGATTGTTTGTCACCTGTTTTTTAGGGAGAGAGTGGAGGTCAGAATTCACAGATGCCTGCATGTTGGTCATTCATCATTGAGCAGAAGCACTAGTCTCATGTTTCTCAGGATTCTGTTCAGTGTGGTCCATAGAGTGAGACACACTTCTTCATCAGTCGGGGATACACATGCTCAGGACATTCTTCTTGGGCATTCAAGCAGTGCAGTATCTGGAGGCCTGTGCTCAGAAAGGTCACATGCTTGCAGTGCCTTTTGCAAATTCTTAATAATTTTATTTTTAAGTTTGTGTTTTGGACATGAAGTCTGGTAAGACTAGGGAGCATGTTCAGGGCACATTTCACAACATAAAGTGGGCCCCTTATGCCCACTTGACCCAGGCTACTCTTCCCCAAACTTCTCTCTTGACACAATGGTATGGGGGGAGGCCTACCTTCCATCGTAGTCCTCCACACTTGGAGGAGGCTGGGCATTGGCAAGCAGAGAGTGAAAAGGGCATGGTTGCACTGCCACTGGCCTCTTGATGGTAGGGCAAGAAAGTGGCCATTCCCTCCAGCCTTGTGCTTCCACAAGGGTTTGGCTCTCACCTACCCATGATCTAGGTTGGTGAGTGTCCCCAGAGCAGAGGTTGCAATCTCCTGAGGGTCTTCAATCATCTGTGCATTGAAGTAGTCCCGCCATGAAAAGATATATTGATTTCCCTGCCCCTCTCAGAGTCCTGCCTTTTTGTTTTGCACTGGGCCCTACAAATATGTAGCTGGCCCTGTCTATAATGTCTATAATCCCCCAAAACAGATATGAGTTGCTAGAGATGGGTAATCTTCCAGTCTTATATGGAGATTTGATAGAATACCTGAAGATTCTCCACCACAGGACAGAAGGCTGGTGAAATAGAGTCCCACAACAGTAGCCACCATTTGTGGATGGCATGCTCTGCCAGGCACTGTTAGGTCCAGAATATAAGAATTCTGTAAGGTCAATACTATCATCCTCATTGTACTGATGGCAAAACAGAAAGGTTACATAATTTCTTCAAGTGGCAGAGTTTGTTAGGAAAACCTGTTTAGGAAAGGAGATCTTGGACTTGAGCAGTTCCAGGATGGGACTCTTAAGGAGAAGTAAGAATGATTAAAGGCATAGAACATACCATAGTGTGGCCCCTTTTAGGGCCTATGGGTATTTTCATTTAGCAAGTATGATTTGAGCTTAGGTGCAGCTTTCAGAAGGGAAACTAGAGACAGCAGCAAGGAATCAGACGGAGAATCAGAGCAGACGGTTAGAAGCCTTGTTTGCCTTTAGGCAACTGGGATTCAGTGGATGTTTTTTGGCAGGAGAGTAAGATGAATAGACTTGCATTTTAATAAAAATCATTCCTCCATAGGATGGAGGGTGACTTGGTTGGTATGAGAGCCAAGGGAAAATTTATAAAGACTAGATGGAGGCAAGAGTAGTTTTGTTCCAACGAAGAGGAATGAGCTGAGAAGTTCAGGTGGGTGGAGAAGGGAGAGGATGGGGTCACCTGTGCCAAGGTGGTTGAGTACAGGGAAGAGAGTGATCAATCATGTCTAATGCTGCAGAAACATAAGAGGTGTTTTCACACTCTTAGGTGTTGCCATTAAAAGGTTGTGGTGAATTTTCCTAGTGCAACTTTACTAGTGTGTTTGATGTGAAAGTCTTATTTTGTGACTTAGGTGTAAGTGGGATTTGAAGATGTAGCCACAGTAAATGGAGTATATTTAGTTTCATCCGAAGGCAAGAGACAGGAGAAAGTGGCATGAGTGTGAAACCAGTTGCATGTAAGGAGGTTTTGCAATTTTTTTTAAGAAAGAATTTCCTATCTCATATTCCCAAAGTACATTTTTAAAAAGACTTCTGCTAAAGCATTTACGATGTTTGCCTTTCTAATGATAGATTTAAGTATTTACCTATGACTGTAATCTCAGCTAGTTGATGAGCTCTTGGAAGACCAGGATTATATTTTATTCATTATTTTAATCCCCATAGCATGCAAATTTCTAGATGCATATGAAATAAGAATTTAATAAAATTTAATTCATCAGCATGTAGTATTTCATCTTTCAAATGATTCTCAAACATTTAGCCTTGAATTGCAAATCTTGTCCACAGTAAAATGTAAAATACCCCAAGTGGGTCTTTCTGATGAGAGGCAGCTCAGTGTTGAGCAGTGATTCTTAAAGTGTGGTGCTCAATCCAGCAGCATCAACATCACCTGGGACATTGTTGGAAATACAGATTCTCCAGTCCCACCCAAGATTACTGAATGGAAACTCTGGGGATGGGGCCTCACAACCTGTCTTTCTACAAGCTCTCCAAGGAATTTTGATTTGCCCTAACATTGAGAGAATCATTGAGGTAGAGAAACACAATCCTTGGATTTAATCATATCTGTTTCACACCTCATTTTTGGCACTTACAAGCCAAGTGCAGTGAGCATGTTATTAATGATTCCATAATGCAGTTTTCTTGAGCAAGGAAGGTGGGGGTATCCGGAGAAATAGCTGCAAGAATTGAGTGACAAGCATTTAGGTCGCTATTCGATACAATGTTGATATTAAATAAATACCATTTTTCCCATTCAATATACAATGTGCAATGATGGAATTATGGCTTAATAGAGAAGCCTAGAAGTAGCAAAGTAAAAACAAGAGTGGTGGGAATCAATGTAGGCTGAAAGCTTACTTTTCCCCATTTATTATTCGGTCCTGGGTATTTTCATCTAATATTATCTAGATTTGAACCAAGCCCATTTCCTTCAAAGTCTATTTTACTTTTACCATCGTTCCAGTTACCCTTATGCCAAGAATGAGTTCATTAGTTACAAATACAAATAAAATGAAAGGCTTTTATACAAAAGTCAGCTTTTCACTTCACAGTCTTAAATTCTTTTCTATTTTTAAACTAGGAGAAAAATAACATCCTATGGTGAATGCTTTAATAGCAAAATTCTAAATAAGGAAGATTTCTCATATTTGAGGAAAATAAAGGCACTAATGCTTGTTTGCCCTGTAAATGCTTTTTATCATCTTGCAGGAATGGGAAGATAAAAGGATCAATCACAGGGAAAGGCATGCATTTTTCAGAGCTTTGTCTCTTACTTTTGTTCAGCTTTAGCAAGGGTATTAAAACAGCATCCTATAAACAGCACTTATTCATACTGCTCACAATTTCATATAGCTTTCCCTGATCCTCTATCTGTAAATGCAAGGTCAGCTTAACACCGTTATGAAGAAAACCCTTCTGAAACCACACCTCTCCCTTTCTTTCATGCTTCAAATATATATCTCTGAGCCCTGTTCTTGAATTGACTTACATTTAAAAACAATTCAATCATGGATTGATCAGCTGATCCAGTGATATACAGACTACAGCTTGCTCTTGCCATTGTTTCTTTTTGTTGCTAGTGGGCCTTTGTTTGAATCCTGCAGCATCAGCCCTGACTGCAATAGCTGATTGACTGAGCTATGCGACAGGGCACAAAATAACAAAGGAAGAAAAATATGAACAGTTAGTGAAAGAAGCCCCGGGAAAAGACATAAATAAACGTAGCATACCCAATACTGCAGCGCTGGTAGAATCCTAACCAGGGCAAGATAAACCAGGTAACTGTGTCTTTATTTTAATGTTTGAAAGGTGAATTCAAGGAGACATATTGTGTTCCAAGAACTACGGTAAGCCTTCAAATGATCATTTTCTAAACACATGAAACAAATACACCCACTCATAGATAATGCTGAACCTAAATAGTCTTCACACTTCGGGCTCTTTTAGATAATATGATAATGAATATTTTAAAGAAGTCCACATAGATAATAGTCATCAAGTCAATAAATACAGACAGGCTACGTCTATGCTAACATTTGCATATAAATCCATTTGAGTGAAATATTAAAAACTCAGCATTTATTTAGCCTTTTCCATGAATTTGAATAAGACCTAATAAAATTTCTAAATTTTCTGTGAGGTTTGTATACACACAAGGAAATCATGGCCTTTTAAAATCTCAAGGTTGGAAAGGACCTTAGAGGTCAGATGATCCAGCTTTTTTTTGCAATGAGTTGTTTGGGAAAAGCATTATTATCAAGTGTTCTCTACTGAAGACCTGCATACAATGGGTAACTTGGGAAGAAGCTCAGCATCTTGGCACTTTGATGACAATTTATATAGCAAGTTCAGACAAAATGCTTTAATCAGCGAAAAAGATCATTTTGAGCTGGATGCCTTTTGCAAGAAAGCACAGCATTTATATTGAATCAAATGAAGAGATTTCCTTAAAATGATTTTGTTTACATTGAAGTGGGCTAATTTCTCAAGACTTCCTTCTCTGCTCTCCTTCTTCTTCTCCTTCCTTCTCTTTCTCTTCTCCTTCCCTCTCTTTCTCTTCTCCTTCTCTCCCTCTCTCTCTTGCTTTCCTACTTCCTTCCTTCTATAAGATAAATATTAGTTAAAAGCTAATTACGGAATCCATTTCAGGAATCATTTAGAAGTACACTTAATAAAGCTATGTAGACAAAAATATGAGGCTGAAGAGAAAGAGTGAGTTGGAGCTAGACTGTTCTGTGTGAGAAATTAGCAGAATTTATGTGTGGGTACAGTCAGATGGGAGATGGGAAGAGGATCTGAGCAATTGTTCTGAAATAGCTACCTGTGAAGAATTCTCAGAAGCTAGAATGAGTAACAGATATTTATGACCAGTTAAAATTCAATTTCTAAAAATGTTTGCTGGGCAGTGCTGTAATATAATGCCTTTCTGTTTCCTCAAGACATTAATCAAGTATGCTAACATTAAATAATTTTGTGTTAAGTGCGGTTGAATGAAAATAAACAAAGAAATGAACAAAACCTGCTTCCTTTCTGGACTGACACAGGGCAGAGAGAAAAATCATAGAAAATTAGTAATGATTAAGATCAAGATTTCAGCAGGAATTCATAGCTAAAATTTATTGCAGAAATAGACCAAACATTGTGTTATGGGCTTCCATCAATTTTCTTTTTTAGTCTATTGAAAAAATTGATGATTTTTCTCATATTCTAAATTGAGAAAATAGAAACATGAAGAAATTAAGTTGTTTCATTGAAGGTACGCAATTCCAATGGGCTTCAAATCCAAGGAGTGAGGTATCAAACACAGAAAATAGATACATATTAGATAGATAGATGATAGATAGATAGATAGATAGATAGATAGATAGATAGATAGATGCTAAATAAATGCTTTTTCCAAATAAAATATCTAGGTTTTCCTTACTTCAAAAGATTATCGCTAATGTGTCTTAAAACAGAGCCATTGAACAATCTCTCCTGCAATGGAACTGCCCTTACATGATTCACACACACTTGGAGTGGTAGTTTAATGACTGTCTTCAGCTTTACAGTTTTCACATCCTGTATTATGAATGTACAGGAAGAAGTTGTAATGCATTTAAAGGACCTTTTGCTTGTTGAAATAAACTCAAAGTGTAATAGTACATATGCTGTTTCTTCAATCTCTGGTCCATGCAACTCCAAATAATTAGATTCTAATCACACTTGTGCCAATCTGCTTTTGTCCTTGAAAGGGATCCCATGCCTTACATGCCAAATTACTGATTGTAGAGAAAATATGGAAATTACAAAGATATGTTCATTTATTGATCATGGTGGCTCTCAGAAGTGTCTCAGTAAACTAAAACAAAAGGTTTATCCATGGACCTTTTAATAGGTTTAATCTTTATTTTCTCTTGGTTTTGTGTTTCCAGATACTATGCTCTTTGGAAGACTTACCTTTATAAAAATTTTTGCTCTTTTCTAAAGGAACAGAAATAGTTTCTTTTAAAAATCTTCTTTAAAACATCAGTAAACATGATTAACTTCAAAGAAATTTTATACAAGTGAAAAGAAACATGAAAAAATGGCATATACAATGCAGTTTCATTATTTAAAAAGTAAATGTATTTAACTTCTGCTTCTAGCAGAGTTGAAATTATAATAACTAGAGTTACCCTCTTTCTTGAAACAACTAAACAATAAGAAAAGTATATGAAACAACAGTTCTTAAGCAATTGTACATCAAGCAATAAAGGGCAGTAATTTCTGAGAGACAGGACACAAACAAGGATGTAGCTATGATTTCTCCAGCTTAATGTCTAGAGCAACTTTCTATGCTGTGGAGCAGGGCCAAGGAGGGCAATATCCTGGCAGAGACTATCTGTCTTCCAGAACTGAAAAGACTAAGCTAAGAGTTCAGGGAAGCCAAAGGGGCTAGAATTGACAGGACAGAATATGGGAGAGAAAGCTGAATAAAGAGAGAACTCTAGAGATTTGTAAATGTTCTCCTCAAGTATTTTCTTGAGTATTGATTAATCTTTATATGTCACTAAATACCTGAGGTGAAAAGAACCACATGAAAGGACTAAGGGAACAATGCCCAAATCATACAAAGCTGAGAAGAGTACTTATTCCCCACAGCCAGAGTGGAAACCCTTATAACTCACTGGGCATTGGTTAGAATATTAAGAAGGGTTATGTCTTCTGGGAGGGAATAATTAATCCTAGAGGAAATGCTTCTTTGGTCATGCCTAATAAGACCCAACAGAATCAAACCCTTTTTAAATTAACTACAGCCCAGAACTAAACCCAAAAATATTTTGGGGAATACAAAAATAATCAGCTCTCATCAGGGCAAAATGTGTAATGATTGGGATCTAATTAAAAAATTGCCAGGCATGCAAAAAGTAAATATTTAAAAGGATATTATATGTGTGTTTCCTATGTTCAAAAATCTAGAGGATATATTGGACATATTAAATGGAGACATGGAAATATAAAAGTGTCTCAAATCAGATTTCTAAAGATTGAATTTCTAATACCTGAGATGAAAAAAATTTACTGGATGACATTAATGGCAGATTATAAACTGCAGAAGAAAAATTGATAACTTGAAGACAGAAACAGAATCAATCCACAACGTTAACACACATACACACAAAGAATTAAACAAAAGACATAAAAAAGCATAAATGAACTGTGAAAAAGCTAAATATATGTGTAGCTGGAGTCCTGGAGAAATAAGAATAGGTAGAAAAAAAATTTGTAAAAAATATTAGTTCACAATCTTCCAACTTGGATGAAAGTGAATATCTACAGATCCAAGAATGTGAATGAATCACTTAACTGCAAGTTCAAGAAACATGAAGAAAATTATACAAGGCATATAATAATAAAACTGCAACAGCCAGCCACAAAGAATGTAAAGAAAATCTTTAAAACAGGCAGAGAGAAAAACAAACAGATATCACATAAATAGGAACAGATATAAGAATGACAACAGATTTCTTTTTGGAGGTAATGTAAGTAGGATGTGAAGCACAATTTTTAAAGTACTGAAAGAAATAAAAAATCTACTTAGAATACTTTACCCAACAAAAATATCTTTCAAACATGAAAGTGAAATAAAGACATTTTCAGAAATAAAAAAGCTAAAAGAATTTATCACAATCAGATTTGCAAAAATGTATTAAAGTAAGTCCTTTAAACAGAAGGAAAGTGACAGTGACTGGAAACCAGGATTTAAAGGAAGGAAGAGCAATAGGCATGATAACTACCTTTATAAATACAGAGATTTTTTTCTTATTATTTAAATATTTTGAAGACATAATTCAATGTTTTAAGCAAAAATGAGAGCAATGTATTGTGGAGATTATAGCATGTGGAAATAAGATGATAGCAATAGCACAAAGGCTTGGAAGAGAAAAATGGAAGTTGTTATGCATATGTAAAGTAACACAATATCAATTTAATATACATTCAGATAAGTTACAGATATGCGCAATAAATCCTACAGAACAACTAAACATGAATAATGGTTGATGAGTCAACAAAGGCGATAAAATTGAATAATAAATAATACACAGTCCAAACATGGGAAAAGGGAATGAAGGAATAGTTAAGACCAAAAAGAAAAAATCAAAAATTTTAATTATGCAAGATGAGTAAGTTCTAGAGATCTGCAGTACAACATAGCAATATTGTTAGAGTTAACAATATTGTATTGTGCACTCTTGTTAACAGAGTGTATCTCATATAAAGTTCTTACTATTAAAACAATGGGTAGGGGATACAAGGGTAGTATTGGAAATAAAGGACATGTCTATTACCTTGATTGCAGTGATGGTTTCATAGGTGTGTGCATATCTCCACACTCATGAAATCACATACGTTAAATATGTGCAGTTTGTTGCATATCAATTATGTCTCAACAGAGCTGTTAAAAATAAGTGAGTAAATATTATCCGCAAGATTTAAACAAGATTTGGAAGAAGGACTCCATATATAGCAGTGTGGAGATGAAAGGGTATATATGCCCTCTTTTAAGACATAGACTTGTGAGGAGGTATTAAATGAAGAACAGTAATGTGGAAATTCATAAACTTGAGTAGAATTGCACTGGGGAGTAGGTGGAAATGAAGAGAGGTAGAAGGGATTCATTGTATGACCATACCACAGACTGCCTAGCCAGAGAGGTGGAATAAATAATCTCCAGAAGCAGAACAATATATTGGCTCAGCCTCAGTTAGAACAGAGATGAAGCACTTCATCTATTTCTCTGCCACCATGAGTCGCTCAACTGTAGGACATTTCACTGGTGATGTTCAGGTGTTCAGGAAGTAGACTTATTTTCATATCAGCTATTTTTCACTGAAATTTTAAGAAATTCCTATTCTAATTTAGATGAGGTAGAACCATGCTCATGCTGGAAAAAGAAAGTAACACAAAGGAAAAAGAAGAGGAAAAATCTAGCCTAGGGTTAAGAGGAAAAGATTAGTGACATGGAACAAGTTCATCTTTCTGTATTAATTTTACTTTTTGTTAAAGAGTGGGTAATACTTATCTTGAGCTACTTATGAAGCTTAAATAAAATATGTATGAAATACTTAGCACAATGTCTGGTACATGGTTAATTTTCCATAACTGGAAAGTATAACTTTTAGACTTCAGAAAGGAGATTTCTTCAAAGAAAAATATATTTTCTTTTCTCTAGGTTCTCAAAATTTGGCAGCAAAATCTAATTATGACAGCTTATATAAAAACCTTGATTCATTGTAGTTAATTAAACTGAAGAGTCCAACCATAATAATTTAGCTTTTTTTTTTCTTATTTCTAATGAAAAAGTCCACCCAGGGAGAGTGACATGGATTTTCTGTTATATATCACAAAACAGAATGTAAAAGAACCAGGTTGATCAATGATGTCTTTTTTGTCTCCTGTAGCACTGCACTCAAAGACTTTCATAAATATAGATCAGACTTTTCACAAATCAAGAAAAATTTAGGTAAAAAATATTGGCTTCTATTTTCTTATATTTCTACAATAAACTTGCATCAACTGTGTGATAAAAAGTTGATTTAAAGGTTAATAGAAGAAATAAAGTAAAATTGGCTTTAAATAAAAAATAGAAAGATGGTAGATTTAAACCCAATAATAGCAATAATCATTAAATATTAATGTCCTGAACATCCAATTAAAATGCAGAGATTGTTGGAGTGGATAGAAATGCAAGATTCAACTCTATATAAATTGTACAATATATCCAGTTTAAATATAAAAACACAAATAGGTGAAAAGTAGGAAAAACAAAAAATACTATGCCAACACTAAAGGAATATTGTAGTTACTATTTTGACATCAGAGAATGTACGCTTTAGAATAAAGAATATATCAGAGTTAAAAAAGTAAATTTTATAAAAGGTCATAAAAATCCTAAGTGTTTATGTACCAGATAGCAGAGCTTTAAAATACATGAAGCGAAATCTCATAGAATGGCAAGGAGAACAGACAATCTACCAATAAAGTCAGAGATGTTATTATCTTCCTCTGAGTAACTGATAGGAGAAATAAAAAGATAATGAACAAGTACGTAACAGACTTGAATAATGCTATAAAATAATTTGTCCGGATGGATATTACAGAATACTTCATCCAACAAGAGCAGAATGCACACCCATTTAGGTTCTCCAAAAAAAAAAAAAAAAAAAAAAACTCATTTATTAAAATAGACCATATTTAGGACTATAAAATGAGTCCCAATAGAATTTCAAAAATTCAGATCATACTAAAGAAATTCTCTTATCATAAAATATAATTAAATTAGAAATCAACAACAGAAAATCTCAGGAAAATTTCCAAATACTTGAAAATTCAATAACACTTTTGTTCATAATCTATGAGTCAAAGTAGAACTCAAAGGAAAGTTAGAAATGATTTTGAATGGAATAAAATTCATAACACAACCTATCAAAATTTGTGTATGCAGGTAAAGCTGCACTTAAGAAATTTACAGCACTAAGCACGTATTTTAAAACAGGAAAATGGCCCTAGTTTCTACGATATAAGCAAAAAAACTGAAGAGCCAATGAAATCAATTATACAATAGAAAAAAATTGATAAATATTAGAGTGAAATTTAATAAAATTGAAAACAAAACATACATACAAATAAATTAAAGAAAACCAAAACCAGGTTCTTTGAGATCAATAATATTGATTTAGCCAGTCTGATCAAGAAACAAAGTAAAAATATAAATTATAAATACCAAGAATGAGAGAAATGATACCACCACATATTTTACAGACATTAAAAAGTATAATACAGGAGTATTATGAAAACATTTACTCAAATATATATATATATTAGTAAAATACATTTTTTAAAATGTACAAACCACCATCTCTCATTCTACAAGAAATTAAAACCTGAAAAGCTTTATATCTATAAGAAACATATAATTTGTTGTTAATTTTTTTTTAAAAAAAAGCAACAATCTTGGTTCAAATGTTTTCACTGGTGACCTCTATATAAACAATGTATGTTCTATCCATATTTTCCCCCCAAAATTGAGAAGAAATAAATATTATATTACTAATACTATTACTAATGCAAAAATTATATGGGGATATTTCAAGAAAGAAAATGCATAGATCAATATTCCTCATGAACATAGATGTAAAAAGTCTTAGCAAAATTTTTGCTAATAAAATTCAACAATATATAAAAAAATATAATACATCGTGACAAAGTGGAATTTACACCAGAGATGCAAGTTTGGTTTATCGTTTCATAATAAATCAATGTAATTTACTACATTATCAAATTTAAAAACCATATGATCATCTCAACAAATGTGCAAATGCATTTTACCAAAACAAAATTAAAATAAAGAAAAACCCCTCAAGACTTAAAGAAAAAGCAACAACACTTTTAGCAAACTAAGAATACAAGGAAAGCTTCTCAAGCTTGTAAAGGATGTCTGCCTAATTAGTACTTAATGAGAAAAAACTAACTGCGTTCCTTTTAAGATTAGCAATAAAGTAAGCATGTTTATTCTCCCTACTTGTTTTCCACATTGTACCAGAGCTTCTAGTTAGTACAATAACATAAGAAAAATACATAAAATACATTTATATAAAAAAAGACGTAAGCTTAGGTTTATTTTTTTTTAAATTTACTTTAAGTTCTAAGATACATGTACAGAACATGCAGTTGCGTTACATAAGTATACGTGTGCCATGGTGGTTTACTTGCAGACAAGATAATTGTTTTTGTGGAGAATCACATGGAATTTACTAAAGTGCTACTAGAACTAATGAGTGAATTTAGCAAGCTTGCAAGATACATGATAAATACGCAAAAAAAAAAAAAAGGAATTCATGTTAGGTACAAAGAATCAGACATTGAAATAAAACAAAATATCATACTTAATAATGAATTATTTACCTGAAAAAGGACTTGTATCCAGTGTATTAAAAAATTCTGCATCAAGAATATAAAAACTGAAAAAGAGAAAACAAAAAATTTTAATTAAACTAAAGAGCTTCCGCACAGCAAAAGAAACTATCATCAGAGTGAACGGACAACTGATAGAACGAGAGAAAATTTTTGCAATCTATCCATCTGACAAAGGGCTAATATCCAGAATCTACAAAGAACTTAAACAAATTTATAAGAAAAAAAAACAAACCCATCAAAAAATGGGCAAAGGATATGAACAGACACTTCTCAGAAGAAGACATTTATGCAGCCAAAAGACATATGAAAAAATGCTCATCATCACTGGTCATTAGAGAAATGCAAATCAAAACCACAATGAAATACCATCTCACGCCAGTTAGAATGGCGATCATTAAAAAGTCAGCAAACAACAGATGCTGGAGAGGTTGTGGAAAAATAGGAATGCTTTTACACTGTTGGTGGGAGTGTAAATTAGTTCAACCATTGTGGAAGACAGTGTGGCAATTTCTCAAGGATCTAGAACTAGAAATACCATTTGATCCAGCAATCCCATTACTGGGCATTTACCCAAAGGATTATAAATCATTCTATGCTAAAGACACATGTACATGTATGTTTATTGCAGCACTATTCACAATAGCAAAGACTTGAAACCAACCCAAATGTCCATCAATGATAGAGTGGTTTAAGAAAATATGGCACATATACACCATGGAATACTATGCAGCCATAAAAAAAGATGAGTTCTTGTCCTTTACAAGGACATGGATGAAGCTGGAAACCATCATTCTCAGCAAACTAACACAAGATAAAAAATCCAAACATCGCATGTTCTCACTCATAAGTGGGAGTTGAACAATTAGAACACATGGACACAGGGAGAGGAACATCACACACTGGGACCTGTCGGGTGTTGGGGGGCAAGGGGAGAGATAACATTAGGAGAAATACCTAATGTAGATGACAGGTTGATGGGTGCAGCAAACCACCATGGCACGTATATACCTATGTAACAAAACTGCATGTTCTGCACATGTAACCCAGAACTTAAAGTATAATAAAAAAATTAAAAAGAAAAAGAAATAAAAGAATTAGTATATATAAGGAAGGACTTTGAACTGTGCCTGATGTATACAAAGCCCTTTGTAATTTAGTTGTTATTAAATAATAAATTCAAAGGTGTCAAAAAACTGTTTAAAACTCACACATGAAAGAGACACATATAGCATATAAGCATATGAAGCAATGAATAATATCATCTGTCATTTGGGAAATGCAAAATTAAAACCACAATAAGATATCACTATACGGCTGTTGGAACACCAAAAAAATAACCAAGACTAATGACTGTGACAGAAAGTAAACAGTAGTTGGCTGTGCAGAAGTGGGCAAGGAGGATTGGGAGGGAGAAACTACAAAGAACATGAGGAAACATCTGGGGGTGATGGACATCAGGAAACTTTAAGGGTATTGATATGTTTATTATCTTAATGATAGTGATAGTTTCACAGATATGTATATATGTGTCAAAACTTATAAAATTGTACATTCTAAGTACATCCAGTATAAGTTCAGAGATAGTTTCCAGAATTAGATGGAGAGTTATAAAACATGAAGCCCTAGTATAGCACATTCATTAAAAATTTCATGAGAGACTAAGAAAACATTTTATTATCTTAGTAAGGACAATGAATTTCTTACCCAGAAAAATATCTGGATTTGGTGCATGTAGGTGTGTATACGTATGTATGTATATGTATATATTAATGTTAGGTAAAAACAAACATTGAAATTAAATATTTTACACAATAGCAAATTACTTACCTAAAAATGTAGATGATATATACATACACACATATATATATCCATGTGACATAATGCTCTTATTTTTGAAATTGGTTTAGACATAATATCCATTTCACAAGATTCTCGTGAAAATTAAACAAGTTAATGCATTTAAGATATTTATAATGTTAGCCAGCCCAAGGTAAGTAAGTCCTTGAATGCTAGACATTATTCTTGGTCAGAATTAGTTGCTTTATATATTCATAGTGATTTTCAAATATCTTCAATAAACATTTTAAAGAAATTTTTATCTTCCTCTCTCAATCCAGAAATGCCCAGTTGGTTAATATTTGTCTTAATATCTGCCTCTCAAAATTATTACTTTAATATGCTAAGTGTAGCTAGGTAATCTGAAGATTATGTGTTTTACATTATCCATCAACAGTTAGTTTATTTTTATTGCTATATAATTCCTTTGAGATTATTCTCATCACTTTATTTCCTTTCCACTTACATAATTTTAAATTACAAACAATTTTTGGCATAAATGAAATTGACCTTATTACCTCTCAAGGTAACAAATAATGATCTATCTGGATAAAGGTTACTTATCTTCATGGAGATATCCGTATCTGTTTACAGTGGAGTGAGAGAAGGAAAATTGATCCATAAAAATTAACTTAGGCTAGTTAAAAAATGCTGTTTTATTATTTTTATTTCTAATTTGTCTCAAAATTTTTCATTGTCTCATGTTTGAAGAGCTCACCTATAAATAAAGCAAACTTTTCTTTACAATATATAATCAATCAGGAAGCAGGGGAATAAACATGTATATCTGCAAGTCATCAGTTAAAATTTTAAATGTTTATGATGCCACGATGACAACCTCAGTGTCTGCGCAGAATCGTGATGAACATATTACCTAAAGAAGCAAACATATTTGTCTTATTCAGTGGGCATGGACTCCTCTCTCTCCATAGATGATAGATAGATAGATGATAGATAGATAGATAGATATAAATAGATACATAACTGTATACACACATACTCATACCGAGCACACACACACAAATTAAATACATATTCATATATAACCATATATAGACATAGTTATACACATTTTGTATATGTATGCAATATTTCACACTGCATTTAAGTACAAATTCTGATACATTAGTCTGTAGGTACATGGACACATTTGTATATACATGTATGTACTTATATATACATGTATGTACTTACATATTAAAAGTACATAATGTGCTTTTAATATTTTGTGTAACCTAACCTAGCAAGACATTCTCAATTTCTTGTGCACAGGAATGTAAACTATATTTGAATGTTCTTTCACTCTGAGGGAAACTATAGAAGTTAGAATTGGTTAGGCAGGATGAAAGAATAAATATGAATTGTTACATGTGAACTTGGTTAATGCAAATTTTGCAAGCTGTAGATAAATTTCGTAGACCTAATGATTTTTGAAAACGATTTCCATAGCTGTTTATGTCTCACGTGGAAATCTAAATGGGATCTTACAGGAACTGGTTTAAAGAATTTAGCTCTTGTCAAATATTGCTGGTCTCTGCTTTTTAATATTTCTTTCCTCAGAGTTCTCCTGCCTTTAATACATGCTTAGACTTAGTAGGCCAGAGGTAGAACTCTCTAGGTAATATTTTCCCCTTCTATTGTGCAAAGGAATTGTTCTTTAATGCTTACATGGTTATCTAAGTTTTACCATAGAATGCTGTGCGCTGCAGTTTTGCTTTGAAATGAATGATCTTCGTTTTTGCTTCAAGGTAAACAATTTTCTGCAGTGTTTTGTTGCACATTGTTAGGGGTCATTCTATTGCTTAGTTGTAGAAGGGGATTTAAAAAAAAAAATCACTGCTGTGAACAGTTAACTGTTTGATCATCAATGCTTCCTTTATTTTTTTTCTTCATATTCTTCCTTTTGTATTGGGTTTAAGTCCCTGTCTGTCCTCTATGACACATCAGGATATGACTAGCTGGTACCATTCACAGTGGAGGCAATTTAATCTTTGTTCAAAAGTACTCTGTTTCTCAGAAGTCATATAGACATCTTAGAAAGAATGGCTGATTAAATTGTTTTTGGCAGCAGTTAAACTTATCTGACCACATACTCTCTTTGTGTAGGATTTAGAACATTTTCCCCTTTTCATTTTGGAGGATATAATCAGGCTTAATTTCTCCCTGTATCTTCTGCAGATTTTGCTCTTTAAACGTTTTCTGTAGAAAGAGTGATTCTCAGTTGTTCTGGTTTATCTTCCAGCATAAAAACTTATTATTGTTCAGCAATGTAAGCAGCAGAGGTAATACCCCATTTTTAAACTTCCAGTTGGAGCTCTATTTTCTAGACAGTGAATAAAAGACTATTTTATAAATAGCGTCTCACCTCATTGTTTGTATCATTTCTTCTATTAAACTAGGTTCTGTGTACATATGAAAGCTGGGCGAAAGATTTGGCAAAAGATTGGTATGAACCAGCTGAAAAATGATGTACTCCCCTGCTGAGAGTCTAGTCTAATTTCCTTCACTTTTCCTGTAACTTGAGAGAAAAATGACAATTGATGTTCTTTGGGAATTGGTTTAAAGATGATGAAGGACATTTCTGTGATAATGGGTGTTGTCCAAATAAAAGGCAGGGACAGACCTAGAGGCATACAAAATAGTGTGTTAGTTGGGGCAATGAAGGGTCAAAACAAGAAGAAAAGTAAAACTTTTCATTATTATAAATTTTATAAAATTTTCATTAGTATAAATATTATAAAAATAGTGTATTGGCGTTCATCCATGTACATCGATAATTTGGCAGAGATAATCCTGACCCAATTAAGTATTAACATCTTGTACTATAGTTTTTGGGGATAATTTCATAGAACACATAAATTAGTTTTCTATATGTGTCTTTAGAGATTGCTTAACAAAATGTAATGGTATTTTAAAAATATATATGCAAAGCTTGAGCATTGAAGGTGAATTGCTGATATTTAAAAACCAAAAGTAAAAATAGGAATTCTGCAAAGCATATTATTTGAAAATGGAGAAAATTTAAAATAGTTTTATATTTAAATTATTATGAGTAATAAAAGGAATAAAACTTTACAGAAAAATAAGAAAATAATGAATCTTTAGTTAAAAACTCTTGAATTTTCCTGTTTGATGGTGCTAGAATGATTTAAAACAGCACTTCATGATAAAATTTAGGAATAGAGACCATGGAAAGGGGACATTGAAGATAATATGTTTAATAATTTATAATTATTAAACATATAAGCTTAAAAATATAAATGATAAGCTGATCATTTAAATGAATTTAAACATTTGTAATAAGAATATTTTACCAAATATGACCAAAACAGAGATAGAGACCATGGAACAAAACAGAGCCCTCAGAAATAATACCACACATCTACAACCATATGATCTTTGACAATCTTGACAAAAACAAGAAATGGGGAAAGGATTCGAATCTATTTAATAAATGGTGCTGGGAAAACTGGCTAGCCATATGTAGAAAGCTGAAACTGGATCCCTTCCTTACACCTTATACAAAAATTAATTCAAGATGGATTAAAGACTTAAATGTTAGACCTAAAACCATAAAAACTCTAGAAGAAAACCTAGGCAATACCATTCAGGACATAGGCATGGGCAAGGATTTCATGTCTAAAACACCAAAAGCAACATCAACAAAAGCCAAAATTGACAAATGGGATCTAATTAAACTAAAGAGCTTCTGCACAGCAAAAGAAACTACCATCAGAGTGAACAGGCAACCTACAGAATGGGAGAAAATGTTTGCAATCTACTTATCTGACAAAGGGCTAATATCCAGAATCTACAGTGAACTCAAACAAATTTACAAGAAAAAAACAAACAACCCCATCAAAAAGTGGGCAAAGGATATGAACAGACACTTCTCAAAAGAAGACATTTATGCAGCCAACAGACACATGAAAAAATGCTCATAACCACTGGCCATCAAAGAAATGCAAGTCAAAACCAGAATGAGATACCATCTCACACAGTTAGAATGGCGATCATTAAAAAGTCAGGAAACAACAGGTGCTGGAGAGGATGTGGAGAAATAGGAACACTTTTACACTGTTGGTGGGACTGTAAACTGGTTCAACCATTGTGGAAGACAGTGTGGTGATTCCTCAAGGATCTAGAACTAGAAACACCATTTGACCCAGCCATCCCGTTACTGGGTATATACCCAAAGGATTATAAATCATGTTGCTATAAAGGCACATGCACACGTATGTTTATTGCGGCAGTATTCACAATAGCAAAGACTTGGAACCAACCCAAATGTCCATCAATGATAGACTGGATTAAGAAAATGTGGCACATATACACCATGGAATACTATGCAGCCATAAAAAAGGATGAGTTCATGTCCTTTGTAGGGACATGGATGAAGCTGGAAACCATCATTCTCAGCAAACGATCGCAAGAACAAAAAACCAAACACCGCATGTTCTCACTCATAGGTGGGAATTGAATAATGAGAACACTTGGACACAGGAAGGGGAACATCACACACCGGGGCCTGTGGTGGGGTGGGGGGCTGGGGGAGGGAAAGCATTAGGAGATATACCTAACGTAAATGATGAGTTAATGGGTGCAGCACACCAACATGGCACATGTATACATATGTAACAAACCTGCAGGTTGTGCACAGGTACCCTAGAACTTAAAGTATAATTTTAAAAATAAATAAAAAAAGAATATGTTACCAAATATGTATAGGAATATTACTCTATTCTGTTCTTAACAATTAGTATGCTTAATGTTCTCTGTTCAATATGCTTAACTAGAAAATGACTATAGCACTTTCATGTATAAAACAGCCATCTTTAAATACACATTTGATTCAGTATCACCATGCTGATTTTTGCCAAAGACAATTTTTTTCATGATGACCAAATAAACTCTGGTTGTAGTCAAAGCATTTTCATTTGCTTTGCCTTGTAGCCAAAGTACTTTCATTTGCTTTGCCTTATGCAGATGTCAATAATATTCTTTTATATAAATGCTTTCTATCAAATGGCAATTTTGTTTTTCTTTTGTGAAAATTGCTTTGAAACAAAAATGAAATAGATTTTGGTTCTTTAAAACATGTGAGAAAATTGTTGCTTCACTTCTTCCATTTAGTATTCCCCATTAGTATTTTTTTCTTTTTCTTTTCTGTTTTTTTTTTTGGGGGAGGATGGGAGTGTTAACTATGTTTTTGCACATGGTCTTTTTAGGGCATAATTATAAAACCAGCTGTCTCCCATGTCTGTCCATCGGTGGGTTACTATGTGTTTTAATCATGTATACTCATGGAGCATCAGCCATTTTTATTCAATTAGCTGTTAGTTACGTGCTTTTGCAAACTGTAAAAATGCTCTCACCTTTATTAACGATAACTAAAAATTAGCTAACACTAAAAACTAACACTAAGCTAATAGGAAGCTTCATTAAATAGCAACATCCTTCTTTCATACAGCAATACTCAGAAAAAAAAGTAATGTTTTTCATCTGTAATATTAGTAAATAAAACAGAACTAATATATAGACTTGCTTTAATAAACTAAAAAATAAAAAAACAGTGTTTTAAACCCTAAAGGAGAAAGAGAAGAACCATGTATCTTCGCATTTTTAATCTTACCTGATTCCTCTACCAAATAGCAAGTGGTTGCTTAGGATCTGTCATTTTATATTGATAACTCTTCTGAAAGTTTAGTTACAAACTTAAGAGAGATATAAAAGAATACTGGGGCTGTGATCAACTCCTCTCCAGCAAAGTATAAATAATACATAATCAATTACATGAAGTATAAATAGTACACAATCAATTACACATTTTCATGAATGGTGATCATTGAAAGAATGTGTTGTAAAGAATTACTCATTGTAACCAAATTAAGAAAGTTTCTTACCATTAATGATAGGAATTTAGCTTATTAAAGAGTAAACTAAAATACTTCTAATAATACTCATATTAAAAAATTTTTAGAAAATCTATAAAATTGTATTTGTACTAATCTTGAATTGTATGATAAATACTTTTTATTTAAAACTGAGTCTTTATTTTAGGGAAATCAAATCATTTTCATTTATAATCCAAATTCTTTAAAGGCTGCCTTTTTTCTTTTTCTTCATTTTTGAGAGGTAGACAGGAGTCTTGATCTGTCACCCAGGCTGAAGTGCAATGGCACAATCATAGCTCACTGCAACCTCAACAACCTGGGCTCAAGCAATCCTCCCAAGTCAGCATCTGGGATAGTTGGAACCACTTGCTTGTGTGCTGCCATGCTAGCTAATTTTTTAAATTTTTTGTAGAGATGAAGTCTTTCTATGTTGCCCAGGCAGGTCTGCAACTCCTGGACTCAAGCAGTACTTCTGCCATGGTCTCCCAAAATGCTGATATTACAGGTGTGAGGACAATCATCCTTCTTATTGCCTTTATATAAACACAATTACCCCTCATCTTAACCACTGGCAATCACTAACTTGTTCACTTCTATAAATTTGCCATTTCAGCATTGTTATATAAATGAAATCTTACAATGTGAGATGCCTTCTGGGATGAATTTTTTTTCTCTTAGGATAATTATCTGGAGAGATATACAGGCTGTTGCATGAAAATAAGTTTCCATTCTTCTGGGAGAGATGCCCAAGTATGCAATTGCTGGGTCATATGACAATTGTATGCTTAACTTTTAAGTAACTGACAAACGCTTTCACAGTGGATGTACCATCTTACTTTTGAATGTTCTCTAAGTATTCTTGACACTATTCCCGTGTTGGATAAATGGTTTGCAAACATTTTATCCTTCTCTGTGACTTGTCTTTCTGTCCTCCTTACAGGGTCTTTTGAGGAGCAAAGGATTTTAATACTGACAAAGTCCAACTTACCAGTTTTTTTCTTTTATGCTTCAAGTGTAAGAACTCAATCTAATCCTAGATCTTAACAAATTTCCCCTACTTCCCTCTCTGTGTTTCATTTAAGTCCATTTGAGTTGATTTTGTGTGAAGTTTGAGATTTCCATCTAGTCTTTTTTTTCCCTAAAGAAGTCCAAATGTTTGAGCACCATTTGTTGGAGAGGTTATTCTCCCCTCATTGAATTGATTTTACACTTTCATCAAAAATCAATTGGGCAAAGTTCCACTTAAACGGAGATTTTTTTTCACTGAAAGCTACACCAAATGTCACTGCTTCTACTGCCTCCCCTTCCACCTCTACCACTTCCACTTCTGCCACTCCTGAGACAGCAAGACAAACTCTTTCTTCCCTTCCTCAGCCTACTCAATACAAAGGCAACAAAGGAAAAAACCCTTGTGGTGATCCATTTCCACTTAATGAATAGTAAAGATACCTTTTCTTCCTAGTGGTTTTCTTAATAACATTTTATTTTCTCTAGCTTACATTATTGTAAGATTACAGCATATAAAACATATAACAAAAATGTGTTAATACACAATTTATGTTTTTGTTAAGGCTTCCGGCCAAAATTAGGCTATCAATAGTTAAATTTTTGGAAAGTCAAAAGTTACACAAATTTTTGACTATACAGTGTGGCGGGGGGGTTGCCACCACTAACCTCCTGCACATGTTCAAGGGCCAACTGTATAGTTTAGAACAATAATGTCCATATTAACAAAACATTTTGCTAATATTTTGATAGAAGTTTTGTAAAACACATGTATTTGTGGAGAACGGACAACTTCGTTAAATTTCCAATCCTTGAAAACAGCATGTCTATTTATTTAAATTTTCATTGATTTGTTTCATCAATGTTTTCTAGTTTTAACATACAAGTCCTATACATTTTTTTTAGATTTATACTTTTACTTTGAAGGTTGATAAGTGGCATTGTACCTTTAATTTTGGTGTTTCCATGTCCATTGCTGGTATACAGAAACATAACTGATTTTATGTGTTGATGTTGCATCCTCTAACATTGTTGATCTCAGTTATTAGTTCCCAAAACTTTGTTCTTAGATTTCTTAGAAATTTTTGCATAGACAATCATGTCATCTGTAAATAGAGACAATGTTTTTCAGATTCATATGCCTTTTATTTTCTTTTCTTGCCTCATTATAAAAACTTTCAGTACTATATCAAATAAAATTAGTGACAGTGGATATCCTTGCTATATTTTTATTCTTGGGGCAAAAGCATTGATTTTTTTCCTCCTTAAATCTCAATGGTATTCTTCAGTAGACTATATGAGCTTGGAGATATCTTTTTTTAAGGTTTGAAATTGTTAATAATTTTTCTTTAATAGTTACAGATGTATTCAAATTATCTATTTCATGTTGGATAAGTTTGGCTCTTTGCAATTTTAAGAAATTAATCCAGTTAATCAAGTTGTCCAATTTGCATGTGTAGAATACTTTATAGTACTGCCCTATTTTTATTTATTTATTTATTTATTTTGAGATGGAGTCTTGCTCTGCTGCCCAGGCTGGAGTGCAGTGGCGCCATCTTGGCTCACTGCAAGCTCCACCTTCTGGGTTCACGCCATTCTCCTGCCTCAGCCTCCCGAGTAGCTGGGACTACAGGCTCCCGCCACCATGCCTGGCTAATTTTTTGTGTATTTTTAGTAGAGACGGGATTTCACTGTGTTAGCCAGGATGGTCTCGATCTCCTGACCTTGTGATCTGCCTGCCTCGGCCTTCAAAGTGCTGGGATTACAGACTTGAGCCACCGCGCCCAGCCTATTTTTCTTCATTTCTGTAGAGACTATAGCAATATGCTATTTTCTGATATTGGGGTAATTGTTAGCGATCTTGGTTTTTTACATGAAAAGTTATTTTCTACTAAAATCTGGATATGTCGGGTATTGTGTAGTTTGACTCTAAGTCTTATTTAAATATCTATTTTATTTGGCTTTCTCTGGCCTCATGCTTATAGGAGAAGGAGAGTACTGCCTCATTACATCCAGAATGGGATGGTAATGCAGAATCCCTAACTGGCCTTGGTTAACACCAGAGATGGGAAGGGCCCTCCCATTAGTACGGGTAGGAGATGGAATTCTTGGCTCACCATTGGACTACTTCTGATACCAGCAGTGGCTGTGAGGGTTTGGAATGCTCTGTTACTGTTCTCTACATGGCCATAATTGATATCACTGGCAGTGTGGCCTCATTACTACTGGAAAATGGTGAATGTTCTGACTCTCCACTGACTACTACAGGATGTCTCATATATAAATCTGAAACAATCATGTAACATGATCAATGATTTATCATATAGAATACATTAAGATGAAAACACAATTTTCTAAATAAAATCTTAATGGAGGATTCAAATACGCACCCCACAAAAATTATTGAATTGTAAGACAAACTTAAGAAAATTTAGAATGAAGACGAAAAGGATAAAAATTAAATAACTTAAAAACTGACAGATTACCTTAAAGCAAGATGGTAGGACTCTGGTTCATTCCTACATGGACACATTGATTCAATAACAATACACAGATCAATTCCCTTTGTGAATACATCTAGAAACCAGTTAAGCCTCTTGCATCATTTAGCACACAACCAGCCACATCAAATTCAATTAAAAAATTAGAAATACTCTCTCATCACAATCCTTACCCCTGGCATAGTACTATATAATCAGGAGGAAGCCTCCACCTCTGGGCCTCCATCTGACAAGGGAAAGAGTTGAACCATATACCCACTATCCTAGCTTTCCCTGGTGCTTCCTGAGAGACTAGTTCCTATGTCACCCTCCTTGGGCCTCTGATGAGATCAAGCTCATGTTCGATCCTTGGGGCCTACAGAGAACAAAAACAGCAGTTTGAACTACAGTGGGCCATCCACTAAGCCTCCTGCTCGCTGGCTCAGTGTAGAGCAAGAAAGAGAGAGAAATAATAGTAATAATAATCAGTTTCTAATTTCTCCATGGGGAGAAAAAGAATTTGGTGTAGAATTGAACACTCCAACTTTTCTAGATGATGCCTGAGGCAAATGGCTTCTGTCTTACCTATCTTGCAGCACACTACAGATGCTTGGGGCCACTAAGAATAAAACCGGTGGTTATGACTAGTGCAAAGGTCTATAGAAGCTCTGGCTGATTCATATATATACAAATGGTTTTTATTGGAAAAAATTGTATTAATCACAGGTCTTGAGGATCAAGAAGAGGGTCAGGAACTAGGGTTAGGCAGGAGATGTAGGACCTTGCTACCTAGAGAAAGTTTTCTGATGCCTCAGGCTTTTGCCTCATGAGTTTTTATTCACAAAGTCTGCAAGGTAGAATAGATTGGTCCAGCTTGTGCCGAGCACCTACTCCTTTGCTGGTGGCTGGGAGGGGCAAGTGGAATGGAAGTCAGTTAATTAAAAGCCTCACTACAAATACATGGGTGTTGGGGTGGGTGGTTAGTGGCATTCTACAAGGAAAATAGTGCAAGGAGACATAAATTATGTATGCATCTGAGACCTGTACTCTTTACAGGAGTAAGAGAGAAGGATTAGGAAATAGCAGGCAGCGTAAATCCACTACCACAATAATGAATGAATTGATTTCCTGCTGGAACCTGAACATATCTGCTTTAAAGATTACTTGAAGGCACATGAAGAGTCTTATGTTGGTAACTTTCTATCTAGGATTCATTCTAAGTGGCTTCTACTCTTTCTATCTTGAATCAAATCAAAGAGATGACCCTAAGTAGAAGTACACTCCAGAGAATTTGAGAGATCCAAATATTTTTTTCGTTCAGTCCAACTAGTGACTTTTGAAAGTATATCTCTGACAGTACCATCAGTCATTGCACGGAAGTCTTCATTTTATGAAGATAATTGAATGCCTGATTAAATACTTGTTGGTTTAGTTTCATCTGTTTTATTAGTGATGGGATCCCTTTTATTTGAATCATTTTGACATTCACAGCGCCTTAAGAAATATTGTGACTAGTGATATTGTCACATATGTTATTGAAATTCCAAGATAAAGCTCTGAAATAATCATTTTACATAAATCAGAATTTCCCAACCTTGGCATTATTGAAATTTTGGGATGGGTGATTCTTTGCTTGGTGTATGGGGACAGAGCTGTGCCCTGTGAGATGTTTACTAGAATCTCTGGCCTTTACTTACTAGATGCCAGTAGCACGATTAGAGTTGCGACAATCAAAAATGTCTTAAGACATTGTCAAATATCTCCTAAAAAGCAAAAAAAATCTCAGTTGGGAATGACTACTGTAAATAGGAGGGGATTCTTGACAATGAAATTAGTAGAACATTTAAAGTGCGCACTGCAAAATATTGGTGTGTGATAAAGTTGAAAAAACAAAGTACTACTCTTACATTGGTAAGAGGGGCTACCCTCCTGTTATGGGGGAATTTAGCATGCATACTCTGATTAGAAAACCATCCTAGGAAGTGATTCTCAACTGTGGATGAACAATTTGAATAATCTGTGGGACTTTTAAAACAATATTGTGCTAGGCCACAATCTAGATAAATTATATCAGGCATTTTGGTGGTGGACTTAGACATTTTTATTATTGAAAAGTTCCCCTAAATAATTTTAATATAGAGCAATTTAATATGTACCATATTAGAATAATCTAAAGTAATTATCCTTGAAAATCCACCAGAAACAAGCTCAGAAATTTTTGCAAGAGTATACCACACATGGATGGATTCCTGCTTGAGTATTCACGTGGCCACTAGAATTGTATCCTATTCAGAAGCTTCCGGGGACAAAGTGCCTCAGGGCTCTGCTCCAGGGGTTTACAGCACCAGAAATCTGTATCCCAATTGGTTGATCATTAAAACAAACTGAATAAAGGAAATTTACAGATTAAGGTATTCTCTGATGAACTAGTAATTAAAATATTGACAACATTCTCTATATTAATATTGGATATACCTATATACGGATCCAGACGTTGCAACAGTTTATTAGAAAGCTAGATAATATATAGTGACATTATATCAGAATTCCTTGGGTGAATTTCAGCTAATTGCTGGTCTACAGAGCTACACACATAGTCCCGGATTTAACAGGAGATCTGATTTATTGTCCATCTGCTTCTGGCCTGTAGGTCTATCTTCACCATATGCTTTGAATCAATTTTGATTATAGGTGGACTTAAAATAATCAATCAAATATATAAACTTCAGACCAATACACAAAGCACTGAAAATCAGTAAAAAGTGTCGAGATTGTGGCTGTACTGAGTCAGAATTTTCTACCTAATTCTTGTTCTGGTGATTTATGTAGTGGGGGCTATTCACAAGAGCCTGGGAGTAAGAAAGCAGAACAGGACAGGAGGAAAGAAATAAAATTGTGGTCTCAGCTGGAGACTAGCTTTAGTCTTCTCTTATAAGGAACACTTTAGAGCTCAAATTATAGGGCAGAGTTAGCCCCACTTGAGGCAAATAAAACTACTTTCAGACTCCCTGACAGTCAGTCCTTAGTTAATTTGTGGAGGAGGGAAAAGCCTCCTGAAATTATATTTGGCTGAGTGAAATTCTCTGGATAGAAGTTATCTGATTTGTTAGCCAACATGTACAGCAGCTATGGGAACACTGCACCTGTTGGTAAGGAGGAGCTGGGCCCATCACCAATAGCATCCACTAGAGGGTATAACACAATCACTTCATTTCATATTTTCACATGCAGTATCCTATTTTAATCATCAGTAAATTAGGGAATGTGAACTAGCCATATAACATTAGGATGTCTGCATTTTTCTACACCTTAGCCATCTGTAATCAAAGCTTCCCTGTCACTTTCAAGGAGACAATTTAGACATAACCAATCAATACTGATGGTATAGTGTTCACTAGGATCAGATAAGGGCACCTACTTGCAGAATGAAACATTAGCTTTTAGGTCAGGCATGGTGGCTCACACCTGTAATCTCAGCACTTTGGAGGCTGAGGCAAGAGGATGCCTTGAGCCCAGGAGGTAGAGGATGCAGTGAGGTGTGATCACTCCACTATACCCTAACCTGGGCGAGAGAATGGGACCCTGTCTCAAAAACAAAAATAAAAACAGAAAAGAAAATAAAAACTTCTATGTGCTCAACTCCCTTCCCAAACTTTTTAAATTGAGAAACAAAAATCCAAAAATTATGAAATATTTCATAGAGTTTATGCATTCATTTGTTCAATAAGTGTTTATTTGAATGCTCTGTATGTAATTGACAATGCTCTATAATTTGGGGTACAAAAGTGCAGAAAACAGACAATTTTGAAGACAGTTATCATGCAGCTTTTATTCTAGTTGAGGAAGTAAATAAATAAAAAATACTAGTTTAGATGGTAATAAGTGTTGTAGAAAAAAATAAAGCAGAGTAGAAAGATGGATGCTGGTGGACATGGGAGTGAATAGATGCTATTTTAGATCAGATGGTTAAGAAGATGCTATTTTAGATCAGATGGTTAAGAAAGGCTTCTCTGGTAAGTGGGCAACTAAGCAGACGGCTGAATGATGTGAGGGAGCAAGCGCTGCAGATACAGAATTTCCTAAAAGTGTTCTATTAAAAACATATAACATGAAATACCTTCATAAATCTGATGAGTTTCCATCAATGAAGGTTAAGGTGTAGATGACTCTTTTTAGTCAACGTGATGTTATAGCACCAATAGTCGTCCATCCCTGCCAGTGACTAATGACACAATGTCCCTGAGCTGTATTAAAAAACGAGGCATAACTCAGATTTGGTGTCTGCTTTGAAAAGCAAAGATGTTTATGAAACTATTGCAAGAAACCACCAACAGTATGCAGTAGGGAATTAACTTCTTAGAAGACTTACACATGCTTAAAAAAATCATTATTTTGGCCTTAAATTTTTATATGTAATATTATTATAATTTAAAGTTATAAAACTTAATTTCTGTATAAAAGAGAGGAGCATAAAAGAGGCTATTGATACAAGTTTATTTAGACAGACATAATAGGTTTAACCTTAGGAAACAGGTAACAAAATGACATTTTATGATTATCAAAGGGATGAAGGATGAAGTCAAATAAACCTATTCACAGTATCCCATAAAATGAATAAAGATTTTTTATCAAATTGACAGCAGTGAACTAAATATTAATTTAACTTATATACCATGTAGGAAACAAAATTTTAATAATTTACAGCACTTTTCCACTTTATTGCCTTATTGACTATTACAGCTCTTAGATCATCCAGGTAGAAAAAGAGACTTTGGAACCTATTAATATACAGTTTCAGTATGGATAGCCTTCAACTGCTTAGAGTAGCTTTAAAAAAAACTCAGGTCATCTTTTAAATAAACTAGTTTTTAATGTAAAAATTAGAGTGATTTTTGTTTCTGTATCATATTACACCTACTAAAGTCAGGCCTAAAAATGTACTGTGTACAATAGAATAAATTACACAAGGCAATATTGCAGGAATGCTGGAAACATTGACTGTTTATCCAAGCACATAATTTGGTTTTATTTCGAGAATAGTATTAAAATAGTCTAATCTTTAATAGGAACCCAAGTCAAGTTCCTACTACAATTACTTTGTCAAAATTTGAGACTATTCTTACTATCATGTTTCTGAGTAAAATAGTGTCCTTGGACATAAATGGAAATGTTTAATTTATAGTAATATGATCCTTGCAAGTCAATTATTTAGAGTATTATGAACAGATGATTTAATCAGAGAACTGAAGAAAGAATATTTGTCCTAGCTCTATATCACTGACAATACATTGCTTCACAAATCTAAAGAGACTCCTTGAATTTTGATCTATGAACCAGACATTGTAGTGCTATTAAAATAGCTATACTATATTTGGAAGATTCCAGATTGTGTGTGCTGCTGATGGTATGTGTGCATCATTTCAGGTTTTACTTCAATTATACCTATGTAAAAATAGATTAAAGAGAAGACGTGCTACCTAAATTATTTCGAGAATCTAAAATATTCCTCTAGGTTTTAGGAAACCTCATTTACCTAAAAATATTATAAGCCAATGATTCCAGAAAATACATTTCCACGTTTAATATTAATTATGCCTGATATAAATGAACTTTTGAAATAACTGGAATGAATAACTTTAGGACCTTGATAAGAAACAAGATTTCTTGTTCACATCTTCAACTCAAATATATGCATCTTCCAATGAAGACCTTCTCTAAGTCAGAGATAAAATCAATAAAAATTTTACTCTGCTAATTAAAAGAATGAGTCTGCCCAACAATAGGAATTATTTGACAATTCTAATATCAACTGAGTAATGCTAGCAATAAGCAGTTAAAACATTTGCTTATTTATATAATTTATATACATATAAATATTCTTGAAAACAGTAACAATTGACTCATTGATTGCTAATTTTTGATATGAATTTTCTTTTTTCTTTTTTTTTTTTTGAGACGGAGTCTCACTCTGTCACCCAGGCTGGAGTGCAGTGGCACGATCTTGGCTCACTGCAAGCTCTGCCTCCTGGGTTCACGCCATTCTCCTGCCTCAGCCTCCCGAGTAGCTGGGACTACAGGCGCCTGCCACCACGCCCGGCTAATTTTTTTGTATTTTTATTAGAGACAGGGTTTCACCGTGTTAGCCAGAATGGTCTCCAACTCCTGACATCGTGATCCGCCCGCCTCGGCCTCCCAAAGTGCTGGGACTACAGGCATGAGCCACCATGCCCGGCCAAATTTTCAATTTTTTTAAGATGCCCAATTTTCTTAAGTTAATTAGAATCCATGACATTTATGTGATTGGAAAGCACATTAATATAAAATTTGCATATCAATTATTGAGATTCTTTTTGGTTTTTGTTTTTTGTTGGTATTTTTGGTTTCTAGAGATAGGTTCTTGCTCTGTCACTCAGGCTGGAGTGCAGTGATGTGATCCTAGACTCAATCATATTATTCGAATTCAATACAAATCTATTCAATATTTGAATGTCTAAGTACCCAACACTGTGTCAGGTGATATTATTTTTTATGGGGAGAAAATTTCAAGTTCACTTAAGCAAAGACATTCTTTAAGGCTTCTTTATTAATAGTGGGAACAGGACCGCAGAAAAGTTTAGTTTAGCATCTAAATTGAGGGTCAAATATGACTAAGACTTGACCAGGAAATAGGAGGAGAAAAAGTGATTCTAGAGAGTAGAGAATCATGTGTCTAATATTCTCATGCTTCCATATTCTTCAAGGCTTCTGAAGGAAGATATATAAAATTCAAAAAGTTTCAGAAACTTTAAATAAACTTTATTAAACGCTTGACTAATACAACTCTTGACTAATAAAACTCATGTTCAAAAGCATGACAAGGAGGTGTGCCAAGTACAAGTTGATCAATTTGCTCATACTTTCAAATAGTCTTCTTTTGTAAAAAGTTACATGTTAGCATGAAATTGGAGAAATCAATGTAAGCAAAACAAGAAAGGATAAGGTTTCAGGATGGAGTCTTTCTTGTATAATTTTTCCTCACTGACTAAGATGTTGAATAATTTTCCAGGCTATTTTACCCTGATTTTCAAACTTTGATGCTATGATCGAAATGAGCTTAAGAAATGTAGAGAAGAAGAATAAAACTTTAAGAGCATACAGATCCCATAGTTTTGTACATAGTTGTTCATTATTGTTATTATAACTAAAGACTAAAAGAAACTAAAGACCCAGGGGACAATCCAGAAAAAATGTTAACTACTCAATTATTGCTAAGAGTTTATCATCTTCTTTACACCCAAAGTGTGCCTCATTGTTCCTTTCCAAATACTGCACCCTGATATTGACCTTCTAGTTCTTAATACTTTACAATGAGTAAGTGGAAAAGGTGGCTCCTGTGAGCTGTCCACCCCAGAGCTGACCAAGGATGACCTTCAAGACAAGTACAGATTTTAACTAAGGATTTGGCTTGCATATTAGATGTGGTGGGGCCTCACACTGGTGAACTGAATTGGTCCATATGTTAACCTCAAGAATATGTGTGATCTGTCTTCTTGCATAAGCCACAAACTAAGGCAGGCAAACTATCGTCATTTATTACTTTCCCTAAAATAGTGTTTCTCAAAATGTGATTGAGAGTTCATAGGCAACAGAGTCATCTGGGATGCATGCTAGAAATTCACATACTTCATCTTCATTACTCCCACCCCATACACATATGATGATTCAGAATCTCTTGAGGTTGTTTCTGGGAATCTGTAGCTTCAACACTGTGGAGGTAATGCCACACAATTGTGAGCATCTGCCCAAGAAGACCTCACAGGGGGTAATTGAGGAGTTACCCCTGAGGCACGAAGAGACTGAAAAAGGCGTATCAAAGGAAAACAAGAGTAGTTATTCAAACTTATGTGCAGTTAAACTCATCTTACAGGGAGTTAAACTCACTCACTTAGAATCTCTGCGATGTCTTCATTCTCAGGGCAAATAAAGGAAATGAGTGTTGGGCACAGGCCCACCTGTGACATTCAAGTAGATGCACACATGCTTTGTACCTGAATACTTACTTTCATGTGCGTCCATGTGAAGAGACCACCAAACAGGCTTTGTGTGAGCAATAAAGCTTTTAATCACCTGGGTGCAGGTGGGCTGAGTCCGAAAAGAGAGTCAGCGAAGGGAGATAGGGGTGGGGCCGTTTTATAGGATTTGGGTAGATAAAGGAAAATTACAGTCAAAGGGGTTTGTTCTCTGGTGGGCAGGAGTGGGGGTCACAAGGTACTCAGTGGGGGAGCTTTTGAGCCAGGATGGGCCAGGAGAAGGAATTTCACAAGACAATGTCATCAGTTAAGGCAGGAACAGGCCATTTTCACTTCTTTTGTGGTGGAATGTCATCAGTTAAGGCAGGAACCAGCCATCTGGATTGTACGTGAAGGTCACAGGGGATATGATGGCTTAGCTTGGGCTCAGAGGCCTGACACTTACAAGTGATAAATTAAAAAACCTGTTAAATAAAATATCTTTATTTATCTTTCTATTTTGATAACTATTCCTTTATAATGTCCTGAGAAGCCAGGTCCCATCTAGAATGTTCAGATTTTTTAAAGCTTTGTGTTAGTACATGATAGCACAGGCAGAGCCAGCTCCAGATTCTCAGCCTCCAACTCATAGCCAACCCCTTCTTATCTCTGTCTGTGTGCACTCTAGGGGGTGAAGCAACATAGGAGCAAACATGGGTGATGTTTCCCTAACATAGGAGATGTTTGTGGGCAAACATGGGAGATGATAGCACATCACATACATACAGGTAACGTCTATCCTCAGACACACCAGGAGCTGCTCTTTGGCCATGGCTAATCCTCAGGCCCCACATTTGTACCTTGAGATACAGCTCTTGCAGTCCCTGGAAGTAAGCTAAGGGCTATTAAGGTGTGGAATTCTCTAGTGTGCTCTCACGGAGTGCCATAGGCTCTTATAGGACTGTCCCCTTTGCCTGGGGAATTCTTGCCCTGCAGAGAAAGACTAGGCCAGGTCTTGACAAAGCACAGGAACCAAAGCAGGAAGACATGGGGCTATCTTAAGTGGATGGATTCTTACAATTTAAATACTGTATAGTCTAAGTTTCTGGTTTCTTGGAGACAGGGTCTTGTTCTGTCACCCAAGCTGGAGTGCAATGGCACAATCATGACTCAATACAGACTCAAACTCCTGGGATCAAGTAATCCTCCCACCTCGGCCCCCCAAAATGCTGGGATTACAGGCATCAGCCACTTCACCCAGCCTAGACTATTTATGATTGATTTGTTCATTCATTTGTTGAGTATTTATTGAGCTATATTGCAAGTGTTAGTGAAGACATTTGGGATATATTAGTGAATAAAACAGACTAAGTTCTTGCTTATGTGAAGCTCACATTCTCAATACCTTCTATAGCATACCTGTCACCTGCCATCTTCAGTCCTCTTGGAAATATGCATTGACAGGCAATTCAGTTTCTTTCATTGTTGGCTACTATTTTTATCTATTTTTTTAAATCAATTGGATATATGGGCACCTTCACAAGATAATGAAAATTCCATCTGTGATTTTTTTTGGCAATTAATTTATAGATGGAACTAAAGACTCTTGCAGGAAGACAGCTATTTTTTTAAGCCAAGAAAAAAAGGAAAAAGAAAAATTATCATTGTATTATAAATTGCCTCTTGACCATGACATGACTTGCTATTGCAATTGATTTGATATGCTAAACTTATTTCAAATAAAAAAAAGAAGTTTAGAAGAATTTATAAACATTTTGTAAAAGTTTGTAAGTTTAGGCCGGGCGCAGTGGTTCATGCCTGTAATCCCAGCACTTTGGGAGGCAGAGGCGGGCGGATCACGAGGTCAGGAGATGGAGACCATCCTGGCTAACACGGTGAAACCCCATCTCTACTAAAAATACAAAAAATTAGCCGGGTGTGGTGGCGGGCGCCTGTAGTCCCAGCCAGTCGGGAGGCTGAGGTAGAATGGCGTGAACCCGGGAGGCGGAGCTTGCAGTGAGCCCAGATGGTGCCACTGCACTCTAGCCTGGGCGACAGAGTGAGACTCGTCTGAAAAAAAAAAAAGTTTTTAAGTTTAAAACTGTATAAACTCCTGCAATTTTTTTATCTAAACTACTTTAATGGCTGTTCAAAATGTACAAAATTATAAGTTAACAATGCAGATTAAACACCTGCAATTTTTAATCTGAACTACTTTAATTGCTGTTCAAAATATACAAAATTATAAGTTAACAACACAAAAGATTATCACAATACCCAATTTCGTGTAACAGTATTGATGTTACAGGACAGGGGTCCTGATCCAAACCTCCAAGAGAGGGTTCTTGGATCTCACGCAAGAAAGAATACAGGGCGAGTCCGCAGTGCAAAGTGAAAGCAAGTTTATTAAGAAAGTAAAGGAATAAAAGAATGACTACTCCATAGACAGAGCAGCCCCGAGGGCTGCTGGTTGTCCATTTTTATAGTTATTTCTTGATATGCTAAACAAGGGGTGGATTATTCATGCCTCCCCTTTTTAGAACGTATATTTTCCTGATGTTGCCATGGCATTTGTAAACAGTCATGGCCTTGGTGGGAGTGTAGCAGTGAGGACAACCAGAGGTCACTCTCGTTGCCATTTTTGTTTTGATGGGTTTTGGCCGGCTCCTTTTCTGCAAGCTGTTTTATTAGCAAGGTCTTTATGACCTGTATTTTGCGCTGACCTCGTATCTCATCCTGTTACTTAGAATGCCTTAACCATCTGGAAATGCTGCCCAGAAAATTTCAGCTTTATTTTACCCAGCTTCTATTTAAGATGGAGTTGCTCTGGTTCACACGCCTCTGACGCTGGGACTCAGATATTTTAAATATGGTAAATAGTATTGCTACATTGGCTGACAATACTCCAAAGATATCAGCAGGAAAATCTGTTGATTCAACAAAACAAAGTTAATGAGACTTAGAACAGTAGGGTAAATACCCCTTTGTCAATATCTTAGCTGTGCCTCAGAAGTGAAAACCCTGAGGGGGAATATTTATGGTGTTTCCGGACTTGAGTGGTTGCTTTCAAGGGTTTTAGGACCTGGGCTGTTGATTTTAGGGTGGGTTATGCAATACGGCATAGTGCTTGAGATTGGCAGAGTTTGTGACATAGTAGCTTTGGATTGGCAGCCACAGCAAGAAGAAAGTCTTCAAATGCAAAATGACAAGTAGGCTATGTTAGTAATTCACTGTTAAAGCTTCCAGGACCAACTATTTCCTGGACAAAGCAGCTAGGCTAGTTTTACCTGGTCTCAGTGTTGCTTAGGTTGTTTAGTTTTTTGGTTTTTTTTTAGTGTTGTTTTTTTTTTAAAATAAAAGATTGTATACTTTGTCCCAGAATTAATTAGCATGGGAACAGAAAAACATGGTTTCAGTTTTCAGGTGAACCCCAATTTTTTTTTCTAATAAATTGCTGTTGTAGGAAAGTTGGAAGTTGTTTAGGTTTATTTTGTTTAGTAGGAGAAAACTAAGCTTAATCTTCGTATCAATTATATGAAAACATGATGCCAATGCAGTTAATCTAATTAATTTTCCATTTCTGCTAGCCATACTGATATTTCATGTTTCTATATATTATTTTTAAAGAATATTTTTCTTTTTTCTTTAATATCTTGTCTTCAAGAACACCTATGAGTGAAGGAATAACAAATTCAATAATAAATAAAATAATCTAAAAGATGTTGGGATTTGTGATTGATTTTGGTTTTCTGATTTTGACCAGGTATGATTTTGCCCTAAGTATGACTGTAATTAAGGAAAGTAAAGAATTCAAGTTTCTTTGCCTCAGACTCTCAGCTTTAGAAAATTACCCAGAGGCCACTGTTGAGCTGAAATTGATTATGCCAAGAGCACCCTTGCCCTTCTTTTGCTTGACTAAAACAAATCAGCACTAGGTATGCAAAGCCCTTAGGAGAACTCTAGCTGCCTTCGACCTGCTTGTCAAAGCAACCTGACCTCAGATTCAGATTCTTGTGTTACTCTAGGTGAGCAATTGTCAATATTAGGCTAGATTTTATGAACTTTAAAAACAAGAATTTAGGAAATTGAAGCTAATATTAATCTGTTCAAAGTGCTAATATCTTTGGTTTGGTCTTACTTTGTCACTATTTTTTACTGACTGCTACATATAGTAGATCTTTTCTTTGTTGTGTATTTTTCAGTAATGTTGCTGATTTTTAGGTTTTGCTCTAAGTCCTTTAGCCACAAACAGCTTTTCGATATTTTTTGGCCCTTCTGCTCTAGTTTTAAACTTTTCTAATGGTCATATTAAGAGAATATTGCTATTCATTTCCAAAATGTGAGTACAAGCATGCTGTAATGCAATGTGAACTACATTAGGAGTCGGGCAGTACGAATACTGGTCCTGGCTCTCAGAGCAGCTAACTGTGTAAATTTAGAAAATCCCTTTGGAAATTAACAGAGGTTTAAATAAGTAAGAGGATACAAAGAGAAAGTTTTAGTTCATAACACGAATTTAATTTTCACCAAATTTAACATAGAGAAAGAATGAAGTGTTCCTAAATAGAAAGCTGAATTTTTCTTTTCTTTCTCCTGTCTAGCCTCTCTGCTGATAATGTTGAATTTCATGCCAGCCTCATGCTCTGGAAAACAATGATGCTTAAGAAATCCCCCTAGTCTTTTTTTTATCTAAAATCCTCTTTTGTATGTTATGGGAAATGGATTATCTGGAAGAACTAACTTCCCCATATGAACACGTGTTGATCCTTTCTCTTGACTCCTGTAAGATTTGCAGATGGCTCCATTGTTTATCTGTGATAAGGCCAAACACAACCTTCCCCCACTTTGCCTCAACCTGACAACAAAACCAGACAGACCTTTCAACTTCCCCTTTATGGTCTCATGAATGATCAGCTGAGATTAGAACTTTTGTCCCCTGTGAAACTAGCTAGACACAGGGATAAATATTTCTATTTTAGCTAAGAATTCCCTGATTGGAAAAAAATAAGAATCCCAACTGTGGATCACCCCACCTTTATTTAACTTGTCAAATTCTTCCTGCTGAGACCCTGATTTTTAAATCTCCCTCCCTATGGAAAAGCTTTGAATAAAATCAATTTCCTTACTTGCTTGGCTCCTGTCTTTGACACTACCTCCCATTCTTCTTCCTTTTCTCCCTCTATTTCTTTTTTCCTCCTGTCTACTTTCTTTTCTTTAATTTTTTTTTGGATATCCACAGGGATTCTCAGATTTTATTCAAGGTGAGGCTTGAATCAGATCAGACACATTCCTTGCCTTGCTAAACCGGTAAGAATGATGAGTAGCAGATGGGCATGTGTCTACTAAAATGAGAAAAGAAAAGATTAACAGCATACTAAAAATATACTGCTTCGGAGCTGAGTAGCATTCTAAGGACCACGTAGCATTAAGATATAATAGAAAAATTTAACTTGGATTTGTTATTAGGAAAGCCTGGATTTGAGGTTCCTGATAATAATCTCCCTCAGAATTATTGAGGTTCAAAGTAGTCAACTTAAATAAAAGTATATATGTTACTGTGTATGTGTTTCATACATATTCATTTCTGACTATACAATTCCTCAGATTAAAGAGGACCAAAATAATGCAACTTAATTAAAAGTATATATATGAATGCATGTATGTTTGTGAGTGTAAATTTTAATTTGTTTCCATTGAATCTGGAATAAATTTCTCTCTCTCTACACACACACACACAAGCATACACACATACATGTAACACACACAGTCATATATAAAATATATAACTCCCTTATTAAATTGAGGGGAAATTTAATCTATTAAAATTCTTAAGAAGGTTTCAGTTTAATGATGTTTCTTTAACCTGAGAAGTATTCTATTTCATATTCCTTTAATTTATACAAGTAACTCATTAAAAAGAAATGCTGATTTCAAACAGGTTTTGGAATTCTTGGCTTCTGTAAATTTAACTGTCCACATGCTATATGCACTAAATCATTTTTACTTCTAAAAAGTTTACAGAGGGGCAATTCTCAAAAGATTTACTTAGGTTTGTGGCAGAAAAATATAAACATTTAGATACCTCTTCTATTATAATGAAACCCTGCTCCTTTTTCTCAGGCAGGCACATTACCCTAAGTGATGAGGTTCACGGCACTACACAGCGTGCTTTTTTGGATCAACACCAGTTCTTCAATCCCACCACATCTTGGAGTGCATTTTTGATGAATAAATTACCAAACTAATGAGATGCACTAAGAGGTTAAGGATTGATCAAGTACATAATCTTTTTAATGAAGGACACAGCATGAAACACATTCCTCCAAATAGATACAATAAACAATCTTCTAAAACCTAATTAGAATAAAAATACAAGGAAAGGTGAAAAGTCTTAGAATTTCTGTAACAGATAATAACTTGACATTTTCTGCAACAATGTAAAAGCTATTAGTCTACCACCCTTATTTATATTTGAAGCAGGTGAGTCTCAGTAGTTTACTAGGCTAAAATAATGATATTTTGATATAGAATTTTAATATATCTTTAAGCCTTCTGGGTACATGAAAATTGTTTCAAAATATGGCTTTGGAGCTTTTACAGAACTTGCTAGATTTTGTGGATATCTAGTAAATGTTTTGTACATCTTTTGAGTAGACACAATTTTTGAGGCATTGTGAAGTGGATTTAGCCTTTTGGCTGTCAGTATTTTTTGGTATAATTTAGGATTTAATCAAGTTTCCAGTTCTTATTTCATTTGGGTATTAAAATTGGGTTGTAAACCTTTAGTGAGAGGTTTAGTTAAAACTGTCAGTCACAAATCAAATTTTTAATGAAATATCTGTATTTTTAAAAAATGATAATGACAACAAAGGATCGGATGGCACACTGAACAAAATGATCCGTCTGGATTTAACAAATATGGCAAAAAGTAGTAATCCTTAGGAATGTTGAATCTAAACAACAGCCTAACATTTGGGTTAGTGATGTCCATACCTACAAACATAATGGTTTCCTTTTGCCCAGTAGTTAGAGTAACACACTAGTTATTAGATATCAGTATTACTGATTAATTATACCATAATGGTGTTATACAGTATGTGCTGGAACTCTTTTATTCTCTAATTTTTCACACCATCTGCTCAAGTTGAATACTTAGAGTGTATTGCTAAATGCATGTACTTCAGATATTGCTACGGGTTTTAACACACCACATTGTATAATTCATTTTCCTTCCAAGGACTTAGGATTCTTTGTATATCTATTTAACACAGGGTTAACTCCTAATTGTGCCACCAGTAAGCAAAGATTTACTCTCTACCGATAAAGAACATGTGAGATATACCATTCTGAAAGTGTTAATAGAAAAACCAAACTCTATAAAATATTTTAAAGAGGTTTATTCTGAGATAATATGAGTGACTGTGGTCCAGAGAAAACAGAAACCCATGAAGTGTTGAATAAGTGGTCCCAGGGCAATCAGGTTAGTTTGGTTTTATACATTTTAGGGACACAGAAGTAAAAGAAAAATATATCAATCAATAAATGGAGGGGGTTAAATAGAGTTTAGCTTAATGCTGCCTTCTTCCATATTTTGAGTTTTATTTAAGAATTTCTCTTGCATAGTGAGCTATAACCTAAATGGAGTTGTAAACAGACCGTAATCTACTTGATGTGCCAATCATCGAGTTTTGGCCCATCAAAGGAGGCCAACTGTTCAAAATGTGTTCAAATAAGGCAAACACTAAGCTGTAATCAATCTGGCTGTTTCTGTACCTCACTTCCATTTTCTCTTGTCATTTTCCTTTTTTTGTCCATAAATCGTCCACCATGTGGTTGCTCTGGAGTCTCTCTGAGCCTACTCTGGCTTGGGTGGCTGCCCAATTCATGAATTGTTCTTTTCTCAATTAAACACTGTCAAATTTAATTTGGCTAAAGATTTCCTTTGAACAAAAGTGTACATTAGTCCAGTCTCAAAAGGCAGGACATCTCAAAGCAGAGGGCTTACAAGTCATAGATGGGTTTGGGGGATTCTTTAGTTGTCAGTTGGTTGACAGTTAAGCTATTGTCTAAGAACTTGAAGTCAGTAGAAAAGAATGCTTGAGTTAAAATATTAAGGGTTGTGTGAGCCAAGGCCCTTGTTATGTAGATGAAGGCTTACAGGTAACAGTGTTCAGAGAGAATAGATGGTAAATGTCACTTTTCAGACCTTAAAGGTATCAGACTCTCTTAGATTGGGGAAAGGCCTAGAAAGGAAAAGCTTGGCTACATAATAAGGATTCTCTACAGATGCAAAATTCTTTCACAAAAGATGGCTCTGCGTGGCCATTGCAACCTGCTGGCCTTGTTGTAGCCATTTCAAAATATGTCAAAGAAATATATTCTGGGGTAAAATATATTGATTTCCTTCAGGGTCTGTTATCTATCATGAGATGTTATACCAGAGTGAGGCTGGAAAGCAAATCAGATTATATTAATACCTGGTTATTAAAAACAAAACAAAACAAAACAAAAATTTAATGAGAGTTTATGGTTTGTAGGGTGTGACTTAACCCTTGCCTTGCATAGTCCCAGGTCTTGTTTATTCATTGGTATCTTATTTCAACAAAGAGTCTGTTCTTAGTCTTATGATCTCCATTTTAACATTAATGCTGGTCAGCTGTGCCTAAACTCTAAAAGAGAGGGGGTATGATGAAGCATGTCTCACCTCGCATCCTGTTACAATGAGGAATTTCATTATTCATGTTCCTCTGGGCTGCCCTTGGCTAATAGAGAGTCTGTTCAGTCAATTAGGGACCTTAGGATTTTACTTGTGGTGTACAAAGATAATAAAAAGAAAAAAAAAAGGAAATTAAACTTAATTTCTTCCCCTTTTCTATCTAGAATTTTGATTGTATACCATTTTCATTTCTATTGCTTGATTGTACATAAGTTCTTTGTAGGGGGGAGACACCTGTGTTTGATTTATTCTTGTATCTCTCAACCTTATGTTACCAGAAAGGGGTCCCGATCCAGACCCCAAGAGAGGGTTCTTGGACTCCATGGAAGAAAAAATTGGGCACGAGTCCATAGAGTGAAGTGAAAGCAAGTTTATTAGGAAAGTAAAGGAATGAAAGAATGACTATTTCATAGTCATGGGCAGCATAGGCTGCTCAAATGAATATATGTGCAGTGACTTCTTGATTTTATGCTAAACAAATGGTGAATTATTTATAAGTTTTCCAGGAAAGGGGTGGGCAATTCCCAGAACTGAGGTTCTCTTTTTTAGACCATATAGGGTAACTTCCAGATGTTGTCATGGCATTTGTAAACTGTCATGGGGCTGGTGGGAATGACTTTTAGCATGCTAATGCATTATAATTAGCATGCAATGAGCTGTGAGGATGACCAGAGGTCATTTTCATCATGACCTTGCTTTTGACAGGTTTTGGCTGGCTTCTTTATCACATCCTGTGTTATCAGCAAGGTCTTTGTGACTTGTATCTTGTGCCTACCTCCATCTCATTCTGTAATTAAGAAGGCCTAACCTACTGAGGGTGCAGTCCAGCAAGTCCCGGCCTTATTTCACCCAAGCCCTATTCAAGATGAAGTTGCTTTCGTTCAAGTGCCTCTGACACTTAGAGTAACTGTATAAACCAAAGAAGGTGCTTGTTAAGTGTTTGTGGTCTAAAGGAATAAAATGTCAAAAATTTCAATTTTTCCAAATTCTACAATAGTAGTAGAATTTTTATTTTGCATTTTGTCTATAAAGTGATACATTTAATATTAATTTTTTTCTTGATTATATAAAAATGCATAGTTTTCTCAGGTACAGATGTTTTCTTTTGTGTAATATTTGTACTGGTGTTGTTCCTTTTAGAGTAAATAAATATTTTTAAAGTAATTTTTGAATTTTCAAACAGTAACTAAAGCTACAGTGCTATTCCAAAGTCCATAAACTATTTTTCTTGCCAACAGAAAAAAAAAATGTACCCAAAAGTGGTAATTCTACTGTAGTCTCTAAATCAATACACAATCATAGTGTAATATTACTGAATTCCCATGGATTGATAGCTGCTACTCTAGAATACATCAATGACTGCCAACTTTTCCCTAGGAAACAATCAGGGAACAGGCCAGTGGGCTAGAAAAATGTTTGAAAAAAAAGATAATCAGTTAAGTAATTCCATCTTATGAGAGAAAATGAGGAGCCATATTAAATTCAGTGTTCAGGCATCATATTGCTAACTCTAAGAAAGTCAATATAACGAAGTAAATATTTTCTCCTTTTAGGGTTTTTGGGGGCATATTTCTGCCTACAAAATAAACTGAAGCAGAAAATAAAAGGAGTTATGTTTCTGACTGCTTCCTCTACTCACAGGTGTTTCAAAATTGTTCCTTGAGAAAGACAGACATTCCTAATTAGAAGAATCGGCTCTAAGTGACTTAGTTATTTTTGTCCTCCAAGAAGCATCTTTATTTGAATTTCCAGTTGAATTTTTTCTACATGTGTCAGCCTGTTTAAACATAGTTAACATCTCTTCTACACATTGGTGGTCTTAGCAAAGGATGCCATGTGCAGATCATTCCCTTTCAGCTTGGGAACTTCCAGTTAAAGCCATCCAGAAAATATGGTAAAGATTGGTCTCTTTGGTCTTCCTTCTTGATGGCAGCCATGTGGAGGAGAAGTATGTGCAGAGGAGAAGCAGAGAAATCAGAGAAGCCAGCAAGCAGATGCCTTAATTGTCAAGTCCATCCTATCTGTCACCAAGATATGTACTATTTTGGCAGCCCAGGAAATGATATTTCCAGGAGAAGCAGGAGCTGCTGCTAAAGCCAGCAGATACATTTTTTTTGGTGGTAGCCTCATGGGCCAGTAACTTTGAATGTCACAGGTAGAGATAACCAAAGTTTAATATCACAGGTAGTAGTATTAAGTGTTTGACATCAAAGGTGCAGCAGTATGAAAAAATGTATACCTCTTATAGTGATACTAGTGCCTTTGCTTCTTACTTCATCCTAAAGAGATAGAGGAACACCAAGGTAATCCCTAACTGCCTTTATAACCGTGCTAAAAAATGTAAGAACAACTTGTGGGGTTGTGAAAACGCTATTATAACATGTTAAATTCTATTGGTCCTTTTTTTAACTTGAAAACTTGTATTTTTTTTTTCAGTGATGTCCATTATTTTCTGTAGGATGCTGGAAGCTTATAATAGAGCACTGTATTTTGTCATAACATAATAACATTAAAAATATTTGTGATAGAGACAAGCTTAGATGTAATTTTGGATGATAACCAGGTTGAAATGAAAGCTATATATTTTTTGTCAATAATTGGATTGTTCATGAGTAATAGTAAACTAATATATTGCAAAAGGATAATATTATGTCACTCAAATAATCTACATGTAATAGGTCTATGGTGATGTACATGAACAAAGAAAAGGGGAAAGAAAATAGGAGAAGGGAGAGAAGCAATACATTATTGATATTACTTTTAAAGTTCAGCTTTCAAATTATTTAATATAACTATATTTGTTTTAAAAAGTAAGGTGTACATATATAATTCTGGTCTATGTATATACAAACATGATTAATACAAGAACTAGTCAATTTTTGGCAGAAAGGAGGAAAATAAAATATACTTAATATACCATGATGTACAAACAGCCTTGTCTATTTATTTGGCAAACATCTATTTGCGTTTTTTGAAATCTAGGACCTCATGTCTAGATTTTCAGGTAGCCACCATGCAAAAGAGGGGAACTGTAGTTAAAAACACGACTAATATATAGTAAATACCATAAAAAGTAAGAAGCTTTTGGATTTTTAACTTTTTTAATTTTGAAAATTATTCTCCCAATTTCCATTTTTGAAATAAGGTATATCCAGAATCTATTTAAATATTGATTTAAATATTTGTGTTTGAAAAATTCCTTATTTAAAAAAGCACCTAAAAATGTTTTGCAGATATCTTACTATAAAACACTAAGTCAATCCCCAAACTATCACCGTTTTATTGAGAGAAAGCCAGGAACTGATTAATTTTCTACACAAGTATTTTGGCGGGCACAGGAAAGGAGATGTGATGATCGATATCCACTGTAGGTTTGGCATCTTTAGCTAACTAATCCCAAGGGTCCAAGGTCTCTAAGTTCTCCAGTAATGGGTGCAATTTCCTTTCACTCTCCTAATCAGCTTGAGCAGAGCCCAGGTCTTAGAGTAGTTCTCCCTAAAGCATACCCTGAGGCAAGGATACAGGTGCAAGCAATTTGTTAAGGAAGTTCCCTAGGGGCCAGCAGGAGAGTCCAGACTGGGATGAGGCCGCCAGACCATCGTTTGAGTTCAGTTGAATCCCAGACTCAGTGGGAACCCTCAGGGAACTCCTAGGGGAGCCGGGCTTTGTCCAGACTTTCAACCAAGTAGCGGAGCTGTGCTCCCATACTCTTCAGTCATTGCTAGGGCTTATGGCTGGGTGACCTACCTCAATCCCCTGCACGTGTGGCTCTCTGTAAGGACGAGGTGCCAGTCCTCTGAGAGTGGAAGGTACAAGTAGTTAGCTGCAAAATATACTGGAGCTGGGAAGTGGTTGCACAGAGATTGACCAGTGAGGCCCAAGGGACTAAGGGGACACTGCCAGTGTCTGCCATAGACCCATTCTGTGTAAGCACAAAAGGTCCAGTTCCCCCAGCAGTTGTTTCTAAAAATCGCAGCAAGAATCTGTCTTTTCACAGCCATTTATTGTTACCCTTCCCTTCACTGTGACTCCTGAGTCTGTCCCTCAGCTCCCCCTGACCATCTGTGTGGTAATGACTACTCCGTGCATAGCCCTCATCCCTAGTCAGCTTTGCGCTAGAGGTGGGTTCAGGCTTTTCTCTTTAATCACAACAACACACTGAATAAAAGGCTGTGCATTGAATACATGCGATCAAATCTTTCATAGAAGGTAATAGAATTACAAAGCAGAAAAGGGAAACTAAATGGCTCCTGGGTGCATTGTTTCTGCTGTGCTGTGCCTTAGACTGAGCTTCTGCCTTGCCTTTCTCCCTGTTCTGCTTCTGTGTTATTGAGATGCAACCTGCCCTCTTCCCCCAAATAAGATAAGAAGCTTTTTTTCTTTTTTTTTAACATGGCACATTTAACAAACCCTATTTAAGACACTGCAAGTTTTTAAAACATTATTATAATTATATTTTCAGAGAAAAAGACTATCATAACATCTTACTTATGAAACAGAATTCTTAAGTACAGTCTTAACCCGCAGTTACTCCCTGTATTCAGTTTCTAAAAAAGCCGTGAATAAGTCCATGTTTTCCATCTCTACAATGAAATATTCACATGAAAAACTTACTGAAGACAGAGTTTAGTTAAGCCCTAGAGTGAAGAACCTGTAGCTTTTTTAAAATCAGCAGTTTTTTTCCTCTCCTTTACCTATATAGCACATCTAATTCACGTATCATTTCAAATTATTTTATAGAAGAGGAAAGTAAACCTTAGAATGTTTAATTTTTTTGAAGTCATGCCATTACCATGTGGAAGACTTAGGATCCCATCCTTGATCCTCTGACTCCAAATATACTTATTTTTCATACTATTTCAATTTCTTTATGAAAAAATGTATTATAGTGTCATTTTTTCCCTTATTTTTGTGTAACATCTTTTGGGGCTTTAGAGGCCATTTGCCACATTGTGTGGCTTCTCAGGATATTCTAAAAACCTCTCTGCTGCTCAGATAATGTTCCTTATTATGAATCCTGCTTTCCTAAGGCAGGAAATAGTCGGGTCTTATTCTGTCTTGCTAATAGCTTAGACACAGAATACAATCCAAGAACAAGAAGCTCAAATGTGTGACTTGAGTAAGAAGAAAACAATATAAGGAGGTAGCAGGGTTCCACAGAACCTATCTTTGAGAGAGTGTGGTGGTTAAGGTAGCTAGCTTTTGTGGGCCGCATTAGTGAAATTCTAGCATTTCATTTCAAGCATCAATTCTGTAAGCAGTAGACTCATTTGTGACTTATTAATGTAAGGATAAAATTCATATTTACCTTTGTGAGTGATTAAGAGGACTGAATGAGATAATCCATGCACAGTGCTTAAGCGTGCATGGCACAGAGTAAGTTCTTAATACAAGTTAGCTTTTATGAAGAATAAAGAGAAGAACAGCAAAACTAATTCATCAACCTGTCTCCATATAGCCACTGCTTTCTCTCTCCCTTAAACTGAGTTTTCTGTATTCACCAAGTCTACTTCTTCATCCCTCATTACTCTCCATTCTATTCCAATCTGGCTTCACCACCTCCTCCATTACATGACCAGACATTTCTCAGCAACATCACCAGTAATCTTCAGGTCAGTGAATCTAATGAACATTTTCTATTTCTTTACTTGCTGGACTGTATACCTATATTAAAAAAATGTTGGTCAGGCACAATGGCTTATGCCTATAATCTCAGCAGTCTGGGAGGCTGAGGTAGAAGAATTACTTGAGCCCAGGAGTTCAAGGTTGCAGTGAGCTATGATCACACTATTACACTCTCTCTAGCCTGGATGACAGAGCAAGATCTGTCTCTAAAAACAACAACAACAACAAACTTAGCCTCCTCTTCAGGCTTAGCCTCTTATATTGCTTTTAAAGCTTATAATTCTTCATGTCATGATTTGAGGCCTATAACTCTTCTTGTTTGATATCCAAATCTATTTCAAATCTATGTTTGATATCCAAATCTATTTCAAGACTATGACTTTAATTATCTTCTAGACACTATTGATACTCAGATCCTAGAACAGTGTTTGACACACAGTAGATAGCCAATTTCTATTTGTTCAGTGTACAATTGGGTAAATGAGCAAAGCATCAGCAAGCTACAGATACTTTTATGTGTGTGTGTGTGTGTGTGTAACACTGAGCCTTAGCATGAGCAGGAAAGAACCTAATAATGCCTTGTGCAATAATGGAGGACCATTGTATCTATATTATGTAACTGAAATATTGATATGAAATGAGACTGTGTTATCTGAGCGAATATTTATATATGTGAGAGTTGTTACCAACAACTACTCCTCTCAGGAAGCTCTGCTCATAGGTTGAAGTTCATGTTTCACTTAAGACCTTGCAAGTCTTGACCGAATTGACTATTGTTGCCACACAACTGGAGTCCTGAGTTCAACTTCAGGCCTAGGATTTAGGAAAACGTAAGAGAAAAGGCTTCCTATTGTTGGGAGGAGGTTAAATTTTCCCCAGGGAAGCAGTAGACTTTTGTGGAATACAGACACTTGTAAGAAGGTATGGCATTTTGTGGAGAATGGGCAATGTGCTAATTGGAGAAGGAAAGATCAGGAATGAAATAAATAGCTATTAGGACACATTCTTATAAGGTCATTTGTGTATTTTAAAGCATACCCAATACAATATCTTTTGTGCTGGATAGCTCACACTTAGAATCTAAGGATATTGAATTGCCTTAAATGAGAACCCACATTTCAGGGGTTGTCACTGGCAAAATATCAGAAAGGCTACATTTCAAAAGCATAGTATATGTAAGCACAATATAAATATTGTATATACTATACATAATACTATATAATGCAAGAGACCAGAGACATGTAAGAGGACCGTATCTCCTGATTTCCTTAGAGATAACCAGAATCTACCATTTGTTGAGGAAACAGACATGGATGTAGAAATACCTAGGTTATATGATCCTAAAATCTACAATGTATCTAAGGCCTAGAAAATAGTTTGCAGTCTTGTAAGTACTCAACAAATGTTTTGCAATGAACAAATGAATGCATTTAGCCTTAGTTTTAAAATATTATTTCTTTTGTGAATGCTAACAGAAAAGGAAGTCCTCACCAATAGTTTGACTCAATCTTCATCACCTGCTATTCTGGTAAGTGCTTAAATACGTTTACTGAATGAATGAATGTTTACTGGAAAAAAAATCAATGACTGAATAAATTTTAAAAGTAGCTGGTAGATTCTAAATATTAAAGTGCATCATGGTGAGAAAAGAAAATTACTCTAGGCTGGACAGATGAGATATATATTCTTACATTGTTTAAGAAGTACATGTGACTATTGCTAAACAGGATGATAGTAAAATAAATTGATGCTTGCATCTCAAAACCCCAAATATATTACAGTAAGTTTGCACAAATCAAAATTAGGAAAAATTAAAACATGTTAGAAACAAGTAACATGGTGCTAAAGTAAAAGTAGAAGAGAAAAGGAATGGTTTCCTTTTGAAAAGGTTTATTATATCATTAATGGTACCTTAGCACAGGGACCCATGCAATTATTTTCAAGTTGATATTTTTGATATTATTATGTTAAAGATTTTTATTATTGGAGCCTTTACAAATTTATTGAGCAATGGAAGAGATAATGCATTGAGAAAGTGAAGAGTTAGTGATGCCATCTAGGGATACGAAGAGATGAGTAGAAATCATTCTTAAGCAGTGTATTCCTCGGGTCATCAAATGGACTTGTTACTCTAGACAAGAGGTATGAAAACATGATTATTGCCCAGCTATTGAATGTCAATCAATATAATGGAGTCAACACAAAATAATCTCATGGGAGACTGTTGTATAAGACAATGCCAATTAAGAGTTTTACACTGGAGATTAACCACTTTCACACCTATAAACATTTCCTTCACTACACAGACTTTCCCAGTATCAAATAATCTGGAAAACTTGGAATTTGCAACTGTGCAGTTACTTGGAATGTAGGAAATCAGAACAGGGAACTAGAACTTTAGGAATCTTTTTTTTCTCTCTAGTATGAATTAACCAGTGTTATAACAGAGCACATATGTCCAGGGACTAGACAGTTCTTGTTCACCAGATGTGGTGGCATGGAGTAGATGAATTCTTAATAAAACACTCTAAGTATTTATTTTCAGTTTCACAGAGAATTGAAAAAGGATTAAACTTAAATTACATGCATTAGTTATATTCCTGTAATTGATTAAATATTTTAATTGCTTTAAGTTTCTACCTAGAAATTTAGGAAACATATCATACTAAGCAGAGAGTTGATGGAAGTATCTAATAACTTGAAAAATATAGAAAAATACTTAGGGAGCACAATATAATTTTATTATTGTCACTTTAACATAGAACAATATTCTTACACTTACATATTCTTTGCTTCTTTTGGCTATGTGATGGTTATGTCAGTTTTGCTTAAATAATGCCAATTACTCTTCTCTACAGAGATAATTTACTTGGAAACTTTGTTCCTGAATATGTCTGTTAAGTTGATCCATATATATAGTACACTTGTTCTCTAAATTAGCAAATATCAAAATCATCCAGAATGCATCATAATATCTCATATTCCTGGAAGAAGCCTCATAGTTTCTTATTCTGAAAGTCTGACCAAGACTCAGGAATCTGCACTTGTAACACGCACCTCAAGCAATTTAGGTGGGCAATCCAGAGCTTTGAGACAAACCTGCATATAGTGATTTCATTGTACTGGTGAGTGTCCATCAATCCCACTGGCCTTTGATGTTGGCTGGGCTGGTGTCTATCTGGTCCCATCCAAGTGATAAACTGGGCTATCCTGGAACCAGTGATCTGGCCAGGATATCAACTGGCATCCACTGGTACAGTCAGTGCTGCATTGAGCTAGCATATGTTCTGATGCGGAAGGCATCTATCCTCAAAAGTGGCTGCTTAGATATAGTGAGTACGTAGCATTTAAATATTACCCTGGCTTCAGCAGTTCCTTGTCCCTCTATTTCCTGAAGGAGAATCCTTTCTGACTTGTCTCTGAAATAATCTTATATTTTTCTTTTCCTGAGGAAATATTTCTACTCAGATATCCAGAGAAACAAGGCAAACTATTTTCTGAGTCCAAGCAAAGATTCAGTCTATTAGTGTTTTCTTTATGTCTAGAGTTGACCTAGTCACACATCAATGGTGAATGCTTAACAATTCAAATAATTCAGTTCCTTCCAAAGTGTTATGGTTATTCTTAGGCCCATTATGCAAACCATGAAACAAAAATTTCTCTACAATGAACATGGGTTGCATACAGAAAAAAAAATCTTGAATTTAGAATTTTAAAACAATTTTCCTAAATATGAGTTGTCAAAAGCCAGGAAGTAGTGTGAGTAGAGGCAACAGATTGATTTATTCTCTTCTTTGGTATACTATAGATTTTAAAGAAAAGGTAAACATTTTCCCCTGCAGCATGGTAAGAATGCAGCTCAGCACAGGTGAAAGCTGGTGGAAACATACGGATTTTCAGGATCCCATCCAGCATAGTGAGTCTATTTATTTGTTCTTTTCCTGTGTTCAGATGTGGCAGTGATGGATGCTATTTCCATACAATGCAATGCCTCGAGCTTGCATCAGGACCATGCTTTTTAATGAAATAAGCACAGTCCTTTACTTTTCACATCTTGACTACTGACTTATTTATTATAGATTTTGGGAGAAGCACATTTAGTTAATAAGTGTTTAATCATTTTCATAAATACAGGTTTTAGAAAACTGTTCTTGGAAGTCTGATTTAGGCCAAAATTAGGTGTATTTAACCTGGCTCCAACAATCTATAGTGTTTTATTTCACAATATCTATTTCTTAACACACAAGACTTCCCTCTTTCCTCACCTTTTCGATGTTGGCCTTAAACTTAAATTATGACTTTAACCTGATCCATCTGCTAACTTGAAGTAATTAATTTTATGATATACTTAGAAGGAGATATATATCTAAACATGAAGCTGCTTTCATTTATCTCTTTATATTTTGTGGTTTTAAATTCCATCTAATTAACAAAGGATCATAGTGTTGTGGTATACACTGGGCACTCATATATTTGTATATTTGTTAACCTGGGGGCATTATGACATTTTGAAGAGAAAGAGAACTGTTTTAAGCTGGGGTGGGGAGACAAAAAACAATCTGTAACACTTTTGTGCAATTTAAACAATGGTGCAAAAGAGATGAACATAAGAATAACATTAAACTTTTTGTTCTAGAAAGGCTTTTCTCAAGAAGCTTATTCTTCTCCTATTTTTATCTGCTATTCTAGCAATTCCTTAGGGCACAGCAGTTTGTCTCTGCTCATTGGTTTGGAGCTGACAGCAAAATTTGGAGCTCTTTCATCAATGTGCCATATACTTTTTCTGTTTTCATGTATTCATCATCATAATTTTGAAGTCTGTGTATTGAAACTGTTTTAGGATATAACTGGATGGGTGTTAAAATTTCCCTGAAGGCAGTATTGTTCTGATGTGGCTGACGGTGAACCTGGACTCACTGATATAATGGTGTCAGTGATGGCCAGGAACCAATGACTTTAATCAAGGTTCTAAATGTTCTTCAGATTAAATTGCTTTCCAGAGTGTTTTGAGTCTATGGAGTCTGAGTGAATGCTTCTGTTTCCTTTTTGTGGTTTCATTCCCCTAGAATGTGAGTTTTCTTAGGTTTCAATGCTGTAACTATTCAATAAGAGAAAAATATTCTATTTGCCTTGTAATCTCATTTTGTGTTGCAATCTGAAGCATGTAGATGTTAGTTACTGTAGAAATAAAGGAAAGAAATGAGCCCTAGTTTTTCCTTCTCATTATCATTTCCTTTGAACACATAGGAAAGGTTTTGCACACAAGACATGTTGCTACTCAAATAATAATTTATCTAAATAAATGGATATTGGTTGCTCTCACCTTAAAGACTGTTTCTAATTTCACAAATGCTGCAGTTGTTTAGCACATTGTTGATCCAAAATTTTAGAATGGTGTTCTAAGTCAGCAACAGATTTATTTTTATGCTTTTATTTTATTGTGTTCCTTCCTTTTTTTTTTCCATTTTTACCTTCTCTGTTTTCACCTTTCCTCTCTCTCGTCTGCCTTCTACTTTCTTCCTCGTAGGGCTTCTGGCAGTGATACTCACTGGGTTCCCTTGGAGATTTTAATTCTCAGACTTGTCCACACCAAGCCTCCAGCAATTCATCAATTATAGTTTAAGTTTTCTTACCTCGACACTGGTTCTCACGGAGTTTCTTGCTCCTTGGCTTCTGCTCCCATAAGTTGAGATTCTCTGTATTTGCTTGTCTTTCTCTCCAATTGTTGGGGCGGTGGCTTGCTCTGTGATCTCAGTTCTCAGAAGAATCTTTGAAGAGTTGTTAATTTTTAGTTTGCTTCTTTTTTCTTGTTGTGAAGCCAGAAGTGATGGTTTCCATGCTGCTTACATGCTGGACCTGAAACTGGAAGTCTCTGAAGTACGCTTTTAATGCAAAGAAAATTAAAATATCTGCAGAGCATTTTGTACATATTAAGTGTTCTCTCATTTTTAGCTATCAATAATGCTGCATTTAATACATCATATCTTATTGATTCCAAGGCTATGTTTTTCAGATTTCAACAACTCTGAAATTGTGATATGATGTCTTACAATTACTTTGCATTTGATATCTGCTGCTGCCAACCCTGACTCCCCCAAGGGGGAAGCCCAGCCACTGTTAAGGTAAGGGCTAGGCAATTGCCCCTCTCCACTTTGAACCTCCCTGGTCTGGTCAATGCAGTCCCTTTGTACTAACCCCTCTCTGTAAAGCGTGAGCCTTAACATCCTTGGAATGAATTTTACACAAGGCAAGCACATCGCAGGGCAACCAAGATTTCGGGGGGCAGCAACTTAGATCTGGTGTCGATAGGCTGTGATAGCACACCCATCCTGACTTTTTTCTTCTCTGTCTCTTTCTTTTGCTCTGTTTCTCTCTCTGTCTCTGTCTCTCTATGTCTCTTTCTTTCTCTGAATTTGAATAGCGGATAGGAAACACTTCTGGGGCCAGAGGATGTTTTAAAGAGTTTTTTCAATAAGTGCATAATAAAAAAAAGTCAAATAATTTTTTTTATATTTGTCATAGTTTAGTTGGCAGCATTATTTCTTGTTTAGTGGTTCCTAAAATGATGTTGGACAGCAATTTATATTAGATCAAATATCCCAGTGCTGTGCTGAATCCTAGTGACTTAGGATTGTGTGCATTTCTTCCCAACAGCATTACCAGTGATGTTACTTGGTGACTTCAGGTTAGCCATGCTGGGAGTATTAGCCCTACATAAACATTAAAAATCAACTTCCTTGCCTTAAGCTGCAGTTATTAAACATTTATTAGAACACACTGATTTTATATCTGAATTACAAATTACACTCTGAAAAAGCAATGTCTGTGTGTGATTGGTTACATAAGATGCAAATATGGAAAGCTAAAACAAATTTCACAAATTTACATATCACCATTTTTTGGCATGAACCAGCCACTAATTCTCAGAAGAGTTTAGCACAGTTTTTTTAAAAAAATTATTTGGGTTTATTATAAAGACATTGATAAAACTCTAATAATTTTTTCCTCCCCTTTGATGAACATTAAACTTACAAGATTTTAAAGAATGCATTTTAATAGTAAAACAGTGTTGTGTTGATCTATTGGCATAAAAATGATGTACAATGACTTCTGTAGGTCTTCCAGATTTATAGTAATTGAAGATCCTTAGGCTTTTTTAAAAAGTGTTCCAGATTTAGCTAGCGGTTAAGGGATTTTTTTTTTAAATAAAGAAACTTTAAAGTTGAAAAACTTTTTACAAAAAGCAGCAATTCCTTTAGCTAATATTTTTCTCGTTGACTATTATGAAACCATGCCCTTAGAAAGACCAGTTTCTTTTTCTTTTGAGATCTGGCAATGAAGAAGCAATCCTCTGTTTATGATATAAAGGAAACAATATCCTCTGGAGAACAGTAGGTGAAGACCATAATTTTCTGCAGATTCTCAGTACAAAATGAGTTCTTAAGATGGTAGCTTTTATTATGGAATTTATACTTTTAACTGAAAGGGAAAGTAGAAATTAAATGAAAAATGTTACATACCAAAATTACTTCTTAATTCTACACAGCGCTTCAAAATGTTTGTCTAGTTCTAATGGATATCCTTGGAAAACTCATCATCCATTTTGCCTTTAGGTGTTTAGGTTTTTATTGTTCATCTATTTTAGCTGTTCATTGTTTTCATCAAGCATATCCGTAGTTCTTAGGACAATGTCTTATTTATAATAGGAGCTCAAAAATATTTATTAATTGGTTATAGATATTGTGATACATATTAACATATATGTGCATATAATATCCATATTTTCTATATGTGTGTGTGTGTATATATATATATATATAACTTAATAAATTGAGGACACATTTATATTTAGTCTGTGACAGGATGTGAGTTTCCACAAATTGTTAAGGGCCTTTAATTCAGACTAAATGAACCTCTGTTCCTGCTAAAGTTCCACTTTAGCTTTGCTTTCTTTCACTAAAAGTCTTTTCTAATTCTATTCCTTGAATCCTTTCCTTCTTCCCTTTGCTATTTTATTCACTTCTTAGCTACTTTTTATTCATACCACTTCCTTTCACAGGAACTGATGAATCATATAGGCACATGAAATGGTAACCCTAATTCCTTACCTTCCTTCATATTAAAATGTATTACTGCATTACAGATCACAAAAATGATTGGTGACTAGAAGTGCTTGTGCAGTATTGTTTCTATGCACCAAATTAAAAATAAAGCACACAGTGCCTCAATGCAAAAAAATACAATCACAAATTTCATTCACTGCCTTTACCATCCAAGTGGAAAACCATTTCTGAAATATCTAAAATGCTACTCTATCTCCATCTCTGATAAATAAATAATAAATCATTCCTTCCTTTTCCCAAATGGTCTATAAATCAATATTTTGCAAAGTATTAACAGCATTTCTAAAGTTTACACAAGGATATTTATTGAATATATAACAAATATTAACTTCCTTATTTTTAAAGGGTATATTTCTTTAACCTGTTTATTTAAATAATACTTACAGAAAAGTTTCAATTTGTTTTTTTAATCTGTTAATGAGAAGTTATTTATTCATTACATTTTAGATAAATAAATATTATTACCCATGTGATGTATAGTAAAACAATTATTTTCAAATATAAATTGGTGTAGAGTAGGAAAAATTATTTTTAAATGAGTAAGATAAAACATTTAACCATGTTGAAATGACAATATAATTAAGAATATCAACACTAGTAAGTTAAAATAATTTGTTTAGAAAGAAAAATATTGAATGTTTAAATAAAGTAATGCTGTTAAATATACAGCTTACATTAATTGATAACACATTTTGTTTGTAAGTGCTCTGGCCTCTGCAGAAGACAGTTGCTATATACAGATGCATTACAGAAATGCGTCATTAGGCAATTTTGTCGTTATTCAAACATTATAGAGTGCACCTACATGAACCTAGATGTATAGCCTATTATACACCTAGGCATAGGCTATAGCCTACTGCTCCAGGGCTACTAGCCTGCACAGCACATTCCTGTACTGAATAGTGTAGGCAATGGTAATATGATGGTAAGTATTTGTGTGTCAAAACATCTAAACATAAAAAAAGTTACAGTAAAAATATGGTATTATAATCTTATGGGACCACCATCGTATATGAGATTATGAGGTCCATTGATGACTAAAATATCATTATGAGGCATATAATTATATTTATTAATTGAGAAAGCAAGTAGAACTCAGGTTTAAATGTAATTAATCACATATTATTCATAAACATATCAAACTCAAAACTCAAAGCTCATATATTTTTCTAGTTAAACATTATGGCAATAACAAAGTACATAGAAGGGAAATATCTGCTGTTTATCTTACTCTTTTTCCTAGAGAGATACTCTTAGTCTGGAGCACTTTTCCTAATTAGAAAATTCCACACCTGAGTGGTCACTGTGAGGTGGTTTTGAATGTGAGAATTGAACCCATTTACTTCCTTCCTTGATTCTATTTAAATTACATTGACCTAGGAGAGAAATACATAATTTAATTAGGTTGTAATTATTTTTTAAAATATTCATTCTAATATTATGTGGCAATTACCTGTTTATATCTGTTTTGGTACTTTGGAAATTAAGCTTGAAGGTATTCTGCACAGAAGAGTCTCCAAGAGGATTTGGGAAAGAGATATATAAGTATGCACACACACACGTATGCTGGATGCAGGTAATGAAGAGTATGCGTGTGTGTGTGTTTATAAATTTCTAAACTTTCATTCAGACAGTCTTGGGAGACAGATATTTCTTTGGGGGTGAGAGGGCTGTTACTCATCTCTTAATTAAACAAATATAAGTAAAGGTGGAAAGAAAAGTTAGCACAACTCAATGTTTCCTTACTCAAAATGCAGTACAGCACACTGATTTATTTGCAGTTATCCTCATATAATTGTTTATATTTAAAATTCATAAACTCCTATAGAGCTTTAAAATTTTTAAATCTCTCTGAACATATATTTTTTGCCTTTCACAATTAGCTATTCTCAAAGAATTTGAGAGAGAAGGTCACATGTAACCAATAAAGTTGATTTAATTTGGTAGAGGTAAAAATTCCCTTTCATGCAGCTCTTGAGATATAATTTAAACATAATGCTGAAGCTACCTTCTTCTGCTTTTAACCACCTGGAATCAGCATCTATGTCATAAAATGGGAGAGACATTGGTATGATTGTATTCAGAGTGAAAAAAAAGAGAAAATAATTGTTTTTTATTGAGCCCAAAATATGAATTCTAAAGATAAAAGTCATCAGAGAAGGGTGGCTGTTTCCAATATTCTGAACTGACTATATAATCGGTACAAATATATTTGTTTCAATATTTGTGCCTTGCTTACACACAGATGAGGTGAGGAAGTTCTCATTGAATTGGACATGTCTATCCCTATAGAAGGCAACCTTTCCATTCCTCAACAGCCTCCACACAATCCTATCACTAAATATTGTTTTCTGGTTTCCAAAGTTAATTATTTTTATGTATTTTTTTCAGAAATACATGGACTTAAACAATTATCAAAAATGACAAAATAATGAGTCAAATCAAGTTCAATTAATTAAACCTGGAATATAATACATATTAAAACCAAAAATATTCCTATTGTCTGAGCTAATGATAGCTAATTTAGTTCAACCTGAAATAGGAAAAAAAAATTTCACCACAAATGTTAATATAGTGCATACCACAGACAAAATTATAAGGTAGTCAAAATAGGTAAAAAGTATGTGCTTTGAAATAAGGAAAATCACACTCTAAATTGAACTCATTTCTCTACTCACTATGTGAACGTAAAACTGCTTCTTACTTCTCAAAAGCTTACTTTATCTTTGAAATAAGATAACATTCAGTTTGTTGAATCTTACAGTAATATATCAAAAAAAGTACCATAATTACAACTTACAAAGGTTGTATCTTCTATTTAATTCTGTAAGCTAGCAAATAATTCACACTTTTTTTTGAGAGATAGAAATAATAGTTACTTTTTATACTTTTTGAATAAACCTTCCTTTGGAATTGCAGAATAAATACATACACACATGCACGTGCACACACACACACATGCATACTTGTTTTAAAATGTAATTTCTCTTAACAGTAATGCTTCAAGAAATGGCACCACAATTTAGTGATAATTTTATAAGGCTATTTTGATACATTCATAAATTATTCCTAATGAGAAAATGTGTTTAGATTCAAGAAAGGAGAGTTGCAAGCCTATAATATATTGGCTAGATCAAATCACAAAATGACTCTTGTAAACACTTTTGATAATTTTTTTCTGTATTTTCTTCAACTTTTTCTTGTTTCTGTAGTAAAAATAACAGTATTTGTTATCATTAATTTTATACCACAATCTAACAGAACTTACTGCTTAACATAGATCTTAATAAAACAATTTTTTAAAAGGATCTATACTTTTACTTTAGATATGTTTTTCCATTGGATATTTGCTGCTTAATTTTGCTGCAAATCTGTCAAATCTGGCTCACAGATACATTTTGTTTGGTCAGAACAATTGAGATGGGTGTCTCTGTGTTCATGTTTGTGAGACTAAATGTACAAATAAACAACCAACCAAATAAATCTCTTTAAACTGTTTTTAGATGGGGCATGCATTCTCCATTTCACCACAGACCTTGCCCTTCTCTATTGCCTTTTTCTAAGCTGCTTCACATTCTATCTACCAGGAAGACAGATGAGTTTTGACTCCATCTTTAGAGGTCTTCAGATTGACGGAGCCCTGTAATAAATCACTGCCACTGCCTAGTGAAGACACAACCATTTTAGTGTTCTCTAACACTTTCTCTCTGCTTGTATTTCTGTTGAATTTATTGCTTAAATATATATGAGTTATTTATTTTTAAAACAATTCAGACTAAGCTCATGAACTAATAGAGCTCATAGTGTTCTATGTAACAGATGGCTACATCTATGTAAAATATTCAGACAGCTTTCATTCTTGTAACATTACGTTTATCAGATATATAGCAAAACAATTAATTTTTGCTATGAAAGCACTTTCGGAGAAGCTATGACATTTCCAGATTTTTATGTATATCTAATATAAAAATAAAGTTCACTAATTTCAAAATAACAGTTTTACAAATATTTGCCCTTTGTAGAAATATGCCATCATCATTGTTTCCTTGCAAAGGCACATTCACTCAATTTCGGTTATTATAAAAATGACAGGCAGATAGCATTAGTTATTGCCAAGCCTAGGGTGGGTTTGTGCTTGGTCCTTTTCCAAGAACAACTCTTCTAAGGGTCAACAGATTTTAAAAATATTTATTTTTAAATCTTCAGGTTCTCTTAAATGGCAATTATACTACATTTCACGATAGTCTCTGAGTTTTTTTGTAAAAAAAAGGAATACCTGTAACTATATAATATGAATATATGTACTTATATGCATATTTATGTATATGCATATAAATATAGGTATGTATATACACATATATGTATGTATACCCATGCATGTGTATATATATTTCATTAGTTTGGATTTGGGTATTATATCTAATAATTTATTGTGGGCATGGTGATTTTTCTGAAAAGACTGAGAAGATGAATTGGAGGGGCTGACATTAGACCTGCCAAATGATTGGGGTTCCAAACAATGGAATTTCAGACAAGCGGACCTGTGAACAAAGTGTAATTTTTATGAAGTTTGGTTCATACAGAAGAAAATATTATTATGTGGGTTACAGATGGAAAAACAGGGATTGTACATAGTATCAAAAATCTAGGTTGCGTTTTCAGTTATTGCCTTCCAGGTAAACAGGCTCGAGAACTTTGTACAAAGATAACAAGACTAAAGCTTACGTTTTAAGGTAAAACTATAGTCTCGAGGATCTCTGGCAAGTAAGATGGATTTTAGTCCTCATCTGAAGGTGAGGTAGAAGAACAGGAAGGAAACTGACAATTATTGAGTGCTTAGTACTATATGCTGCACTGGATGCAGGTAATGAAGAGTGCACTTGAAACAGGGGTTGAAAGTGTCAGTGAATGGGAGAGACAAGCTCCTCAGATCCGTAGAGCCAACAGCAAGGCCCCCCCACGGCACTGTGTCCCAGAAACCACATAGAAGCTGCCTCTGGCCAGTTGAAGAAGAGTGGGGGAATGCCAAACCCCCTAAATGAGGCACAGATGTACTGAGGCTGCTTCTTGATTTAGTCAAGAATAGTTCTGAAACTGAGTTCAGCCTGGTCTGCAAGTAGAGTATTGGGTGGAGTGAAGATATTAGAGAGTTGGAAAAACAATCAAATATTTATGGCTAATATTTAGTATCTAAAACAATCAAATTGAAACTAGGAATGCTACAGATGAACAAAAGTACACTTTTTAACTTGAGTACCATTCTCTTATATATTTGCAGTCAGAAATCCTACTTATAAAATAGATGTATGCCTAAACATGTCTATTATATAATAATCATTTTAATAAATGGATTTGTATTTTAAGTAAATAAGGGAACTCACTTTTCAAAAAATATCCAGTGAGGTTATCAGAAATAATTACTTTGTCCTCCAATGTATGGCCTTGTATGTTTTTTAGCACTTTACAATTTATCATAAACATTTTTACTTCTATTGTCTTATTTGAATCTCATAACTGTAAGTTATACTGAGTGGGCAGAATTAGCCATATTTTGTGGAAGAAACAGAGGTTAAGAGAAAAAGAGAAATATGCTCAATACCACAACATGTAAAAATTAGCTCTGGGTCTTGGACATTCTTACTGTTTTTTCCTTTTTGTTTTTGTTTTTGTTTTTGTATGCCACACTGCCTCTATGTTTTAAAAAATGTATTCTTAATTTCTATATGTGATGGTCTGTGATTGGGGTCCAATTAGTGACAGGAGGCAGCTTACTCCTTGGTATCATCATTAATACTTTAGCCCATCCTCTTAGTAGGTGGTAGGCACCTTGAGCTTGGAGAATACATCTCTTCTTTCTCACACTTGATTCCTCTTTCCACATCCCTTGTTACTTAGACTCTTAGTTGCCACTCTGATGCTGATTCCAGGCCCTGGAGAACCCTCCCACACTTCATGCATCCTTTCTCTATGGAGCTTTAACCATCTGTAGGAGAGCAGCCTATATAGTTGGCCATGAGTCAGCAAGCTTGGTGGAATTTTCCTCTCTTTCCATTTCAGTTCTCTGCTACCACATAGATTCTTTTTTCTTATATCATAACAGACTGCCAAGCCTCACCTCCTACACTGCCTCAACAGTGAGGAGGGACTATGTTACACGGCTTTTTATGCCCCATAATTCTTATTGCTAAGCTGATCTGCTTGGCTCCTTAATGATTTCAAAATTTGATAAGCATATTTCAGGTATATCTATATGGCTTAAATATTTTTGTATTATACATAGTCACCAGCAAAATGGACCACCTGTCAATCTTTTCTTTCAATATTGGCCTTTAAGATAAGTAATTATTATTTTCTTAGGTTTAATGTATTCACTAAATTTGTGACTGGACAATTTTTATACATTTTTTATTATCGCTTCTTGGAATTGTACAGTGTTTTCTTTATAAAATAGGTTAAACATAAATTGTGAGCTGATTTGCAGAAACAAGCTGCCACATACAGGAATGGTTCTTTTGGGAGAAGTTAATTTCAGATTCCAAACAAATAATTTGAACTTAAATTTGAAAAGAAAATAAACCTTTTTGCCGCTTTGAGGTTGCTTATATTTGGTTGTTTTGAAACGAAACACACCTGCTTGACTCAAATTACTAATATCATACTTATCATTTCTTCTATTACAGCTGAGTTTATAAATACTACCTGCTCTGTGGAAGTCATCTATAACTCTGGGGTGGGTAATGTGAAATGCTATTACTTTAGAAGCTTTTGTTGCTCAATCATGCTTTAGTTGAATTCACATATTGTGTTTCAGAAAACATGGTTTGACCTGTGAAATACGAGAATTCACAAAATAATCAAAAATTATAACATACCTTGAAGAAAAATATATTTGAAAAGAAAGCTGTCTGTCAATCAAAAGATTATTACATTGATGAGGGACAAGGCAAGAGGAAAGAAAGTAGTAGAATTAAATTTAAAAGAGGATATTTTAGAAAACTACAAATATAACCAAAAAATTTAAAGAAAAGAAAGACTATAATGTAAAAGGAGACTAGTAGATTTCTGTAGAATTAATAGGAAGGGCTGGATGCGGTGGCTCATTCCTGTAATCCCAGCACTTTGAGAGGCCAAGATGGGCCGATCACCTGAGATCAGGAGTTTGAGACAAGCCTGACCAACGTGGTGAAACCCCATCAGTACCAAAAAAAAAAAAAAAAAAAAAAAAGGAAAAAGAAAATTAGATGGGCATGGTAATGCATACTTGTAATTCTAGCTACTTGGGAGGCTGAGGCAGGAGAATTTCCTGAATCCGGGAGGCGGAGGTTGCTGTGAGCCAAGATCGCACCATTGCACTACAGCCTGGGCAGCAAGAGCAAAACTCCATCTCAAAAAATAAAATAAAATAAAATAATAAGAATAAGAATAAGAAGAATGTTAAGACTGGATACTCCAAAAATCCAGAGGTGGAAGCAAGTGGAAAGAATTTTGGTGAGGGTTAAATTAACAGCAATGTGGGAGATAGCTACAAACTAATAAGCTAGAAAAAAGGAAAATGCATGGTGCTTGTAATAGAGACAGAAGAGCAGAAACAAGATACTGCTTTGATGGAGGAAATCCACTCTTCAGATATCTGCTGGAGCCTCATTTTTCTAAAGCAATCTGCCAAATTTCTGTCTTGTCAGTTTTATTTCTGACACGCAATGAGAAAATATATATGTGCTATTGGTGTTTAAACTGGCGAATATTCAGAAGTATCATGATGGCTGTCTTTAAATAAAGGAAATGTGTAATGTGAGAAAGGGATTACTTAAAAAAAATACACAATTCCAGAGTCTATAATTAGGACCAGAGCCCAAAATTGGAGGGGGATTAAATTTAATTTATTAAATGCAAAATTGTTATTCATTTTTAAAGAGTAGGGACACATAACAATGGAATGGGCTTTCCTTTGGAAAGTAAGATGGTGGTCGTGGTGTATTTATGGTTTCAAAGTTCAAATAGGAGAAATTTCTGTGCTGGAAGGGCATTCATCTTTATTAGAAGGAAAGAAAATGCTGGTATTACTACTAATAATAGTGAAAGTTTATTTAATGCTTTTTATAATTCACGCGCTATTGTAAGCCCTTTGCTTATTCGAGAAGGGTAAAGGTCAGTGGAGAGCTGATGATAATCAGGAGAAAATCTATAAAGGATGGCACTTTAAAAGATGAGGTAGGAGAATTCTTGATGGGGGAAAAAATCATTGTCATTATTGGCTGCTTGAATTAGACAAAATGAAGTGGCATGAATACCTGGAACTTAAGTTAAAAAGATAATGATAACTTAAAAAAGGCACTTTCAATATATTATTGAGAAGAGTTTAACCAAACTTAAAAGTTGGTAAGTACCTTAGCAGTAGTAATTATAATTCAGGATTTTAGATGCAATAGTCAAAGATAATAATGGGTTGCAGGAGACTAATTAGAACATGAATTTCTTTTAAAGCCTATTTAGAATTAATGCACCCAAATAGATTAAATGAACACAACTGGTTTCTATCACACTCATTATACATGTTTTTCCCTGATAAATATTACTATTTATTTATTTAAAAGTAATTTATGTGGTATAGTTATTTATCTCAGCACCAAGCTTGACTAGATACTACACTATTTACTTATATGATAACTAAAAATGTATTATCTGTGTAATTTTTAGTCTAAATAAGTGGTTCTGTTTCTATGGCACCATTAAATATTATTATATTGAGATATATAAAAATATCGATAATATCAAAATGGGCAAATTATTTATATAAGTGTTGTAGATGGTGTTTTGCCAGAAGCACTTTCCTTTCCTTTCTTTTACTTATGAGAAATAGAAACCCACTCTGACTATGTCAAATTAAAAACTGAGATGGGATTGTTGTAAAGAATCAACAGACAATATAAAAAAAAATATGGAAGGAAATCCACTATAGTGAAGAGTCATAGGAACCGAATGTAAGAAACAAAGTATCCGGAAGCAAATTATTTTAATTTACCATTTTTCCAGAAAGTTATTTTTTGTTTATTTCTATATAACCAACTTACTTAGCTTCCATTTCATGAACACCCTATACATAGAAAATAACAATGGAAGGTAACAGAAGAGTTCCTGAGAGAAGTATCTAAAGAATGAGCTTAATAAAAGTAGATTGCTTATATATTAAAGATATAACTTGTGACAATTGTTGTCACTTATATAATTAGTAGTAACATAGCCAATTTTTTTTTTAATAAGGCAAGTATAATTTCTACTTCTAATGTTTTTCCTTCAGGGATTACATATACTTAGTAATTCTTCCTGTGGACCACAAGTTTTAACCTAAAAAATATTTTTTTCATTTCAAAATGTTGCATACGCCCCCTATAAAATCTTAGATTTTGGACTGCACCCAATATCTTGTAAATAATTAATTAGGCATAAATTGATGCCTTGAGATATTTTTAATCAATAAGTATATGAAATATTAATTTCTAAAGAAAAATGTCAGAATTTGTGTGATGTTTCCCTCCTTGTTTTCAACTTTTATTATGGTGGTAGGACCCACCTATTTAGGAATGAGGACTTGAAATGCTAGATATTAAACGATATGACTTTAAGCATAAATAAATCTCTGAGACTTTGACAAGTCATTTTTTTGGAAATACTATTTAAGCTAGTGTAACCTGTACTTAACAGATGCTCTCTAGAGATACGTCAACTATTCCAGAAAGCCAATTAATGAGAGAACAATTTTCAATAATGTATTATTTAAAGTGGTAACTATAGCAACTACATAGTTTCTTTTTTCCCCCCCTTGGCAAAAGCATGAATACTCATGATTCACTGGTCTTTTTATTTTCTGGCTTTCATTTTACTTTAAAGAAATGTCTCACTATTTTATCCTTTAATTTGATAAAGGCTATCTACATAAAAGTAAACACAATATTTTATAGTGAAGTGTTGAAAGCATTTCCTTATGTATTAGGAGCAAGACGCAGATGACTGTTATCACATTTTCTTTCAATTTTGGGTGTTTGGTGCAGAAGCAAATGAGTAAATTCTATGCAGATTGAAAACAAAATCAACAACCAAAATAATAAGCTTTCATCAAACTGTTGAATACAGTCTGAGTTTTCTCAAACTGTTGGATACAGGCTTAATAGTCAAACAGCAGAAGCATTCTATACAAATTTTCATTAAGTTAAAAATGAAAAAAAAAAACCTTGTTTCAAATAACAAAAATACAAGTTATTTAGGAATTTACCATACAAAAGCTGTTCAATGAACACAAAACAACAAACAAACAAAAAACTAAATAAATAATCTACCATATTCATAGTTTGAAATATTCAATAATCAAAAAATATAAATCCTTTCAAAATTTATCTATAGATTCAATGCAATTCTAATCAAAATTCAATGTGTGTTTGTAGTTGTAAATGTATATGTATTTATTTATATTTATTATTTTAACCTGAAGTTTATATGAAAGTGCAAAGAATCACAAGTATCTAAGATAATTTTAAAGAGGAACACTTGCCCTACTAGGCATGAAGATTTTTGGTAAAAGTATAGTAATCAAGAGAGTAGAGTGTTGGTGAAGAGATACAGAAACAAATGGAGAAAAGACATAACATATTTTAAAGAAGTGGACCAATGGGAACTTTTTATCATGTTGTCCTGGAATACATAATTATCTCTATGTAAAGAGAAAGGTCGAGATTAAATTTCTTTTTTATATCATGCACAAAAATAAATTCCAGGTAGATTAAAAATATAAATATGAAAAGAAAATCTTTACAATTTTAAGAAGGCAATATAGAAAAAATATAAGAAAATATTTTTTGCAACCTCAAAAAATGGATTTCTGTCTTTTGGAGACAGTCTCATTCTGTTGCCCAGGCTGGAGAGTAAGTGATGTGATATTGTCTCACTCCAAACTCCACCTCCCAGGCTCAAGCCATTCTCATGCCTCAGCCTCCTGAGTAGCTGTGATTACAACCGTGTGCCACCATGCCTGGCTAACTTTTGTATTTTTTGTACAGATGGGATTTCATCATGTTGGTCAGAATGGTCTCAAACCCCTGGCCTCAAATGATCTGCCCACCTCAGCCTCCTGAAGTGCTGGGATTACAGGTGTGAGCCACTGTGCCTGGCCGAGAAATGATTTTTTAACAGGTAGAAAAGCAAAATGATAAAGAAAATAATTGCTAAATGCAACCTCCTTAAAATAAAAAAAATTTATGTATGAAAGTATACAATAAAAACAGGTAAAGTCGTGCCGCTTTTGCAACATGTATAAAATATTTCCAGAATATAAAAAAAACTTCTACAAGTCTGAAACCATTCCTCATGAACTTAATAAAAGTTAATTATTACATTTTAGCAAAAGCATAAGCCTTGAATAGAAACATAGCTAAGCATTAGCCAGCTTTCCCTTTAGCTCACTTTCTTATAGTTACTCACTGCCTGAAAGTCATGTACACTCTGTCAGGAGACACTAACTTACCTTAATTGTTTCTATAAATAGCATCTTAAATGTTAGAAAACTCAGATTTTTCATTTGAGATGATTTCCAGATCCTGCATTCCCACAGATCTGTGGATACCAGCTAGTCTGAAGACACCAGAGGAGGAACTGACTCAGCACAAGAATGCAGTCTTCATCTTTATAATTTCATCCTACATGTTCTGATCAATCAGTGACCCATATGCCTCAAACTCCTACCCATCATGAACCGTTAAAAACCCAGGCCTAAACTCAAATAGGTGAATTTGAGATTTCCTCCCATCTTCTCAGTTGCCTTTTGATTATTAAACATTTTCTCTGCTGCAACTCCTGTTGTTTCAGTGTATTGGAATGTTACTGCACATTGGGCAATCAAATGTGGGAGTCCTCTAACAAGTCGATACAAGAAAGATAAAAATCTATTCGTAATATTGGCAAGAGTTTTGCACAGGCATGGCATAGAAGAGAAGGTCTAGTTGGGATACAAATATGTGCAGTGTTATTCAAAGAAATGCAAATATAATTACTTTTTAAAATACACTTTTTTTCAGAAAGATAATGTAAATGACATGTCTTCTGAGTAAATATATGCTTGAAATTATCCCATTTCTTCTAAGATTTAATTATGTAAATAATTAGTCTTCATGTATTTTCTTTACATGGATAATCTAATTTTTTAGTCTGAATGGTTTTATAATTTTTTTGTGTTCATGCAATTTAGAAATATTACAGACTGTGACTTACTTGACAGATACTTACTGTGTTTTTTAAATAAAGATTTAAATATCTTATACTCAGAAATTTATATTTTTTCTTAGCTTATTCATTTTTCCCTCCATTTTCAGCCCCATTCTCTCCATTTGAAATCCTATATGTAAGATTTCCTAAATTAGTACTCCTCGTTTTCTTCCTAACTTCTATCTCCTTTTGTTTTATTATGCTTGGAATTATGAGACTTTCCTGGAATTCTCATTTATTTAATTCAATTATTTTTTCTGCCTTATTCAATTTATTACTGTTTGCTTTTTAAACAAAAACCTGCAATTGTAATTTGCCTTTCCAAGAACTTCCTCATTTTGTTACTACTCCATTTCATAAGAACCAGTTCTGGATTTACCAATGAAATATACTTTCTAAGTTTCTTAAAACAAAAATAATTATCTTCTTCTTCTTGTAATGACTATCCTTACAGAGCATTTTTTGCTCTCATTCTCATTTTGTCCTATTCTTTTCAATGCTGAATGTTGCCATATTTCTGGATTTGTTTTCTTTTTCTTCTTATATAGAGAAAGGTCTCTATATACCAGCACAGGTAGAGCTGGGTACTTATTACTGATCAATTTCTTTAGTTCAAAACAAGTGTAAATATTTAAATACATGGCAAAATCCATTTTGTCTGTGAAGTACTAATTTCCTGGGAAGTGTTTGGCTTTGTGCAAGAAATAGCTTTGGAACAGAGAGATTTTTTTTTCTGTTAGAATCAATCTGTACTTTAATTAGGCATCGAACCCCAAAGATAGATAAAGTAATCTCCTGTCTTTGACTGGCTAACTTGTATATGTGTATTTCCGTGTTTTCCCATCTCCACCCAGTAAGCTGTTTCTGTGACTGTGTTTCCAGATCCCTACAGATTAAATATTGATTTAGAGGCACAAACAAGGCCACAGCCTATTCATATACCCTGTTTCCCAGACCTTCTAATCATGTTTCCACTTATAAATCAAATAATTATTGTTGTAATTTTATCTGTGTGGCAATTTAATTTTTGACTTTTAGATTTCTAATGATTGATAGAATTACATTATAATCTTTATGACAAAATTGCAGACAATGCCATTAATTTCTATGTGTGTTTCTGCCACATTTTTTTAAACATATGATGTAGTCTCAAAACATTTTTCTCAATTTTGGTGTTTACTTTTAATGTATCTA